>NC_000017.11:42560980-43185980 GCF_000001405.40 Homo sapiens | reverse complement strand
TGCCCAGGCTGGAGTGCAATGGCACGGTCTTGGCTCACTGCAACCTCCGCCTCCTGGGTTCAAACGATTCTCCTGCCTAAGCCTCCCAAGTAGCTGGTATTACATACAGGTGCCAACCACCACACCCAGCTAATTTTTGTATTTGTAGTAGAGATGGGGTTTCACTATGTTGGCTAGGCTGGTCTCGAACTCCCGACCTCAGGTGATCCACCCACCTCGCCCTCCCAAAGTGCTGAGATTACAGGCATGAGCCACCGTGCCCAGCCTAGAAATTTATTTTTATTTTTTTGAGATGGCAATTTGCTCTGTCACCCATGTTGGAATGCAGTGCATGGCTCACTGCAGCCTGTCTCTTGGGCTCAAGCGATCTTCCCACCTCAGCCTCCCGGGTAGCTGGGATTACAGGCGCATGCCACCACACCTGGCTAAGGTTTTTGTTTTAGTTTGGAGACAGGAGTCTCACTGTGTTGCCCAGACTGGTCTTGGACACCTGAGTTCAACTATCCTCCCACCTCAGCCTCCTGAGTAACTGGGACTACAGGTGCGCACCACCATACCTGGCTAACTTTTGTATTTTTGTAGAGGTGAAATTTCATGATGTTGCCCAGGCTAGTCTCGAACTCCCGGGCTCCGCCCACCTTGGCTTTCCAAAGTGCTAGTATCATAGGTTTGGGTCACTATGCCTGTTGGCTAATTTAAAAAATTTTTTGTCATACATTACCCAGGCCGGTCATGAACTTGGTTTTGTTATTAAAACCACAAAAGTATTGTGTTGCTTTATTCCACAAAAACAAACAAAAAAACCCATAAAAGTAGGTTTTAAGATGGCAAATTAGGTAAGATTCTCCTTAACTGGGTTACTATTTTTCTGTTTTTTTTTTTTTCTTTTTTTTGAGGTGGAGTCTCGCTCTGTCACCAGGCTAGAGTGCAGTGATGCAATCTCGGCTCACTGCAAACTCCACCTCCCGGGTTCAAGCGATTCTCCTGCCTCAGCCTCCCGAGTAGCTGGGACTATAGGCGCACGCCACCACACCCAGCTAATTTTTGTATTTTTAGTAGAGATGGGGTTTCACTATGTTAGCCAAGATGGTCTCAATCTCTTGACCTCGTGATCTGCCGCCTCAGCCTCCCAAAGTGCTGGGATTACAGGTGTGAGCCACTGCGCCTAGTCTAATTGGTTTTTATACAAGACTCTCTCTATGGAATCTTAACTCAGGTTTCCAAAAAGGTTAATTCTAGACTAACAAAACTCAAGAAACTTAAAGATATGTCCTATAATTAAGCATTTACTTTTCCAATAAAAATAGTATTTTGGGGCCAGGCGCGGTGGCTCATGCCTGTAATCCCAGCATTTTGGGAGTCTGAGCTGAGCAGATCACCTGAGGTCAGGAGTTCGAGACCAGCCTGTCCAACATGGTGAAACCCCATCTCTACTAAAAATGCAAAAATTAGCTGGGCATGGTGGCATGCACCTGTAATCCCAGCTACTCAGGAGGCTGAGACAGGAGAATTGCTTGAATCCAGGAGGCGGAGGTTGCAATGAGCTGAGATGGCGCCACTGCACTCTAGCTTGGGCAACAAAGTGAGACTCTGTCTCAAAAAAAAAAAGAATAGTATTTTGGGGCGATGAGAGGTGGGTCATGCCTGTAATCCGAGCACTTTGGGAGGCTGAGGCAGATAACTTGGGCCCAGGAGTTCAAGACAAACCTGGGCAACACAGCAAGGCCCTGTCTCTATTAAAAAAAAAAAAAAAGTTTAAAAATCATCGGAGCATGGTGGTATTTTCCTGTAGTCCCAGCTACACAGGAGCCTGAGGTAGGAAGACCACTTGAGCCCAGGAAGTCAAGGCTGCAATCACACCACTGCACTCCAGCTATGTGAGCTGTGATCATACCACTGCACTCCAGCCTGGGTGACAGTGAGATCCCGTCTCAAAAAAATATATCGAAGTGATTTTTTTTAACAAGTGCTGTCAGTGAAAAAAAACTTTTTAAAAATAAAAATAACTAGCCAGGTGTGGTAGCTGGGTACAGTGGCTCACACCTGTTATACCAGCACTTTGGGAGGCTGAGGCAGGCAGATCACTTGAGGCTAGGAGATTAAGACTAGCCTGGCCAACATAGCGAAGCCCTATTTCTACTAAAAATACAAAAAACAGTTGGGTGTGGTGGCACATGCCTGTAATCCCAGCTATTAGTGTGGCTGAGGTATGAGAATTGCTTGAATCCAGGAGGCGGAGGCTGCAGTGAGCTGAGATTGTACCACTGCACTCCAGTCTGGGTGACAGAGCAAGACTCAAAAACAAACAAACAAAACCAGCCAAGTGTGGTGATGCACACCTGTGGTCCCAACTACTCAGGAGGCTGAAGTGGGAGAACTGCTTGAGCCTGGGACGTTGAGGGGGCAGTAAGCCATAATTGCACCACTGTGCTCCAGCCTCTATGACAGAATGACACACGTGTCGCTGGGCGCAGTGGCTCATGCCTGTAATCCCAGCACTTTGGGAGGCTAAGGCAGGTGGATCATGAGGTCAAGAGATTGAGACCACCCTGGACAACATGGTGAAACCCCATCTCTACTAAAAATACAAAAATTAGCTGGGTGTGGTGGCGCATGCCCGTAGTCCCAGCTACTCGGGAGGCTGAGGCAGGAGAACTGCTTGAACCCGGGAGGTGGAGGTTACAGTGAGCCAAGGTCGCGCCACTGCACTCCAGCCTGGCAACAGAGCAAGACTCCATCTCAAAAAACAACAACAAAAGGAATGACACACACGTCAAAGAAAAAAAGAGGCCGGGCGTGATGGCTCACACCTCTAATCCTAGCACTTTGGGAGGCTGAGGTGGATGGGTTGCTTAAGCCTAGAAGTTCAAGACTAGCCTGGGCAACATGGTAAAACCCTGTCTCAAAAAAAAAAAGACGCCAGGCGCAGTGGCTCACGCCTGTAATCCCAGCACTTTGGGAGGCCAAGGCAAGAGGATCACCGGAGGTCAGGAGTTCGAGATGAGCCTGGCCAACATGGTGAAACGCCGTCTCTACTAAAAATACAAAAATTAGCTGGGCATGGTGGCATACACCTGTAATCCCAGCTATTAGGAAGGCTGAAGCAGGAACATCACTTGAACCTGGGAGGTGTAGGCTGCTGGTAGCCAAGATCGCACCACTGTACTCCAGCATGAGCAACAGGGCGAGACTCCGTCGCAAAAAAAAAAGAAAAAAAGCATTCAATGGGTAACTACATCTGAGGTGATGGATGTGTTAATTAACTTGATTGTGGTAATCATTTCACAATGTATACATATTTCAAAACATCACATTTTATACACATTTTTATATTTAAACATACAAATTTTTAAAAATTAGAAACTAAAAACAAAAAAAAAAGCATTCCATGTCCAAAAAGTGGCTGTCATCTCTGCCTTAAACATAACATTGTATGGGCTATAGAGAACAGAGTGACATAGGCTGTGCACAGTGGCTCATGCCTGTAATCCCAGCACCTTGGCAGGCCAAGGCAGGCGAATCACTTGGGTAAGGAGTTTGAGACCAGCCTGGCCAACAAGGCGAAACCCTGTCTCTACTAAAAACTACAAAATAAATTAGCTGGGTGTGGTGGCGCACACCTGTAATCCCAGCTACTTGGGAAACTGAGGCATGAGACTCACTTGAACCCCAGAGGTGGAGGTTGCAGTGAGCCAAGATTGCGCCACCGCACTCCAGCCTGAGCGACAGAGTGAGACTCTGTCTCAAAAAAAAAAAAAAAAAAAAAAAAGGAGAGAACAGAGTGAGGGAAAGAGGTGAAAAATGTGAACCAGTAAACATAGTTCTAGAACAGGCATGGTGGTGCACACCCATAGTCCCAGCTACTCGGGAGGCTGAGGCAGCAGGATCACTTGAGCCCAGCAGTTCAAGGCTGGCCTGGGTAACATAGCAAGACCCAGCCTCTTTAGGAAAAAAAAAAGGGGGGCATCAAGAGTTTTTTGGGTTTTTTTTGTCTTTGAGATGGAGTTTCCCTCTTGTTGCCCAGGCTGGAGTGCAATGGCGTGATCTCAGCTCACTGTAACCTCTGCCTCCCAGGTTCAAATGATTCTCCTGCCTTGGCCTCCCAAGTAGCTGGGATTATAGGCATGCACCACCACACCTGGCTAATTTTTTGTATTTAGTAGAGATGAGGTTTCACCATCATGGTCAGGCTGGTCTTGAACTGCTGACCTTGGGTGATCCGCCTGCCTCAGTCTCCCAAAGTGCTGGGATTACAGGCATGAGCCACTGCACCCGGCCAAGATATTTGTTTTTTGGTTTGTTTGTTTTTTTTGTTTTGAGACAGAGTCTCACTGTCGCCCAGGCTGGAGTGCAGTGGCACGATCTCGGCTCACTGCAAGCTCCGCCTCCGGGGTTCACGCCATTCTCCTGCCTCAGCCTCCCAAGTAGCTGGGACTACAGGCACCCGCCCACGCCCGGCTGTTTTGTATTTTTAGTAGAGACAGGGTTTCACCACGTTAGCCAGGATGGTCTTGATCTCCTGACCTCGTGATCCACCCACCTCGGCCTCCCAAAGTGCTGGGATTACAGGCGTGAGCCACCACGCCTGGCCAGTTATTTGTATTTTTAAACACTAGAACAGTAGCACAAAGACCAGCAAAGAGATGGGACTGTAACTGAGAAGGACCTTTTTATTATGAATTGCCTTTTGCTGAGTGTCGTGCCCATTCATCAGTCTCCCTATAAACAGGTTTCACTGTGTTTATACGTACTAGTCTCTCCCCATAACTAATGGAATTCAGGTTTGAGTTTCAGTCAATAAATATTTTAGGCCAGACGCAGTGGCTCATGCCTATAATCCCAGCACTTGGGAGGCCAAGGCCAGCAGATTGCTTGAGCCCAAGAGTTCCAGACCAGCCTGGGAAACATGGTGAAACCCTGTCTCTAAGAAAAATATAAAAAGTTAGCCGGGCGTGGTGACGTGTTTCTGTAGTTCCAGCTACTCGGGAGGCTGAGGTGGGAGGATCACTTAAGCCTGGGAGGTGAAGACTGCAGCAACCCCAGATTGTGCCACTGCACACCAGCCTGGATGACAGAGCACAACCTCATCTCAAAAAAAGAAAAAAAACCAACCCATAATAATATTTTTTAAATTATTTAAAAATGAGATTAAATAATCATTACCTTAAGCGCTTCTTCATATTCTCCTAAAAGAACAAAAAATATACACCATGATACTTCTTCACACACCCCAAAAGATTCTATTATTTTAAAATTATTTTTATTTTGTACACATCCATTCATTCATTCAAGAACCAAAGATTCCATAAGATTAAGGATAGCCAATCCTAAAGATGGACTGTACAACATGAGGAACATATTATAGTTAAATAATCGTAAATTATATTCATGATTTTTGCTAAATGAGTAGATTATGGCTGGTTTCTGGGGAGGGCTCAGGGCACCACAGGGCCACTATAATGAGATGATAGATATGTTAATTTGCTTCACTACAGTAACCATTGCCACATAACATTTTGGTCAACCATGTGTATGATGGTGATCCCATAAGATTATAATGCCACATTTTTACTGTACCTTTTCTATGTTTAGATATGCAAATACCATTGTGTTTCAACTGTCTATAGTATACAGCACAGTAACATGCTCTACAGGTTCGCAGCCTATAAGCAATAGGTTATACCATATATCCTAGGTGTGTACTAGGCTATACCATCTAGGTTTGTGTAAGTACACTCTATGATGTCCATATAATGACAAAATCACCTAATTGATGCATTTCTCAGTACAAATCTCTGTCATTAAGCGATGCATTACTGTATATGTATTTCATAACATCATGTTGTGCACCTTCAATATATACAATAAAAATTTGTTAAATGTACAGCTAATCCTGACTTTAAAGAATTCTTAGCTTATTATATATGAACAGCAACTATCTTTTTGCTGACAAACTCCCTTTTTGTTGCAAACAGCATCTACTGTAGATCAGTTCTTCCCCTTAAATCCCTCCTTCATCACTACTGGGAATCTTCCAGTTACAAAATCTCAACCCAGGTCCCTCACATTTACGCACTGAGAGTTCAATGTTAATACTATCATTTCACCTGATTAAATTAAGATTTTAGGGGCTATCGTGGGAAACTAATCTTCAACTATAACATGGTTCCTATGGGAAAATGCACTCCAAGCTCTGAACATCTGATAAATAAACTTTTGGAATACCACTTGTTTTATAAGTTGATATTAACATATATACCAAGTCAGAAACAAATGCAACACCATGGGAATACTTATATGTGTTGAACTGGGAGGCATATTAATTTCAGAGGACTGGCATCTTAAATATGAGAACCTCCCATTAAAGCTGTCCTTAGGGTCCATTCAAAGGCATCATCCTATATATAAAAAACTGCTATACAATAAAATCCCCTAGGTAACTAATGTCCATCAGTGCAATGTCACTCTAAAATTAATACTGCAATAAGGTTTGAGTATAAATAGAAATGCCTCAATGAGCAGATTAAGGTTTTTAAACAAGGCTGAACAGACTCTCTTAGGGACTCACCTTGACTGTTGATGGATACCTATAAAAGGAAAAAAAGCAACAGTGAATTATAAGTGTCTCATCAGTTGAGCATTTCTGTTACTAGGACCAGCCCCATAGGACAGACAAAAACTCAGGCCAAGCGTTCAGCTTTTCCATATCACTTGCTAGTCATGAATAACACTTAAGAAATTTTATTGCTTATCTACTGTGCCCTCCTTTATTTCAGATACATTAAAAGGCAGTGCAATATAACAGTTAGGAGCTTGAGTTCTACAGCCAGAGGGTATGGACTGAACGGCTACTTTACTACTTCCAAGTTTTTGTGCATTTGGACAAGTTATTTTCACCTCTCTGTGCCTCAGTTTCCTCATGAGTAAAATAGTGATGATAATAATGTACTCAATACATGGTACTGTGGCTAGTCTGACACACTGTAACCACTCAATAAAGCTTAGCCATTAGCCTGAGCAACAAAGTGAGATTCCATCCCTCCAAAGAATTAAAAAATTTTGCCAGATGCAGAGAGGTATGTCCTAGCTACCCAGAAGGCTGAGATGGGAGGATTCCTTGAACCCAGGAGCTCTAGGTTGCAGCAAGCTATGCCAATGCACACCAGCCTGGGCAACAGAGTGAGACCCTCTTTAAAAAAAAAAAAAAAAAAAGCTTAGCCATTATATTTGTATTATTATAAACTAAGTGGTAGCTTGTGCTATATGTGAACTTAAGGTCACTATATAATTTTAAAAGTTATCTTGGCCAGGTGTGGTAGCTCACAACTGTAATCCCAGCACTTTGGGAGTCCGAGGTGGGCTGATCGCTTGAGCCCAGGAGTTCGAGACCAGCTTGGCCAACATGGTGAAATACCGTCTCTACTAAAAATACAAAAATTAGCCAGGCGTGGTGGTATACACCTGTAATCCCAGCTACTCAGAAGGCTGAGACAGGAGAATCACTTGAACCCAGGAGCTGGAGGTTGCAGTGAGCAGAGATCGCACCACTGCACTCCAGCCTAGGTTATGGAGTGAGGCTTCATCTCACAAAAAAAAAAAAAGAAAAAAAAAAAAGGTTCTCTCAGGCCAGGCCAGGCATGGTGGGTGTCTCACACCTATAATCCCAGCACTTTGGGAGGCTGAGGTGGGAGGACTGCTTGGGCCCAGGAGTTCAAGACTGGCCTGAGCAACATAGTGAGACCCTGTTTCCTTTTTTTTTTTTTAAGTGAAAGTTATCTCTGAGATATTCTTCAGTGTTGCTTCTCCATTTCTCAACTCCATCTCAGATGCTGCAAGTCTTCTTAGAATATTCAGTTATCAAATATATTTAAACCACCACACAAATAAGCTAAACACTATTTTGAATTATTAAAGCCCATATCACTGGAGAAATAAGATCCCTATTCTGAACACCTAGCAATAAGTGCCATAATATATTTTACCTCTTCATTTTCCTCATCCAGGTATTTTATTTGAATAGTATTCAGATCAAATGAAACTTTTACCTATAAAAGAGATACATATTTAAAGGCAGGTTATAATGTACACAGAAGTCAAAGTAAAAAAAACCCACAAAATCAAAAGACAAACAACAAACAACCTTAATAACCCATAACAAAGGGTTAATATCTGCAACACACCCAGAGTACCAGCAAAACTGCTAATGATACAATTAACAACCCAGGTAAAAATATACATAAAATTCATACAAGAGGAAATCAGAACACCTAACAAATACATCAGAAGACTTTCAAACTTTCTGGTGGTCAGAACAATGCAAATTGAAGCAATGAGATGACATCTCATCAGAATACCAAACTGTGTGTGTGTGTGTGTGTGTGTGTGTGTGTGTGTGTGTGTGTGTGTGTTTTGGGTGGGGTGTGGGGTAGGGAACAGCAAATGTTTTTTAAAGCCATAACATCCAGTGTTGTCAAAACTTCAGGACACTGTCATGTATTTCTGTGTGCTGCTACAATTGTTCTGCAAAGCATTTGGCAGAATCTATTAAAATTTCAAATAAAATGCTTTGTGACCCATTAATCTCACATTTGTATAGGACAGAGTTTATCCTGTAGAACAGTGTATAAGTTATGTGTATAGATGGATATCTCCTGAAGTTTCAAGATAAGAAAAAAAAAAAACGAAAAATATCTTTTTTTTTTTTTTTTTGAGATGGGTCTCACTCTGTCGCTCAGGCTGGATTATAGTGGCTTGATCTTGGCTCACTGCAGCCTCAACCTCCAGCACTCAAGCAATTCGCCCACCTCAACCTCCGGAGTAGCTGGAACCACAGGTGCCTGCTACCAGGCCCAGCTAATTTTTGTATTTTTTTGGTAGAGATGGGGTTTTACCATGTTGCCCAGTCTGGTCTCAAACTCCTGAGCTGAAGTGGTCCACCCATCTTGGCCTCCCAAAGTGCTGGGATTCTAGGCGTGTGCCACTGTGCCTGGCCAAATAATGTTTATAGTATGATCCTAGTATGATATCTGCATGAACATGGAAAATTTAAAGTACATACAGGGCTGTTAACATTGGTTACCCAAAGAAGGTGGGAGTAACAGATGAGGGGGGGGAGAATGGAGGGCTATTAACTGCTTGAGATGGTTTCTCTTCTTAAAATGGGCATGTATTATACTTATACAATTTAAAATTTACAAGGAAGAAAAAAGGCAAGCTGTCAGCTCATTTAACTACTAGGAAAAGAAAGATAACTGATTTTCACATCTTTTGGCAAACAAGATCTAACTTCTTTCTGAATCCAATCTTTTTTTTTTTTTTGAGACGGGTCTCACTGTCACTGATAGGACAGTATGAACAGGTATTTGCTGGAAGGCAGACAACTACCTCAGATCATCTTTTAAGATCTACCATTTCTTTCCCTTTTTAGTTATCATCAGATATAACCAGGTAAACGTAGATTTTTACCAAAGGGTTTCAGAGAGAAACACAGTCAACACAGGAAGTAAAACATTCACCACTGCAAACTGAACAAAAACAGAAGAGTACAAAGGGCAAACCAAGAGGAGGAAAAGCCTTAGCAAAAAAACGGAACAGGTGAACTGCTGTCTAAGCAGGTATGAAAGTTTTTCCTGCTCAACTCTGAGATACTCAACCTCTGACCTAGCAATAAAAACAATTGATAGGCTCTTGCAAAACACAAGTTATATCCTTGTGCAAAACACAAGTCATATCCTCACACAAGAGAACATTTCCTTGGGATCTGGTTGGGTGGAGTCCACACCAATTCACTCCTCATACTGGTTCTAAAATTAATAGGTTTTCTAAATCCTATCTCACTAAAAACAATTTTACCTTCCCTTTCTAAAATGTTCAAAAGGAAATTTATGTGTTGGTTCCCTTTATTGGGGCACATCTCATATATGAATACTGAAACCCTATCAAAAGCAATTTTCCAAAAGGCCCAGAAATGGTAACTATGACAGACTTCACAGCTATGAAACAACACTGCTAAAAATAGCTACCTTTGGAAAAAATAACCATGCTTAAACCAAGGAGAAACAAAATAAAGTAACACTCACCATAGCTTCGATATCAGCCCAAGTTGTATTTTCTGGATCAGAAACCAGAAAGCTTTGAATTTCATTTTTAAAAGTCACATTTAGAGTAACCTGTGGTTCCATGCTGTGAGGCTAGGGTTGAGAAGGTTGGTGGGAGAGAGAGAAAAACACATTAGAAAGGGTTCTATAAGTTGCACTAAAAGTTCACTCAGCAAATACTTGTGAGGACCCAATATGGGCTGGGCTTGGGAGACAGCAATGAACAAAAGAAACACTGTCCCTGTTCTTACGAAACTTACCATCACTGTTAAATAGGAATTGTTTCAGGAAAGAAAGATAGGCTAAAACCATGCCATAAAGACTTGTACTTAAGTCACAAAAATTATTCTTGAAGTTATTAGGAACTTCCACATGTTGGAAACATGTGGAAACAGAAGTATGCTGAAAGTATTTAAATTTTGACCACATTCCCAGAAATCATCTAGCATTTGTAAAATCCTTACGGTACTTTATGATGACTGGTTAACTAAACAAATACTTACTAGTAGCAGGACATACCAACATGGATAAGAGAGATAAGGTCTCTGCCCTCAGGGAACTTGTATTCTTGTATGACTTGAGAGTGACATTCTACATTTTTCTTGCAGAAGGAGGGTTGTCCTAACTTGAGAACCTAGGTTTTCTACCAGTTTTACGAACTTACAGGCCAAAACACTAGCCAAGAAACTACACAGAGGTAGCATTCAATGCCCTCCATCCAAGTTACTATGTTTTTTCACAATCTACTGATTTTTTATTTTATTTTATTTATTTATTTATTTTTGAGACGGAGTCTCGCTCTATCGCCCCAGGCTGGGGTGCAGTGGCACGATCTCAGCTCACTGCAACCTCCACCTCCTGGGTTCACGCCATTCTCCTGCCTCAGCCTCTCGAGTAGCTGGGGTGCCCGCCACCACATCCGGCTAATTTTTTTTTTTTTTTTTGTATTTTTGGTAGGGACGGGGTTTCACCGTGTTAGGCAAAATGGTCTCGATCTCCTGACCTCATGATCTGCCTGCCTTGGCCTTCCAAAATGCTGGGATTACAGGCATGAGCCACCGCACCTGGCCTTGTACTGATTTTTTAAATGGGGGATTTCAAACATATATAAAAGTGGAGAGTAATAAACACTTAGTTAAACCAACAATCAACTCAAGGCTATCCTCATTCACATATACCCCCGCATCTCCCACTTCTGCCCCAACAATGAACTGACCATAGTCAACTAATGTTTTAACCAAACTATAATAATATAATTATTTTATATTATTGTATTTATTTATTTTGAGATAGAGTCTTGTTCTGTCGTCCAGGCTCAAGTGCAGTGGCACAATCTTGGCTCACTGCAACCTCCACCTTCTGGTTTCAAGCGATTCTCTCACCTCAGCCTCCTGAGTAGCTGGGACTACAGGCGCCCGCCACCACGCCTGGCTAATTTTTTTGTATTTTTAGTAGAGACGGGGTTTCACCGTGATAGCCAGGATGGTCTCGATCTCCTGACCTCGTGATTCCACCCACCTCGGCCTCCCAAAGTGCTGGGATTACAGGCGTGAGCCACCATGCCCGGACTATTTTTTAAAATATTTTTATGGGAAAATTTAAATCTATACAAAAGTAGAGAGAATATAATGAATCCCTATGGACCCATAAGCTAGCTTCTTTCATAATTATCAACTCAGGACCAATTTGCTGTAACCAAAGGTTTACAGCAATACCCTTTCCCTACTAGATTATTTTGACAGACATCTATGCTTTTATCCATTAAGAATTGAGTATGTACCTCTAAAAGATAAGAATTTTTTAAAAACAGTCTAGATATCATTATCATGCCTAACAAGTTAACAATTCCTTAATCAGATTTCTATTCTGATCATTATGTTTTTAATTAAGGATTTTGTTTACTGATGAATGGTTACGTTTAACTGGTTTTTATGACTTTATGAAAAAATAGCTTAGGTTGAGAGGAACAAGATATGAAAAAATAGCTTAGGTTGAGAGGAACAAGATTAAGTCCCAGGGATTTACAGCGTGGTCTGCGGGGGTGGGGGTGGGGGGCAGAGGGGAGGCGGAGGAGCACACAAACTGGGAAGACTTAGCTTCCAGACATACCTCCGGCCCATTACTAGACATAAAACTGTGAGCAGGTCAGTTCGCTTTTGAGCTTCGGTTCTTTAACCTATAAAATAGGTCTAATACGTCTGCTTTGACTATCTCACAGTGTTACCATAAGGATCAAATTAAAAATGTGTACGCAAGTTCTTTCAAAATGTCATTCAAATATAAAAAATATGATAATAAAGGCCAAGCACAGTGGCTCATGTCTGTAATTCCAGCATTTTGGGAAGCAGAGGCAGGCAGATCGTTTGAGTCGAGTTTGAGACCAGCCTAGCCAACATGGTGAAACCTCGTCCCTACTAAAAATACAAAAATTAGCTGCGTGTAGTGGCGCAGGCCTTTAATCCCAGCTACTCAGGAGGCTGAGGCAGGAGAATTGCTTGAACCTGGGAGGCAAGGTTGCAGTGAGCCAAGATCATGCCACTGCACTCTCGCCTGGGTGATAGAGCGAGACTCTGTCTCAAAAATAAAATAAAATAAAAAACTGGACGGGTGTGGTGGCTGATGCTGGTAATCTTAGCACTTTGGGAGGCTGAGGCGGAAGGATCATGAGCCTAGGAGTTCAAGACCAGCCTGGGCAACAAAGCCAGACCCTGTCTCCTTAAAAAAATTAAGTTCAATTAAACATTTTAAAAAATAATAGGGCCGGATGTGGTGGCTCACGCCTGTAATCCCAGCACTTTGGGAGGCCGAGGTGGGTGGATCACGAGGTCAGGAGATCGAGACCATCCTGGCTAACACGGTGAAACCCCGTCTCTACTAAAAATACAAAAAATTTAGCCAGGCGTGGTGGTGGGCGCCCGTAGTTCCAGCTACTCGGGAGGCTGAGGCAGGAGAATGGCGTGAACCTGGGAGGTGGAGCTTGCAGTGAGCCAAGATCGCGCCAATGCACTCCAGCCTGGGCGACAGAGCAAGACTCCATCTCAAATAAATAAATAAATAATAATAAACCAGTCTTTAGAACCATAAACCTGTACTGTTTTCCACAATGTAATGCACTGCCCTGTAAAATACTACAATTAAGACTGTCATTTAAAGGCACTTTTTTGAAACCCTAAGACAATTATCCCCCAATTTTCTCCATTCTTTGTTTCTACCAAGAACCAAGTTCACCACCAAAATAATATTAGTCTCTTAACAACAATCCTGCTGACATCTAGTATTCATTCATATGAAATGTAATTATTGGGGTCCTTAAAATTTGAGAATCTTTGTCAATTCCCCAGGACCTTAGGCAAAAAATCAAGGAAATGAAGTGACTCAGTCCGCCAAAAGTGGGTATTCTGAAATATCACTTTCCAACTTCAAGAAACACACTTCCCTACTTGTGAAGGAAATGAATCTTCCTCTCTTTTTCTCAAATTACACAATTGGAAATTTAGATACTCTGGAGCTCCTCCAGCTGGTGGGCCAACTAAGAGAAAACAGGAAGTGGGAGATTCTAGCTTGGCTGGACCATATCCAGGTCTTCATAAGGAACTCTCTTTGGCTGACATGTAAAAAAATTCTTTCAGCAGGAGCATTAATCTTAAACGTGTGTAAACACCAAAGCTATGGTTAACCCTATCTGCCCCTTAGGTCTACAGCCAGTAGAGTCAGATAGCTGGGTCTTAGGCCTTCAGCTTTCATAACTGGCATTATTGTAAGTCCATGCCACTGACTCACCTTTGCTTGGCACAAGTTAGCTTTTCCTCCACGTCGATTTTTTTTTCAGCCTCAACAAAATCCCTTTAATGAAACAGACCTGGCAACCTGAGCTTTGATTACTGTCTCCACCAGAGGCCTTTACAAGCCAAGTTATCCAGGCTTTAAAATGTGTGACCTGAGGCCGGGAGCGGTGGCTTATACCTGTAATCCCAGCACTTTGGGAGGCCAAGGCACGAGGATCGCTTGAGCTCAGCAGTTCAAGCCCAGCCTGGGTTGGTCTTTGAGAAAGCAAGACTCTGTCTCAAAAAAGTGTGGCCTGAAAGCTGAGTGTTTGACAAAAAGGAAAAACAGTGCCTTTCCAAAACCGAAGGTCCCTAACCAAGGAGATCTCTTTAAGGTCTCGAAAAAACGAGGATGGGATGAGAAGGATGTGTAAGTAGTGTCATTTTTTTACTTGCAGAGTTCATCCTAGTCTTCCAGTTTTCGTTTCCTAGCACTCCATGTTCCCAAGACAGTGTCACTACCCCGAGGGCTCTCTCATTTTCTTTGCCTAGGCCCTCATTCCACTGGGGAGTCGTGGCCTTCCATCAGTAGAAGCCGGATGTTCTGACCCACAGACTCTCCAACTCTCCGGCGCTTCTCGCCAACTCGGTCCCTCTGAACATGAAGGGCTCTCTCATCCTGTCACTAAAAAGATTAGCTGTCCCGAAACACGGAAAAAGTCGCCCCTCTTCTTTGCAGGATTCCTCCCTTGAACTTCCCCAAACCCTCTTAGCGTGACGTGACCCCACCCCTAGGTAACCGCAGCTGCTTCCTTACCAGCTTCCCGCCCCCGGGGGGCGCCTGCCGGAGGCCAATGCAAGGACCGTCCGCTACCGGCTCTGCCGCTATCCCTGTGGGGTGAATCTAACATGGCGGATAAAGACAGTAACTAGTCCCCTGTTTCTCCGAGTGTTCGCCAAGATGATTGGCTCTCACCACTTGTCCCTCAAAACGACCACGCCATTGATTGGTGGAGATTGCGTCGATGGGGCGGGGCAGAAGCAACCTGAACCCGAACAACAATAACAAACATTGAGGCTGAGGGGCGGAACTAGGAGTGCGCAGATGTGGGCCAGAGCGGATTTCCCCTTCCCCAGGCAAATTCGGCGCCCACTGCGTCCCCGCAGGCCACTGACCTTAGAGGACTACTTGCCCGAGACTCGTGGGGCTGGATGGGAATCGTAGTCTTCCTAGGAGTTGTAGGTATCTTTTTTTGGCCTAGTCTCTGCTCTCAAGATAGGAGAACATAACAACACTCCAATCCATTACTGTTGACATGTATAAGCCCGCGGAGGTCTCCAATCTATCCACTGGATTTCCGTGAGAATTGTGCCCGCTTTGGTATTGGATGTTCCTCTCCATAAGACTACAGTTTCCAAGGAACAGTGTGGCCAAGGCCTTTCGTTCCGCAATGCATGTTGGAAATAGTAGTTCTTTCCCTCCACCTCCCAACAATCCTTTTATTTACCTAAACTGGAGACCTCCATTAGGGCGGAAAGAGTGGGGTAATGGGACCTCTTCTTAAGACTGCTTTGGACACTATCTTACGCTGATATTCAGGCCTCAGGTGGCGATTCTGACCTTGGTACAGCAATTACTGTGACGTAATAAGCCGCAACTGGAAGCGTAGAGGCGAGAGGGCGGGCGCTTTACGGCGAACTCAGGTAGAATTCTTCCTTTTCCGTCTCTTTCTTTTTATGTCACCAGGGGAGGACTGGGTGGCCAACCCAGAGCCCCGAGAGATGCTAGGCTCTTTCTGTCCCGCCCTTCCTCTGACTGTGTCTTGATTTCCTATTCTGAGAGGCTATTGCTCAGCGGTTTCCGTGGCAACAGTAAAGCGTGGGAATTACAGATAAATTAAAACTGTGGAACCCCTTTCCTCGGCTGCCGCCAAGGTGTTCGGTCCTTCCGAGGAAGCTAAGGCCGCGTTGGGGTGAGACCCTCACTTCATCCGGTGAGTAGCACCGCGTCCGGCAGCCCCAGCCCCACACTCGCCCGCGCTATGGCCTCCGTCTCCCAGCTTGCCTGCATCTACTCTGCCCTCATTCTGCAGGACTATGAGGTGACCTTTACGGAGGATAAGATCAATGCCCTTATTAAAGCAGCCAGTGTAAATATTGAAACTTTTTGGCCTGGCTTGTTTGCAAAGGTCCTGGCCAACGTCAACATTGGGAGCCACATCTGCAGTGTAGAGGGGGGGAAAAAAACGTGACTGCGCGTCGTGAGCTCGCTGAGACGTTCTGGACGGGGGACAGGCCGTGGGGTTTCTCAGATAACTGGGCCCCTGGGCTCAGGAGGCCTGCACCCTCTGCTCTGGGTTAAGGTAGAAGAGCCCCGGGAAAGGGACAGGGGCCCAAGGGATGCTCCGGGGGACGGGCGGGGGAAAGTGAATTTCCGAAGCTAGGCAGATGGGTATTCTTATGCGAGGGGCGGGGGCGGAACCTGAGAGGCATAAGGCGTTGTGAACCCCCCGGGGAAGGGGGCAGTTTGTAGGTCTCGAGGGAAGCACTAAGGATCAGGTTGGGGGCACAGTGTGTCCGAGGAGGAATCCTCCTGATAGGAACTGGAATGTGCCTTGAAGGGGACACCATGTGTATAAGAACATCAGCTGGTCGCCGGGGATGGTGGCTTACGCCTGTATTCCTAGCACTTTGGGAGGCCAAGGCGGATGGATCACGAGGTCAGGAGTTCGAGACCAGCCTGACCATCGTGGTGAAACCCCGTCTCTACTAAAAATACAAAAATTAGCCGGGCGTGGTGGCGCGCGCCAGCTACTCAGGAGCTGAGGCAGGAGAATCGCTTGAACCCAGGAGGCGGAGGTTGCAGTGAGCCGAGATCGCGCCATTGCACTCCAGCCTGGGTGGCAGAACGACACTCCGTCTCAAAAACAAACAAAGAAATAAACACCGGCTGGTATATATGAGAAGATGGGCCCTTGCGGAAGAAGAAGTGCCAGGAATATGTCTGGGAAGGGGAGGAGACAGGATTTTGTGGGAGGGAGAACTTAAGAACTGGATCCATTTGTGCTATTGAGAAAGCGCAAGAGGGAAGTAGAGGAGCGTCAGTAGTAACAGATGCTGCCGGCAGGGATGTGCTTGAGGGGGATCCTGAGATGAGAGTGGGTCGCTGGGAAAGGCTAGGGGCAGGGAGGCCTTGATTGGTGTTGGTTTGGTCGTTGTTGATTTTGGTTTTATGCAAGAAAAAGAAAACAGCCAGAAGCATTGGAGAAAGCTCACCACTTACCCGGTCAGTCACTCCCCTGTAGCTTTCTCTTTCTTGGAGAAAGGAAAAGACCCAAAGGGTTGGAAGCAATATGTGAAAAAATACAGAATTTATATTGTCTAATTACAAAAAGCAACTTCTAGAACCTTTAAAGGATTTTGTATTATTCTAAAACCTTCCAAATCTTAAATTTACCTTATTTTATTTTATTTATTTTTGAGACGGAGCTTCGCTCTTGTTGCCCAGGCTGGAGTGTAATGGCGTGATTTGGGCTCACCGCAACCTCTGACTCGTGGGTTCAAGCGATTCTCCTGCCTCAGCTCCCGAGTAGCTGGGATTACACGCATGCACCACCATGCCTGGCTCATTTTTTTGTATTTTTAGTAGAAACGAGGTTTCTCCGTATTGGTCAGGCTGGTCTTGAACTCCCGACCTCAGGTCATCCGCCCGCCTCGGCCTCCCTAAGTGCTGTGATTACAGGCGTGAGCCACCACGCCCAGCCCAATTTACCTTATTTTAAAATGATAAAATGAAGTTGTCATTTTTCTAAACCTTTTTAAAAGATACATGTTTTTCTAATGTGTTAAAGTTCATTGGAACAGAAAGAGATAGATTTATCTGCTGTTTGCGTTGAAGAAGTACAAAATGTCCTTAATGCTATGCAGAAAATCTTACAGTGTCCAATCTGGTAAGTCACCAGAAGAGGGTATTAATTTGGGATTCCTATATGATTATCTCCTATGCAAATGAACAGAATTGACCTTACATAGAAGGGAGGAAAAGACATGTCTAATAAGATTAGGCTATTGTAATTGCTGATTTTCTTAACTGAAGAACTTTAAAAGTATAGAAAATGAATCCTTGTTCTCCATCCACTCTGCCTCTCCCACTCCTCTCCTCTTCAACACAAATCCTGTGGTCCCTGAAAGACAGGGACCCTGTCTTGATTGGTTCTGCACTGGGGCAGGAATCTAGTTTAGATTAACTGGCATTTTGGTTTTCTTCTAGCTCTAAAACCAGCTCCATCACTTGAAATGGCAAAATAAATCATGAATGAGGCCGGGGGCTGTGGCTCACACCTGTAATCCCAGCACTCTGGGGGGCCGAGGCAGGCAGATCACGAGGTCAGGAGATCGAGACCATCCTGGCTAACATGGTGTAAGGGAGGAGACCACCCCTCATATTGTCTTATGCCCAATTTCTGCCTCCAAAGAAAGAAAAAGTAAAAACTAAAGGGCAGAAATGACATCCACAAGCAGACACCCCAGGTGCCACACCCTGGGCCTGGTAGTTAAAAATCAACCCCTGACCTGATTGGTATGTTATCTATAGATTACAGACATTGTATAGAAAAGCACTGTGACAATGCCTTTCCTGTTTTGTTCCGATCTAGTTACTGGTGCATGCAGCCCCCAGTCACGTACCCCCTGCTTGCTCAATTGATCACGACCCTCTCACGTGCACCCCCTTAGAGTTGTGAGCCCTTAAAAGGGACAGGAATTGCTCACTCGGGGAGCTTGGCTCTTGAGACCGGAGTCTTGCCGATGCCCCTGGCCTAATAAACCCCTTCCTTCTTTAACTCGGTGTCTGATAAGTTTTGTCTGCAGCTCGATTTCTTGGTTCCCTGACTGGGAAGCGAGGTGAATGGCGGATGGTCAAGGCAGCTCCTTAGGCGGCTTAAACCTGCCCTGTGGAACATCCCTGCAGGGGACTCCAACCAGCCCGAGCAACACGGATCCTGAGGGCGCTCCTGGTTAGGCATTTGCCCCACTGGGACGCCTCGCCAGAGCACTGTATGGCAGGCCCCCATGGAGGATCAACGCAGTGGCTGAACACCGGGAAGGAACGGGCACTTGGAGTCTGGACATCTAAAACTTGGTAAGAGTAGTCTTTGAAACTTGCCCACTCCATTTGAGTGGAAGCATGGCCTGATCACCCATGGCGTGCCTTTATTGGCACTTTGGTTTTGGTTTGAATTGCTTGACAGGATTGGTCTTGGGAACTTGCCTACTCCATTTGAGTGGAAGTGTGGCCTGATCACCCATGGTGTGCCTCTCCTGGCACTTTGGTTTTTATTTTTGACTTGACTTGGATTGCTTGATACTTTGGTTTTGGTTTTGACCTGGCTTGGATTTCTGGATACTCTGATTTTGGTTTGGTGCAAACTGCAAAACTGTGTGTGCGCCCTTTTTACCGGTTCTTTGTTTTGTGGTGTGTTTGTGGTGTGAGCGTGGTGTTTTGTCTTGAAGAAGCATAGGTCAGGCACGAATAAGCCCACCCCACTAGGAACTATGTTGACAAATTTCAAAAAAGAATCTGAGGGAGACTATGGAGTGCTATGACACCAGGAAAACTTAAAACTTTGTGTAAGATAGACTGGCCAGCATTAGAGGTAGGTTGGCCATTAGAAGGAAGCCTGGACAGGTCCCTTGTTTCAAAGGTATGGCACAAGGTAACCTATAAGCCAAGGAACCCAGACCAGTTCCCTTACAGAGACACTTGATTAGAGCTGGTTTTAGACCCCCCACCCCCAACACATAGTGGTTGAGAGAACAGCAGCATAAGTGGCTGGCAGAGGCAAGGAAAGACCAGCAGAGAGAGAGAAAGGAAAGAGACAGAGAGGAAAAGAGGAAAAGAGAGAGAGGAAGAGACAGGAAGAGACAGACAGAGAGTCAAGGATAGAGAGAGAGAGAGAGAGAGAGACACACACACACACACACACAGAGAGAGAGGAAGAGGCAGAGGCAAAAGGAAAGTCAAAGAGAGAGACAAAGTCAAAGAGAGAAAGAAAGAGAGAAAGAGAGAGAGATACAAAGTTAAGAAAAAAAAGCCATCTATACCAATTCTAATTTAGACAAAACAAGGTCTTATTAATAGCAAAGGATAATTAAAATCCCAAACTTAGAAGGTTTTCTTTTTATTATTATTATTATTATACTTTAAGTTTTAGGGTACATGTGCACAACATGCATTTTTTTAAAATTTTTTTTAAAGGTTTTCAACTAAAGTTTGCTAAAAGTTAACAGTGTAACATGTATATAGTAACTTATATTCTTGTGGCCTAGTCCACAAGACACAAAAAAGGTTCGCTTTGGAAAAGAATGGTTATCATCTTCGAAAAAAAAAAGGAAAAAAAGGGGGGGCGGAATTTATATAAAAAGAGTATTATATGGTAAATTCTTGTCCTGAAACAAATTAACTGGTTGTTTAAAGAAATAAATATTTGTAATAAGTCAGAAAGTTGAGGCATATCGAAGAATTGTCTGCGAAAGTCACGAAAGAGAAAAATGTTATAAAAAAATTTATGCAAAAAATGTTGTATAATTTAAAAGTAACTAGGCCTCCTGAATGTAAAACTGTTGAAAAAAAAAACAGTTTATATGCAAGGTGTATAAGAAAAGTAAAATATATCTTTGGTAAAAGAATTGTAAGGAGGCATAAGGATGTACATTTTCACCTACATTAAAAGGTTAAAAATAATTATTGTTTTGAAGATTTAAGCAAGTTTCAAAATGTTAATTGTAAAGAAAATTCTGTGTGTAAACATATTAGCTAAAGTTAAAGAAGTATCATCCAGTTTTTCTGTGAACTGGACATTAAAGTAAAAGCATAACAGGTTTTTTCTTAAAGCACCAACCTGCTCTTTTGCAAAAATTATAAAGGGTTAAAAAGAATCTATAAAATCTTACCTTATGGTCAAACATTAACAATTAGATACATATGTCTACAAGGTTTTATTAAAATTAAGTTTAATATTAATAACACACTAATATAAAGATAAAATTTAGCTTATCTGGTATAAAAATCATACGAGAAGCACTGTTAAATGTAAAATGGTATTTGGCTTTCTTTGGTTTAAAAACTAATAAAAATAGGTGCTAAAGGAAATTTCTCAGGAAAAAGGCACTAAGGACTATAAAGTCCACTGCCAAGGTCCCCACATTTAAAACAAAAGGTCAGTTCCTTAGAATTATATGCTTGGTTTATTTTCCACTTTCCTTTCTCTCAAAAACTAAAAGTCTTTTAGCACATGTACCACCCCTAGAATTTCTAGTAAACCAGCACCAGCCTGAAGATCACATTCTCATCGAAAGGTGGAAAGAAGAAAAACTCGAGCCAGCCTGGAAGGACCCTACCTTGTGTTGCTAACCACCAAGACTGCTGTTCGTACAGCAAAAAAGGATGGACTCGTCACACCAGAATCAAGAAAGTGCCACCCCCTCCAGAGTCATGGGCCACAGTCCCAGAGGAAAACCCTGCCAAACTAAAGCTACGAAAAATCTCTTTTCATCTATTCTATTACTCTTCTTTCTTTCCTCGTGCTATTGCTGACCATCTAGTTATTAACATAACCAAGTCAATTTCACCTCAAACTATTGCATTTAATGCTTGCCTTGTTATACCCTGTGGGGACTTGCCAAGTCAAAGACAGCTCTCTACTTCAGAAAAGTACTTCTGTCCCTCCTGACTCTCCTCAGACTGGACATTAGTAAACTAGGACCATTTAATCCAGGGAGATTTCGATAAAGACCCCAGTGCCAACCAGGAGTCTTGTCCCCTGATGTAGAGTTTTTATGCCGTAGTTGGTCCAACGTTCTGTGGACCACTAAAGAGCAAGAATGGACTGCCCCAACCAGTTTTTGTAATTTCCTAAAACCATACATTCGTTTTACTAGAGGATCATAGAAGTTAAAGAGTTAAAACAAACTTTACCAATGAAGACAGGATACCAAGATGCAAATGCCTGGTTAAAATGCATCAAATATTCCATCTGCACGTTAAACAAAAGCAATTGTTATGCTTGTGCACATGGCAGGCCAGAGGCCCAGATTGTCCCCTTTCCACTAAGGTGGTCCTCCAGTCGACCAGATGTGGGCTGCCTGGTAGCTCTTTTCCAGGATTCTACAGCCTGTATTAATAAGTCATGCCAAGCTCTCTCTGCTATATCCCAAAGTCCAGCACCCTGCGGGTCAGCCCCCGAGGGCCATCCATCCTCCATCTCCCAACACTAAGTTCACTTCATGTCTCTCACAACAGGGAGGAAACTTAGCGTTCCTTGGAGACCTGAAAGGATGCAGTTAGCTTAAGAATTTTCAAGAGCTTATCAATCAGTCAGCCCTTGTTCATCCCCGAGCAGATGTGTGGTGGTATTGTGGTGGACCTTTACTGGGCACTCTGCCAAATAACTGGAGTGGCACTTGTACTTTAGTCCAATTGGCTATCCCTTTCACCCTGGCATTTCATCAACCAGAAGGAAAAAAAGAAAGACATTGTAAAGCGAGAGAAGCCCCTTATGGGTCTTTCGACTCTCATGTCTATTTAGATGCAATTGGAGTCCCACGAAGAATACCAGATCAATTTAAAGCTTGAAATCAAATAGCTGCAGGATTTAAGTCAATATTTTAGTGGGTGACAGTTAATAAAAATGTAGATTAGATAAACTACATCTATTACAACCAACAACAACGAGGTTTTCATGAGTTAAAAGAAAACCTCATGTTGGTCCCAGCCCTGAGGCTACCTGACCTGACAAAACTCTTTACACTCTATGTGTCAGAAAGAGAAAAAATGGCAGTTGGAGTTTTAACCCATACTGTGAGGCCCTGGCCAAGGCCAGTGGCCTATCTCTCAAAACAACTAGACAGGATTTCCAAAGGCTGGCCCCCAGGTCTAAGGGCCCTAGCAGCAACAGCCCTGTTAGCACAAGAAGCAGATAAACTAACCCTTAGGAAAACCTGAATATAAAGGCCCCCCATGCTGTGGTAACTTTAATGACTACCAAAGGACCTCATTGGTTACAAATGCTAGATTAACCAAGTACCAAAGCTTGCTATGTGAAAATCCCCACATAACCACTGAAGTTTGCAACACCCTAAACCCCACCACCTTGCTCCTGGTATCAGAGAGCCTAGTTGAACATACTGTGTAGAGGTGTTGGACTCAGTTTATTCTAGCAGGCCCAACCTCCGAGACTATCCTTAAACATCAGTAGACTGTGAGGGGTACGTGGACGGGAGTAGCTTCGCCAACCCCTGCAAAGTGACTCTGAAGAAGACGACAAGCTCTGCTCCAGTCACACCCAGAAGCTGACTGGTCCACGCACGGCCGAAGCATGAGAAAACTCATTGCGGAACTCATTTTCCTTAAAATTTGGACTTTTACAGTAAGGACTTCAACTGACCTTCCTCAGACTGAGGACTGTTCCAGTGTATACATCAAGTCACTGAGGTAGGACAAAAGGTTGCTACAGTCCTATTATTTTATGGTTATTATAAGTGTACTGGAACTCTAAAAATAACTTGTTTGTATAATGTTATTCTGTACAAGGTATGTAGCCCAGGAAGTGACCAACCTGATGTGTGTTATGACCCATCTGAGCCTCCCATGACCACGGTTTTTAAAATAAGATTAAGGACTGAGGACTGGTGGGGGCTCATAAATGATATGAGTAAAGTGTTAGCCAAAACAGAAGAAAAAGGGGTGCCCAAACAAGTCACCTTAAAATTTGATGCCTGTGCTGTCATTAATAGTAATAAGTTAGGAATAAAGTGTGGTTCTCTTAATTAGAAAAGAGGCTATATGGCAGAAAATAAGTACATCTGTCATAAATTAGGACTGTGTGGAAATAAATGTAAATACTGGTCTTGTGTCATTTAGGCCACTTGGATTTAAAAAAAATGAAAAGGATCCAGTCCACCTTCAGAAAGGAAAAAAATGGCCCTTCCTGTGCTAAGGGACAATGTAACCCCTTAGAGCTAGTAATAACCAATCCCCTTGATCCTCGCTGGAAAAAAGAGTAGCGTGTGACCTTAGGAATCAATGGGGCTGGACTGAATCCCCGAGTAAATATCTTGGTTCGAGGAGAAGTTTACAAATGCTCTCTTGAGCCAGTGTTTCAAACTTTCTATGATGAACTAAATGTGCCAATAACAGAATTTCCAGGAAAAACAAGAAATTTGTTTTTGCAATTAGCCGAGCATGTAGCCCAGTCTCTCACTGTCACTTCATGTTATGTATGTGGAGGAACTGTAATAGCAGATCAATGGCCATGGGAAGCCCGAGAATTAGTACCTACAGACCCAGTTCCTGATGAATTCCCAGCTCAAAAGAATCACCCTGATAATTTCTGGGTCCTAAAAGCCTCAATCATTAGACAATACTATATAGCAAGAGTGGAGAAGGACTTCACCCTTCCTGTAGGAAGACTACATGGTGGAGTTCAAACCACACAGAGAAAAATCCATTCAGTAAATTTCCAAAGTTGCAGACCGTTTAGGCCCACCCAGAATCCCACCGGGACTGGACAGCCCCCACTGGGCTATACTGGATATGTGGACATAGAGCCTACACTAAGCTGCCTGACAAGTAGTTGTGTTATTGGCACTATTAAACCATCTTTCTTCCTACTGTCCATAAAAACAGGAGAACTCCTGGGCTTCCCTGTCTATGCTTCCCGTGAAAAGCATAGCTATAAGAAATTGAAACAATGATAAATGGCCCCCTGAGAGAATCATACAGTATTATGGGCCTGCTACTTAGGCACAAGATGGCTCGTGGGGATACCGGATCCCCATTTATATGATCAACTGAATCATACGGTTACAAGCTGTCTTAAAAATAATCACTGCAACCGGCAGAGCCTTGACTATTCTGGCCCAGCAAGAAACTCAGATGAGAAATGCTATCTATCAAAATAGATTAGCTCTCGACTACTTGCTAGCAGCTGAAGGAGAGGTCTGTAGGAAATTTAACCTTACTAATTGCTGCCTACACATAGATAACCAAGGGCAAGTAGTTGAAGACATAGTTAGAGATATGACAAAAGTGGCACATGTGCCCGTGCAAGTGTGGCATGGATTTGATCCTGGGGCCATGTTTAGAAAATGGTTCCCAGCGCTAGGAGGATTTAAAACTCTTATAATAAGAGTTATAATAGTAATAGGAACCTACTTACTGCTCCCTCGTTTGCTACCTGTACTTCTTCAAATGATAAAAAGCTTCATCGCTACCTTAGTATACCAAAATGCATCAGCACAAGTGTACTATATAAATCACTATTGATCTGTCTAGCAAGAAGACATGGGTAGTAAACATGAAACAACTCCTGCTATTGAGTGAGAGTCTCAAAGTGGGGGAATAAGGGAGGAGACCACCCCTCATATTGTCTTATGCCCAATTTCTGCCTCCAAAGAAAGAAAAAGTAAAAACTAAAAGGCAGAAATGAAATCCACAAGCAGACAGCCCGGGCGCCACACCCTGGGACTGGTAGTTGAAAATCAATCCCGGACCTAATCGGTTATGTTATCTATAGATTACAGACATTGTATAGAAAAGCATTGTGAAAATCTCATTCCTGTTTTGTTCCAATCTAATTACTGGTGCGTGCAGCCCCCAGTCACGTACCCACGTACCTCCTGCTTGCTCAATCGATCACGACCCTCTCACGCACACCCCCTTAGACTTGTGAGTCCTTAAAAGGGACAGGAATTGCTCACTCGGGGCGGGGGCTCGGCTCTTGAGACAGGAGTCTTGCTGATGCCTCCGGCCTAATAAACCCCTTCCTTCTTTAACTCGGTGTCTGAGGAGTTTTGTCTGCAGCTCGTCCTGCTACAGGTGAAACCCCATCTCTACTAAAAAAATACAAAAAAATTAGCCAGGTGTGGTGGCGGGTGCCTGTAGTCCCAGCTGCTTGGGAGGCTGAGGCAGGAGAATGGTGTGAGCCTGGGAGGCAGAGCTTGCAGTGAGCCGAGATCATGCCACTGCACTCCAGCCTGGGCAACAGAGTAAGACTCCGTCTCAAAAAAAAAAAAAAAAATCATGGATGGTTGGTGTCATGGAGGGGATAGGTCTTTGGAAGAACCTTCCTCTGAAGCTGGCTCTGTACATTTAAATAAGAATACTGCAAATCATCAAAGCCTTTAGCAAGTCTGACTCTTGGAGTGAGCCTTTGTTTTTCTTCATTTATAAAAGGAAAAGGGGACTGTACTGTTCACATTTATTTATTTTTTTATTTTTTTAATTGATCATTCTTGGGTGTTTCTCCCAGAGGGGGATTTGGCAGGGTCATAGGACAATAGTGGAGGGAAGGTCAGCAGATAAACAAGTGAACAAAGGTCTCTGGTTTTCCTAGGCAGAGGACCCTGCGGCCTTCCGCAGTGTTTGTGTCCCTGGGTACTTGAGATTAGGGAGTGGTGATGACTCTTAACGAGCATGCTGCCTTCAAGTATCTGTGATGTGAGGAGCGCCTCTGCCCGGCCGCGACCCCGTCTGGGAGGTGAGGAGCATCTCTGCCCGGCCGCCCCGTCTGAGAAGTGAGGAGACCCTCTACCTGGCAACCGCCCCGTCTGAGAAGTGAGGAGCCCCTCCGCCTGGCAGCCACCCCGTCTGGGAAGTGAGGAGCGTCTCAGCCCGGCAGCCACCCCGTCCGGGAGGGAGGTGGGGGTCAGCCCCCGCCAGGCCAGCCGCCCCGTCCGGGAGGGAGGTGGGGGTCAGCCCCTGCCAGGCCAGCCGCCCCGTCCCGGAGGGAGGTGGGGGGGTCAGCCCCCTGCCCGGCCACATTTTGTTTTTGAATCGAGGTATAATTTACATACAGTGAAATGCAGAGGTTTTTTTATACAGGATCTCTGTCGAGAGGCTGGAGTGCAGTGGTGCTATCACAGCTCACTGCAGCCTCAACCTCGCCAGGCTCAAGCGATCCTCCCACCTCAGCCTCCAGAGTAGCAGGGACTACAGGTGTGCATCACCATGCCCAGCTAATTTGTGTGTGTGTGTTTGTGTGTGTGTTTGTAGATATAGGGTTTTGCCATGTTGGCCACGCTGGTCTCAAACTCCTGACCTCAAGTGATCTACCCACCTTGGCCTCTCAAAGTGCTGGGATTACAGGTATGAGCCTCTGCACCCAGCCATGGTCTGAAAATCTTGATTGAAATACCACCTTTTCATTTCCAGACACCGCTATTTAAAGTTACAACACCCTCAAGACACACTTTATCCTCCATTCCTGCTGCTTCTCCATAACACTTATTACTAGCTGACCTTCTATGTAATGTATCTATCCTTTATCTCTAGTCCCACAGAATGTAAACTCCAGGGCAGCAGAGATTTTTGTTTCGTTTATGTACATCTGTATATTCAGTAGTTAAAACAGTACTTGGGACCTAGTTGCCACTCAATAAACATTTGTTGAATAAATTAAATAATAAACTACATTAGTTCTTCAATTAATTTTTTAAAATATGGTGGTTAATAGTGAGTAACATTCAAAAAATAAGTTGAAAATTTATACCTATTGCCTCTTACCCACAATAAAAAAGGGTAAATTCAAGGAAATTTTCTTTTGTGCTTTATGAAAGTTGTTTTTCATATTTGGAGTCATGTCAATCAGATTAAGGAAAATGCAAGTTGTGTTTTCAGAGAGATACAAGATTTATAAATAACCATCCTCTCCCTTGCCCTTCAACATTTTAGCTAAACAAAAACAAGAGGAAAACAAGATTTACAATTTATCAATTCATTGAAAATCAGAGCCAGAGAAGCAGGAAATGACATTGTAGGAAAAAACTGCTTTTGAAAAAGCACAACTTACTCATGACAATCAGAGTGATCAAAAAAATCCTCAATAGTGTGGCATTTGGATCCATTTATCATTACATTTCCATGGGACAGAGTCATAAAAATAGGATGTTCTTTCTCATTATGGCAAATTAAACCATCAATTAAAAACTCAGATACATAAAAATTAAAGATGTAAGAATGAAAGTTAATGCTAAATTTTTATTTTCAGTCAACTATTGTATGTTTTCTAGCTTTTCATTGCTTTTTTCCTATTTTCTGTTAGATTAATATTTTTTTTTTTTTTTTTTGAGACAGAGTTTCGCTCTTGTTGCCCAGGCTGGAGTGCAATGGCACATCTCGGCTCACCACAACCTCCACCTCTTGGGTTCAAGTGATTCTCCTGCCTCAGCCTCCGGAGTAGCTGGGATTACAGGCATGCGCCACCAAGCCAGCTAATTTTGTATTTCTTAGTAGAGACGGGGTGTCTCCATGTTGATCAGGCTGGTCTCAAACTCCCAGCCTCAGGTGATCTGCCTGCCTCGGCCTCCCAAAGTGCTGGGATTACAGGCGTGAGCCACTGCGCCCAGATTTTTTTAATTTTTATTTTTGAGATGGATTCTTGCTCTGTTGCCCAGGCTGGAGTACAGTGGTGCCGTCTTGGTTCACTGCAACTTCTACCTCCCAGGTTCAAGTGCTTCTCCTGCCTGAGCCTCCTGAGTAGCTAGGATTACAGGCGTGTGCCACCATGCCCAGCTAATTTTGTATTCTTAGTAGAGACGGGGTTTCACCATGTTGTCAGGATGTTCTTGATCTCCTGACCTCGTGATCTGCCCACCTCGGCCTCCTAAAGTGCTGGGATTACAGGCGTGAGCCTCCGCGCCAGGCCTTAAGATTAATTTTTAATGGTTTTTTAGACTCATATGTATGGAAACTTCTAGGATGGGGACCATATTTCACTTCCTTTTAATACAGTACCCAGTATAGCACAATTTGCAGTTATGTCTTAATATGTGATTCCTGATCATGACTGGAAACAGTGTTATTTGTGGTAGCTATAGGGTAGGTAAGTTTTTCAGCCTGTTTTAGGTTTCTTGACCTAAAATTCCTTCTGCTGGACTCTAAGTCACTATTGGCAGCTATTTCTGACGATTGGTAGTTCTTTGTAACTTTTTACCTATGACTGTAACATTTTTGACTTTCAGAAGAATTTGCTAAAATGTGTTCCCCGGTGGGTTGTTGTTTTTCAACCTAAACCTAGCTGCTTTTTCCAGTCACTTATCCGTATTGGAAGCTCAAAATGCAAATATACAGTAGGCCTAAAATATTGCCTGGTTTGAAAAGTGTTTAAAATATTTGAATCATTTTTATAGTAAACATTTACTCTCATCAGGACCTAGAAGGGGAACATTTTAATTTTTTTCCTTTTCCCTTTTCACAGTCTTCCTTCAACATTCATTACCTTTTTACATATTGGAGTTTTCATCTGTTCACAGTTTATGTTTACAGTGTGTTTATATAGTGTAGATTATAATTACCATACTGAAATATAATTATTTCAGAATTGAGTCAGTGGTGAGAATGAAAGCCATCTGGTATGATAACTGAATCCAATTTTTCTTTTACGGAGAATTTCTTTGAAATGTAGCTTATCTCAGAAATAGGGATTTAGTAACCAATCAGAGTTTTCTTTGTCAAGGTTGTTTTTCTTTTTAAAGTCACATTTGGTCCCAGTAATAATACCCACATTGGTACAAGTCATCTCAGGTTGTGAAGTATTTTCCCAAGTAGCATTTAATTTTATTCTTGCAATAGCCCAAGGAGACTGGCAGGGTGAATGACAGAGAAGGAAACTGAGGTTCAGGTAAAGTGGTTAGCCCAAGGTGGCTCTGCTTATATACACAACTGGTAGTAGAAACCCAGCCTTCTGACTTAGTTCAGTGTTTCTCTTTTCACTGCCCTGTGCTACGTCAGAAACACCATGATTACAAGAGTAGTATTACTAAATCCTTCACAATAAGGTTACTGTCCCCGAGCTTTTCTTATGATTCTTTTTTTTTTTCTTTTTTTGAGATGGAGTCTCACTCTGTCGCCCAGGCTGGAGTACAGTGGCACAATCTCATCTGACTGCAACTTCCGCCTCCCGGGTTCAAGCAATTCTCCTGCCTCAGCCTCCCGAGTAGCCAGGACTACAGGTGCGTGCCACCATGCCTGGTTAATTTTTGTAGTTTTAGCAGAGGCGGGGTTTCCCCATATTGGCTAGGCTGGTCTCAAACTCCTGACCTCAGGTGATCCACCTGCCTCAGACTCCCAAAGTGCTGGGATTACAGTGTGAGCCACCGCACCTGGCCCTTGTGATCCTTTTCTAAAAAGTTAAATATTTAATGAAAAGAACCACATTCTTGTCGCACTACCAGGATACTTGTTCTTTGATGTCCTGCCTGGACTTTACCCAAAAAATCCATTTCAAAAGTTCACATTTAGGGCTAAGTGTAGTGGCTCATACCTGTAATCCCAGCTGAGGCAGGTGGATCATTTGAGGTCAGGACTTCAAGAACAGCCTGGGCAACATGGTGCAACCCCTTCCCTACCAAAAATACAAAAAAATTAGCCAGGCATGGCAGCATGCGCCTGTAGTCCCAGCTACTTGGAAGGCTGAGGCACAAGAATCACTTCAATCCGAGAGGCAGAGGTTGCAGTGAGCCAAGACCACACCACTGCACTCCAGCCTGAGCAGCAGAGTGAGTGAGACTCCATCTCCCCCCAAAAAAAGTTTCACTGGACATAGTAGCTCACACTTGTAATCCCAGCACTTTGGGAAGCCAAAGCAGGAAGACTGCTTGAGGCCAGTCATTCAAGACCAGCATGGGCAACATAGTGAGATCCTGTCTCTATAAAAATTAATTAACATTAAAAATTAAAAAGATGGCCGGGCATGGTGGCTCACTCCTGTAATCCCAGTACTTTGGGAGGCCAAGGCATGGTGGTGCATGCCTTTAGTCCCAGCTACTCGGGAGGCTGAGGCAGGAGAATCACTTGAACCCAGGAGGCAGAGGTTACAGAGAGCTGAGATTGTGCCACTGCACTCCAGCCTGGGTGACAGAGTGAGACTCTGTCTCAAAAAAAGAAAATTAAAAAGACCAGAATAAAGCTAAAGATTTAAAATAGCTGGCAGGTTCCTACCAAAAGTTACCAGCTACCTCTCTGATGCTCTTTCCCTACAATATCCTCCTGGATTATTACATTTTAGCACCTTGACCTATCTGATGTCCTGCATACACAGGCATGGTCCTGCTCAGGGTTTGCCTTCTCTGCTCCCTCTTTCCTGGAATGCTCTTCCCCTAATTGTTGCATAGCGTGTTTCTTTACATTATTAAGCTGTCCTCTAGTCTCACCTCAGTGAAACCTTTCCTGACTCCCCCCATGTACACCTACCCCCTATACATATTACACTACCTGTTTCCCCTTACCCTGCTTATTTTTTCTCTTTAATACACTTATTCCCATATATTCTTTAATTCTGCATCAACTGTCTACCACACTAGAATGTGAGAGCAGGTTTTATTTTGTAAACTGCTGTATTTCTATCTCCTAGAATAGTACTTGAATATAGTAGTAGATACTTAATAAACACTTGTTATATTAGTATAATAAATGAATTACTCTCAGGAATGCCTTGGTTTTGTGGATAGACAGGTAGGGATGGGAACTGGGGTGATGTATTTTCTAAAGTTTTTATTTTTTAAGCTTATTATTATTATTATTTTGAGACAGAGTCTAGCTCTGTCACCCAGGCTGGAGTGCAGCTTATTATTATTATTTTGAGATGGAGTCTAGCTCTGTCACCCAAGCTGGAGTGCAGTGGGGCAATCTTGGCTCACTGCAACCTGCGCCTCCCAGGTTCAAGCGATTCTCCTGCCTCAGCCTCCTGAGTACCTGGGATTACAGGCGCCTGCCACCATGCCCAGTTAGTTTTTGTATTTTTAGTAGAGATGGGGTTTCACCATGTTGGCCAGGCTGGTCTCGAAATCCTGACCTCGTGATCTGCCGGCCTTGGCCTCCCGAAGTGCTGGGATTACAAGCGTGAGCCCCCGTGCCTGGCCTTATTTTCTTTTTATTGAGACAGAGTCTTCCTCTGTCACCTAGGCTGGAGTGCAGTGGTGTGATCTTGGCTCACTCTGCAACCTCCACCTCCAGGGTTCAAGTGATCCTTCTGCCTTAGCCTCCAAGTAGCTGGCACCACAGGCATGGGACACCACGCCTGGCTAATTTTTGTATTTTTAGTAGAGACGGGGTTTCACCATGTTGTCCAGGATGATCTAGAACTCCTGAGCTCAGGTGATCCACCCACCTCAGCCTCCCAAAGTGCTAGGATTACAAGCATGAGGCACCACGCCCAGCCTTAAGCTTATTATTTTCTAAATTTCCTTTAGTGAGTACCTACTACACTGTTTTTACAAAGTAATCACAAACCAAACATGCGTCTTCTGAAGTGATCTAATAAGAGTACACAGTACCATCTGTAAAGTGTTCTTGCCAAAAGGTTAAACCTGAATTTGATTAGGCCTATAAGTCTAATTTACAGGAAATAAGGTTAGAGGGTTAGCAGGATTGATAAGGAATCAGAGAGACTGATGGGATTGAGGAGGATCTTTATTATTTAGGTGCACCAGCCCAGGTGGATTAACATCCAAAGGACTGAGCCCTGAACAAAGAGTTAAGTTACCTTTTAAGCATTTGGTGGGGTGGGGGAGATCTGTGCAGGGGGAAGCATATTACAGAAGTGAGAAACAAAGACGGTTATTCAATTAATTGAGACATATATTACATCATTTTTTACTTTTCAAGGAAAAACATTTTTTACAACTTGAGTTTATCTGTCTAGTGACCTTGCAGCTGCACAGCTAGGGAAACAGGATCTTCACAGTGCCTGGGAAAGGAGGAGAGATAAGGCTCACTAGCCACAGAAAAACAGGCAGTTAATTTTTAAAGGACTTCAGCTCCTTCTTTTTCTCAGGGGAAATTGGGTTTTCTTACATACAACTGAGTTTCTGCTTACACGTTCTTTAATTTCTTTTAATTCCTGTTCCAGAGGAACATGTTAAACCTCACCATGGGGTTATACAATCAGCAAAATCCAAAATGCACAAAACTCTACAGGTCGAGTGACCTGTCCAGCAGTTCGTCTCCTAAATCCAGAAGTAATCCTTCCCTTCGCTCTTAACCAGTGGAGTTCTCCATTTATTTATTTATTTTTATTATTATTATTTTTGAGACAGAATCTCACTCTATTGCCCGGGCTGGAGGGCAGTGGCAAGATCTCGGCTCACTGCAACCTCCGCCTCCTGGGTTCAAGGGATTCTCCTGCCTCAGCCTCTCGAGTAGCTGGGATTACAGGCACCCACTGCTATGCCCAGCTTATTTTTTTTTATTTTTTTATTTTTGAGACGGAGTCTTGCTCTGTCACCCAGGCTGGAGTGCTGGAGTACAGTGGCGCAATCTCAGCTCACTGCAAGCTCCACCTCCCAGGTTCACGCCATTGTCCTGCCTCAGCCTCCCAAGTAGCTGGGACTTCAGGTGTCCGCCACTATGCCCAGTTAATTTTTTGTATTTTTTAGTAGAGATGGGGTTTCACTGTGTTAGCCAGGATGGTCTCGATCTCCTAACCTTGTGATCCGCCCACCTCAGCCTCCCAGAGTGCTGGGATTACAGGTGTGAGCCACCACGCCCAGCCAATTTTTTGTATTTTTAATAGAGACAGGGTTTCACCATGTTGGCCAGGCTGGTCTCCAACTCCTGACCTCGTGATCCACCCACCTCAGCCTCCCAAAGTGCTGAGATGACAGGTGTGAGCCACTGCACCCGGCCTGGAGTTCTCCTTTTATACATTAACAAATTTCTCTTGCGTCTCTACTACGTCTTGCTAGATGTGTTGGAAAAGGATGAATAAATGCAGTTCTACCCTCCACTTGTAGGTGGAGTGGAAGTGTAAACAAGCAATTTCAACACAGTGGGAGAGGTGCTAAAGAGAGAACTGTGTGGTCACTGGGGCAGTGCACATAACCAAAAATAAAGAGAGACATATACAAGGCTCAGTGGTGGCTCAGTAGAGCAAAGCCAGGCAACAGATGACACAGCTGTAAACAAACCAAAATTCACCATCAACATATTTTGAAAGTATGTGGTGGTGCTGATTTCAAATCTTGGCTCCATCACACACTATGTGGCCTTGGGAAAGTTACATAACCTCTAAGCACCAGTTTCTACCTGGGGAGAATATTACCTATTCCAGGGTGTTATTTATGATGATATTTAAAGGAAATAATGCATGTAAAGTGCTTAGCACAGTCTCTGGCACTTAATGGTACTTCCAAATTACTACAGAAAAAAATGTATATTTTTATTTTTTAAGAGACAGGGTATTGCTCTGTCACCCAGGCTGAGGTACAGTGGTGCAACCATAGCTCATTGCAACCTTGAACAGTTGTGCTGAAGTGATCTTCCCTCCTCAGCCTCCCAAGTAGCTGGAAGGACAGGGGCGTGCCACCATGTGCGGCTAAGTTTTTTTAAACATTTTTTTGTAGAGATGGGGTCTCCCTATGTTGACCAGACTAGTTTCAAACTATTGGCCTCAAGCAATCCTTCTACCTTGGCCTCCCAAAATGTTGGGATTACAGGCATGAGCCACTGCATCTAGCCTGAAACAAATCTTACATATAGGGAAAAAAAACTTTTAGCACAAAGATGTATTTATAATAGGAACATTTCTGGAACACACTGAAAATCCTCTTTTGGTTTTTTTGTTTTTGTTTTTGTTTTTTTTGAGACAGAGTCCCAGAGCTAGGAATATAGGCATGCGCCACCACATGTGGCTCATTTTTGTATTTTTAGTAGAGATGTGGTCTTGTTATGTTGGCCAGGCTGGTCTCAAACACCTAACCTCAAGTGATTCATCTGCCTTGGCCTCCCAAAAATGTGGGGATTACAGGTGTGAGCCACCACACTTCATATAATATCCTTTTGATGGAGTATTATGTAGCTGTTAAACTGTGACAATGTTTGACAGTCATAGATACAAAAAGCACTAAATAAAATTTGAATCTGATGTTATCTTGGCTATGTAAATAGATACCCAAAGTCCCTGGGCCTCTCCAGCCTGTGATTTTAAATGAGGTCACATTAGCCTTATACCCGAATTTCACTGTCCCATTGCCCCCACCAGCTCTTACAGACCTCTGCAAAGGCCCTGAGGGCCCTAGGGAATAAAGCATATGCCCCACCCACCCAACTATTCATAAACTGTCTGTGTTTGATGGGCACAGCCACCCTTTGCCAAGCCTTCACTCTTGCCATACCTCATAAAGGACACCTCCCTGTCAGGTTGACCAAACCACTTGGTTTGCCTGGAACCGAGAGGTTTCCTGGGATTTAGGACTTTTAGTACTAAAACTGAGAGACTCTTTGGCAAACTAGGAGAACTTGGTCACCCTGACTCACTGTGCAAAGCTGCACATTTTTTTTGCACTTCCAAGCTGCAAAATTTTTAGATCCCCAAATGGAGTTGTTTTTTTTTAGCTAGAGCTCAGCTTCATTCTTCCCAAAACAGGGACTTATGGACCTCCCAGAGGACTGGGTGAGGTGAATATTCATGTTTGAATTCAGGGGACTTTTATCCCTGGTACCAGGGAAGTAAAAAGAAACAACAGTCAAAAGGTTGCTTGAGAAACAGCTAATTAGAGGATGGGTCTAGAGAAGAGATGCTGGTTTGGGAAACATGAGCACATTGGGTGGCAAATATCATGAGACTGGACTGGATGGCCCAGGACACCTGTAAACAGGAGAGAAGCCTGAGAATAATGACATTTGAGCCAATCTGCAGAGGTAAGTGAGTCCATAAAAGAAACTGAGGCTGGGCCTAGTGGCTCACACCTGTAATCCCAGCACTTTGACAAGCATATCACTTGAGGCCAGGAGTTCGAGACCAGCCTGGCCAACATGATGAAACCCTGTCTCTACTAAAAATACAACATTTAGCCAGGTGTAGTAGTGACAGCCCGTAGTCCCAGCTACTCAGGAAGCTAAGGTGGGAGGATTGCTTGAGCCCAGGAGGTTCAGGCTGCAGTGACCCATGATCACGCCACTACACTCTAGCCAGGGCAACAGGGCAAGACCCGGTCTCAAATAAATAAATAAATACAAATTAAGTAAAAAGAAACTTGCCGGACATGGTGGCTCATGCCTATAATCCCAGCACTTTGGGAGGCTTGAGGTGGGTGGATCACCTGAGGTCAGGAGTTTGAGACCTGCCTGGCCAAGATGGTGAAACCCCGTCTCTATTAAAAACACAAAAATTAGCTAGGCACGGTGGTGGGTTCCTGTAATCCCAGCTACTCGGGTGGTTGAGGCAGGAGAATTGCTTGAACCCAGGAGGCGGAGGATGCAGTGAGCTGAGATCATGCCACTGCACTCCAGGCTGTGCGACAGAGCAAGACTCCGTCTCAAAAACAAAAAAAAGAAACTGAGGGTAGTGGCCAAAGAGAAAGGAAGAAAACTAGGATTTGAGGTTTGTAAGTTTTGGTGCAGTTTCTGAAATTTGTCCACAGTTTCCAATTTGGCTATGCCTTCACCCTAAAGCTAGTATTGATACTGATTGATCATGCTTCATATCATCAAGTAGACCACTCTCTTTCTTTCCAGCTTCTGAAATGTAGGTGATTCCATATGAGGTGCTCTTACTCTCTCTGCTTTCTCTTTTATTATAGTTTAGTCTGAGGCTGGGTGCGGTGGCTCATGCCTGTAATCCTAGCACTTTGGGAGGCCAAGGTGGGCGGATCACTTGATGTCAGGTGTTCGAGACCAGCCTGGCCAACATGGTGAAACCCCGTCTCTACTAAAAATACAAAAATTGGCTGGGCATGGTGGCTCACACCTGTAATCCCAGCACTTTGGGAGGCCAAGGTGGGCGGATCACAAGGTCCACCCGCTAACATGGTGAAACCCCATCTCTACTAAAAATACAAAGAAAAAAAAAAAAAAAAAAACTAGCCCGGTGTGGTGGCGGGCACCTGTAATCCCAGCTACTCGGGAGGCTGAGGCAGGAGAATGGCATGAACCTAGGAGGCAGAGCTTGCAGTGAGCCGAGATCGTGCCACTGCACTCCAGCCTGGGCGACAGGGCAAGACTCTGTCTCGGGGGGGAAAAAAAGTAAAAAAGTTAATTGGGTGGTGGCGGGGGGATGTGTGTTGGTTATATTCAAATACTGCACCATTATATGTAAGGGATTGAGCGTTCACAGATTCTGGTGTGTGGGGGCAGTATCCTAGAACCAGTCCCCCGCAAAATATCAAGGATGACTGAACTATGGAAGAAACAAAGCACTGTTAAACAGCATACAATTCCTGTCTTCAAAAAAGTTATCTCATTAGGTAGATGAGACTTATAATGAATTAAAAGGAATGAATACAGATTTGGAGATAGTGGTTGTTGTGATGGAAAATCTTAATTGCGTTTTCTTCCAAAACAGAGTCATTCTTATAGAAGAGCATCAGAGGAAGATAAAAAAGAATCCTCAATGTCAGGCCCCTGAGCCCAAGCTAAGCCATCATAACCCTGTGACCTGCACATATACATCCAGATGGCCTGAAGCAACTGAAGAACCATAAACGTGAAATAGCCAGTTCCTGCCTTAACTGATGACATTCCACCATTGTGATTTGTTCCTGCTCCACCCTAACTGATCAATTGATCTTGTGACATTCCTTCTCCTGGACAATGAGTCTCAGGAGCTCCTCACCAAGCACCTTGTTACCCCCACCCCTGCCCACAAGAGAAAACGCACGTTAACTGTAATTTTTCCACTACCTACCCAAATCCTATAAAACTGCCCCACCCCATCTCCTTTTGCTGACTCCAGGTGATTAAAAAACTATTGCTCACACAAAGCCTGTTTGGTGGTCTCTTCACATGGATGCGCATAACACTCAAGGTAAATATTAGTCTGGTGATTTTTTTTTTTTTTGAGATGGAGTTCCCTCTTGTTGCCAGGCTGGAGTACAATGGCGCGATCTCAGCTCACCGCAACCTCCGCCTCCTGGGTTCAAGCGATTCTCCTGCCTAAGCCTCCTGAGTATCTGGGATTACAGGCTTGCGCCACCACTAGTCTGGCAATTTTTACATTAGAATTTTAGAATTAGAAGAGAGCTTAGAACTCTGCCCTCATTTGTCAGTGAGGAAACTGCCCAAGACAGGAAAAATAGTTACTTACCCTAATGCTTATCCTGGCTCCAGTGAAATTAGCTCCCCAGCCAAAGCTGAAATGGATGGAACTAACAAGGACACATCTGCTGTCCCCAGCCCTTTCCAGAGGTGGGGAGGGATAGGAAGGGGAAAGTTTGTCGTGCCTGTTCCTGCTGATAGTGGGCATCAGGCTAGGCCAGGGGCCTTCTTGGAGGCTTTGGGGAAGGGGTAGGGAAGGCCACCAGGTGTTGGAGAGGGCACTCATCTCCTTCAAGGCTGATGGAAGGTAGGATATGTGAGTCCTTCCTCTAAAGTGGCAGGAAACACTACTTTCTCTTTTTTATTTATTTATTATTTATTTCATGGATCCTAGAACTGAGCAAACAGTACTTTCTCATCTTACTGGTTTTTGGGCCCCCACTCTATTCCTTTTATACAAACCTCACAGAATTCTAACTAGAAAGGCCAGGCGGGATGGCTTACACGTGTAATCCCAGCGCTTTGGGAGGCCGAGGCGGGTGGATCACTTGAGGTTGGGAGTTTGAGACCAGCCTGACCAACATGGTGAAACCCTGTCACTACTGCCGGGCACGGTGGCTCACGCCTGTAATCCCAGCACTTTGGGAGGCCGAGGCGGGCAGATCACGAGGTCAGGAGATCGAGACCATCCTGGCTAACACAGTGAAACCCCGTCTCTACTAAAAATACAAAAAATTAGCCGGGCGTGGTGGCGGGCACCTGTAGTCCCAGCTACTCAGGAGGCTGAGGCAGGAGAATGGTGTGAACCTGGAAGGCAGAGCTTGCCGTGAGCCGAGATCGTGCCACTGCACTCCAGCCTGGGCTACAGAGCGAGACTCTGTCTCAAAATAAAAAAGAAACCCCGTCGCTACTAAAAATACAAAATTAGCCGGGCGCGGTGGCGCAGCCTGTAATCTCAGCTACTTGGGAGGCTAAGGCAGAATTGCTTGAACCCAGGAGGCAGAGGTTGCGGTGAGCCGAGATCACGCCATTGCACTCTAGCCTGGGCAACAAGAGTGAAACTCCATCTTAAAAAAAAAAAAAGCCATGAGGCTGCAGGACAAGGAGTCTTCCAGTGAGGATGAGATCTTCAACAGTGATGCGGGGTAAACGACGGGGCCCTCATGGTTCCCATCTAAAATGAGGAGGGGGTGAGAAACTTAATTGCTCCTTTCAAGAGTCAAAACCTTGGCATTGTTATTCTTATCCCAGGGATGTTGAATCCCCAACAGAGAAGATCTCAACAGGAGAGTCGGCTGCTGAGAGGGGAAGAGAGTGAGGCCCTGCCCTAGGAGGAGAACACAGAGTGACCCTAGCCCACCTCAGGCCTCCTGTAAAATTACTTATTTTTCTTTTTTTTTCTTTCATAATTGAGATTTTATTGGTTGAGGGTCAGTACAGACATTTCAATTTGTACACAATTCTTAACATATGTAACAAAAATCGGCCAGGTTTCATGGCTCACGCCTGTAATCCCAAGACTTTGGGAGGCTGAGGCAGGCAGATCACGAGGTCAGGAGATCGAGACCATCCTGGCTAATACAGTGAAACCCCGTCTCTACTAAAAATACGAAAAATTAGCCAGGCATGGTGGAGGGTGCCTGTAGTCCCAGCTACTTGGGAGGCTAAGGCAGGAGAATGGCGTGAACCCGGGAGGCAGAGCTTGCAGTAAGCCAAGATTGCACCACTGCACTCCAGCTTTGGCCACAGAGTGAGACTCCATCTCAAAAAAAAAAAAAAAAAAAAAAAAAAAGTAACAAAAATCTAAAAAGCCACGTACTGTAATTCTTTTTAAAAGTTATCCCAGTGACTTTCCAGCTTAAAATTTGGAAGCAAATTTTCCTTAAGAGACTAAGTACCCATATCTTCACATGTTGATCAGCTGTTATGTATGGCCCACAGTTCACAACTGAATAGCATGTATACTACATATTCAAATTTTTAGTATTTCACTTCACAATAACAAAGTTATTAGGAAAACAGGACTACCACAACCAAAGATGTTACAGAGTGCCCACAACTCCAACAGGGTGAGCCATAATCAAGGAGTTGTTTTCTTTAGGAAACAATTCTACTACAAAACAACATGGGGATGGAAGTAATTTAAAATGTTCAAGACATTAAATGCAGGACTGACTCCATATTGCCATTTAATATGCTTTGTATTACAGGATATAAAAACTAACCCCCATCTATGGAATGTTAAGCTGACACCCGAGACTGTCAAAGTCTCCCATAATTCAATATCCTACACAATTTTCTGGTTGTACCAAAAAATAAACAACCAGCAAATGATTTCACCTCTTAAAAAAAAGCATTTACACTTAAAAAATGGAATGAGGTGGGATTCCCTCCTTCTCAAAAATGTTTCTAGAGCTACTAAAAAACTTGCATTTACAAAATAGTTGATAAAAATATTCCTCTGGAGGCCGGGCGCAGTGGCTCACGCCTGTAATCCCAGCACTTTGGGAGGCCGAGGCGGGCGGATCACGAGGTCAGGAGATCGAGACCATCCTGGCTAATGCGGTGAAACCCCATCTCTACTAAAAATACAAAAAATTAGCCGGGCGTGATGGTGGGCGCCTGTAGTCCCAGCTACACGGGAGGCTGAGACAGGAGAATGGCGTGAACCCGGGAGGCGGAGCTTGCAGTGAGCCGAGATCGCACCACTGCACTGCAGCCTGGGCGACAGAGCGAGACTCTGTCTCAAAAAAAAAAAAAAAGAAAGAAAAAAAATTCCTCTGAATTGTAAAGAAGGGAGACAGGGACCACTGATAAGACATGGTCTATGGTATTCATCAGACTTGGCTTCTTTATCTCCTGCTTCATCAGAGGCTGGACTCTCCTCAGTTTTCGTTTCCCCTGTTTTCTGCAGGTAAATCTTCTTTAGTTTTTTGGTTAGCCACTTCGGCCTGTTTTCCCTTTGCTCCCCTTTTCCCTTTTTTTGCACTTTTGTGTCTGAAAATTTATCCTTCGCTGCTGCCTTTTTCGGCTTCGCTTCCACTTTTGCAGGAGGTTTAGCTGACAATTGCGCTGATCTCCTCTTGGGCTCTTCCATGGCAGCCCCTTCGGTGGAGCTGACCTTTTTCTTGGGCATCCTGGCAGCAGGGAAGGTGGGTGCCAGGTGCCTGCTGGCCGCGGTGTGCCTACAGCCTTCGCGAAGCTGGGCTGCCTGGCCGCTGCCACTCCTCCCGCCACCGGAGCTGCTCTCGCTATGTTGGCCAGGCTGGTCTCGAACTCCAGACCTTAGATGAACCACCTGCCTCGGCCTCCCAAAGTGCTGGGATTACAGGCATGAGCCACCATGCCTGCCCTCGGAGCTGCTCTTATTTTTCTTATATTAAAGAATATATATAACTAATTCTAGCCATGCAGTAAGACATTTAAATGTGTAGTTAAATATTTATGCATAAATAACAAGGGCCATCAGAAAGAAAAGCAGGACTGAAGCTGGCGGCCCACGCATCCACAAAGGCAGCAGGCAGAGGAAGCACAGGGCCATCTTTCCCTGCCTTGTTTCCCAGTCTAATTAGTCATCCAGACCTAAAAACATATCCTCAGAGGGTGGAGATTTTACAATTAAATATCGTTGTTCTTGGTGCCCTCTCCCCTGGTTCATCAAGTATAATACCACATACTTGACCTCCTGCCCACAGGGGACCTACCACCTCCTGGCCCCTCTCATAGGATCACTGGGCCTACCTGCACTGTGTGGCCAAGCCCTGTCTTTTTCCCAAGCCCTCAAGCCCATGCATGAATGTTCATTCAGACATGGTAGGGGGCTTTTCGCCCTTACAAGATGGAGGAAAATTCACTTTATTTTTTTTATTGAGATGGAGTCTCGCTCTGTCACCCAGGCTGGAGTGCAGTGGTGCAATCTCGGCTCACTGCAACCTCCGCCTCCCAGGTTCACGCCATTCTCCTGCCTCAGCCTCCCGAGTAGGTGGGACTACAGGCGCCCGCCAGCATGCCCAGCTAATTTCTTTTTGTATTCTTAGTAGAGACAGGGTTTCACCATCTTAGCCAGGATGGTCTCGATCTCCTGACCTTGTGATCTGCCCGCCTCAGCCTCCCAAAGTGCTGGGATTACAGGACTGAGCCACCGCACCCGGCCTGGTTTTTTTTATAATTTATTTTTCTTTTTAAAAATCCCAACCTTTGGATAGCAGGGAGGTGCTGGAGGGATAGGGTCAAGAAGAGTGTGTGAGAGCAGTAATTTCCCAAGACTGCCCTCTGCGGGACTGTATTTCAGAAAACATACTGGTGGGGCTACCTCTCCATTCACGTGTACTGCCCTAGCCTCTCCCCATCCCCCGCTGATGCACTTCCATAGATGCACTGTTCCATAACGGCAGCAGAATGCTGCAGAAGGCGCAAGGATTCCTCCACTCCATCTTCAAAAAAAAAGTCACTAATAAATCACATTTGGTAAGTTAGTGAACATGAAACACATTAGTGAGCAAAAGAAAATCTGAATGAACAAGAATTGGTAATCTACCTAACTGAACACAAATGAACGCTGGCAGTTCAGTAATAGGAAGTAAAGAACAGTGCTAACTGCAGAACAGCAGCACCCCCATCCCAGGAGCAGTGTGACTGGGAAGCAGCCCTGTGTGCGTGCTGTGGGGGTTCTAAGCAAAGTGAGCCGCCCATCGGTTTCCATGAGTTTGCTGATGTCAGACAAAAGACACCTGTTCTTTAGCTGCCTGCCCCAATTATCTCCCAAAGTTCCTTACTGAGAATGAAAAGTGTCTTTATCTGTGTGGTGACTTCAGTGGGCCAACAAATATTTGAGTCTAAAGCACAAGACTAGGCCGGGCATGGTGGTTTATGCCTGTAATCCCAACATTTTGGGAGGCCAAGGCAGGCGGATCACCTGAGGTTGGGAGTTCAAGACCAGCCTAACCAACATGGAGAAACCCGTGTCTACCAAAAAAAATAAAATAAATAAATAAATAAATAAATATACACACACACATATATATACATATATATATACACATATATACATATATATACACACATATATACATATATATGCACACATATATACATATATACATATATATATACACACATATATATACACACACACACACACATATATATATACACACACACACACACACACACACACAAAAATTAGCCGGGCATGGTGGCACATGCCTGTAATCCCAGCTACTCAGGAGGCTGAGGTAGGAGAATCACTTGAACCTGGGAAGTGGAGGTTGTGGTGAGCCAAGATCACGCCATTGCACTCCTGCCTGGGCAATAAGACTGAAACTCTGTCTTAAAAATAATTAAATAAAAAGTAAAGCACAAGACTAAATAGTCATAGGCAGAACAGCAGCTACCATTTACAATTTGCTTACTTGATGCCAAATCCTGGGTTAGGCATTTTACAGTCTTATATGATTTAGCCCAGCAATCCATGGAAGCATAGTTTTTAAAATCATCATCTGACAGATAAGGATACAGGGCTAGAAGGACGTAGGTGACCTGCCCAAGTGTCCAAGGCCACACATCCAAAACGACAAGTTACGGTTTTAAGCCAGCACTGTTAGGCTCAAAGCCTTGTAACCATTCCTCTGTCCGGCTGTAGGACATAGGGAGATAAAGGGGGATAAGCCATGGTTGCCATTGAAGAGTCAATAACAATAACATACGGATGGTGAGAATGATGGCAGCTGCTGTTTGTTGGGCACCAGCTGTGGTCAGGTACAGTGCTAAGCACTTTAATTACACTGTTAAGTCACCAGGACAGAAACTCCCCCACACCAGCTCTGTAATAGGGGTGAGTGTTGGACATAAGCAGGGAGTTGACAAGAAGCCAAGACTAGGCTGGGCACAGTGGCTCACGCCTGTAATTCCAGCACTTTGGGAGGCTGAGGTGGGTGGACCACCTGAGGTCAGGAGTTCAAGACCAGCCTGGCCAACATGGCAAAACCCCGTCTCTACTAAAAAATACAAAAATTAGCTGGGGATGGTCATGTGCTCCTGTAATCCCAGTTACTCAGGAGGCTGAAGCAGGGAGAATTGCTTGAACCCAGGAGACGGAGGTTGCAGTGAGCCGAGACTGGGCCACTGCACACCAGCCTGGGCAACAGAGCAAGACTCCATCTCAAGAAAAAAAGAAGCCAAGAGTAGAGATCCTTGCACTGCTGGGCTCCCAAAGTCTGGATTCCAAGCACCTCCAGGTTCCTATTTTGGCATATTTACATAATTTCACATTTTTATGCTAAATTTTTTTTTTCGGTCTGTCGCCCAGGTTGGAGTGCAGTGGTGCGATCTCGGCTCACTGCAAGCTCCGCCTCCCAGGTTCACGCCATTCTCCTGCCTCAGCCTCCCAAGTAGCTGGGACTACAGGTGCCCGTCACCACACCTGGCTAATTTTTTGTTTTTAGTAGAGATGGGGTTTCACCATGTTAACCAAGATGGTCTCGATCTCCTGACCTCGTGATCCGCCCGCCTCAGCCTCCCAAAGTGCTGGATTACAGGTGTGAGCCACCGTGCCCGGTGATAATTTTTTTTTATATAACAAAAAATTTTTTTATGTATCTCAAATGTGCACATTTTTCTTTTGAGACAGGGTCTTGATGTGTCACCCAGCCTGGAGTGCAGTGGTGCATTCATAGCTCACTGCAGCCTCAAGCTCTAGGGCTCAAAAGATCCTCCTGCCTCAGCCTCCAGAGTAGCTGGGGGTCTACAGGCATGCACCACCATGCCTGGCTACAATTCTTATTATTCCCCAATGCTACCCCAACCATATTTCTAAAAACTCCCAAAGTAAGATTCTATTTTGCCCAGTTTGTCCTCAATTGAGCAGTTTTGTCTGAGCCCAGAGTTTCTGCTGGGCCAGCCTGTGGATGAGCTGTCTCTCCCAGGCCGGTGCCCATCCCTGCCAGTAGCCTGGGAGGGGGAGGGGTGCCCAGGGTCAGGTGGAACAAAACATGACTGCCTAGGGCTGCCTCTGTCTCCATCTCACTGACGGCAAACCATAGCTCAGAGGGCCAGCTCTTAAGTGAGACCTGAGTGCCACAGAAAGGTGGACACAAGGCCAACAGCTACTAAATGAAAGAAAATTCTGATTCCAATGAAATCTGCCAGAGAAATAAAGCATTTTTTAAAGGATGATGAAATAAGGCGATGTCTGATTAGGGCAAACATGATGCAGACAGGAAATGCAGCAGTTCAGAGGAGGGAAGGTCAGGCCGCCTGGGGAGAGTCCATGAAAAAGATGGAACATGCCAGACGTTGTGCCTGGCGCTGGGAAAGAGTTGACTAGGACAGCATCCCTTTCCTCAAAGGGCTCCTAGACTAGGGAGAGGGCCGGACATCTGAATACATCCTGAGGAGACAGTGTGGGACAGCATGCTGGCAGTGGAGCCAGCCGTGGTTCTGCTCTTGGTCGGCTGGAAAGGAGTAGATATAAGGGATGGCTTAGAAGAAGGGAAGTGGAAGAAAAGTTTTCTGAGCAGAAAAGAGGAAGGAAAGGCCTTCTAGACAGGACACTACAAAGGCAGAGAAGCCCTAAGCAGAGTGAGCACCAGACTCCACAGGTTAAGGGCTCAGTCACACAGGACCGCCCTCACGTCAGACCCCAGGTGCAAGGCCAAGCATCACCTATGCATCTGACCAACTGGCTATAAATTGGAGGTCCCCACAACTCCCTCCTCAGGTTTGACCATTTGCTAGAACAGCTCACAAAACCCAGGAAAATAGTTTACTTACTATTGCTGATTTATTACAAAGGATATTTTAAAGGATACAAATGAACAGCCAGATGAAGAGATACACAGGGTGAGGTCTGGAAGGGTCCTTGTGGAGTTGGGGTGCACCATCCTCCCGGCACATGGATGTGTTCGCCAACCCAGCAGCTCTCCATGTCCTGTCTTTCAAGGATTTTTCTGGAGGCTTTGTCACGCAGGCATGATCGAGCTCCAGCTCTGCTCCCCACCCCAGAGGATGGGGAATGGGGCTGAAAGCACTAAGCTTCCAACCATAGTTAGGTATTTTTGGTGACCAGTCCCCAAATAAGGAGCCCACCAAGAGTCACCTCATGAGAACAAAGGACGCTCCTATCATGCAGAAAATTCCAAGGGATTTAGGAATCCTTGTGTCAGGAACCAAGGTGAAGGACCAAACGTTAGAACAAAAGATGTGCAATCATAAAAAAGAACAAGATCATCTCTTTTGTAGGAACACAGATGGATCTTGAGGCCATTATCCTCAGCAAACTAAGAAAGGAACAGAAAACCAAACACCACACGTTCTCACTTATAAGTGGGAGCTAAATGATGAGAACTCATAAACACAAAGAAGGGAACAACAGACACTGGGCCCTACCTGAGGGTGAAGGGTGGGAGGAGGGAGAGGAGCCAAAAAAACTACTGGGTACTGGCCAGGCACGGTGGCTCACGCCTGTAATCCCAGCACTTTGGGAGGCCGAGGTGGGTGGATCGCAAGGTCAGGAGTTCGAGACCAGCCTGGCCAAGATGGTGAAACCCCATCTCTACTAAACATAAAAAATTAGCTGGACGTGGTGGCAGGCACCTGCAGTCCCAGCTACTCAGGAGGCTGAGGCAGAAGAATGGCGTAAACCTGGGAGGCGGAAGTTGCAGTGAGCCGAGATCGTGCCTCTAGCCTGGGCAACAGAGCGAGACTCTATCTCAAAAAAAAAAAAGAAAAAAACTATCGGGTATTAGGCCTAGTGCCTGGGTGACGAAATAATCTGTACAACAAACCCATGTGACACAAGTTTAGCTATATAACAAACGTTCACATGTATCCCCTAATCTAAAATAAAAGTTAAAAAAAAAAAAAAGGAAAAAACACCTGGGAGAAAAGAAAAATGATAAATTTAAAAAAAAAAAAAGACAATGCTCCTAGCACCCCCATCTTTCAGGAATTTCCAAGGGTTTTAGGAGCTTTGTGTTAGGAACCGGGGGCAGAGACCAAATGTATATTTCTTCTTACGTTACACTACCCCAGATAGGAAAACAGAAATTACTCTAGATATTTCAAACAAAAAGGGGTTGTATATAGGCAATTAGTGCTTTTCATTGGAGGGGCTAGAGGTGGTGAAGGTTGTGGGGAGGGGGTTGTACCACTGGCTTTCAGGCTACTTTACCACAGCTGATTTCCAGAGGATGGAAGAAGTCAGGAAACTTGGGACACCGCTGCTGAGGTCCTTGCAGCCCCACGGTCCCCAGGCTGGTGACTGGTGGGGGAGTATGGAGTCCAGCTGACCACCAGAGCCTGCACGCCTGCTGCTACAGGGGAGGAAAGGATGACTTCTACCTCCTTTCCACATTCCAAATTCCACGTGACTACCTTTTATTGGCAGCACCCTGCTGGCAAGGGAGCCTTGATGTGTGCTTCCTGGGCTTCCAGCACCTGCACAGAAAGGGGTGAAATGAATGTCATGAGCAGCCACCACTCTGCAGCACAACTCCACATCCAGGCATGGTGGGGAGCCCTACTTATACTTGGAGGTGTCCTGGCACCCTACCCACTTTTGGTAGGTGTTTGGGTGTCCGAGGCTTTGCAAAAGAAGAAGGCATGGAGTCTACGGTGGAGTCACATGGTGGAGACCTAGCTAAGTCAGAGGCCTGGAGAGGTGTCATTCTAGCTGGGCAGCAGGTGACACACAACCATGCCCTGAGTTGATTGGAGAAACACCTGGGACCGACCTGGAGTTTGTTCTGGAATGTTTTCACTGGAATGAAAGCTGAGCGGTCCGCAGGCCATATAGTATCGGAGAAAACATAGCTCTCATTGAAAAAGGCTGCCAGAGAAAATGTGCCCGCAGGGAAGTTCAGGGGTTTTGTTTGTTTGGGTTTTTTCTCTTTTGCTTTTTTTTCCTTTTGAGATGGAGTTTCGCTCTTGTTGCCCAGTCTGGAATGCAATGGCACAATCTCAGCTCACTGCATCCTCTGCCTCCTGCGTTCAGGCAATTCTGCCTCAGCCTCCCTAGTAGCTGGAATTACAGGCATGCACCACCATGCCCGGCTAATTTTTGTATTTTTAGTAGAGACAGGGTTTCACCATGCTGGTCAGACTGGTCTCAAACTCCTGACCTCAGGTGATCCACCCGCCCCAGCCTCCCAAAGGGCTGGGATTACAGGTGCGAGACACCGCGCCCGGCCTATTTTGGGTTTTTGTTTTGTTTTGTTTTGGAGATGGTCTTACTCTGTCACCCAGGCTGGAGTGCAGTAGCATGATCTTGGTTCACTGCAACCTCTGCCTTCCAGGTTCAAATGATTCTCCTGCCTCAGCCTCCTGAATAGCTGGGAATACAGGTGCTCACCACCATGCCCGGCTAATTTTTATATTTTTTTGTAAAAACAGTTTCACCATGTTAGCCAGGCTGGTCTTGAACTGACCTCAAGTGATCCGCTCACCTTGACCTCCCAAAGTGCTGGGATTAAAGGCATGAGCCACTGTGCCCCGCCAGGAAATTCAGGTTCTGAAAATACACCTGTGGATCTCGAGCCTTGAACATCCTTGTATGCTGCTTTAAATGGCTGATCCTCAATGCCTCCCTTCCAACTCACACGCTCGCTCCCCTACATCAATCTCCCAGAAAAAGGGACCTCTTTTATTCTTTTTTTTTTTTTAATTATTATTATACTTTAAGGTCTAGGGTACATGTGCACAACGTGCAGGTTTGTTACATAGGTATACACGTGTCATGTTGGTGTGCTGCACCTGTTAACTCGTCATTTACATTAAGGATATCTCCTAATGCTATCCCTCCCCCCTCCCCCCACCCCACAATAGGCTCTGGTGTGTGATGTTCCCCACCCTGTGTCCAAGTGTCCTCATTGTTCAGTTCCCACCTATGAGAACATGTGGTGTTTGGTTTTCTGTCCTTGCGATAGTTTGCTCAGAATGATGGTTTCCAGCTTCATCCATGTCCCTACAAAGGACATGAACTCATCATTTTTTAGGACTGCATAGTATATTATGGTGTATATGTGCCACATTTTCTTAATCCAGTCTATCATTGATGGACATTTGGGTTGGTTCCAAGTCTTTGCTATTGTGAATAGTGCCGCAATGAACATACGTGTGCATTTGTCTTTATAGCAGCATGATTTATAATCCTTTGGATATATGCCCAGTAATGGGATCGCTGGGTCAAATGGTATTTCTAGTTCTAGATCCTTGAGGAATCACCACACTGTTTTCCACAATGGTTGAACTAGTTTACAGTCCCACCAATGGCGTAAAAGCGTTCCTATTTCTCCACATCCTCTCCAGCACCTGTTGTTTCCTTTTTAATGACTGACATTCTAACTGGTGTGAGATGGTATCTCATTGTGGTTTTGATTTGCATGTCTCTGATGGCCAGTGATGATGAGCATTTTTCCATGTGTCTGTTGGCTGCATAAATGTCTTCTTTTGAGAAGTGTCTGCTCATATCCTTTGCCCACTTTTTGATGGGGTTGTTTGATTTTTTATTGTAAATTTGTTTAAGTTCTTTGTAGATTCTGGATATTAGCCCTTTGTCAGATGGGTAGATTGTAAAAATTTTCTCCCATTCTGTGGTTGCCTGTTCACTCTGATGGTAGTTTCTTTTGCTGTGCAGAAGCTCTTTAGTTTAATTAGATTCCATTTGTCAATTTTGGCTTTTGTTGCCACTGCTTTTGGTGTTTTAGTCATGAAGTCTTTGCCCCTGCCTATGTCCTGAATGGTATTGCCTAGGTTTTCTTTTAGGGTTTTTATGGTTTTAGATCTTATGTTTAAGTTTTTAATCCACCTTGAGTTAATTTTTGTATAAGGTGTAAGGAAGGGGTCCAGTTTCAGTTTTCTGCATATGGCTAGCCAGTTTTCCCAATGCCATTTATTAAATAGGGAATCCTTTCCTCATTGCCTGTTTCAGTCTATCCAATTTTTAGATTTATTTCTCATTGTCTTTGTTAGAGACGGGCCTCACTTTGTTGCCCAGGCTGGTTTTGAACTCCTGTTCTCAAGTGACCCTCCCGCCTTGGTCTCCCAAAGTACTGGAATTACAGGCGGGAGCCCTGCGCCCGGCGAAGCCTGTATTAAGCCCTTTTATGCTCACTCTGCGGTACTGCAGAGAGCAGGGAGGAAGCAGAGGTGCCCTGGCATCTTCAGCTGGAGGTGAGCAGGGTGCTGAGGGTGTGAGAGGCCGGGCGCCTGGGGATGGGAGGCGGGACCGCATCTTCAAGGGGACGCTGCCACCCTACCCCAGAGGTCAGGGCCTCTCGCCCAGCTCTGGCTCTGATGTCCTGGAGGGAGGGAGATGCTGTTGCGATTCAGAAGATCAGGGGAGGGCCACCCCCATTCGAGAAGAGTGAAAATCCTGAGCCTGAAGCAGAAGTGGAATCGGTTGGAGCCGAGGCTTTAGAGGGTGGCGTTGGGAAGAGGGTCTGGCGCCGCCCTATGGACTGTTCGGGCTCACGAGGCTGAAGGCTCCGAAGACCGCGACCTGCGAACCATGGGAAGGTTCCACGCGGATGAAGGCTACAGCCCCGGCCAGAGACCCTACACTAGGCCTGGACTTCTCCACCGGCTTATGACATGATAGCTCAATAAGCTCCTTATTTAACGCACTGTTGTATCAGGTCCCTGTCGCAGCCACTGGCCCTATAGCCTAATAAAGGAGCGGGTGCATGCATTGGATTGGTGAGCTACCGCCACAGCAACGCGTCCTAATCAACCATCCCAAACGGCAGTTGGAAGAAAGTTCTTGCAGGCCTGTGCTTGGGCTTGAACGCTGGGCCGGCCGCTGCGCTCTGTGGCTCCCTGCAGGCCTGCGGATCGGCCAGGGGGCTCCGATCCTTTTGGACCGAGGCTGAAGCAACGGCTGCACCAGAGAAGGCCTTCTGGCTGAAGGTGGAAGTGCACGGGGTCCGCAGAACCGCCTAAGGCGTCTTCAGGCGTGGGTTAGGAACTAGCAGGCTCTCCTTTGTGCTTCATTCCATGGCCAGAGCAAGACACGTGGGCAAGCCCAAAGCCAGGGGCTGGGAAAGTACCCTCCACCCACAACGAAACCATGGCAAGGGGTGGGTGCATGTAGGGCTGAGGAATTGGGGCCAATAGTCTATCTATCCCGTGAGGAGACCTGCTGTGGGGGTTGCACAGCCTGGGTCTGCAAGCTTCACTGCCCTCGGCCTGGGCGTCCTGTGCTCCTTTGGCCTCTCTGGGTTAGGAAAGTATCCCTTTTATCTCTGCAAAGGTCAGAGTCCCAGTGTCTGCTTTCAAATATAAAACCAGCTATTGGGGGTATGACCCTGAACTGTATGAGGGCCGCCCTTTCAGTAATTCTCTCTCCAGGAGTGAGAACCTCCCTTTCTCAATTTTAGGTTAGATGGGTCTGAGTGTGTTTAGTGCAGTTCATGGTTGAGCAGGAAGATTAGAAATAAGGACATAGAGACAACTATTTTCTTGGTGTTAAACTCATTTTAAACAAAGTGGAAAGTAAAGGATTTAGTAGGGAAATCCTTTCACCTTGGCAAAAGTATAGTCTATCTGGTCACAACTGCCACAGCATGATCCTTGGTGGCTTGGCACAAGCATTCCCTGTCCTCCATCAAGCCCATAATGTCCCTCAGTAATTCCACTGCATTTTTTTTGCAGCTGCTGTGTGCTGGAGCTGTGGGGAACCCCTCGGTAATCTCTTGTCTGCTTTTTAGGAACTCCTATCTCCAGATCTTCTTTTACTTCCCAAGCCACCCCACTTCTTTGAAAGGTCTGCAGGCTTGTCTACCTCTTCTCAGCTTGCTCTGCATGCCTTGGGGAAGCTCTTAAAGCATGGATCATGAAGGAGGGGGGCGGAGGAGAGGGAAATGCATGTTTCCACAAATGGACCATGAGCCCACCAGGCAGGCTCTAGATGGGGAAAAAAACCCCTTACATTATCATGTGACTTGTACAAGAAAAAAGGTACCTGCAAAGGGTCAAGGGACCAGAGAGGAGAACTTGAGAGGTATTCTGGAGGAGGCGACTTTTGATGTGAGCTTTCTAGGTGAGTAAAGGGCATTGTAGATGAAAGGACTGGCTGGTAAGTGGCCAGCAGATAGAAATACAGGCTGAGCTCAGGGGAGGGTACACCCAGAGGTGGGGAGGAAGGTAGGAAGTGAAAAAGGAGGCTGGGCGTGGTGGCTCACGCCTGTAATCCTAGCACTTTGAGTGTCCGAGGCAGGCGGATCACTTGAGGTCAGGAGTTTGAGACCAGCCTGGCCAACATGGTGAAACCCCATCTCTACTAAAACTACAAAAATTAGCTGGGTGTGGTGGTGTGCGCCTGTAGTCCCAGCTACTCAGGAGGCTAAGGTATGATAATTGCTTGAACCCGGGAGGCGGAGCTTGCAGTGAGCGAAGATCATGCCACTGCACTCCAGCCTGGGTAACAGAGTGAGATCCTGTCTCAAAAAAAAAAAAAAAGGAAGTGAAAAAGGAAAGGGAGAAGGCCAGAATGGAAAGGAGCTAAAGACAGACTGAGCAAGGCAGAGTTGGAGGCCAGCGCAGGAAGGGCTCAAAACATTTGCAAGGACAGTTCACATCCCACTGGTATGTCAGCTTAGATTTAAAGCACTACCCAGAGTTATTCAAAGCCAGACAGGAGAACTGCAGGCATCAGAATGCCCTGGGGACGGGTCCAAAATGCAGAATCCTAAGCCCCTAAAGAGTCACTCTACGATGAGATCCAAGAATTTGGGCTGGATCCCACTTCTCCTGTCCCCTGCCCTCACCACTGAGGACCTAAAGCATAATAAAAGGGGACAATCTCTGCCCTAAATAATCCCTTTTGGCAGTTACTTTCTGTTTTCAAACTTCAAATCTGTCCTCTGGGACTAACCTAGGAGATGAGGGATAAGGGAATTAACATTTATGGAAAATGGAGGAACCCACATAGGCACCTGTGTTCACCTAATATTCCTTACCAAGCAGTGGGTGCTGCCATTATCTCCATTGTATGGATGAGAAAACAGGCTTAAAAGAGGTTAATCGACCAGGTGCGGTGGCTCACGCCTGTAATCCCAGCACTTTGGGAGACCGAGGACAGCGGATCACGATGTCAGGGGATCGAGACCATCCTGGCTAACACAGTGAAACCCCGTCTCTACTAAAAATACAAAGAAAAAAAAAAATTAGCTGGGCGTGCTGGTGGGCGCCTGTAGTCCAAGCTACTCAGGAAGCTGAGGCAGGAGAATGGCGTGAACCCGGGAGGCAGAGCTTGCAGTGAGCCAAGATCGCGCCACTACACTCCAGCCTGGGCGACAGAGCGAGACTCCATCTCAAAAAAAAAAATAAAATAAAATAAAGAAAAAAAGAATTAGCTGGGCATGGTTGCGCACGTCTGTAGTCCCAAGCTACTCGGGAGGCTGAAGCAGGAGAATTGCTTGAACCCGGAGGCAGAGGTTGCAGTGAGCCAAGATCACGCCACTGCACTCCAGCCTGGTGACAGAGCGAGACTTCGTCTCTAAAAAAAGAAAAAGAAAAAGGAAAAAAAAAAAAAGAGGTTAAGTAACTTGGGCGGGGGCGGCCAGAGCCACAGAACTAGTAAGTGATAGAAGTAGGATTCTCACCTAGTTCTTTCTGATGCTAGTTGGAGAGGCAGCTTTGTTCAGTGGGTTTTAGAGCCAGGGCTGCTTAGGTTTGGATCTCACCTCTATCCCATATTATTTGCTGGGACTTCCTTAAAACAGTGTGGGGCTCAGGGCAACCCAATGAGTATGGGGCTAAGACAGCTGCCACCGAGTCAGCATTTTTCACAGGCCCCTCGAGATAGCACTGAAGACAGAAATTTCTAAATTGAATTTTATTGATGTTCAGGAAAGAGAAGTCAGTCACAACCCCCCTTGGCCCTCAGCCCCAAGCAGAGAGCCCAGAGTGTGTGACCTCAGGCAAGTACCAAAACCTCTCTGTGCCTCAGTTCCTCATCTGTAAATTGGGGCAAATGTCAGTTGATGTGAGGATTAAATATGATGATATCCTGGCTGGGCACAATGGCTCATGCCTGTAATCCCATAACTTTGGGAGGCTGAGGCCGCTGGATTGCTTGAGGCCAGGAGTTCAAAACCAGCCTGGCCAACATGGTGAAACCCCATTTCTACCAAATATACAAAAATTAGCCAGGCATGGTGGTGCATGCCTGTAGTCCCAGCTACTTGGGAGGCTGAGGCACAAGAATCGCTTCAACCCAGGAAGCAGAGGTTGCAGTGAGCTGAGATTGCGCCACTGCACTGCAGCCTGGATGACAGAGTGAGACTCTGTCCCAAAACAAAAAGAAAAGCAAAGCAAAGAAAGAAAAGGAGAAAAGAAAAGAAAATAAAAAGCTGATATCCTTTTTTTTTTTTTGAGACGGAGTCTCGCTCTGTCACCGAGGCTGAAGTGCAGTGGCACGATCTCGGCTCACTGCAAGCTCCGCCTCCTGGGTTCACGCCATTCTCCTGCCTCAGCCTCCCAAGTAGCTAGGACTACAGGCGCCTGCTGCCACATTTGGCTAATTTTTTGTATTTTTAGTAGAGACGGGGTTCAATAAAATGAAGCGAAATGGGGATGAAACATAATGAACCACAGCAGTTTTCTGTCCCTACTGTTCCCACCCTTCTGGGGAGCAAGATTTCAATGGAATCTTCTGGTGCTTCTCCCGACATCTCTTGCATGTCTCATTGTTTTTATTATTATTATTATTATTTTGAGACACAAATGAGCTAAGCGCTACTTCGAATTATTAAAGCCCATATCACTGGAGAAATAAGATCCCTATTCTGAACACCTAGCAATAAGTACCATAATATACTTTACCTCTTCATCTTCCTCATCCAGGTATTTTATTTTAATACTATTCAGATCAAATGAAACTTTTACCTACAAAAGAAATACACATTTAAAGGCAGGTTATAATGTACATAGAAGTCAAAGGATGAGTTGGGCATATTTCATTACATACTAAATATTTTATATGGTTAAAAAAATCCACAAAATCAGAAGACAACAAACAACCATCACAACCCACAGCAAAGGGTTAATATCTGCAACACACCCAGAGTATCAGCAAAACTGCTAATGATACAATTAACAACCCAGGAAAAAGTATACATAAAATTCATAGAAGAAGTCAGAACACCTAACAAATACCTCAGAAGACTTTCAAACTTTCTGGTGGTCAGAACAATGCAAATTGAAAGCAATGAAATGTCATCTAATCAGAACAGCAAATTGTGTGTATGTGTGTGAGCACAAAAAATGGGAAGACTTGGGTTCTAGACACAGCTCTGGCCCATTACTAGACATAAAACTGTGAGCAGGTCAGTTCACCTTTGAGCTTCAGTTCTTTAATCTGTAAAATAGGTCTAATATGTCTGTTTTGCCGATCTCACAGTGTTACCATAAGGATCAAATTAAAAATGAATATGCAAGTTCTTTCAAAATGTCATTCAAATATAAAAATATTATAATACAGGCCAGGCACAGTGGCTCATGTCTGTAATCCCAGGATTTTGGGAAGCAGAGGCAGGCAGATCGCTTGAGTCCAGGAGTTCGAGACCAGCCTAGCCAACATGGTGAAACTTCGTCTCTAATAAAAATACAAAAATTAGCTGGGTGTAGTGGCGCAGGCCTGTATTCCCAGCTACTCAAGAGGCTGAGGCAAGAGAATTGCTTGAATCTGGGAGGCAAGGTTGCAGTGCGCCAAGATCATGCCACTGCACTCCCGCCTGGGTGATAGAGCGAGACTCTGTCTCAAAAATAAAATAAAAAATTGGCCCGGTGTGGTGGCTCATGCCTGTAATCCTAGCAATTTGGGAGGCTGAGGTGGAAGGATCGTGAACCTAGGAGTTGAAGACCAGCCTGGGCAACAAAGCCGGACCCTGTCTCCTTAAAAAAATTAAGTTCAATTAAACATTTTTAAAAATAATAAACCAGTCATTAGAACCATAAACCTGTACTGTTTTTGACAATGTAATGCACTGCCCTGTAAAACACTACAATTAAGACTGTTATTTTAAGGACCCTGAAGTCTGTGAAGATCAGGCACTTTTTTGAAACCCTAAGATAATTATCCCCCAGTTTTCTCCATTCTTTGTTTCTACCTAGAACCAAGTTCACCACCAAAACGCAGTCCTGCTGACGTCAAGTATTCATTCATATGACATGTAATTACTGGGGTCGTTAAAATTTGGGCAGAATCTTTGTCAATTCACCAGGACCTTAGGCAAAAAATCAGGAAAATGAAGTGACTGACTCAGTCTGCCAAAAGCGGATATTCTGAAATACCACTTTCCAACTTTAAGAAACACTTCCTGCCAGGTGCGGTGGCTCACGCCTATAATCCCAGCACTTTGGGAGGCCGAGGAAGGCAGATCACGAGGTCAGGAGATCGAGGTCATCCTGGCTAACGCGGTGAAACCCCCATCTCTACTAAAAACACAAAAAATTAGCTGGGCGTGATGGCGGGTGCCTGTAGTCCCAGCTACTCGGGAGGCTGAGGCAGGAGAATGGCGTGAACCCGGGAGACAGAGTTCGCAGTGCACTAGCCGCGATCGTGCCACTGCACTTCAGGCTGGGCGACAGAGCGAGACTCAGTCTCAAAAAAAAAAGAAAAAAAAGAAACACACTTCCCTACTCGTTAGGGAAATTAATCTTCGTCTCTTTTTCTCAAATTACACAATTGGAAATTAATTTAGATATTCTGGAGCTCCTCCAGCTGGTGGGCCAACTAAGAGAAAACAGGAAGTGGGAGATTCTAGCTTAGCTGGACCATATCCAGGTCTCCATAAGGAACTCTCTTTGGCTGGCATGTAAAAAAATTCTTTCAGCAAGAGCATTAATCTTGAACGTGTGTAAACACGAAAGCTATGGTTAACCCTACCTGCTCCTTAGGTCTACAGCCAGTAGAGTCAGATAGCTGGGTCCTAGGCCTTCAGCTTTCATAATTGACATTATTGTTAAGTCCATGTGACTGACTCACCTTGTCTTGGCACAAGTTAGCTTTTCCTCCACATCGATTTTTTTTTCTTTCAGCCTCAACAAAATCCCTTTAATGAAACAAACCTGGCAACCCGAACTTTGGTTACTGTCTCCACCAGAGGCCTGTACAAGCCAAGTTATCCAAGCTGAGGCCGGGAGTGGTGGCTCATGCCTGTAATCCCAGCACTTTGGGAGGCCAAGGCAGGAGGATCGCTTGAGCTCAGGAGTTCAAGACCAGCCTGGGCTGGTCTTTGAGAAAGCGAGACTTTGTCTCGAAAAAAAAAAAAAAAGTGTGGCCTGAAAGTTGAGTGTTTGACAAAAAGGAGAAACAGTGCCTTTCCAAAACCAAAGGTCCCTAACCAAGATCTCTTTAACGGGGTCTCGAAAAAAGGAGAATGGGATGAGAAGGATATATGGGTAGTGTCATTTTTTAACTTGCAGATTTCATCCTAGTCTTCCAGTTATCGTTTCCTAGCACTCCATGTTCCCAAGATAGTGTCACCACCCCAAGGACTCTCTCTCATTTTCTTTGCCTGGGCCCTCTTTCTACTGAGGAGTCGTGGCCTTCCATCAGTAGAAGCCGGATGTTCTTGTGTCCGAAATTGGTGGGTTCTTGGTCTCACTGACTTCAAGAATGAAGTTGCGGACCCTCACGGTGAGTGGTACAGTTCTTAAAGATGATGTGTCCAGAGTTTGTTCCTTCTGATGTTCGGACGTGTTCAGAGTTACCTCCTTCTGGTGGATTCGTGGTCTCGCTGGCTTCAGGAGTGAAGCTGCAGACCTTTGCGGTGAGTGTTACAGCTCTTAAGGCGGCATGTCTGGAGTTTGTTCGTTCCTCCCGTCTGGAGTTGTTCATTCCTCCTGGTGGGTTCGTGGTCTCGCTGGCTTCAGGAGTGAAGCTGCAGACCTCTGCGGTCGGTGTTACCAGCAGATAAATGCTATGCGGACCCAAAGAGTGAGCAGCAGCAAGATTTATTGCAAAGAGCACAAGAACAAAGCTTCCACAGCGTGGAAGGAGACCAGAGCGGGTTGCTGCTGCTGGCTCAGGCAGCCTGCATTTTTTTTTTTTTTTTTTTTTTTTTTTGAGATGGAGTCTCCCTCTGTCACCCAGGCTGGAATGCAGTGGTGCAATCTGGGCTCACTGCAAGCTCCGCCTCCCGGGTTCACGCCATTCTCCTGCCTCAACCTCCCCAGTAGAGGGGATTACAGGCACCCACCACCGCACCCAGCTAATATTTTGTCTTTTTAGTAGAGTCGGGGTTTCACTGTGTTAGCCAGGATGGTCTCGATCTCTTGACCTCGTGATCCACCCCTCTAGGCCTCCCAAATTGCTGGGATTACAGGTGTGAGCCACTGGCACCCAGCGGGGCAGCCTGCTTTTATTCCCTTATCTGACCCCACCCACATCCTGTTGATTGGTCCATTTTACAGAGAGCTAATTGGTCCGTTTTGACAGGGTGCTGATTGGTGCATTTACAATCCCTGAGCTAGATATACACAGAGTGCTGATTGGTGCATTTACAATCCTCTAGCTAGACATAAAAATTCTCCAAGTCCCCACTACATTTGCTAGACACAGAGCACTGATTGGTGCGTTTACAAACCTTTAGCTAGACACAGAGTGCTGATTGGTGCATTTGCAAACCTTGAGCTAGACACAGAGCACTGATTGGTGCATTTACAATCCTTTAGCTAGACACAGAAGTTCTCCAAGTGCCCACCAGATTAGCTAGATACAGAGTGCTGATTGGTGCATCCCCAAACCCCAAGCTAGACACAGAGTGCTGACTGGTGCATATAAAATCCTCAGGCTAGACATAAAAGTTTTCCAAGTCCCCATCTGACTCAGGAGCCCAGCTGGCTTCACCTAGTGGATCCTGCGCAGGGCTGTGCCGGGCGCCTGCACTCCTCTCAGCCCTTGGGCAGTCGATGGGACCGGGCGCTGAGGAGCAGGGGGCGGTGCCCGTCGGGGAGGCTCAGGCCACGCTGGAGCTCACAGGGGTTGGGAGGGGGCTCGGGCATGGCGGGCTGCAGGTCCTGAGCCTTGCCCTGTGCAGGGCGGCTGGGGCCCGGTGAGAATTCAAGCGGGGTGCAGGCGGGCCGGCAGTGCTGGGGGACCCGGCGCACCCTCTGCAGCTGCTGGCCCGGGTGCTAGGCCCCTGACTGCCCGGGGCCGGGGGTGCGGGGCCCGCTGAGCCCGCGCCCACCTGGAACTCGCGCTGGCTGGCGAGCGCTGCGCGCAGCCCCAGTTCCCACACCCGCCTCTCCCTCCACACTTCCCCGCAAGCAGAGGGAGCCGGCTCTGGCTTCGGCCAGCCCAGAGAGGGGCCCCCACAGCGCAGTGGCGGGCTGAAGGGCTCCTCCAGCACGGCCAGAATGGACGCCAAGGCCGAGGAGGCGCCGAGAGCGAGCGAGGGCTGCTAGCACGTTGTCACCTCGCATTCTGAACCACAGACTCTCCAACTCTCCGGCGCTTTTCGCCCACTCGGTCCCTCAGAACACGAAGGGCTCTCTCATCCTGTCACTAAAACGATTAGCTGTCCGGAGACACGGAAAAAGTCGCCCCTCTTCTTTGCAGGATTCCTCCCTTGAACTTCTCCAAACCCTCTTAGTGTGACGTGACCCCACCCCTAGCTAACCCAGGCTGCTTCCTTACCAGCTTCCCGCCCCCTGGGGAGGCGGCAATGCAAAGACCGTCCGCTGCCAGCTCTGCCGCTATCTCTGTGGGGTGAATCTAACATGGCGGACAAAGACAGTAACTAGTCCCGTTTCTCCGCGTTTTCGCCAAGAAGATTGGCTCTTACCACTTGTCCCTCAAAACGACCACCCCATTGACTGGTGGCGATTGCGTCGACGGAGACGGGGCAAAAGCAAGCTGAACCCGAAAAATAACAAACACTGGGGCTGAGGGGTGGAACTACGAGTGCGCAGACATGGGCCAGAGCGCATTTCCCCTGCCCCAGGCAAATTCGGCGCTCACTGCGTCCCCGCAGGCCACTGACCTTACAAGACTACTTGCCCCAGACTCCTGGGGCTGGATGGGAATTGTAGTCTCCCTAAAGAGTTGTACGTATCTTTTTAAGGCCTAGTTTCTGCTTTCAAAATACGAAAACATAACACTCCAGTCCATAACTGTTGACAAGTACAAGCGCGCACAGGTCTCCAATCTATCCACTGGATTTCCGTGAGAATTGTGCCCGCTCTGGTATTGGATGTTCCTCTCCATAAGACTACAGTTTCTAAGGAACACTGTGGCGAAGACCTTTCATTCCGCAACGCATGCTGGAAATAATTATTTCCCTCCACCCCCCCAACAATCCTTATTACTTATATTTACCGAAACTGGAGACCTCCATTAGGGCGGAAAGAGTGGGGGATTGGGACCTCTTCTTACGACTGCTTTGGACAATAGGTAGCGATTCTGACCTTCGTACAGCAATTACTGTGATGCAATAAGCCGCAACTGGAAGAGTAGAGGCTAGAGGGCAGGCACTTTATGGCAAACTCAGGTAGAATTCTTCCTCTTCCGTCTCTTTCCTTTTACGTCATCCGGGGGCAGACTGGGTGGCCAATCCAGAGCCCCGAGAGACGCTTGGCTCTTTCTGTCCCTCCCATCCTCTGATTGTACCTTGATTTCGTATTCTGAGAGGCTGCTGCTTAGCGGTAGCCCCTTGGTTTCCGTGGCAACGGAAAAGCGCGGGAATTACAGATAAATTAAAACTGCGACTGCGCGGCGTGAGCTCGCTGAGACTTCCTGGACGGGGGACAGGCTGTGGGGTTTCTCAGATAACTGGGCCCCTGCGCTCAGGAGGCCTTCACCCTCTGCTCTGGGTAAAGGTAGTAGAGTCCCGGGAAAGGGACAGGGGGCCCAAGTGATGCTCTGGGGTACTGGCGTGGGAGAGTGGATTTCCGAAGCTGACAGATGGGTATTCTTTGACGGGGGGTAGGGGCGGAACCTGAGAGGCGTAAGGCGTTGTGAACCCTGGGGAGGGGGGCAGTTTGTAGGTCGCGAGGGAAGCGCTGAGGATCAGGAAGGGGGCACTGAGTGTCCGTGGGGGAATCCTCGTGATAGGAACTGGAATATGCCTTGAGGGGGACACTATGTCTTTAAAAACGTCGGCTGGTCATGAGGTCAGGAGTTCCAGACCAGCCTGACCAACGTGGTGAAACTCCGTCTCTACTAAAAATACAAAAATTAGCCGGGCGTGGTGCCGCTCCAGCTACTCAGGAGGCTGAGGCAGGAGAATCGCTAGAACCCGGGAGGCGGAGGTTGCAGTGAGCCGAGATCGCGCCATTGCACTCCAGCCTGGGCGACAGAGCGAGACTGTCTCAAAACAAAACAAAACAAAACAAAACAAAAAACACCGGCTGGTATGTATGAGAGGATGGGACCTTGTGGAAGAAGAGGTGCCAGGAATATGTCTGGGAAGGGGAGGAGACAGGATTTTGTGGGAGGGAGAACTTAAGAACTGGATCCATTTGCGCCATTGAGAAAGCGCAAGAGGGAAGTAGAGGAGCGTCAGTAGTAACAGATGCTGCCGGCAGGGATGTGCTTGAGGAGGATCCAGAGATGAGAGCAGGTCACTGGGAAAGGTTAGGGGCGGGGAGGCCTTGATTGGTGTTGGTTTGGTCGTTGTTGATTTTGGTTTTATGCAAGAAAAAGAAAACAACCAGAAACATTGGAGAAAGCTAAGGCTACCACCACCTACCCGGTCAGTCACTCCTCTGTAGCTTTCTCTTTCTTGGAGAAAGGAAAAGACCCAAGGGGTTGGCAGCAATATGTGAAAAAATTCAGAATTTATGTTGTCTAATTACAAAAAGCAACTTCTAGAATCTTTAAAAATAAAGGACGTTGTCATTAGTTCTTTGGTTTGTATTATTCTAAAACCTTCCAAATCTTAAATTTACTTTATTTTAAAATGATAAAATGAAGTTGTCATTTTATAAACCTTTTAAAAAGATATATATATATGTTTTTCTAATGTGTTAAAGTTCATTGGAACAGAAAGAAATGGATTTATCTGCTCTTCGCGTTGAAGAAGTACAAAATGTCATTAATGCTATGCAGAAAATCTTAGAGTGTCCCATCTGGTAAGTCAGCACAAGAGTGTATTAATTTGGGATTCCTATGATTATCTCCTATGCAAATGAACAGAATTGACCTTACATACTAGGGAAGAAAAGACATGTCTAGTAAGATTAGGCTATTGTAATTGCTGATTTTCTTAACTGAAGAACTTTAAAAATATAGAAAATGATTCCTTGTTCTCCATCCACTCTGCCTCTCCCACTCCTCTCCTTTTCAACACAAATCCTGTGGTCCGGGAAAGACAGGGACTCTGTCTTGATTGGTTCTGCACTGGGGCAGGAATCTAGTTTAGATTAACTGGCATTTTGGCTTTTCTTCCAGCTCTAAAACAAGCTCCATCACTTGAAATGGCAAAATAAAATCATGGATGAGGCCGAGGGCGGTGGCTTATGCCTGTAATCCCAGCACTTTGGGAGGCCAAGGTGGTAGGATCACGAGGTCAGGAGATCGAGACCATCCTGGCCAACATGGTGAAACCCCCTCTCCACTAAAAATACAAAAATTAGCTGGGCGTAGTGGCATGTGCCTGTAATCCCAGCTACTCAGGAGGCTGAGGCAGGAGAATCACTTGAACCAGGAGGCAGATGTTGCTGTGAGCCAATATGGCACCACTGAACTCCAGCGACAGAGCTAAACTCCATCTCAAAAAAAAAAAAAAAAAAAAAAAAACATGGATGATCGGTGTCGTTGAGAGGATAGGTATTTGGAAGAACCTTTGTTTGAAACTGGCTCTGTACATACAATGAAATTACATACTTATTTACATACAATGAAATGCAGAGGTTTTTTTTTTATATAGGATCTCTGTCGAGAGGCTGGAGTGCAGTGGTGCTATCACAGCTCACTGCAGCCTCAACCTCGTCAGGCTCAAGCAATCCTCCCACCTCAGCCTCCAGAGTAGCAGGGACGATAGGTGTGCACCACCATGCCCAGCTAATTTTTGTATTTTTTTTTCTTTTTTTGAGATGGAGTCTTGCTCTGTTGCCCAGGCTGGAGTGCAGTGGCGCGATCTCAGCTCACTGCAAACTCTGCCTCCCGGGTTCATGCCATTCTTCTGCCTGAGCCTCCTGAATAGCTGGGACTACAAGCACCCACTACCACGCCCGGCTAATTTTTTGTATTTTTTTTTCTTTTTTAGTAGAGGCGGGATTTCACCGTGTTAGCCAGGATAGTCTTGATCTCCTGACCTTGTGATCCACCCGCCTGGGCCTCCCAAAGTGCTAGGATTACAGGCATAAGCCACTGCGTCCAGCCATTCTTGTATTTTTCTGTTGTAGAGATAGGGTTTTGCTATGTTGGCCATGCTGGTCTCAAACTCCTGACCTCAAGTGATCTACCCTCCCTTGGCCTCTCAAGGTGCTGGGATTACAGGCCTGAGCCATTGCACCCAGCCATGGTCTAAAAATCTTGATTGAAATACCACCTTTTCATTTCCAGACACCCCTATTTAAAATTACCACACCCCCAGCACACACTTTATCTTCTATTCCTGCTGCTTCTCCATAACACTGATTACTAGCTGACATTCTATGTAATGTATCCATTTTTTATCTCTAGTCCCACAGAATGTAAACTCCAGGATGGGATTTTTGTTTTGTTTACATACATCTGTATGTTCAGTAGTTAGAACGGTACTTGGGACCTAGTTGCCACTCAATAAACATTTGTCAAATAAATAATAAACTAAACTAAATTAGTTCTTTAATTTTTTTAAATATGGTGATGGTTAGTAGTGAGTAACATTCAAAAAATAAGTTGAAAAGTTGTACCATTGCCTCTTACCCACAATAAAAAAGGGTAAATTCTTTTCTGCTTTATGAAAGTTGTTTTTCATATTTGAAGTCAAGTTAATCAGATTAAGGAAAATGTATGTTGTGTTTTCAGAGCGATACAAGATTTATAAATAACCATCCTCTCCCTTGCCCTTCAACATTATAGCTAAACAAAAATAAGAGGAAAACAGGATTCACAATTTATCAATTTATTGAAAATCAGAGCCAGAGAAGCAGGAAATGACATTGTAGGAAAAAACTGCTTTTGAAAAAGCACAAAACTTACTCATGACAATCAGTGATCAGGAAAATCCTCAATAGTGTGGCATTTGGATACATTTATGTTTCATTTCCATGGGAGAGAGTCATAAAAATAGGATGTTCTTTCTCATTCTGGCAAATTAAACCATCAATTAAAAACTCAGATACATAAAAATTAAAGATGTAAGAATGAAAATGCTAAATTGTTATTTTCAATCAACTATTATGTTTTCTAGCTTTTCATTGCTTTTTTCTGTTTCCTGTTAAGATTAATTTCTTTTTTTTTTTTTTTTTTTTTTTTTGAGACAGACTTTGGCTCTTGTTGCCCAGGCTGGAGTGCAGTGGCACAATCTCGGCTCACTACAACCTCCACCTCCCGGGTTCAAGCAATTCTGCTGCCTCAGCCTCCGGAGTACCTGGGATTGCAGGCATGTGCCATCACACCAGCTAATTTTGTATTTTTAGTAGAGACAGGGTTTCTCCATATTGGTCAGGTTGGTCTCGAACTCCTGACCTCAGGTGATCCTCCTGCCTTGGCCTCCGAAAGTGCTGGGATTACAGGCGTGAGCCACCGCTCCCAGACTTTTTGTTTTGTTTTGTTTTGTTTTTTTGAGACACGGTCTCGCTCTGCTGCCTAGGCTGGAGTGCAGTGGCACGATCTTGGCTCACTGCCAGCTCCGCCTCCCGGGTTCAGGCCATTCTCCTGCCTCAGCCTCCCGAGTAGCTGGGACTACAGGCGCCCACCACTATGCCCGGCTAATTTTTTGTATTTTTAGTAGAGACGGGGTTTCACCATGTTAGCCAAGATGGTCTCGATCTCCTGACCTTGTGATCCACCCGCCTCAGCCTTCCAAAGTGCTGGGATTACAGTCCTGAGCCACTGCGCCCGGCCTGGACCTTTTTTTTTCGGGGTGGGGGGTTGGAGTCTGGCTCTGTCGCCCAGGCTGGAGTGCAGTGGCGCCATCTTGGCTCACTGCAACCTCCGCCTGCCAGGTTCAAGTTCAAGCGCTTCTCCTGCCTCAGCCTCCTGAGTAGCTGGGATTATAGGCGCACGCCACCGTGGCCGGCTAATTTTGTATTTTTAGTAGAGATAGGGTTTCATCACGTTGGTCAGGCTGGTCTTGAAGTCCTGATCTCGTGATCCACCCGCCTCGGCCTTCCAAAGTGCTGGCGTGAGCCACTGCGCCTGGCTTAAGATTAATTTTTGTTTGTTTTGTTTTTGAGACGGAGTCTCGCTCTTTCACCCAGGCCGGAGTGCAGTGGCGCCATCTCGGCTCACTGCAAGCTCCGCCTCCCGGGTTCACGCCATTCTCCTGCCTCGGCCCCCCAAGTAGCTGGGACTACAGGCGTCCACCACCACGCCCGGCTAATTTTTTGTATTTTTAGTAGAGACGGGGTTTCACCGTGTTAGCCAGGATGGTCTCCACTTCCTGACCTCGTGATCCGCCCACCTCGGCCTCCCAAAGTGCTGGGATTACAGGCGTGAGCCACCGCGCCCGGCCTTAAGATTAATTTTTATGGTGTTTTACATTCATTTGTATGGAAAGTTCTAGGATAGGGATCATATTTCACTTCCTTTTAATATAGTACAGTATAGCACAATTTGCAGTTATGTCTTAATATGTGATCAGGAATGATCATGACTGGAAACAGTGTTATTTGTGGTAGCTATAGGGTAGGTAAGGTTTTCAGCCTGTTTTAGGTTTCTTGAACTAAAATTCCTTCTGCTGTCTTCTAAGTCAATATTGGCAGCTATTTCTGACAATTGGTAGTTCTTTGTAACTTTTTACCTATGACTATAACATTTTTGACTTTCAGAAGAATTTGCTAAAATGTGTTCCCCGGTGGGTTGTTGTTTTTCAACCTAAACCTAGCTGCTTTTTCCAGTCACTTATCCGTATTGGAAGCTCAAAATGCAAATATACAGTAGGCCTAAAATATTGCCTGGTTTGAAAAGTGTTTAAAATATTTGAATCATTTTTATAGTAAACATTTACTCTCATCAGGACCTAGAAGGGGAACATTTTAATTTTTTTTCTTTTCCCTTTTCACAGTCTTCCTTCAACATTCATTACCTTTTTACATATCGGAGTTTTCATCTGTTCAAAGTTTGTGTTTACAGTGTGTTTATATAGTTTAGATTATAATTACCATACTGAAATATAATTGTTTCAGAATTGAGTCAGTGGTGAGAATGAAAGCCATCTGGTATGATAACTGAATCCAATTTTTCTTTTACGGAGAATTTCTTTGAAATGTAGCTTATCTCAGAAATAGGGATTTAGTAACCAATCAGAGTTTTCTTTGTCAAGGTTGTTTTTCTTTTTAAAGTCACATTTGGTCCCAGTAATAATACCAATGTTGGTACAAGTTATCTCAGGTTGTGAAGCATTTTTCCCAAGTCATCTCAGGTTGTGAAGCATTTTCCCAAGTAGCATTTAATTTTATTCTTGCAATAGCCCAAGGAGTCTGGCAGGGTGAATGGCAAGAGAAGGAAACAGGTTCAGGTAGAGTGGTTAGCCCAAGGTGGCTCTGCTTATATACACAACTGGTAGTAGAAACCCAGCCTCCTGACTTAGTTCATTGTTTTTCTTTTCACTGCCCTGTGCTATGTCAAAAACCCCATGATTACAAGAGTTGTATTACAACCCTTCACAATAAGGTTACTGTCCACAAGCTTTTCTTGTGATCCTTTTCTTTTTTTTTTTTCTTTTTTTGAGATGGATTCTCTGTCACCCAGGCTGGCCCGCCTTGGCCTCCCAAAATGCTGGGATTACAGCGTGAGCCACCGCACCTGGCCCTTGTGATCCTTTTCTAAAAAGTTAAATATTTAAGGAAAAAACCACATTCTTGTCACACTGCCAGGTTAGTCGTTCTTTGATATCTTGCCTGGACTTTATCCAAAAAATCCGTTTCAAAAATTCACATTTAGAGCTAAGTGTAGTGGCTCACGCCTGTAATCCCGGTCGAGGCAGATGGATCACTTGAGGTCAGGACTTCAAGACCAGCCTGGGCAATATGGTGAAACCCCTTCCCTACCAAAAATACAAAAAAATTAGCCGGGTGTGGCAGCACGCGCCTGTAGTCCCAGCTACTTGGAATGCTGAGGCACAAGAATCACTTCAATCCGAGAGGCAGAGGTTGCAGTGAGCCAAGACCACACCACTGCACTCCAGCCTGAGCAGCAGAGTGAGTGAGACTCCATCTCCAAAAAAAAAAAAAAAGGTTCACATTCAGAAGAAAGCTAAAGGCCGGGTATAGTAGCTCACACCTGTAATCCCAGCACTTTGGGAAGCCGAAGCAGGAAGATTGCTTGATGCCAGGCATTCAAGACCAGCATGGGCATCATAGTGAGATCCTGTCTCTACAAAAATTAATTAACATTAAAAATTAAAAAGATGGCTGGCATGGTGGCTCACTCCTGTAATCCCAGTACTTTGGGAGGCCAAGGCATGGTGGTGCATGCCTTTAGTCCCAGCTACTCGGGAGGCTGAGGCAGGAGAATCACTTGAATTCAGGAGGCGGAGGTTACAGAGAGCCGAGATGGTGCCACTGCACTCCAGCCTGGGCGACAGAACGAGACTCTGTCTGAAAAAAAAAAAGAAAATTAAAAAGACCAGAATAAAGCTAAAGATTTAAAATAGCCTATAGGTTCCTACCAGAAGTTACCAGCTACCTCTCTGATAGTCTTTCCCTACAATATCCTCCTGGATTATTACATTTTAGCACCTTGACCTATCTGATGTCCTGCATACACAGGCATGGTCCTGCTCAGGGTTTGCCTTCTCTGCTCCCTCTTTCTTGGAATGCTCTTCCCCTAATTGTTGCATAGTGTGTTTCTTTACATTATTAAGCTATCCTCTAGTCTCACCTCAGTGAAACCTTTCCTGACTCCCCCCATGTACATCTCACCCCCACATAGATATTGAACTACCTGTTTCCCCTTACCCTGCTTAATTTTTCTCTTTAATGCACTTATTCCCATGTATTCTTTAATTCCGTATCAACTGTCTACCACACTAGAATATGAGCTCTATGAGAGCAGGCTTTATTTTGTAAACTGCTACATTTCTATCTCCTAGAATAGTACTTGAATATAGTAGTAGATACTTAATAAACACTTGTTATATTAGTATAATAAATGAACTAATCTCAGGAATGCCTTGGTTTTGTGGATAGACAGGTAGGGATGGGAACTTGGGTGATGTATTTTCTGAAGTTTTTATTTTTAAGCTTATTATTATTTTGAGATGGAGTCCAGCTCTGTCGCCCAGGTTGGAGTACAGTGGCGCGATCTTGGCTCACTGCAACGTGCACTTCCCCGGTTCAAGCGATTCTCCTGCCTTAGCCTCCCAAGTAGCTGGGATTACAGGCGCATGCCACCATGCCCAGTTAGTTTTGGTATTTTTAGTAGAGACAGCGTTTCACTGTGTTGGCCAGGCTGGTCTCGAAATCCTGACCTCATGATCCGCCCGCCTCGGCCTCCCAAGTGCTGGGATTACAAGCATGAGCCCCCGTGTCTGGCCTTATTTTCTTTTTTTTGAGACAGAGTCTTCCTCTGTCACCTAGGCTGGAGTGCAGTGGCACGATATTGGCTCACTCTGCAACCTCCACCTCCAGGATTCAAGTGATCCTTCTACCTTAGTCTCCAAAGTAGCTGAGACCACAGGCATGCGCCACCACGCCCGGCTAATTTTTGTATTTTTAGCGTAGACAGGGTTTCACCATATTGTCCAGGATGATCTGGAACTCCTGAGCTCAGGTGATCCACCCACCTCAGCCTCCCAAAGTGCTAGGATTACAGGCATGAGGCACCATGCCCGGCCTTAAGCTTATCATTTTCTAAATTTCCTTTAGTGAGTACTTATTACACTGTTTTTACAAAGTAATCACAAACCAAACATCATGCCTCTTCTGAAGTGATCTAATAAGAGTACACAGTACCATCTGTAAAGTGTTCTTGCCAGAAAGTTGAACCTGAATGATTAAGCCTGTAAGTCTAGTTTATAGGAAATAAGGCTAGAGGAACAAGTTAAACCTCACCATAGGGTTATACAATCAGCAAAATCCAGAATGGGGGAAACTCCACAGGTCAAATGACCTAATTTTAAAAATAAATGACAAGGGAGAAAAAGTAAGAGACACCTATAGATCAGAAGACACTTGGGGCTGGGCATGGTGGCTCACACCTGTAATCCCAGCACTTTGGGAGGCCAAGGCAGGCGGATCACCTGAGGTCAGGAGTTCAAGACCAGCCGGCCAACATGGTGAAACCCCAACTCTACTAAAAATACGAAAAATCAGCCGGGCGTGGTGGCGCACGCCTGTAGTTCCAACTACCTGGGAGGCTGAGGCAGGAGAATCACTTGAACTTGGGAGGCAGAGGTTGCAGTGAGCCGAGATCGCACCATTGCATGCCAGTCTGGGCTACAAAAGCAAAACCCCATCTCAAAAAAAAGAAGACACTTGGGTTTGGGTGTGTTGGCTCATGCCTGTAAACCCCGTGCTGGGAGGATTGCTTGAGCCCAGGAGTTCAAGGCTGCAGTGAGGTATGTTTGCACCACTGCACTCCAGCCTAGGTGACAGAGTGTGACCTTATCTTAAAAGTAATAATAATTAAAATAATCTGGGGTAGGGGTGGATATGGGTGAAACAGCTTGGCCATGAGTTGATGGTTGTTGGACCAGGGTGATGGTCCATATAGTTCATTTTATTATTTTATTTACTTGAAATTTTGAAATACTTGAAATTTTCCATATTAAGTTAAAAAGGCATTTACAGTAAACAAAAAAAAGTTCTAGGAAGGAATTCAAAAGAAATATAAGCAGAAAATTTTGTCTTTATGGAGCTTAAAGATGAGATGTGCACCCACAGTGATAGTGCAGAAAAATATATCACTGGAAATGAATTCGTACGAACTATTATCAACTAATCTTTTAAATGCTGATGATAGTATAGAGTATTGAAGGGATCAATATAATTCTGTTTTGATATCTGAAAGCTCACTGAAGGTAAGGATCGTATTCTCTGCTGTATTCTCAGTTCCTGACACAGCAGACATTTAATAAATATTGAACGAACTTGAGGCCTTATGTTGACTCAGTCATAACAGCTCAAAGTTGAACTTATTCACTAAGAATAGCTTTATTTTTAAATAAATTATTGAGCCTCATTTATTTTCTTTTTCTCCCCCCCTACCCTGCTAGTCTGGAGTTGATCAAGGAACCTGTCTCCACAAAGTGTGACCACATATTTTGCAAGTAAGTTTGAATGTGTTATGTGGCTCCATTATTAGCTTTTGTTTTTGTCCTTCATAACCCAGGAAACACCTAACTTTATAGAAGCTTTACTTTCTTCAATTAAGTGAGAACGAAAAATCCAACTCCATTTCATTCTTTCTCAGAGAGTATATAGTTATCAAAAGTTGGTTGTAATCATAGTTCCTGGTAAAGTTTTGACATATATTATCTTTTTTTTTTTTTTTGAGACAAAGTCTCGCTCTGTCGCCCAGGCTGGAGTGCAGTGGCATGATCTTGGCTCACTGCAACCTCCGCCCCCCGAGTTCAAGCGATTCTTCTACCTCAGCCTCCCAGGTAGCTGGGACTACAGGCACCCGCCACCATGCTTGGCTAATTTTTGTACTTTTAGTAGAGATAAGGTTTCACCATATTGGCCAGGCTGGTCTCGAACTCCTGACCTTGTGATCCACCTGCCTCGGCCTCCCAAAGTTCTGGGATTACAGGCGTGAGCCACCACACCCGACTGACATATATTATCTATTAGGATGTAACATCATTTTGAACAGTGTTTTGTATTTTTTGTGTCCATCAGTGAAAGCAAACTGCAAGCAGTTTTGAAATAAGCACATTGTGTTTGAGCCTTCCCAGTTTCTCCTTTCTGTTCATTTCTGCATATCCTTATGCATTCCCCCTTCTAAGGGTCAGTGTTTGCCCGCTTTGTAATCATTGTGAAGACAGGAAAGGACCTGATACCAGTTTCTATTTAGGCCAAAATTCATTTATAGCAGTGATTCAAGTTATATTTACGTATTTGATGATCTTGTCTTTTGAAATGAAAATGTTTGTTTCTTAATAAAAGAATTTCAGAAAAAGTAGAGTAGGTAATTTAGTAGAACAAGTGGGCTTTCTCCTTTTCTTTATGTTAAGCTATGGCTCACATCTTACCTTAAATGTCAACTAATTTGTTTTTAAGTATTTATGTACCTGGTACATAACCTGGTACCAGGTACAAACTATGTACTTGGTAAAAAGTTTATTAGCACAAAAAGGTATATGATGCAAAGTATACTTCCCTCTTACCCTACAACCCCTGCCTCCCTGTTCCCTCCCCAGACAACCACAATGATCAATTTCTTATGTATCCTTTGAGGAATTTTTAAATTCCAGAGTTCTTAACTTGGGGTTTATGAATAGTCTTTATGAATTTCCTAGAATTATATTTAAATTGTATTCAAAACTATGGCCATGTACATTTTTCTGGGAAGATAGTCCATAATTTTCATCTGAGTGAGCTAAGATCATGCCACTGCATTCCAGCCTGGGCGACAAGAGGGAGACTCAAAAAAAAAAAAAAAAGTCCCAGTATTTACTACAGAGAGCTAAAGATTAACCTTTAAAGCCCTGGGGCTTTCAATTTATCTGGATGAGAATCTTTCTGGAATGAACTGTATGTTTTCTTGTCAGCTTGAGTAACAAATGCTGAACATACTATACTATTATTACAGGGACTCAAGGGCCCAGTGTGGTAGCTCCTGCCCATAACCCCAGCACTTTGGGAGGCCAAGGCAGGAAGATCACTTAAGGCCAGGAGTTCGAAGCTGTAGTGAGCTATGATCACACCACTGCACTCCAGCCTAGATGACAGAGTGAGACCCTGTCTTTTTTTTTTTTTGAGATGGTGTTTCACTCTATTGCCCAGGCTGGAGTGCAGTGGTGTGATCTCGGCTCACTGCAACCTCCACCTCCTGGGTTCAAGCGATTCTCCTGCCTCAGCCTCTTGAGTAGCTGGGATTACAGGCATCTGCCACCACACCCAGCTAATTTTTGTATTTTTAGTCGAGACAGGGTTTTCACCATGTTGGCCAGGCTGCTCTCAAACTCCTGACTTCAGCTACCTTGGCCTTAAAAAGTGTTGGGATTACAGGTGTAAGCCACCGCGCCTGGCTGACCCTGTCTCTTAACAAAAAAAGAGAGATTAAGTTATGAATATAGTTGCTTTGAGAACTTGTGGAAGAAGGAAATTATAGGCTTATAGGCAGAGATAATAATACGAGCAAATGTACAAATAAAAGAAAATAGAGGACGGGCGCGGTGGCTCACGCCTATAATACCAGCACTTTGGGAGGTCGAGGTGGGCGGATCACGAGGTCAGGAAATTAAGACCATCCTGGCCAAAATGGCGAAACACTGTCTCTACTAAAACACACAAAAAACTAGCCTGGCATGGTGGCACGTACCTGTAGTCCCAGCTACTTGGTAGGCTGCGGCAGGGGTATCACTTGAACCTGGGAGGCAGAGGTTGCCCTGAGCCGAGATCATGCCAATGCACTCCAGCCTGACAACAGAGTGAGACTCTGTCTGAAAAAAAAGAAAAGAAAAGAAAATACATCCAGGAAAAATAAGCTAACTTTGCATATGTGTATAGGAGTTGTGTTAGAAAAGGAAGAAGCCCTCAAAGATGGGAAGCCATTTGCAAGAAAGAGAAGGTCCAAGAGGAGGCAGAAGGGATTGGAAATAGAAAAAGGATGTAAGAAAGAGTTGATTATTACTCATAAACAGTAATGAAGGAAAAGGAGAGTAATTCTACAGGAAGATGCTGAGGTGCTTTGAGCCCAGTGAAGTTGGAGGTAAAGACAGCTGTTGAGGCCGGGCACGGTGGCTCACGCCTCTAATCCTAGCACTTTTGGAGCCCAAGGCAGGTGGATCACCTGAGGTCAGGAGCTCAAGACCAGCCTGACCAACATAGAGAAACCCCATCTCTACTAAAAATACAAAATTAGACGGGCGTGGAGGCGCATGCCTGTAATCCCAGTTACTTGGGAGGCTGAGGCAGGAGAATCACTTGAACCTGGGAGGCGGAGGTTGCAGTGAGCCGAGATTGCGCCATTGCACTCCAGCCTGGGCGACAAGAGTGAAAACTGTCTCAAAAAAAAAAAACAACAAAAAACAGCTGTTGAGATTGAGAGGATTAGAGTTGGCAACTGGAGAAGAGTGAGAAGCTTGGTTTCAAGCTTGTGATAGTCAGGATTGTGATAGTCAGGAAAGAACCAGTCATAAAGATATATGTGTGTGTATACATATAAATATGTTATATATATGTGTGTGTGTGACACATATATATTTTTGTTTGTTTCTTTGAGACAGTGTCTCCCTCTGACACCCAGGCTGGAGTTCAGTGGTGTGATCATAGTTCACTTTTACCTTGCAATCTGGGTTCAAGCAATCTCTCATCTCAGCCCCTCAAGTAGCTAGGACTACAGGTACATGGCATTTGCCCAGCTAATTTTTAAGTTTCTTGTAGAGATGGGCCAGCCATATTTTAAATTGTGTTTTGAATGTTATATTAGAATTAAAAGTCCAAAGCCGGGTGTGGTGGCTCACGCCTGTAATCCCAGCACTTTGGGAGGCTGAGGTGGGCGGATCACGAGGTCAGGAGTTCGAGACCAGCCTGGCCAATATGGTAACACCATCTCTACTAAAAATACAAAAATTAGCTGGGTATGGGGGCACATGCCTGTAGTCCCAGCTACTCAGGAGGCTGAGGCAGAGGAACCTCTTGAACCCAGGAGGCAGAGGCTGCAGTGAGTTGAGATCGTGCCACTGTACTCTAGCCTGGGCGACAGAGCAAGATTCCGTCTCAAAAAAAAAAAAAGTCCAGTATAATGCCCATGTGATAGATCGACTTTTTCATGAAATCTCTTCTGTAATATCAATATAATCTGAATAACACTTTGATCTATATGATGAGAAAGCTGGGAGCCTGGGAGCGATACCCCCATGCTTTTGTTGTATTAATTGTATTTTCTACGGATAAACTCTAATTGCTAAAAATAAAACAACTTTATTGACCCAAGCAAGCCTAAAGTTCTGAAATCTTTTTTTTATTTTTGTTTGTTTGTTTGTTTGTTTTTGTTTGTTTTGTTTTGAGACGGAGTCTCGCTCTGTCGCCCAGGCTGGAGTGCGGTGGTGCAGTCTCGGCTCACTGCAAGCTCCACCTCCCGGGTTCACACCATTCTCCTGCCTCAGCCTCCCAAGTAGCTGGGACTACAGACGCCTGCCACCACGCCCAGCTAATTTTTTTGTATTTTTAGTAGAGAAAGGGTTTCACCGTGTTAGCCAGGATGGTCTCGATCTCCTGACCTCGTGATCTGCCCGCCTTGGCCTCCCTAAGTTCTGGGATTACAAGTGTGAGCCACCACGCCCGGCTGTTTTTTTTTGTTTTGTTTTGAGACGGAGTCTCACTGTGTTGCCCAGACTGGAGTGCAGTGGCATGATCTCAGCTCACTGCCACCTCCATCTCCTGGGTTCAAGCAAATCTCCTGCCTCAGCCTCCCGAGTAGCTGGGACTACAGGCATGTGCCACCACACCTGGCTAATTTTTGTATTTTTAGTAGAGACGGGGTTTCACTATGTTGGCCAGGCTGGTCCAAAACTCCTGACCTCAGGTGATCTGCTCGCCTTGGCCTCCCACAGTGCCAGGATTACAGGCATGAGCCACCTTGCCCAGCCAGTTCTGAAATCTTTTATGAAGCCTATAAAAAAAGATAATAATACCAATCTAGAAAATATTTCTTAAGGCAGTCATGCATTAGTTTGAACTTTCCAAACAAAAAAATGCAATGTGTAATACTTTTTTTTTTTTTTTTGAGATGGAGTCTTGTTCTGTTGCCCAGGCTGGAGTGCAGTGGTACAATCTCGGCTCACTGCAGCCTCTGCCTCTCTGGTTCAAGTGATTCTCCTGCCTCAGCCTCCCAAGTAGCTGGGATTACAGGCGTGCACCACCATGCATGGCTAATTTTTGTATTTTTAGTAGAGACAGGGTTTCACCATGTTGACAAGGCTGATCTCGAACTCCTGACCTCAGGTGATCCGCCCACCTCAGCCTCCCAAAGTGCTGAGATTACAGGCATTAGCCACCACGCCCAGCCTTTTATTTTAGTAGAGACCATGTTTCACCATGTTGACCAAGCTGGTCTTGAGCTGACCTCAAGTGATCCGCCCACCTCCACCTCCCAAAATGGTGGGATTATAGGCATGAGCCACCGCACCCAGCCTGTAATACTTTTTTGAAGATCTAGAACCACATTGTTCAAAGAGATAGAATGTGAGCAATAAATGTAACTTAAATTTTTCAACAGCTACTTTTTTTTTTTTTTTTTGAGACAGGGTCTTACTCTGTTGTCCCAGCTGGAGTACAGTGGTGCGATCATGAGGCTTACTGTTGCCTTGACCTCCTAGGCTCAAGCGATCCTATCACCTCAGTCTCCCAAGTAGCTGGGACTGTAAGTGCACACCACCATATCCAGCTAAATTTTGTGTTTTCTGTAGAGACGGGGTTTCGCCATGTTTCCCAGGCTGGTCTTGAACTTTGGGCTTAACCCGTCTGCCCACCTAGGCATCCCAAAGTGCTAGGATTACAGGTGTGAGTCATCATGCCTGGCCAGTATTTTAGTTAGCTCTGTCTTTTCAAGTCATATACAAGTTCATTTTCTTTTAAGTTTAGTTAACAACCTTTATACATGTATTCTTTTTCTAGCATAAAGAAAGATTCGAGGCCGGGTGCGGTGGCTCACGCCTGTAATCCCAGCACTTTGGGAGGCTGAGATGGGCACATCACGAGGTCAGGAGATCGAGACCATCCTGGCTAACATGGTGAAACCCCGCCTCTACTAAAATTACAAAAAGTTAGCCAGGCGTGGTAGCGGGCACCTGTAGTCCCAGCTACTCAGGAGGCTGAGGCAGGAGAATGGCGTGAACCCAGGAGGCAGAGCTTGCAGTGAGCAGAGATTGTGCCACTGCACTCCAGCCTGAGAGACAGAGCGAGACTCCGTCTAAAAAAAAAAAAAAAGATTCGAATCCTTATCTTGGTTGATTTTTGCGTATCTAGTTCCACTGAATTATTTATATAATTGTATAGACTACAGCACGAGACAGCTTAGCTTGTCACTCTACTGTACTATATTCTGCAGTACTATCATAAGGGAATTTCCTCCCTACCCCTGCTCTGAATTGTTCAATTGTACTATTTGCTGGAGTAATGCTTGATGCCTTCTTGATCCATTATACTAGAGTATATGTAGTATTTGTAGATTCTGAAGGAGTGGGAGCCTCTATTCTGAGTTTTAAAGGTACTTATGTACAGTGGAGGTAGCTTTTTGACAGCCTCATCTTCCAAACTATAGAGTCATTGTTTTGTTGAGTGCAATATGGTACTTGAAGCATCTATATCGGCGAAGAAGGACCCAAGTCTCCTTGACCTTACCTACCTACATTCACTTTCTCTGGTAGGAAGATTGTGGGTGCCTCTCTCCAGACTTAGTTTCCATGTCAAAAAAGAAAAAAGGAAGATTGTGGGCTTTGCTACAATCCAATTCTGGATCCAATATAACCTTCATTGCTTAATTACTGTGTGATCTGGGACAAGCCTCTACTCTATAAAAATGAAGATAAGGCCAGGCTTGATGGCTCATGCCTGTAATCCCAGCACGTTGGGATGCCAAGGCAGGAGGATCACTTGAGGTCAGGAGTTCGAGACCAGACTGGGCAATATAGTGAAACCACATCTGTACAAAAATAAAGATAGAAAGTAGCCCAGCGCAATGGCTCACACCTGTAATCCCAGCACTTTGGGAGGCTGAAGCAGGCGATCACTTGAGGTCGGGAGTTCAAGACTGTAGACAGATAGATAGGTAGGTAGATAGATAGAGATATAGATATAGTTGGGGTTTTTTTGTTTTGTTTTGTTTTGTTTTTGAGATGGAGTTTCGCTCTTGTTGCCCAGGCTGGAGTGCAATGGCGCGATCTCAGTTTACTGCAACCTCCGCCTCCCGGGTTCAAGAGATTCTCCTGCCTCAGCCTCCTGAGTAGCCAGGATTACAGGCATATGCCACCATGCCCGGCTAATTTTTGTATTTTTAGTAGAGACAGGGTTTCTCCGTGTTGGTCAGGCTGGTCTTGAACTCCTGACCTCTCCCAAAGTGTTGGGATTACAGGCGTGAGCCACCGCTCCTGGCCTTTTTTTTTTTTTTTTTTTTTTTTTTGAGACAGAGTCTTCCTCTGTTGCCCAGGGTGGAGTGCAGTGGCACTCTTCTCAGCTCATTGCAACCTCTGCCATCCTGGGTTCCAGTGATTCTCATGCCTCAGCCTCCCAAGTAGCTGGGACTCAGGCGTGTGCCCACCACGCCTGGCTAATTTTGTTGTATTTTTAGTAGAGACAGGGTTTCACCATGTTAGCCAGGCTGGTCTCAAACTCCAGGCCTCAAGTGATCTGCCTGCCTCAGCCTCCTGGGATTGCAGACATGAGCCACTGCACCCGGCCAAGAGAGGGTAATAAATGTTAAATTACCTGGCTAGTAAAAAATATTCTCTAAGTGTCTTTTCTCACAATTCCCAATGCCTTTTTTTTTTTTTTGGCACAATCTCACTCTGTTGCCCAGGCTGGAATGCAATGGTGCAATATTGGCTCACTGTAACCCCCGCCTCACAGGTTCAACTTATTCTCATGCCTCAGCCTCCCGAGTAACTGGGACTACAGTGCACCACCACCACACCCAGCTAATTTTTGAATATTTAGTAGAGACAGGGTTTCACCATGTTGGCCAGGCTGGTCTTGAACTCCTGGCCTCAAGTGATTCACCCACCCCGCAAGTGCTGGGATTACAGGTGTGGACCACCGTGCACAGCCCTAGTGACTTTTTTTTTAGCCCCTTAATCTTTTCTTTCCTGGGTCTCTTCATTGTCAGTGTCTGCTATTTACTCCCTACCTAGTCACCCCCTTCACCAGTATATTATGTCCTTTATGTTTTATTTTGCAGGATCTTATTTTGCTTTTCTATTGAATCCCCTCCATCTAGAATAGTACTAGACATAGTAAATATTGGTTGTATGAGTGAATCGCTGCTTTTAATTATCATCACCATTGCTCTCTCTACTTCTGGTCTATGATCCACTTTGAGTTAACTTTTGTTATTTGGTGTGAGATAGGAGTATAATTTCATTCTTTTACATGTGGTTATACTTTTGTCTCAACACTGTTTGTTAAAAACACAAAAAGTATTATTTTCCCATTTAATCATCTTTGGCCTGGGCACGGTGGCTCATGCCTGTAATCCCAGCACTCTGGAAGGCCAAGGCAGATGGATCAATTTGAGGCCAGGAGTTCAAGACTAGCCAACATGGTGAAACTAAAAATACAAAAAATTAGCTGGGTATGGTGGTGCATGTCTGTAATCCCAGCTACTCGGGAGGCTGAGGCACGAGAATTGCTTGAGCCTAGGAGGTGGAGGTTGTAGTGAGCTGAGATTGTGTCACTACCCTCCAGCCTGGGTGATAGAGTGAGTCTGTCTCAAAAAAAAAAAAAAAAAATTAAGAAAATAAAAATCGTCGGCCAGGCATGGTGGCTCACACCTGTAATCCCAGCACTTTGGGAGGCAGAGGCGGGCAGATCACGAGGTCAGGAGATGGAGACCATCCTGGCTAACATGGTGAAACCCCGTCTCTACTAAAAATAAAAAAATTAGCCGGGCATGGTGCTGGGCGCCTGTAGTCCCAGCTGCTCGGGAGGCTGAGGCAGGAGAATGGCGTGAACCCAGGAGGTGGAGCTTGCAGTGAGCCGAGATCGTGCCACTGCACTCCAGCCTGGGAGACAGAGCGAGACTCCGTCTCAAAAAAAAAAAAAAAAAAAATTGTCTTGGTATTTATTATTGTTGAAAATCGCTTGATCACAGATGTATGTATGAGTTTATTTCTGTACTGTCAATTCCATTTTATTGATGTATGTGTCTATTCTTATGCTATTACCACACTTTCTTGATTACTATAGCTTTGTGGTGAGGTGTTGAGATTTTAAACTAATTATAAGCATCTTACATGAACTACTTACCGTTTATATTTGATTATGCAGCATGAAATAATTATGAATATATCATTAAATATGCCATATTAACTTTTATTAAGTTTTATGTGATCATAACAGTAAGCCATATGCATGTAAGTTCAGTTTTCATAGATCATTGCTTATGTAGTTTAGGTTTTTGCTTATGCAGCATCCAAAAACAATTAGGAAACTATTGCTTGTAATTCACCTGCCATTACTTTTTAAATGGCTCTTAAGGGCAGTTGTGAGATTATCTTTTCATGGCTATTTGCCTTTTGAGTATTCTTTCTACAAAAGGAAGTAAATTAAATTGTTCTTTCTTTCTTTATAATTTATAGATTTTGCATGCTGAAACTTCTCAACCAGAAGAAAGGGCCTTCACAGTGTCCTTTATGTAAGAATGATATAACCAAAAGGTATATAATTTGGTAATGATGCTAGGTTGGAAGCAACCACAGTAGGAAAAAGTAGAAATTATTTAATAACATAGCGTTCCTATAAAACCATTCATCAGAAAAATTTATAAAAGAGTTTTTAGCACACAGTAAATTATTTCCAAAGTTATTTTCCTGAAAGTTTTATGGGACATCTGCCTTATACAGGTATTAGAAACTTACTGCCTTTCTCTAATGCTTCTAGTGTAAAAACTTGCAGACTTATGTAAAGTAGGGCTGTATCGCCGTGCCCCCATTGTCTGTTAATCTTGTTTTTATATTTTTGATTGTGTTTCCTTTTCTTTTTTTTTTTTTTTTTAAGACAGGGTCCTGCTCTGTCACTGAGGCTGGAGTGCAGTGGCGTGATCTCGGCTCACTGTAGCCTCTGTCTCCCAGCCTCTTCCTGCCTTAGCCTCCCAAATAGCTGGGACTACAGGCACACGCTACCATGCCCGGCCAATTTTTGTATTTTTTGTAGAGATGAGGTTTTACCATGTTGCCCAGGCTGGTAACTCCTGAGCTCAGGTGATCTGCCCACCTCGGCCTCCCAAAGTGCTGGGGTTCACAGGTGTGTGTTTATTTCTATCTAATTATTTACACAAACACAATGTATTTATATATTGTGTATCTCTTCTGCTACAATGTAAATTCTATGAGAGTAGTAATTTTGTCTGTCTCAACACTGTTTTTCCTAAGTTTGGTACATAGTAGGCACTCAGATGCTTAAAGGAATGAATGAATTGTGCTTTAATTCCACTTTACTAAACCCAAATCTCCCTTTGGACATTGTTATCTATGTGTTTTCAAAGAAGTATAATCATAATTTGACAGAAATCCTTGAGAGGCAGAACTAAGTGAGGGATTGGGCAGGGTTCAGATGTTAAGAACAGTAAGCTCAGCAGGGTGTGATTGCTCATGCCTATAACCCTAGCACTCTAGGAGGCTGAGGTGGGATGATTGCTTGAGGCCAGGAGTTTGAAATCAGCCTGGGCAACATAGTGAGACCCCATCACTACCAACAAAATAAATAAATAAATGTACATGGTGGCATATGCCCATAGTCCTAGCTACTTGGGAGGCTATAGTGGGAGGATAGCTTGAGTACAGAAGTCTGAGGCTGCAGTGAGCTATGATTGTGGCACTGCATGCTAGCCTGGGCAATAGAGCAAGACCCTGTCTCTAAATTAAACAAAAAAAAAAGTACTCTAGTTTTCTATGCAATGCATTATATCTGCTGTGGATTTAGGGCAGTATTATATCAGATAATTTTAGGCATTTGGTAGGCTTAAATGAATGACAAAAAGTTACTAAATCACTGCCATCACACGGTTTATACAGATGTCAATGATGTATTGATTATAGAGGTTTTCTACTGTTGCTGCATCTTATTTTTATTTGTTTACATGTCTTTTCTTATTTTAGTGTCCTTAAAAGGTTGATAATCACTTGCTGAGTGTGTTTCTCAAACAATTTAATTTCAGGAGCCTACAAGAAAGTACGAGATTTAGTCAACTTGTTGAAGAGCTATTGAAAATCATTTGTGCTTTTCAGCTTGACACAGGTTTGGAGTGTAAGTGTTGAATATCCCAAGAATGACACTCAAGTGCTGTCCATGAAAACTCAGGAAGTTTGCACAATTACTTTCTATGACGTGGTGATAAGACCTTTTAGTCTAGGTTAATTTTAGTTCTGTATCTGTAATCTATTTTTAAAAAATTACTCCCACTGGTCTCACACCTTATTTTATCAATCGTAAGGTGCACATTTTTCACATCTTAACATCTCTGAAATTGGGAACATTTTACTATTGAGGGTGTGTCATTTGTTTAATTTGTGTGCTTTCTTTCTTAGTGATACAGAAAATAATAGTGCAACTTACATTGTTGGTGTCTTAGCTTTAGTGAAATACAGTATTGATAGGCAAATTTCTTAGTGTTAAGGTAGAAAACAAGGACTCTAAATAACTTTGATGGTCTGTGTATTTGTTTTTGTTTCCTAGGAGTAAAATTTCCAGTTGATTTTTTAAAATTTGATTTTTAAAAAAAATCACAGGTAACCTTAATGCATTGTCTTAACACAACAAAGAGCATACATAGGGTTTCTCTTGGTTTCTTTGATTATAATTCATACATTTTTCTCTAACTGCAAACATAATGTTTTCCCTTGTATTTTACAGATGCAAACAGCTATAATTTTGCAAAAAAGGAAAATAACTCTCCTGAACATCTAAAAGATGAAGTTTCTATCATCCAAAGTATGGGCTACAGAAACCGTGCCAAAAGACTTCTACAGAGTGAACCCGAAAATCCTTCCTTGGTAAAACCATTTGTTTTCTTCTTCTTCTTCTTCTTCTTTTCTTTTTTTTTTCTTTTTTTTTTTTGAGATGGAGTCTTGCTCTGTGGCCCAGGCTAGAAGCAGTCCTCCTGCCTTAGCCCCCTTAGTAGCTGGGATTACAGGCACGCGCCACCATGCCAGGCTAATTTTTGTATTTTTAGTAGAGACGGGGTTTCATCATGTTGGCCAGGCTGGTCTCGAACTCCTAACCTCAGGTGATCCACCCACCTCGGCTCCCCAAATTGCTGGGATTACAGGTGTGAGCCACTGTGCCCGGCCGGTAAAACCATTTTCATTTATTCTGGCAACATCTCTTTATTGAGCATTGTGAATATGTTAGTGAATGTGCTAGATGCTCATAGATTTATATAAAAAGTTAGTGAAGAAGGAAAGATGGTATATTAAGTGGTTAGACAAGTGTTCTAATCAGTTAGAGTTCAGAGAAGGTCAGGGTACCTGATATAATCAAGAGAGAGACCTTACAGCCAGGTGAGGTGAATGTACCTATAATCCCAGCTACTTAGGAGGCTGAAATGGGAGGATCACTTGAGTCCAGGTTTGAGACCAGCCCAGGCAACATAGCAAGATCCCCATCAGATACACCAAAAAGACAGATTTCTTTTTTTTTTTTTTTTTTGAGACAGAGTCTCGCTCTGTCGCCCAGGCTGGAGCGCAGTGACACGATGTCAGCTCACTGCAACCTCCGCCTCCCAGGTTCAAGTGATTCTCCTGCCTCAGCCTCCTGAGTAGTTGGGACTACAGGGGTACGACACCAGACCTGGCTAATTTTTGTAATTTTAGTAGAGTCGGGGTTTCACCATATTGGTCAGGCTGGTCTCGAACTCCTGACCTCAGGTGATCCACCCTCCTTGGCCTCCCAGAGTGCTGGGATTACAGGCGTGAGCCACCAAGCCCGGCCAAAAAAGAGAGCTCTTATAGGCCCTTCCTTGCTTTGGAGCTTTATCTGCTCTGTGATGCTTATCTAAAATAGCCATAAGGTCACTGATATTTTTAAGCATTTGGAAATTACTTCAGCTGGGTGCCATGGCTCATGCCTATAATCCCAACCCTTTGGGAGGCTGAGGTAGGAGGTCCTTTGAGCCCAGCTTGGGCAACACAGTGAGACACTGTCTCTGCAATTAAAAAAAAAAAAAAGTAGCTGGGTGCCGTGGCTCACGCCTGTAATTCCAGCACTAGGAGGCTTGAGGATTGCCTGAGCTCAGGAGTTCAAGACCAGTTTGGGCAACATAGCAAGTCCTTGTCTATATTAAAAGTTTTTTTAAATTATCTGGGCATGGTGGTGTGTGCCTGTAGTCCCAGCTACTTGGGAAGCTGAGACAGAAGGATCACTTGAGTCCAGGAGATGTAGACTACAGTGAGCTATGATCACTCCACTGCACTTCAGCGTGGGCGGCAAAGCAAGATCTAGTTGCAAAAAAAAAAAGAACTGGCTGGGTGCGGCGGCTAACACCTGCAATCCCAGCACCTTGGGAGGCTGAGGCCAGTGGATCATGAGGTCAGGAGATTGAGACCACCCTGGCCAACATGGTGAAACCCGGTCTCTACTAAAAATACAAAAATTAGCTGGGTGTGGTGGCACGTGCCTGTAATCCCAGCTACTCCAGAGGCTGAGGATGGAGAATCACTTGAACCTGAGAGTCGGAGGTTGCAGTGAGCCGAGATTGCGCCACTGCACTCCAGCCTGGCGACAGAGCGAGACTCCGTCTCAAAAAAAAAAAAAAAAAAGCTTCACGCCTGTAATCCCAGCACTTTGGGAGGCCGAGTCAAGTGGATCACGAGGTGTGGAGATCAAGACTATCCTGGCTCACATGGTGAAAGCCCGTCTCTACTAAAAACACAGAAAAATTAGCTGAGCGTGATGGCGGACTCCTGTAGTCCCAGCTACTCGGGAGGCTGAGGCAGGAGAATAGCATGAACCCGGGAGGTGGAGCTTGCAGTGAGCCGAGATCCCGCCACTGCGATCCAGCCTGGGCGACAGAGTGAGACTCTGTCTCAAAAAAAAAACAAAAAAACTTAGCTGGGCGTGGTGGTATGCACCTGTGGTCCTAGCTACTTGGGAGGCTGAGGCTGGAGCATTGCTTTAACATAGAGAGTCAAGGCTGCAGTTGAGCTATGACTGTGCCACTGGACTCCAGCGCAGGTGACTGAGACCCTATCTTTTAAAAAAAGGGAAAATTACTTGAACTTAAAAGGTGTAATTGTTAAAGAAAATGTAGTGATTTGCTCTGTTGTTACTTATATGTGCATGAATGATGGAGATCTTAAAAAGTAATCATTCTGGGGCTGGGCGTAGTAGCTTGCACCTGTAATCCCAGCACTTCGGGAGGCTGAGGCAGGCAGATAATTTGAGGTCAGGAGTTTGAGACCAGCCTGGCCAACATGGTGAAACCCATCTCTACTAAAAATACAAAAATTAGCTGGGTGTGGTGGCACGTACCTGTAATCCCAGCTACTCGGGAGGCGGAGGCACAAGAATTGCTTGAACCTAGGACGCGGAGGTTGCAGCGAGCCAAGATCGCGCCACTGCACTCCAGCCTGGGCCGTAGAGTGAGACTCTGTCTCAAAAAAGAAAAAAAAGTAATTGTTCTAGCTGGGCGCAGTGGCTCTTGCCTGTAATCCCAGCACTTTGGGAGGCCAAGGCGGGTGGATCTCGAGTCCTAGAGTTCAAGACCAGCCTAGGCAATGTGGTGAAACCCCATCGCTACAAAAAATACAAAAATTAGCCAGGCATGGTGGCGTGCGCATGTAGTCCCAGCTCCTTGGGAGGCTGAGGTGGGAGGATCACTTGAACCCAGGAGACAGAGGTTGCAGTGAACCGAGATCACGCCACCACGCTCCAGCCTGGGCAACAGAACAAGACTCTGTCTAAAAAAATACAAATAAAATAAAAGTAGTTCTCACAGTACCAGCATTCATTTTTCAAAAGATATAGAGCTAAAAAGGAAGGAAAAAAAAAGTAATGTTGGGCTTTTAAATACTCGTTCCTATACTAAATGTTCTTAGGAGTGCTGGGGTTTTATTGTCATCATTTATCCTTTTTAAAAATGTTATTGGCCAGGCACGGTGGCTCATGGCTGTAATCCCAGCACTTTGGGAGGCCGAGGCAGGCAGATCACCTGAGGTCAGGAGTGTGAGACCAGCCTGGCCAACATGGCGAAACCTGTCTCTACTAAAAATACAAAAATTAACTAGGCGTGGTGGTGTACGCCTGTAGTCCCAGCTACTCGGGAGGCTGAGGCAGGAGAATCAACTGAACCAGGGAGGTGGAGGTTGCAGTGTGCCGAGATCACGCCACTGCACTCTAGCCTGGCAACAGAGCAAGATTCTGTCTCAAAAAAAAAAAACATATATACACATATATCCCAAAGTGCTGGGATTACATATATATATATATATATATATATTATATATATATATATATATATGTTATATATATGTTATATATATATAACATATATATATGTTATATATATGTTATATATATATAATATATATATGTTATATATATGTTATATATATATATACACACACACACACATATATATGTATATATATATACACACACACACACAAATTAGCCAGGCATAGTTGCACACGCTTGTAGACCCAGCTACTCAGGAGGCTGAGGCAGGAGAATCTCTTGAACTTAGGAGGCGGAGGTTGCAGTGAGCTGAGATTGCGCCACTGCACTCCAGCCTGGGTGACAGAGCAGGACTCTGTACACCCCCCAAAACAAAAAAAAAAGTTATCAGATGTGATTGGAATGTATATCAAGTATCAGCTTCAAAATATGCTATATTAATACTTCAAAAATTACACAAATAATACATAATCAGGTTTGAAAAATTTAAGACAACAGAAAAAAAAATTCAAATCACACATATCCCACACATTTTATTATTACTACTACTATTATTTTGTAGAGACTGGGTCTCACTCTGTTGCTTATGCTGGTCTTGAACTCCTGGCCTCAAGCAGTCCTGCTCCAGCCTCCCAAAGTGCTGGGATTATAGGCATGAGCTACCGCTCCCAGCCCCAGACATTTTAGTGTGTAAATTCCTGGGCATTTTTTCCAGGCATCATACATGTTAGCTGACTGATGATGGTCAATTTATTTTGTCCATGGTGTCAAGTTTCTCTTCAGGAGGAAAAGCACAGAACTGGCCAACAATTGCTTGACTGTTCTTTACCATACTGTTTAGCAGGAAACCAGTCTCAGTGTCCAACTCTCTAACCTTGGAACTGTGAGAACTCTGAGGACAAAGCAGCGGATACAACCTCAAAAGACGTCTGTCTACATTGAATTGGGTAAGGGTCTCAGGTTTTTTAAGTATTTAATAATAATTGCTGGATTCCTTATCTTATAGTTTTGCCAAAAATCTTGGTCATAATTTGTATTTGTGGTAGGCAGCTTTGGGAAGTGAATTTTATGAGCCCTATGGTGAGTTATAAAAAATGTAAAAGACGCAGTTCCCACCTTGAAGAATCTTACTTTAAAAAGGGAGCAAAAGAGGCCAGGCATGGTGGCTCACACCTGTAATCCCAGCACTTTGGGAGGCCAAAGTGGGTGGATCACCTGAGGTCGGGAGTTCGAGACCAGCCTAGCCAACATGGAGAAACTCTGTCTGTACCAAAAAATAAAAAATTAGCCAGGTGTGGTGGCACATAACTGTAATCCCAGCTACTCGGGAGGCTGAGGCAGGAGAATCACTTGAACCCGGGAGGTGGAGGTTGCGGTGAACCGAGATCGCACCATTGCACTCCAGCCTGGGCAAAAATAGCGAAACTCCATCTAAAAAAAAAAAAGAGAGCAAAAGAAAGAATATCTGGTTTTAAATATGTGTAAATATGTTTTGGAAAGATGGAGAGTAGCAATAAGAAAAAACATGATGGATTGCTACAGTATTTAGTTCCAAGATAAATTGTACTAGATGAGGAAGCCTTTTAAGAAGAGCTGAATTGCCAGGCGCAGTGGCTCACGCCTGTAATCCCAGCACTTTGGGAGGCCGAGGTGGGCGGATCACCTGAGGTCGGGAGTTCAAGACCAGCCTGACCAACATGGAGAAACCCCATCTCTACTAAAAAAAAAAAAAAAAAAATTAGCCGGGGTGGTGGCTTATGCCTGTAATCCCAGCTACTCAGGAGGCTGAGGCAGGAGAATCGCTTGAACCCAGGAAGCAGAGGTTGCAGTGAGCCAAGATCGCACCATTGCACTCCAGCCTAGGCAACAAGAGTGAAACTCCATCTCAAAAAAAAAAAAAAAGAGCTGAATCTTGGCTGGGCAGGATGGCTCGTGCCTGTAATCCTAACGCTTTGGAAGACCGAGGCAGAAGGATTGGTTGAGTCCACGAGTTTAAGACCAGCCTGGCCAACATAGGGGAACCCTGTCTCTATTTTTAAAATAATAATACATTTTTGGCCGGTGCGGTGGCTCATGCCTGTAATCCCAATACTTTGGGAGGCTGAGGCAGGTAGATCACCTGAGGTCAGAGTTCGAGACCAGCCTGGATAACCTGGTGAAACCCCTCTTTACTAAAAATACAAAAAAAAAAAAAAATTAGCTGGGTGTGGTAGCACATGCTTGTAATCCCAGCTACTTGGGAGGCTGAGGCAGGAGAATCGCTTGAACCAGGGAGGCGGAGGTTACAATGAGCCAACACTACACCACTGCACTCCAGCCTGGGCAATAGAGTGAGACTGCATCTCAAAAAAATAATAATTTTTAAAAATAATAAATTTTTTTAAGCTTATAAAAAGAAAAGTTGAGGCCAGCATAGTAGCTCACATCTGTAATCTCAGCAGTGGCAGAGGATTGCTTGAAGCCAGGAGTTTGAGACCAGCCTGGGCAACATAGCAAGACCTCATCTCTACAAAAAAATTTCTTTTTTAAATTAGCTGGGTGTGGTGGTGTGCATCTGTAGTCCCAGCTACTCAGGAGGCAGAGGTGAGTGGATACATTGAACCCAGGAGTTTGAGGCTGTAGTGAGCTATGATCATGCCACTGCACTCCAACCTGGGTGACAGAGCAAGACCTCCAAAAAAAAAAAAAAAAGAGCTGCTGAGCTCAGAATTCAAACTGGGCTCTCAAATTGGATTTTCTTTTAGAATATATTTATAATTAAAAAGGATAGCCATCTTTTGAGCTCCCAGGCACCACCATCTATTTATCATAACACTTACTGTTTTCCCCCCTTATGATCATAAATTCCTAGACAACAGGCATTGTAAAAATAGTTATAGTAGTTGATATTTAGGAGCACTTAACTATATTCCAGGCACTATTGTGCTTTTCTTGTATAACTCATTAGATGCTTGTCAGACCTCTGAGATTGTTCCTATTATACTTATTTTACAGATGAGAAAATTAAGGCACAGAGAAGTTATGAAATTTTTCCAAGGTATTAAACCTAGTAAGTGGCTGAGCCATGATTCAAACCTAGGAAGTTAGATGTCAGAGCCTGTGCTTTTTTTTTGTTTTTGTTTTTGTTTTCAGTAGAAACGGGGGTCTCACTTTGTTGGCCAGGCTGGTCTTGAACTCCTAACCTCAAATAATCCACCCATCTCGGCCTCCTCAAGTGCTGGGATTACAGGTGAGAGCCACTGTGCCTGGCGAAGCCCATGCCTTTAACCACTTCTCTGTATTACATACTAGCTTAACTAGCATTGTACCTGCCACAGTAGATGCTCAGTAAATATTTCTAGTTGAATATCTGTTTTTCAACAAGTACATTTTTTTAACCCTTTTAATTAAGAAAACTTTTATTGATTTATTTTTTGGGGGGAAATTTTTTAGGATCTGATTCTTCTGAAGATACCGTTAATAAGGCAACTTATTGCAGGTGAGTCAAAGAGAACCTTTGTCTATGAAGCTGGTATTTTCCTATTTAGTTAATATTAAGGATTGATGTTTCTCTCTTTTTAAAAATATTTTAACTTTTATTTTAGGTTCAGGGATGTATGTGCAGTTTGTTATATAGGTAAACACACGACTTGGGATTTGGTGTATAGATTTTTTTCATCATCCGGGTACTAAGCATACCCCACAGTTTTTTGTTTGCTTTCTTTCTGAATTTCTCCCTCTTCCCACCTTCCTCCCTCAAGTAGGCTGGTGTTTCTCCAGACTAGAATCATGGTATTGGAAGAAACCTTAGAGATCATCTAGTTTAGTTCTCTCATTTTATAGTGGAGGAAATACCCTTTTTGTTTGTTGGATTTAGTTATTAGCACTGTCCAAAGGAATTTAGGATAACAGTAGAACTCTGCACATGCTTGCTTCTAGCAGATTGTTCTCTAAGTTCCTCATATACAGTAATATTGACACAGCAGTAATTGTGACTGATGAAAATGTTCAAGGACTTCATTTTCAACTCTTTCTTTCCTCTGTTCCTTATTTCCACATATCTCTCAAGCTTTGTCTGTATGTTATATAATAAACTACAAGCAACCCCAACTATGTTACCTACCTTCCTTAGGAATTATTGCTTGACCCAGGTTTTTTTTTTTTTTTTTTTGGAGACGGGGTCTTGCCCTGTTGCCAGGATGGAGTGTAGTGGCGCCATCTCGGCTCACTGCAATCTCCAACTCCCTGGTTCAAGCGATTCTCCTGTCTCAATCTCACGAGTAGCTGGGACTACAGGTATACACCACCACGCCCGGTTAATTGACCATTCCATTTCTTTCTTTCTCTCTTTTTTTTTTTTTTTTTTGAGACAGAGTCTTGCTCTGTTGCCCAGGCTGGAGTACAGAGGTGTGATCTCACCTCTCCGCAACGTCTGCCTCCCAGGTTGAAGCCATACTCCTGCCTCAGCCTCTCTAGTAGCTGGGACTACAGGCGCGCGCCACCACACCCGGCTAATTTTTGTATTTTTAGTAGAGATGGGGTTTCACCATGTTGGCCAGGCTGGTCTTGAACTCATGACCTCAAGTGGTCCACCCGCCTCAGCCTCCCAAAGTGCTGGAATTACAGGCTTGAGCCACCGTGCCCAGCAACCATTTCATTTCAACTAGAAGTTTCTAAAGGAGAGAGCAGCTTTCACTAACTAAATAAGATTGGTCAGCTTTCTGTAATCGAAAGAGCTAAAATGTTTGATCTTGGTCATTTGACAGTTCTGCATACATGTAACTAGTGTTTCTTATTAGGACTCTGTCTTTTCCCTATAGTGTGGGAGATCAAGAATTGTTACAAATCACCCCTCAAGGAACCAGGGATGAAATCAGTTTGGATTCTGCAAAAAAGGGTAATGGCAAAGTTTGCCAACTTAACAGGCACTGAAAAGAGAGTGGGTAGATACAGTACTGTAATTAGATTATTCTGAAGACCATTTGGGACCTTTACAACCCACAAAATCTCTTGGCAGAGTTAGAGTATCATTCTCTGTCAAATGTCGTGGTATGGTCTGATAGATTTAAATGGTACTAGACTAATGTACCTATAATAAGACCTTCTGTAACTGATTGTTGCCCTTTCGTTTTTTTTTTTGTTTGTTTGTTTGTTTTTTTTTGAGATGGGGTCTCACTCTGTTGCCCAGGCTGGAGTGCAGTGATGCAATCTTGGCTCACTGCAACCTCCACCTCCAAGGCTCAAGCTATCCTCCCACTTCAGCCTCCTGAGTAGCTGGGACTACAGGCGCATGCCACCACACCCGGTTAATTTTTTGTGGTTTTATAGAGATGGGGTTTCACCATGTTACCGAGGCTGGTCTCAAACTCCTGGACTCAAGCAGTCTGCCCACTTCAGCCTCCCAAAGTGCTGCAGTTACAGGCTTGAGCCACTGTGCCTGGCCTGCCCTTTACTTTTAATTGGTGTATTTGTGTTTCATCTTTTACCTACTGGTTTTTAAATATAGGGAGTGGTAAGTCTGTAGATAGAACAGAGTATTAAGTAGACTTAATGGCCAGTAATCTTTAGAGTACATCAGAACCAGTTTTCTGATGGCCAATCTGCTTTTAATTCACTCTTAGACGTTAGAGAAATAGGTGTGGTTTCTGCATAGGGAAAATTCTGAAATTAAAAATTTAATGGATCCTAAGTGGAAATAATCTAGGTAAATAGGAATTAAATGAAAGAGTATGAGCTACATCTTCAGTATACTTGGTAGTTTATGAGGTTAGTTTCTCTAATATAGCCAGTTGGTTGATTTCCACCTCCAAGGTGTATGAAGTATGTATTTTTTTAATGACAATTCAGTTTTTGAGTACCTTGTTATTTTTGTATATTTTCAGCTGCTTGTGAATTTTCTGAGACGGATGTAACAAATACTGAACATCATCAACCCAGTAATAATGATTTGAACACCACTGAGAAGCGTGCAGCTGAGAGGCATCCAGAAAAGTATCAGGGTAGTTCTGTTTCAAACTTGCATGTGGAGCCATGTGGCACAAATACTCATGCCAGCTCATTACAGCATGAGAACAGCAGTTTATTACTCACTAAAGACAGAATGAATGTAGAAAAGGCTGAATTCTGTAATAAAAGCAAACAGCCTGGCTTAGCAAGGAGCCAACATAACAGATGGGCTGGAAGTAAGGAAACATGTAATGATAGGCGGACTCCCAGCACAGAAAAAAAGGTAGATCTGAATGCTGATCCCCTGTGTGAGAGAAAAGAATGGAATAAGCAGAAACTGCCATGCTCAGAGAATCCTAGAGATACTGAAGATGTTCCTTGGATAACACTAAATAGCAGCATTCAGAAAGTTAATGAGTGGTTTTCCAGAAGTGATGAACTGTTAGGTTCTGATGACTCACATGATGGGGAGTCTGAATCAAATGCCAAAGTAGCTGATGTATTGGACGTTCTAAATGAGGTAGATGAATATTCTGGTTCTTCAGAGAAAATAGACTTACTGGCCAGTGATCCTCATGAGGCTTTAATATGTAAAAGTGAAAGAGTTCACTCCAAATCAGTAGAGAGTAATATTGAAGACAAAATATTTGGGAAAACCTATCGGAAGAAGGCAAGCCTCCCCAACTTAAGCCATGTAACTGAAAATCTAATTATAGGAGCATTTGTTACTGAGCCACAGATAATACAAGAGCGTCCCCTCACAAATAAATTAAAGCGTAAAAGGAGACCTACATCAGGCCTTCATCCTGAGGATTTTATCAAGAAAGCAGATTTGGCAGTTCAAAAGACTCCTGAAATGATAAATCAGGGAACTAACCAAACGGAGCAGAATGGTCAAGTGATGAATATTACTAATAGTGGTCATGAGAATAAAACAAAAGGTGATTCTATTCAGAATGAGAAAAATCCTAACCCAATAGAATCACTCGAAAAAGAATCTGCTTTCAAAACGAAAGCTGAACCTATAAGCAGCAGTATAAGCAATATGGAACTCGAATTAAATATCCACAATTCAAAAGCACCTAAAAAGAATAGGCTGAGGAGGAAGTCTTCTACCAGGCATATTCATGCGCTTGAACTAGTAGTCAGTAGAAATCTAAGCCCACCTAATTGTACTGAATTGCAAATTGATAGTTGTTCTAGCAGTGAAGAGATAAAGAAAAAAAAGTACAACCAAATGCCAGTCAGGCACAGCAGAAACCTACAACTCATGGAAGGTAAAGAACCTGCAACTGGAGCCAAGAAGAGTAACAAGCCAAATGAACAGACAAGTAAAAGACATGACAGCGATACTTTCCCAGAGCTGAAGTTAACAAATGCACCTGGTTCTTTTACTAAGTGTTCAAATACCAGTGAACTTAAAGAATTTGTCAATCCTAGCCTTCCAAGAGAAGAAAAAGAAGAGAAACTAGAAACAGTTAAAGTGTCTAATAATGCTGAAGACCCCAAAGATCTCATGTTAAGTGGAGAAAGGGTTTTGCAAACTGAAAGATCTGTAGAGAGTAGCAGTATTTCATTGGTACCTGGTACTGATTATGGCACTCAGGAAAGTATCTCGTTACTGGAAGTTAGCACTCTAGGGAAGGCAAAAACAGAACCAAATAAATGTGTGAGTCAGTGTGCAGCATTTGAAAACCCCAAGGGACTAATTCATGGTTGTTCCAAAGATAATAGAAATGACACAGAAGGCTTTAAGTATCCATTGGGACATGAAGTTAACCACAGTCGGGAAACAAGCATAGAAATGGAAGAAAGTGAACTTGATGCTCAGTATTTGCAGAATACATTCAAGGTTTCAAAGCGCCAGTCATTTGCTCCGTTTTCAAATCCAGGAAATGCAGAAGAGGAATGTGCAACATTCTCTGCCCACTCTGGGTCCTTAAAGAAACAAAGTCCAAAAGTCACTTTTGAATGTGAACAAAAGGAAGAAAATCAAGGAAAGAATGAGTCTAATATCAAGCCTGTACAGACAGTTAATATCACTGCAGGCTTTCCTGTGGTTGGTCAGAAAGATAAGCCAGTTGATAATGCCAAATGTAGTATCAAAGGAGGCTCTAGGTTTTGTCTATCATCTCAGTTCAGAGGCAACGAAACTGGACTCATTACTCCAAATAAACATGGACTTTTACAAAACCCATATCGTATACCACCACTTTTTCCCATCAAGTCATTTGTTAAAACTAAATGTAAGAAAAATCTGCTAGAGGAAAACTTTGAGGAACATTCAATGTCACCTGAAAGAGAAATGGGAAATGAGAACATTCCAAGTACAGTGAGCACAATTAGCCGTAATAACATTAGAGAAAATGTTTTTAAAGAAGCCAGCTCAAGCAATATTAATGAAGTAGGTTCCAGTACTAATGAAGTGGGCTCCAGTATTAATGAAATAGGTTCCAGTGATGAAAACATTCAAGCAGAACTAGGTAGAAACAGAGGGCCAAAATTGAATGCTATGCTTAGATTAGGGGTTTTGCAACCTGAGGTCTATAAACAAAGTCTTCCTGGAAGTAATTGTAAGCATCCTGAAATAAAAAAGCAAGAATATGAAGAAGTAGTTCAGACTGTTAATACAGATTTCTCTCCATATCTGATTTCAGATAACTTAGAACAGCCTATGGGAAGTAGTCATGCATCTCAGGTTTGTTCTGAGACACCTGATGACCTGTTAGATGATGGTGAAATAAAGGAAGATACTAGTTTTGCTGAAAATGACATTAAGGAAAGTTCTGCTGTTTTTAGCAAAAGCGTCCAGAAAGGAGAGCTTAGCAGGAGTCCTAGCCCTTTCACCCATACACATTTGGCTCAGGGTTACCGAAGAGGGGCCAAGAAATTAGAGTCCTCAGAAGAGAACTTATCTAGTGAGGATGAAGAGCTTCCCTGCTTCCAACACTTGTTATTTGGTAAAGTAAACAATATACCTTCTCAGTCTACTAGGCATAGCACCGTTGCTACCGAGTGTCTGTCTAAGAACACAGAGGAGAATTTATTATCATTGAAGAATAGCTTAAATGACTGCAGTAACCAGGTAATATTGGCAAAGGCATCTCAGGAACATCACCTTAGTGAGGAAACAAAATGTTCTGCTAGCTTGTTTTCTTCACAGTGCAGTGAATTGGAAGACTTGACTGCAAATACAAACACCCAGGATCCTTTCTTGATTGGTTCTTCCAAACAAATGAGGCATCAGTCTGAAAGCCAGGGAGTTGGTCTGAGTGACAAGGAATTGGTTTCAGATGATGAAGAAAGAGGAACGGGCTTGGAAGAAAATAATCAAGAAGAGCAAAGCATGGATTCAAACTTAGGTATTGGAACCAGGTTTTTGTGTTTGCCCCAGTCTATTTATAGAAGTGAGCTAAATGTTTATGCTTTTGGGGAGCACATTTTACAAATTTCCAAGTATAGTTAAAGGAACTGCTTCTTAAACTTGAAACATGTTCCTCCTAAGGTGCTTTTCATAGAAAAAAGTCCTTCACACAGCTAGGACGTCATCTTTGACTGAATGAGCTTTAACATCCTAATTACTGGTGGACTTACTTCTGGTTTCATTTTATAAAAGCAAATCCAGGTGTCCCAAAGCAAGGAATTTAATCATTTTGTGTGACATGAAAGTAAATCCAGTCCTGCCAATGAGAAGAAAAAGACACAGCAAGTTGCAGCGTTTATAGTCTGCTTTTACATCTGAACCTCTGTTTTTGTTATTTAAGGTGAAGCAGCATCTGGGTGTGAGAGTGAAACAAGCGTCTCTGAAGACTGCTCAGGGCTATCCTCTCAGAGTGACATTTTAACCACTCAGGTAAAAAGCGTGTGTGTGTGTGCACATGCGTGTGTGTGGTGTCCTTTGCATTCAGTAGTATGTATCCCACATTCTTAGGTTTGCTGACATCATCTCTTTGAATTAATGGCACAATTGTTTGTGGTTCATTGTCTCCTTAAATTAGACTGTAAGCACCTTGATGGAACTCATACTACCTTTTATTTCACACACACGCACACGCGCACACACAGCCTACACATACACTGCCTAGCTCATTGTAGCATACTAAATACTGATTTTAATGAATAAGCTAAACCTTCGAAACCCATTTGCTAATCCCAGCACTTTGGGAGGCCAAGGTGGGTGGATCACCTCAGGTCAGAAGTTTGAGACCAGCCTGGCCAACATGGTGAAACCCCACATCTACTAAAAATACAAAAATTAGCTGGGCGTGGTGGCCAATGCCTTGTAATCCCAGCTATTCTGGAGGCTGAGACAGGAGAATCGCCTGAACCTGGGAGGCGGAGGTTGCACTGAGCTGGGATTGTACCACTGCACTCCAGCCTGGGTGACAAAGTGAGACTCCATCTCAAAAACAAACAAACAAAAACACATCATTTCCCCTATAGCAAAAACATGACGGCACTTACTGTATCAAGAGAGGTGAGAAAAAGGAGCCACAGCAGGATGATTCAAGGGACTCTGCATAGCTCCATTTTAAGAATATGCCTACTGCAGGTCAGAGAAGGTAAGCAAACTGCCTAAGGCCACACAGCCAGGTACAGAACTCTCACCAATATTATTGCCAGCAATCGCAATTTTGGTGTTTATTCTTGGTACCAAGTTGGAGACTATAGGGTTCTCTTCCTAATAGAGACCATCTAGCCTTTCACTGTTTTGTGGATACTTCTTTCTCTTCTTCTTTTTTTTTTTCCCTTTTAAAATCTAGTTATTTTTTTCTTTTTGGTTTCTTTGACACAGGGTCTCTTACTCTGTTACCCAGGCTGGAATGGAGTAGTGCAGTCATGGTTCACTGTAGCTTTGACTTCCTGGGCTCAAGCGATCCTCCTACCTCAGCTTCCCGAGTAGCTGGGACCACAGGCGCCCACCAACACCTCCAGCTAATTTTTAAGTTTTTACTAGAGACAACATCTCACTATGTTGCCCAGGCTGGTCTCAAAATCCTGGGCTCAAGTGATCCCACCTCAGCCTCCCAAAATGCTGGGATTACAGGTGTGTGCAACCACGCCTGGCCTATTTTTTTTTTAATTGCTCATAAATCATCTTTTTTCTTTAAAAAAAAGAAAGATGGGAGGCTAAAGCAGGAGAATCACTTGAACCCAGGAGGCGGAGGTTGCAGTGAGCTGAGATCATGCTGCTGCTCTCCAGCCTGGGCAACAAGAGTGAAACTCCATCTCAAAAAAAAAAAAAAAGAAAGTACACAATTTTACTTTCTGGACCTAATGGTCAAGGCCAATAATTTGGTCACCTATGAAATAAATAAAAGCTTTACCATATATATGACCATTTGATAATGTAATATGAAATGTTTATGTACTAAAGGCAGAATAGTCTAGAAAAAACATTCTGTATCACAACGTCTAAAAATGAATATCATCTTCATCATAGAACCAGGCTCTTTCTCCTAATTTTTTTTTTTGAGATGGAGTTTTGCTCTGTCACCCAGGCTGGAATGCAGTGGCACAATTTTGGCTCACTGCAACCTTCAGCTCCCAGGTTCAGGATCAAGTGATTTTCGTGCTTCAGCCTTCTAAGTAGCTGGGATTACAGGTGACTGCCACCACACCCAGCTCATTTTTTTGTATTTTTTTAGTAGAGAGAGGGTTTCACCATGTTGGCCAGGCTCGTCTCGAACTCCTGACCTCAAATAATCCACCCGTCTCAGCCTCCCAAAGTGCTGAGATTACAGGCGTGAGCCACCAGGCCTGGCCTCCTAATTTTTATTTGTAGAAGTGGCACCAAAATTTTCCAAGTTCTCATGCAAAAATTCAGGCTCATCTCAGTTTATTTTTTTCATTTATTTATCTCCCACTAAATTGACAACTTCTAATAATTAGGTTGGTTCTTTGTATTCCCAGCACAGGGTTCTATGCAGAATACACACACAGCAGTTGCTGGCAATAATATTGGTGAGAGTTCTGTACTGGGCTATGTGATCTTAGACAGTTTGCTTATGTTCTCTGACCTGCCGTAGGCACATTCTTAAAATGAAGCTGTTCAGACCCCCTCGATTCATCCTGCTGTGGCTTCTTTTTCCCACCTAAATCTTAAATACCCTTTTAGCTGCTAGTAAGTGAATGATGTTTTTTTATGAACTTTCTGAAGTCAGATTAGATGAAGTTGAGAAAAGCCTGATATTCTTATAAAGTTATATATGTGCATCATAGAAAACTTAGAAAATACAGATAAACAAAAATCATCCATGGACGAACCTTGAAGACATTGTGTTAACTGAAATAAACCGGACACCAAAGGACACATGTTATATGCTTCCACTTATATGAGATACCTAGAATAGTTACATTTGGTTACTCTGGGTACATTGCCTATAGATAAGCCTTGCTCCACAAGGAGCAGTTAAAAAAAAAAAAAAGATAAATTCATAGGATGGAAGGTAGAATAGTGGTTACTAGGGACTTGGGGAGGGGGAAATGGGGAGTTACTGTTTGATGAGTGCAGATTTCAGTTTGGGATGATGAAAAAGTTCTGGAGATAGATAGTGGCAATGGTAACACAACAGTGTGAAAATAATGCCACTGAACTGTACACTTAAAATGATTAAAATGATAAGTTAATTGTAATTTGTGTTATCCAGAAATGGTTAGCAATTTATTGGTGTATATTCTTTTAGTATTCCTGTGTGTGCACAGGGGTGCTTGTATATACTTTATCTTTAAAATATATCCAGGAAGCTAGGCACAGTGGCTTACACCTGTAATCCCAGCACTTTGGGAGGGTGAGGCAGGAAGATTGCCTGAGCCCCGGAGGTCAAGGCTGCAGTGAGTTGTGATCACGCTACTGCACTCTGTTCTGGGCAACCCCTGTCTGGGAAAAAAAAAAAAATTAGTGAGGCTTAGTGGTGCACACCTGTAGTCTCAGCTACTTGAGTGGCTGGGGTAGGATTGCTTGATCCCAGCAAGTTGAGGCCGTGGTGAGCCATGATGGTGCCACTGCACTCCATCCTGGGTGATATGGTGAGACCCTGTCTCAAAAACAAGAAATCCAGATAATTCTGTGCATTATAATCTAGCTTTTACTGGATCATTAAAATTCTTTTTTCTTTTTTTTTTTTTTTTTCTGAGATGGAGTTTCACTCTTGTTGCCCAGGCTGGAGTGCAGTGGTGTGACCTTGGCTCACCGCATCCTCTGCCTCCCGGGTTCATGCGATTCTCCTGCCTCAGCCTCCCGAGTAGCTGGGATTACAGGCATGTGCCACCATGCCCAGCTAACTTTGTATTTTTAGTAGAGACAGGGTTTCTCCATGTTGACCAGGCTGGTCTCAAACTCCTGGCCTCAAGTGATCCACCCACCTCGGCCTCCCAAAGTGCTGGGGTTACAGGCGTGAGCCACCGCACTCAGCCTGGGTCGTTAAAATTCTTAAGTGACTTCATTTTTAATTACTATATGGGATTCTATCTTTCCAGTGTATCATGATTTATTTGACCTATTGCTGAATGTTGGAGGTTTCAGGGTAAGAGGCACAGTTTGCTATTATGTACATCACTATAGTGGCATCCTGATAGCTAAATATTTGCCTACATCCCTGATTATTTCCTTAGTCTAAATTACTGGGACTAGGATTTTGGTGTTTGATACATGTTACTAAATTGTTTTTTAGAAAGATTAAACCAGTTTATGCTCTTCCAGCCCCTGTGGTATATGATAGTTCCCATTTTCCTGTACCTTGCCAACACTGGGTGATATCCAGTTTTAAAATCTAAATCTTGCATTGCTATGAGAACTACAATTAGAGAAGGCTTATCTTCTACTGCCCATTCTCTGTACAGAGCAAATCCCTCTAGACCTGAAGCCCCTTGGAGTTGTCAAGAAACCTTTGAGATGACTCCCCACTCTGTATCTGAGCTGTCACCAGTATTCTCCACTTCTTCAGGATTGCCATGGCAACTAAATTGATGAAAAGATTTAGGAGGCCTTTTCTCTCTTTGCAATTCCTATGATCCTTTTTGAATGTGGGTTTGGGACTCTGTCAATATACCCATCATCTAATTCTGTCCATTGTGTTTTAAAGTTTAAGGTTGCAATTTCTGATTACATCTGCCTTAGCCATACTGTATTATATTTGACATTCAATATACAATGTCCTTGTTTTTCTGTATTTCTAATCTTATTCCCAGAGATGTGTCTATTTGTTCAGGATTCATTTTGCAACGTGTTTTTACTAAGCATCTACCCAAAACCGTTGAAGTCAGATTTCAGGCTGTCTTACGTCTAAAGTAGCACAGGCAGGAAAAACTATTGAAGTGGGATTTTTTTTTCCCTTTTTGTACTGAACCGAGAAAAAGTATATAGATGATAGAGAATTCCTAATTTGGTATCATTGATATCTGGGTTTTTGTTTGTTTTTACAGAAGACTGATTAACTATACTTATTTATTAATTTATCTTCTCATTAATAAACACTTGCTGAGTGCTTACTGTCTGCTAGGCATTAGGGAGACAAATATGATTAAGGGAAGCTTCCTCCTATCAAGGTCATGTGTTCCATTTGGGTATACTAATGCATTAGCAATGTAAATCAAGTAGTGAGAGATCATCTGTTCCCGATAGGAGATGGATTATTGGTGGGGACTTCTGTGTGTGTGTGTGTGTGTGTGTGTGTGTGTGTGTGTGTATGTATGTGATAAAATAAATATAGGAAATGTTAATTATAGATTCTAAGTAGTAGATATATAAACACTCATTGCAAAGTTGCTTCAAGTTTTCTGTATATTTGAAAATATTCACAACATGTCGACAAAACTAGCATGATAAAGCCACTATTTGTGCTAAGACTTCAGCTTGTATCTGGATTAGGCTTATTATGTAGTAGTAGGAACATTAGAAATAGTTTTAACTCATTAAATACACATGTTTTATGGGAAGGTTTTATATATATATTTATATGTAATGAATGTGAACAAACAAGGGTCAGATATACACTCTGCTTCCCTCCAGACCAGTTCCGGCTGCTCTGCTGCACATTTCAGGAGTCTTATTAGAATTAGCCACATTCTGCCCACTTGCCCTTACTTCTCATATTTCACAACTCCTCCTGGTGGGGACTTAAGGAGACATTCAAACTAGGCCTTGAAAGATGAGAATTTTTCCAAGTGGAAAAAGAGGAGTGGCAGCAAGTAAGGTAAAGGTACAGAGTCATGGAATTCCCAGGAAACGTAAAGTTGTCATGTGTTATAGGAAAACAACTTGTGTGAGGGGTGTTGGGAGAAATGAGAGATAATACCAGGGTATAAAGGGCCTTTTGAATGCTATGTTGAGGAATTTTATCCTAATGGCAGTAATGACTAACAATTATATAGTGTTCAAAAAGTATAAATCAGCAGTGGTATACCACTAAGGGTTTTTTTCTTTTCTTTTTTTTTTTGAGACAGAGTTTTGCTCTGTTGCCCAGGCTGGAGTGCCGTGGCACGATCTCAGCTCACTGCACTTCCGCCACCTGGGTTCAAGTGATTCTTCTGCCTCAGCCAGTGTTTCACTGTGATGGCCAGGATGGAGCACTAAGGGTCTTTATGGAAGAAAAAGACATGATAAACAAGGCTTTTAGGGAACTTCTACAGTAATGTAGCTGTATTAAAAGTAGAGATCAGAGCAGCATAGTAGAAGTAGAAGGCTAGAGCTAATTGAAGGAGCACTTCAGAATTAGAATCAAGAAGTCTTAGAAACCTATTGGTTTTATTCTCCCTAATGTATTTGGCCACTTACCTGCTGGGGAATTTGTCTAAGTTATAAAAAATAATTCCTTTGGGAAACCCAAAGGAAAGTTATCTATTAATAATTACCCCACTACTTTTTCTGATTTATGTAATGGCCACGTAGAGGTTAGATGTGATGGTTGTGACAGTAGTGACTAATACAGCCTGTGAAGCATTTTGGTCAGATATCTATGTGCTTTCATTCCAGGTTGACTGAGGCAAGACTTTGGCTAGGGTTTGATCAGTGATGTAACTACTCACGAGTACCACGTGGTGGCAATGGCATTGCTGCAGACCTTGGCAGCAAAGCAGTGTTAGAGTAGCAGTAGAAACCTTTGTGAAGCTAGGAATACATTTTCTGGTCATAAAAACCTCCTGAAAATTGTGAACTCAGTGTAGCAGGAGAAAGAAGATGGCTTGTTTTTAGTAAAGGGCAAAGTCATTTTTAAGGATCAGAAGAAGAAACGGAGAGTGAAACAATGTGTTCCTGCCCTACTCCCCCACTGGACTTTTTGGCAACCATTGCTGTTCCTTCTAAAAGTGATTTTTAAACATGTATATTTTGAAGCCAGGCACAGTGACTCACGTCTGTAATCCCAGCACTTTGGGAGGCCGAGGCGGGCAGATCACCTGAGGTCAGGAGTTCAAGACCAGCCTGGCCAACATGGTGAAACCCCGTCTCTACTAAAAATACAAAAATTAGGCCAGGTGTGGTGGCTCACGCCTGTAATCCCAGCACTTTGGGAGGCCGAGGCGGGAGGATCATGTGGTCAGGAGATCCAGACCATCCTGGCTAACACGGTGAAACACCATTTCTACTAAAAATACAAAAAATTAGCTGGGCATGGTGGCGGGCGCCTGTAATCCCAGCTACTCAGGAGGCTGAAGCAGAAGAATGGCTTGAACCTGGGAGGCGGAGCTTGCAGTGAACCAAGATTGCGCCACTGCACTCCAGCCTGGGCAACAAAGTGAGACTCCGTCTCAAAAAAAAAAAAAAAAATTAGTCGGGCATGGTAACAGGTGCCTGTAATCCCAGCTACTTGAGAGGCTGAGGCAGGGAGAATTGCTTGAACCAGGTAGGCGGAGGTTGCAGTGAGCCAAGATCGCACCACTGCACTCCAGCCTGGGGCAACAGAGCAAGACTGTCTCAAAAAAAATAAATAAATAAAATAAATTCTTAAGAAGGATATTTTGGAAAACTCCTTACATACCTAAATTCTTTGTTTATCAAATACTTGGACTTAGCACACTCTTCTTTGAAATGGACCAATAAACAACAGGAGCCCATAAGCAAAAAGAACTCATTATTTTAAAAACAGTAACTATCCTTACAGGCTTTCTCAGGGCTCTTTCTGTTGGATCCTTCCCTCTCACAGGTCCTTGCTAATGATCTCTAGGTGGACACATTCTAGATGAGATGTCCCTGTCTAGAATGGCAGCACCATGAGGGCTATATCCTCAGTACTAGGACAGCGCCTGGTGCTTAATAGATAGTAAATAGTTGTCTAATTAACTGAGCAAACAGATAGATTCATGAATTAGCTTTTTGCTTTTTCTGTTAGAAACTAAAGGTTCAGGTCAGGCACAATGGCGCATGTCTCTAATCCCAGCACTTTGGGAGGCCGAGGCGGGCTGATCACTTGAGGTCAGGAGTTCAAGACCAGCCTGGCCAACATAGTAAAACCCTGTTTCTACAAAAATTACCAAAATTAGCCGGGCGTCTTGGCAAGCACCTGTAATGCCAGCTACTTGAGAGGCTGAGGTGGGAGAATCGCTTGAACCTGGGAGGAAGAGGTTGCAGTGAGCCGAGATGGTGCCAACCTGGGTGACAGAGGGAGACTTAAAAAAAAAAAGAAAGAAAGAAAGAAAAGAAACTAAAGGTTCAAAGAATCCCAGAAAAGGAAGAGTCCTCACAAGCCAGTAATCTAGGCAGGATTACTGATAGTATTTTTATATTTGTTGTATTTTTATAAAATGCCATAGATAGAGGGCTTTTTTCAACATTACATCAGTCTAAAAATCACACATTTTTATATGAACTAACCTAAATGTCTGATGAATCTCACAACACCAAGTCTTTGAAATGTGCCCATATAAATAAAATGTTAACAGATTCATGCTAATTTTAAATATCGATAGTGTTTAAATGCCTTAATTATTTTTTCACTCCCTAGCTTTAAAAGAAAATAACCAACTTCAAAAGGACATCACAATAACATCAAGTCTATTTGGGGGAATTTGAGGATTTTTTCCCTCACTAACATCATTTGGAAATAATTTCATGGGCATTAATTGCATGAATGTGGTTAGATTAAAAGGTGTTCAGCTAGAACTTGTAGTTCCATACTAGGTGATTTCAATTCCTGTGCTAAAATTAATTTGTATGATATATTTTCATTTAATGGAAAGCTTCTCAAAGTATTTCATTTTCTTGGTGCCATTTATCGTTTTTGAAGCAGAGGGATACCATGCAACATAACCTGATAAAGCTCCAGCAGGAAATGGCTGAACTAGAAGCTGTGTTAGAACAGCATGGGAGCCAGCCTTCTAACAGCTACCCTTCCATCATAAGTGACTCTTCTGCCCTTGAGGACCTGCGAAATCCAGAACAAAGCACATCAGAAAAAGGTGTGTATTGTTGGCCAAACACTGATATCTTAAGCAAAATTCTTTCCTTCCCCTTTATCTCCTTCTGAAGAGTAAGGACCTAGCTCCAACATTTTATGATCCTTGCTCAGCACATGGGTAATTATGGAGCCTTGGTTCTTGTCCCTGCTCACAACTAATATACCAGTCAGAGGGACCCAAGGCAGTCATTCATGTTGTCATCTGAGTACCTACAACAAGTAGATGCTATGGGGAGCCCATGGAAGATACATGGTATACAACATAGCTCTTGCTCTATTGGAAGCTAAGTGGAATGGGAGAAATTGGTGACAGGCAACCCCATAATTTCAGAAAGCTATGAAAAAGTACTCAGACATATTCCTTATAACACTGGTGTCACATCACAAAGACCTATTTAATGTGCTTCTGATTTATAGGGAGAGACATCCTATACTTCAGGAACTGCACTTTGATCCACAGAAAGCCTAGTGATGTAGAGCTCCTGTTAGTTCAAAAGGAAAAGAAAAGAACAACACAGAAAGCCTAATTATGCAATAGAGTCAAGTGCTTTATAGCAATGTTACAGTTATCAAAAAAAATCCAGATGGACCTCTGAGAGGATGCCATTGGAGTAACCAGGCAGATGCAGTTGATCAGAGCTGACTTCCTATAAGAAGTGAGCACTGAGCTGAGGAATAATGGCATAAATGAAGGAAAGTGAGATGGAAATTTGAGTTTTTAATTGGAAAGACAATACATCAGGCAGATTTTTAAATAGGGGCAAACAAACAGACACATAGGAGATGCTAGGCATGGGGTCCCCACTAGGATGCTGCTTAGAAACATGCAGGGGTGGTGAGTACTCCCAAAGTACACTTCATTCCTAGCTCAGTGATTCTTATCTGAGTGTTAAAGTTCCTTCTTCAGCACCCCGTTCCACAGTCCAACTGGGAACTTTAAGACCTTTCTTGGAGTCTTTCTAGGAACTCAAGTCTGCTACTTATACAGAACAGTGGCTTTGGTCCCCAGTTGTGCCTTGCAGTATTTTTGTGTTCAGGAAGAAACAGTAGCTCTTGGATAAAGAAGCTAGCTAGAAACTCTGTTGCTATGGCAGTGCTTCAAAATGTATTTCCTTAAATGCTTTCTTTGTAACTATCTTCATTTAGTTCATCTCTCAGATAATGAGAGATCAGAGTCCCATCCCCAGTATAATACTCTTCTTTAGGGTACTTTCACCATCTTCAGTCTAAACACAGACTAGACTTTCAATTATAATGTGTAAGATTTAAAATGTTATTATTGTGTGACTTTGAATATCTGTGTAAATCTACTATCTCCTCTTTGGTATATACGTGTGTTTATTTTTTTCTGGAGATCTGTAACTGAAATGCTTAATTTCTGAATTGTTTTGGATATCACAACTTAATACCAACATAAGTTTTGAGCCTTTTTCTCCCTAAATCTGGTGTGAGTCTAACTGAAACTCAAATGAACTTTTTAAAAATAATTTTTTCTTTTCTTTAATTTTTTTTTTAAGTAGAGACAGGGACGCACTGTTAACTAGGCTGGTCTTGAACTCCTGATCTTGAGCCATCCTCCCCGACCTGAGCCTCACCTTATAGAGAGGGTCTTGCTCTGTTGCCCAAGCTGGAGGGCAGTGGCATAATCACAGCTCACTGCAGCCTCTCGACCTCCTCAAGCGATCCTCCTGCCTTAGCCTCCCAAGTAGCTGGGACTATAGGCGTCCACCACCATACCCAGCTAATTTTTTTTTTTATTTTTTGTAGAGACAAGGTCTCCCTATGTTGCCCAAGTTGGTCTCAAACTCCTGGACTCAAGCAGTCCTCTCACCTCAGCCTCCCAAAGTGCTGGGGTTACAGGTGTGAGCCATGGCACCTGGCCAGAACTTCTAGTAAAAAGAATATTGTTGCCGGGTACGGTGGCTCACGCCTGTAACCCCAGCACTTTGGGAGGCCAAGGCAGGCGAATCACCTGAGGTCGGGAGCTCGAGACCAGCCTGACCAACATGGAGAAACCACATCTCTACTAAAACTACAAAAAATTAGCCGGGCGTGGTGGCACATGCCTGTAATCCCACCTACTTGGGAGCTACGGTGCCTGGCCTAGTTTATTATTTCTTAATATCTGTTGTCTTCCAGTGTCTTCCTTAATTCTTCACAATACCCTGTACAATGCTTAGCACACAGTGGGCAGTCTGTAAGTTTATTAAATGTTTGGTGTGGCCCATACTTCCTATCCACAAAGAATGTAACATGTTAAGACATCTAGATGAGGGAATGATTTAAGAGGAACTACAATAATATTCTGAAACTTGGACTCTGGATCTCTGCATTTAGACTTTCCTAAACCAGCCAGCAAGTAGATCATCATGTCACAAGGCTTAGGTTGGGCTTGCTGTTCAGAGAATGAATTAAGGATTAAGGAGAAAAAAAAGCAGAAAGGTTTTGCTCTGTTTTTCAGGTTCTATTGAGTTGTTAACTTCTAACAAGTTATCTTATTTGCTTCATTGCATGAGGCCCATTGTAGTAAGAAGAGGAATTTATATGCTAAATGTTCTGGTGATAGAATGACTTTTCTTTTTTTTTACAGTCCAAAGGTCTTTTTTTTTTTTTTTTAACACCTATTATGCCATGAATTCATAGGGAATAGGTTCCAGCTGCTCAGGCTCCTTCCCATTGGTTCTCACAAAGTGTGCTTCTCTGGGTGGAGCAGGCTGGTGCTTCAGTTGAACCCACGTACCTTTCTCTTTGGCTTCTTTCTTTTTCTGATCATTTTCCTTCACGCGTTTCAGGAAGCTGTCTTGGCTCTTAGAGTGTTTAATGTGCTCAATACGCACATTAATTCTCTTGGCAAGAATCTTGCCCTTAACTTGTTTACAGCGATGCCAACAGCATGCTGGGTCACGTTGTAGACTTTTCCAGTTTTGCCATGGTAACACTTGTGGGGCATTCCTTTTTGAACAGTACCCGTTCCCTTGATGTCTACAATTTCACCTTTCTTACAGATTCGCATATACATGGCCAAAGGAACAACTCCATGTTTTCTAAAAGGCCTAGAGAACATATATCAGGTGCCTCTCCTCTTTCCCTTTGTGTTCGTCATTTTGGCAAATTACTGAAAGATGGTGGTTCTGGCCAAAAGGAGGAATGACTTTTTAATAGCTGTGTTTGTATCTGAGCCTTCCCTCTGCCTTTCATTTTTTTTGTTTTGTTTTGTTTTGTTTTTGTTTGAGATGAAGTTTCACTTTTGTTGCCCAGGCTGGAGTGCAATGGTGTGATTTCGGCTCATTACAATGTCCGCCTCAGCCTCCTGGGTAGCTGGGATTACAGGCACCCGCCACCACGCCCAGCTAATTTTTGTATTTTTAGTAGAGACAGGGTTTCACCATGTTGGCCGGGCTGGTCTCAAACTCCTGACCTCAGGTGATCTGTCCACCTCGGCCTCTCAAAGTGCTGGGATTGTAGGCGTGAGCCACATCACCTGGCCACTTTTTTAACTCTTTCCAATGGTTAATTCCGTTTGATATGGTTCCTTGGAACTTGCACATTACCCTTTATCAATTATCACCCTGTATTGGGGGTGGGGAGGATGATACCTCTCTTCATAGTTAGATCCTACTTACTTTCAACAGAGTTCTTAACAATCCTAGAAACTCACAGGTCCAGAAAAGACAAGCATAAAGGAAACTATAAATAATGCATTTGAAGACTAACTCAGGAAATCAATGATTATTTCCCCCCAGGCTACCCAGTGTCTTAAAAAAACAGTTTAATTAATACAATCTTTTGTTTCAATTTTCTACCTATATTTATGGCTTTTAGCTTTTCTAATAAAAGCTCAAAATGAATTACAGTCATCAGTGACTTTTTAATGAATAGAAGACTTTTGCAATTTTTAACTATTTGTTTTTACTTATTAAATATTTCCGCCTTGGCCAGGCATGGTGGCTCACGCCTATAATCCCAGCACTGTGAGATGCCAAGGCAGGAGGATCACTTGAGTTTAAGAGTTCTAGACCAGGCTGGGTATGGTGGCTCATGCCTATAATCCCAGCACTTTGTGAGGCCAAGGTTGGCGGATCACCTGAGGTCAGGAGTTTAAGACCAGCCTGGCCAACATGGTAAAACCCCATCTCTACAAAAAATACAAAAATTAGCCAAGGGGTGGTGGTGGGCACCTATAATCCCATCTTCTTGGGAGGCTAAGGCAGGAGAATCGCTTGAACCTGGAGGCAGAGGTTGCAGTGAGCCGAGATCATGCCACTGTATTCCAGCCTGGGTAACAGAGCAAGACTCTGTCTCAAAAAAAAAAAAAAGTTTGAAACCAGCCTGGTCAACACAGCAAGACACCCATCTCGTTGAAAAATAACGGTCGGGCGCAGTGGCTCACGCCTGTAATCCCATCACTTTGGGAGGCCGAGGCAGGCAGATCACCTGAGGTCGGGAGTTCGAGACCAGCGTGACCAACATGGAGAAACCCCATCTCTACTAAAAATACAAAATTAGTTGGGCGAGGTGGTGCATACCTGTAATCCCAACTACTTGGGAGGCTGAGGCAGGAGAACAGCTTGAACCTGGGAGGCAGAGAGGTTGTGGTGAGCCAAGATCATGCCATTGCACTGCAGCCTGGGCAACAAGAGCAAACTCCATCTCAAAAAAAATAAATAAATAAAAATAAATAAATAAGTACTTCTGCCTTTAAGCCACTTCCTAGAAGGCAGTGGCACAAAGTGATACATTTGGAGGAGTAAATATATTACAAAATGAATTAGGCTGGGCGCAGTGGCTCATGTCTGTAATCCCCGCACTTTGGGAGGCCAAGGCGGGTGGATCACTTGAGGTCAGGAGTTCGAGACTAGCCTGATCAACAGGGTAAAATCCCATCTCTACTAAAAATACCAAAAAAACTAGCTGGGCGTGGTGGCAGGCACCTGTAATGTCAGCTACTAGGAAGGCTGAGGCAGGAGAATCGCTTGAACCCAGGAGGTGGAGGTTGCAGTGAGCCAAGATTGCACCATTGCACTTCAGCTTGGGCAACAGAGTGAGACTCCGTCTCAAAAAAAAAAAAAGAACTAACATGCCAGAACTTTGCCTTCAGTATGTTTTGTGATTTTTCCCTTCTTGTGCCATTTCATCATTAGTTCCATGTATTATTTAAGATTTCTTATCAACCAGCACCTTGGGATTTTTTTGTGTATGTGTTGGTTTAGGGGGTTTATTTGTTTTTTTCTTTTTTTTCGGTAATTGAAAATGTGAAGCAAAATGTCACCTGTTTTTTCTTTCATGTCTGACACTCATGTCTTGTTTACCCCCGACATGCAGAAGCTGAAATCCCCATTTCATACAGTCTTCAATGTGGAGGCAGTAGGGATGGAGAAAATAATGTACTTTGTGCTCTCCGGTACTCTTTCTTTCCTATTGTCTGAGGGGATTTGGGCATAATTTATTTTGCTGCAGAGATAAAAATTTGTTATATATATTTTTTATCATTCAGGGCCAAGGAATATAGATTTTTTTTTTCAGCCTTGTCTCAGCTGGGTGTCTTTATTTACTCTGTCTTAAAGTGTTCCTTTTATTATCATTATTATTTTTTAATCATTGAATTCCATTTGGTGCTAGCATCTGTCTGTTGCATTGCTTGTGTTTATAAAATTCTGCCTGATATACTTGTTTAAAAACCAATTTGTGTATCATAGATTGATGCTTTTGAAAAAAATCAGTATTCTAACCTGAATTATCACTATCAGAACAAAGCAGTAAAGTAGATTTGTTTTCTCATTCCATTTAAAGCAGTATTAACTTCACAGAAAAGTAGTGAATACCCTATAAGCCAGAATCCAGAAGGCCTTTCTGCTGACAAGTTTGAGGTGTCTGCAGATAGTTCTACCAGTAAAAATAAAGAACCAGGAGTGGAAAGGTAAGAAACATCAATGTAAAGATGCTGTGGTATCTGACATCTTTATTTATATTGAACTCTGATTGTTAATTTTTTTCACCATACTTTCTCCAGTTTTTTGCATACAGGCATTTATACACTTTTATTGCTCTAGGATACTTCTTTTGTTTAATCCTATATAGGTTTTTTGAACCTATAACATAAGCTACAACATGAGAAATGTGCGGTTAGATAGATATGTCCCTTCTGAAGGTCAGAAAAAAATATAATGGAGGTAAAACCTGAACAAGCTTGGAAACTGATGGTAGACTTCTTCAAGGCAGCCCTTGCCCTAATTAAAATTCTTGTCTTTCTAGAAAAAGTCTAGCTGTTGATTTACCACAGAAAATAATAATAATAATTACTATTATTATTATTTTTTGAGACAGGGTCGCCCTGTGTCACCTAGATTGCAGTGGTGCAGTCATGGCTCACTGCATCCTCCGTTTTTCAGGCTCAAGCAATCCTCCCACCTTAGCCTCCTGAGTAGCTGGGTCCACAAGCATGCGCCACCCACACCCACTAAGTTTTTGTATTTTTGGTAGAGATGGAGTTTTACCTTGTTGCCCAGGCTGGTCTCAAATTCCTGGACTCAAGTAGTCCGCCCGCCTTGCCCTCCCAAAGCCAGAAAACATTTAGAATATCTTTCAGAGATGTGTATTTACACCACTATTAACACAGGGCTGTATAGCAGTCCAGTACTGGACTATGTAGTCCAGTACTATTCTTTTCCTTACTGGAGGGCCAGGCGTGGTGGCAGGTGCCTGTAATCCCAGCTACTCAGGAGGCTGAGGCAGGAGAATTGCTTGAACCTGGGAGGCAGAGGTTGCAGTGAGCTGGGACCGTGCCATTGCACTCCAGCCTGGGCGACAGAGCAAGACTCCGTCTCAAAACAAAAAAAAAAAGAGAGAGAGAGCAGTAATTCAGGTCTCACCCATCTTCAATCCAGGGGGCCTAGCCTTAGTATTTGACCCATAGTAAGCACCCAATAATTGTTTAAATTAATTAACCTCTGAGGCCCTTTAAATCTGTTGATAAGTATCTTATTTTGCAAAGTCCTAAGCACTTGGAAGAGCAGAGGAACTATTTACTGGGTGTGTATGCTTTTCTAACAATATTTTATAGCTGGCTTTTGTTTTTAGAATGAATTTGAACATTGAAAAGGCAGGCAATAGGGATGATTCTGTGAATTCTGCTAAAACTGAGTAGAAAGAATGAGTGTAGAGATGTCGACATTGATCAACTTTCTATCTTCATAAGAGATCTGATTCTAACATATCCATTTAGACTCAAGTAGAATATTGTGTATAGAGTGAGTGGCAGTGAGTAATTTGGTAAAAATTTGCTGACCTGCTTTTATTCTTTCCTCCTTTCTTTCTTCCTTTCCTTCCTTCCTTCCTTCCGTCCTTTCCTTTCCTTTCCCTCCCTTCCTTCCTTCTTTCCTTCTTTCTTTCCTTTCTTTCCTTTCTTCCTTTCTTTCCTTCCTCCCTTCCTTTTCTTTTCTTTCTTTCCTTTCCTTTTCTTTCCTTTCTTTCCTTTCCTTTCTTTCTTGACAGAGTCTTGCTCTGTCACTCAGGCTGGAGTGCAGTGGCGTGATCTCGGCTCACTGCAACCTCTGTCTCCCAGGTTCAAGCAATTTTCCTGCCTCAGCCTCCCGAGTAGCTGAGATTACAGGCGCCAGCCACCACACCCAGCTACTGACCTGCTTTTAAACAGCTGGGAGATATGGTGCCTCAGACCAACCCAACCCCATGTTATATGTCAACCCTGACATATTGGCAGGCAACATGAATCCAGACTTCTAGGCTGTCTTGCGGGCTCTTTTTTGCCAGTCATTTCTGATCTCTCTGACATGAGCTGTTTCATTTATGCTTTGGCTGCCCAGCAAGTATGATTTGTCCTTTCACAATTGGTGGCGATGGTTTTCTCCTTCCATTTATCTTTCTAGGTCATCCCCTTCTAAATGCCCATCATTAGATGATAGGTGGTACATGCACAGTTGCTCTGGGAGTCTTCAGAATAGAAACTACCCATCTCAAGAGGAGCTCATTAAGGTTGTTGATGTGGAGGAGCAACAGCTGGAAGAGTCTGGGCCACACGATTTGACGGAAACATCTTACTTGCCAAGGCAAGATCTAGGTAATATTTCATCTGCTGTATTGGAACAAACACTTTGATTTTACTCTGAATCCTACATAAAGATATTCTGGTTAACCAACTTTTAGATGTACTAGTCTATCATGGACACTTTTGTTATACTTAATTAAGCCCACTTTAGAAAAATAGCTCAAGTGTTAATCAAGGTTTACTTGAAAATTATTGAAACTGTTAATCCATCTATATTTTAATTAATGGTTTAACTAATGATTTTGAGGATGAGGGAGTCTTGGTGTACTCTAAATGTATTATTTCAGGCCAGGCATAGTGGCTCACGCCTGTAATCCCAGTACTCCAGGAGGCCGAGGCAGGTGGATCAGCTGAGGTCAGGAGTTCAAGACCTGTCTGGCCAACATGGTGAAACCCTGTCTCTACTAAAAATACAAAAAAATTAACTGGGTGTGCTAGTGCATGCCCGTAATCCTAGCTACTCTGGAGGCTGAGGCAGCAGAATCACTTGAACCCGGGAGGCGGAGGTTGCGGTGAGCCAAGATCACACCACTGCACTCCAGTCTGGGTGACAGAGCAAGACTCCATCTCAAAAAATATATATATATATATATACACACATATATTTTATTTCAACTGTTAGACAAGAGTCCAAAGGCCAAAGAATAAAGTTTTAGGCCAGTCCTTTATTAGAAAATGAGTCAAATCCCAAAGCAAGTTTTTTTTATGAGTTAATGAATATAAATGACTACATATTTTATGCCTTAAAAATCACTTTTAATGAATGGTGTTTTATGGCTTGTAAATCAGAGTTTTAATCAGTAAAGAAAGTTTTTAATCCTCAAAAACACGTTATCATAAAAGACACTGTTTGGCATCAAATGTGGTATTTGGCCATGTTCATTAGGGTCATTTTAGGAATCTCATACATTCTACTTAGCTATGCTTAATTCCTGATACCATGGCATTTTCTGAAATGTTTCAAGGATGACATCTCTGCTGTTTTTAATTTGGTAATGATATCTGCTGATTTATTAAGTGAAAAAAGTAATGGTGTCATTACCTTGGATGAAGAAACAAAAATAAAGCATTTGCCACATTTTTCAACTTTTTTTTCCTTTCTTACAAAATTGCTATAAGCTCATTGCCCCCAAATTGGACAATATAGGGAATAAAAAAGATAATTTGGGGTGGGGTTAGACACGGGTCTTGTTATGTTGCCGAGGCTGGTCTCTAACTCCTGGCCTCATGCAATCTTCCTACCTTGGCCTCCCAAAGTGCTGGGATTATAGGTGTGAGCCACTTCACCAAGCTGAGATGCCACCTCTTAAAAGATAAAATAAGGACAGATTACAGCCACTGCTCATGCCTGTAATCTCAGTACTTTGGGAGGCCAAGGTGGGAGAATTGCTCGAGGCCAAGAGTTCAAGACCAGCCTGGGCAATGTAGCGAGACCTGATCTCTATAAAAAGTAAAAAAAAAAAAAAACTAGCTGGGGCCAGGCGTGGTGGGTGGCTTACGCCTGTAATCCCAGCACTTTGGGAGGCCGAGGCGGGCAGATCACCTGAGGGCAGGAGTTCAGGACCAACCTGACCAATATGGAGAAACCCTGTCTCTACTAAAAATACAAAATTAGCCAGGCTTGGTGGCTTATGCCTGTAGTCCCAGCTACTCGGGAGGCTGAGGCAGGAGAATCGCTTGAACCTGGGAGGCAGAGGTTTCAGTGAGCTGAGATCGCGCCATTGCACTCTAGCCTGGGCAACAAGAATGAAACTCCATCTCAAAAAAAAAAAAAATCAGCTGGAAGGTGGCAAACACCTGTGGTCCCAGCTACTCAGGAGGCTGAGACAGGAAGATCACTTGAGTCCAGGAGGTCAAGGCTGCAGGTGAGCCATGTTTGTGCCACTGCACTGCAGCCTGGATGACAGACCGAGACCCTTCTCAAAAAAAAAAATATTACCCGTACTCTTTTTTGAGACGGAGTTTCACTCTTGTTGCCCAGGCTGGAGTGCAATGGCGCAATCTCGGCTCAGCGCAACCTCCGCCTCCTGGGTTCGAGCGATTCTCCTGCTTCAGCCTCCCCAGTAGCTGGGATTACAGGCATGCACCACCACGCCCGGCTAATTTTTTGTATTTTTAGTAGAGACAGGGTTTCTCCATGTTGGTCAGACTGGTCTCGACCTCTTGACCTCAGGTGATCCGCCCACCTTGGCCTCCCAAAGTGCTGGGATTACAGGCCTGAGCCACCGCACCCGGCCTGTACTCTTATTCTTTAATAATAAAATATTTCTGTGTTTCTTTAGTCATTTTACATAAACTTTTATTTATTTATTTATTTTTATTTATTTATTTTTTTGAGACGGAGTCTCGCTCTGTTGCCCAGGCTGGAATGCAATGGCTCAATCTCAGCTCACTGCAAGCTCTGCCTCCCGGGTACACGCCATTCCCCTGCCTCAGCCTCCCTAGTAGCCGGGACTACAGGCGCCCGCCACCACGCCCAGCTAATTTTTTTTTTTGTATTTTCAGTAGAGACAGGGTTTCACTGTGTTAGCCAGGATGGTCTTGATCTCCTGACCTCGTGATCCACCCGTCTCGGCCTCCCAAAGTGCTGGGATTACAGGTGTGAGCCACCGTGCTCGGCCCATAAACTTTTATTTTTAAAATAATGTCATGATAAATAATATTGCTTAGGTGTCTTTAATATATTAGTAACATTTCTGTTTTATTGTACATCAACATTTATATTCAAATTAATGGGTGAAGAGTACTCCATTGGACTAGGTATATCGTAATTTAATCTCCTATTATTGGACAACTACATTGTTTCTAAAATTATACTATTCCTATGACTAAACCTTTGCATATATCTTTTATCTCCCTAGGATATATTTCTAAAACTAGCATTGTTGACTGAAAGTGTAAATACGTGTTAAGGTGTTTGCTACATAATGCCATATTTCCTTTTTAGGAAACTAAGCTACTTTGGATTTCCACCAACACTGTATTCATGTACCCATTTTTCTCTTAACCTAACTTTATTGGTCTTTTTAATTCTTAACAGAGACCAGAACTTTGTAATTCAACATTCATCGTTGTGTAAATTAAACTTCTCCCATTCCTTTCAGAGGGAACCCCTTACCTGGAATCTGGAATCAGCCTCTTCTCTGATGACCCTGAATCTGATCCTTCTGAAGACAGAGCCCCAGAGTCAGCTCGTGTTGGCAACATACCATCTTCAACCTCTGCATTGAAAGTTCCCCAATTGAAAGTTGCAGAATCTGCCCAGAGTCCAGCTGCTGCTCATACTACTGATACTGCTGGGTATAATGCAATGGAAGAAAGTGTGAGCAGGGAGAAGCCAGAATTGACAGCTTCAACAGAAAGGGTCAACAAAAGAATGTCCATGGTGGTGTCTGGCCTGACCCCAGAAGAATTTGTGAGTGTATCCATATGTATCTCCCTAATGACTAAGACTTAACAACATTCTGGAAAGAGTTTTATGTAGGTATTGTCAATTAATAACCTAGAGGAAGAAATCTAGAAAACAATCACAGTTCTGTGTAATTTAATTTCGATTACTAATTTCTGAAAATTTAGATCTAGATAAAGCTATAGTGTGGATTATTTTATGTATATTTACTTGAGAAAATAATTATTAAATATTAGTGGAAAAGCTATACTTTGGGTATGATATAGGACTTTCGAATTGGAATTTTCCTTTCTATCTGTAAAAGCAAGTAGGTATAGTTTTATTCCCCAGAAGGCATCTTTTTCTCCCCCTTGTCTCACATGGGTGAATTTACCAGCATATTTAACTAAATTCAGACTGGTTCCAAATGTACTGCCAGATAGTAGCATTTCTCTAGTGTTTGTTTTCATCCTGGCTTGTAAGAATGCCCTGCCACTTCTGCCCTGCAATATCCCTTGCTATTAGGATTTTGGCATCACCTTGGGTCCTTAATGCCAGAAATGGGAATTGCTTCATACTGTGGAAAAATACCCATTAAAATATTAAGACCAGTAAAACCTCGTTTCTGCTTGGGCTATTTGTGGATTTCAGACATCCTGAGAAGTTTACCACCCCTGTAATTAATTGTCATTGTCATCACTTCATAATAAAAATAATTGCATGGCCGGGCATGGTGGCTCAAGCCTGTAATCCCAGCACTTTGGGAGGCTGAGGTGGTCAGATCACCTAAGGTCAGGAGATCAAGACCAGCCTGACCAACATGAAGAAACCCCATCTTTACTAAAAATACACAATTAGCCGGGCGTGGTGGCGCATGCCTATAATCCCAGCTACTCAGGAGGCTGAGGCAGGAGAATTGCTTGAACCCGGGAGGCGGAGGTTGCGGTGAGCCGAGATTGCACCATTGCACTCCAGCCTGGGCAACAAGAGCGAAACTCTGTCTCAATAATAAGAAGAAGAATTGCGTGAATATTTCTTTAAAACTATGATGAGATAACATACCAGATTATCAAATGGATTCAGTAGTGGGTGTGCCATTTATTGCACACTGAGAGATGACCAAGTCATTCTGAAATATCTTTATTAATATATCCTTCCTAGGATTTTTCATCCTAACTTCTCCATAGGTAGTTACTTAGCATAACATCTCTGTGGCCAGATGTATCCCACTACTAAAAGGGCAAAGTAAGCTGTGGCTGCCCTGGTAGATACAATGAGTAAGTGCACAGTGATGGCTATAAATGTTTTCATCTCATAATCCCATGTCCAGACCAGCAATTTGCTCTGAAAGCTCTTACCTGTGTCTGTTTCAATGGCTCTTGATCACTTGCCTGCACGTCCAGAATTCCTTATTTATTCATTGAAAATTAGCGTTCTTTATCCCTTTGTTTTGCAAGTTCAGCTTTTTAGAGATGGCTAAAATGGTCTAATCTTTCTTGGCAAAGGCAATTCTGAGCTGCAGATTAGACTACAAGTGGCTTGGGTACATGTTGTCTTTAAACAAGCGAAGAGGAAAACTTTGAGCTCTATTCAGACTTGGTGAAGTGTGGTAAATTTATGATGAAAGCTACTGACTGTATTACACATGATTAATTCTGAAGCCCATATTAAGATGATCTTTTCAGCAGTTCAGCATTGCTCTTCTAACTGAACAGTTTCAAGGCTGGGATTTCAGCAATTAATCAGTTCAGAATTGCTAATGATCCTGGCGGAGGGTGGTAGCAAAAGGGGGAGGATGTCATTAGCTTCTCTAGCCTGCCTTTTTTCAGTGCCCTGTGGCAGTATGGAGTGAGGCAACATGAAAGAAAGATGGCCTGACCTTCATGGCAGTATTGTGCAACACGTAAATACTGGTGTGAGTGGCTGTGGCTATGGCTAGTAAATGATGGCCCTTGGTAAACAAAGTTATTTATCAGACAATACCTACCAGCTAGGTCAACTGTGCCCATAATTGATCTGGTTAATTTCTTTTGCTGCCTATTGATTTTTATTTGGTTGATAGATAATAGCTAGAGGACTCTAAATTTCTTTGGGGAAGAACATGAACCCCTTCTAAGCCTTCTTACGAGAGAATTGATCGCTTTTGCACTGACCTTTAGTAACATCCTGATTTCAGTGTTTTGTAACTATCAGAGGGTTGAGTCTTGGTTTTAAGCCATGTATATCTGTAGCATAACTTTCTGTGTAGGCTAGTTACCTCTCAGCTTATAAAGTGTAGGCTGATAAATTTATAGTACAGTAGAGTGTCACTATGCAAAGAAACGATCTTAGGGAATCGAATGATATCTGCTATTAAAGCAAAATTAATATATATTTTTTCTTTTTACTTTTTTTTTTTTTTAAAGACATGAAATCTCACTGTATTGCCCAGGCTGGTCTTGGTCTCAGACTCTTGAGCTCAAGCAGTCCTCCCACCTCAGCTTCCCAAAGTGCTGGGATTATAGGCATGAGCTGCCGTGTCTGGCCCAGTATATATTTTTTAAGTTTTAAGTTTTGTGGTACGTAGTAGGTTTATAATATTATTTTGAATCCTTAGTTGTAATTTTATGTCTGCTGATGTGTACATAATTTTTATTAAACTATTTATTTGAGACTTCAGGTATCTTTTTTTTTTTTTTGAGACGGAGTCTCGCACTCTCGCCCAGGCTAGAGTGCAGTGGCGCCATCTCGGCTTACTGCAAGCTCTGCTTCCTGGGTTCACGCCATTCTCCTGCCTCAGCCTCCTGAGTAGCTGAGACTACAGGTGCCCGCCACCACGCCTGGCTAATTTTTTGTATTTTTAGTAGAGACAGGGTTTCACCGTGTTAGCCAGGATGGTCTCGATCTCCTGACCTTGTGATCTGCCCGCCTCAGCCTCCCAAAGTGCTGAGATTACAGGCGTGAGCCACCGCGCCCAGCCGAGACTTCAGGTGTCTTAGAATTTTTTAAATGTACCCTTTCTGAGAAAAACAGAGACTTAAAGCTAGGATAACTGGTATTCTATTTTTTTTTTTTTTTTTTTTTTACCTCCAGCCTGGGTGACAGAGCAAGACTCTGTCTAAAAAAAAAAAAAAAAAAATTCACTTTAAATAGTTCCAGGACACGTGTAGAACGTGCAGGATTGCTACATAGGTAAACATATGCCATGGTGGAATAACTAGTATTCTGAGCTGTGTGCTAGAGGTAACTCATGATAATGGAATATTTGATTTAATTTCAGATGCTCGTGTACAAGTTTGCCAGAAAACACCACATCACTTTAACTAATCTAATTACTGAAGAGACTACTCATGTTGTTATGAAAACAGGTATACCAAGAACCTTTACAGAATACCTTGCATCTGCTGCATAAAACCACATGAGGCGAGGCACGGTGGCGCATGCCTGTAATCGCAGCACTTTGGGAGGCCGAGGCGGGCAGATCACGAGATTAGGAGATCGAGACCATCCTGGCCAGCATGGTGAAACCCCGTCTCTACTAAAAAATAAAAAAATTAGCTGGGTGTGGTCGCGTGCGCCTGTAGTCCCAGCTACTCGTGAGGCTGAGGCAGGAGAATCACTTGAACCGGGGAGATGGAGGTTGCAGTGAGCCGAGATCATGCCACTGCATTCCAGCCTGGCGACAGAGCAAGGCTCCGTCTCAAAAAAAAAAAAAAAAAACGTGAAAAAATAAGAATATTTGTTGAGCATAGCATGGATGATAGTCTTCTAATAGTCAATCAATTACTTTATGAAAGACAAATAATAGTTTTGCTGCTTCCTTACCTCCTTTTGTTTTGGGTTAAGATTTGGAGTGTGGGCCAGGCACGGTGGCTCACACCTGTAATCTCAGCACTTTGGGAGGCCGAGGCGGGTGGATCACCTGAGGTCAGGAGTTCGAGACCAGCCTGGCCAACGTGTTGAAACCCCGTCTCTACTAAAAATATAAAAATTAGGTGGGCGTGGTGGCAGGCACCTGTAATCCCAGCTACTCAGGAGGCTGAGGCAGCAGAATCGCTTGAACCCAGGAGGTGGAGGTTGCAGTGACCCAAGATCGCACCATTGCACTCCAGCCTGGGGACAAGAGCGAGATTCTTGTCTCAAAAAAAAAAAAAAAAAAAAAAGGTTTGGAGGGTGGTGAGCTGAGATAGTCAACTATTAACTCCTATCTACCTGCTGGGACTACACTGGTGAGGTGGAGCCTAAGTCCTAAAACAACAAGTGAGGCAGCTGGACGCGGTGGCTCGCATCAGTAATCCCAGCACTTTGGGAGCCTGAGGCGGGCAGATCACAAGGTCAGGAGTTCGAGACCAGCCTGGCCAATATGGTAAAACCCAGTCTCTACTAAAAATACATAAATTGGCTGGGCGTGGTGGTGTGCACCTGTAATCCCAGCTACTTGGGAGGCTGACACAGAAGAATTGCTTGAACTCTGGAGGCTGAGGTTGCAGTCAGCTGAGATCCTGCCACTGCACTCCAGCCTGGCGACAGAGTGAGACTCTGTCTCAACAACAACAAAAGAAAGAACAAGTGAGGCAAAACCTGGAGACCCCAGCTTCATGTAACACCTAGTTTGAGTATTGTTGAGAGTTTTTCAGGAAAAAAGTCTGATAACAGCTCCGAGATAGTCTTAACATATGAAAAAGCAAAAAAGGGAGGAGACAGATCATTTGTCCTATACCTTTCTCTTTTAAGGTTTTAATTATAACTTGTGTAATACAGGAGACCTCTGGGTGTTTTTAGTTGACTATAAACTAAATCTGAGTACACATTTCAGGGCTGCTAAAAATGCTTATTTGAAACTGGGCCGTATTAACACAAGCAGAGGCTCTGGAGCAAGTGAAGTACAGATCCAGAGCCCCACTGTATTCTCCAATGGAGTGATTGCCTGAAAGATGATGTCAGTTTTAAGCACCGTGCTTGGTTTTTAACATGGTCACTGACAAATTGGAGAGTGTTTATCCAGAGGTAGATGGTAAAGATACATAAAAGTAACTTGAAATACTGTCTTTTGAAGAAGAAATGAGAAGATTTAAGGAAATAAGACACTGTCTTCAAGTATCTGAAGAACCGTTACCCGGAAGAGAACTGTTATCTGGAACAGGATTAAGACTCACTCATGGGGCTCCAGAAAGCAGACGAGTGCATGGAGGACGCAGAAGATGCAGATTGTGTGGCTCAACTCTAAAATCTTTCTAACAAAATTAGTTCTCTGGATGTGTTCCAGTTCACTTGATGATGATTCTTTTGTTTTTGTTTTTGTTTTTGAGGTGTAGTTTTTCACTCTTGTTGCCCAGGCTGCTGGAGTGCAATGGCACGATCTTGGCTTGCTGCAACCTCCCCCTCCCGGGTTCAAGCGATTCTCCTGCCTCAGCCTCCCGAGTAGCTGGGATTACAGGAATGCACCACCATACCTAATTTTGTATTTTTAGTAGAGACAGGGTTTTTCCATGTCAGTCAGGCTGGTCTTGGACTCCCGACCTCAGGTGATCCACCTACCTCGGCCTCCCAAAGTGCTGGGATTACAGGTGTGAGCCATCGCGCCTAGCCTATGATGATTCTTTTCACAGAGATACAGGCACTTAAGGAGAGGATCTAAACCCCTTGGACACATTGCCGTTGAACTTCTAAGATCTTAGGTTTCCACTTACTCATGAAAATTATACCACAGGGTCAGAGGGTAGTGTTCATTGGAGCCAGGTGCCAGAACAAGTTATTACAAACTACTATTTTAGAGAAAAATGTCATTAAAGTTTAAGATACCTTAAGCTATAGGTTTGCATCAAAGTTAATGAAAGGTAAAAAGATGCCAAGCGTGGTGGCTCAGGCCTGTAATCCCAGCGCTTTGGGGGGCCAAGGCGGGCAGATCACGAGGTCAGGAGATCGAGACCATCCTGGCTAACACGGTGAAACCCCATCTCTAGTAAAAATACAAAAAATTAGCCGGGCATGGTGGCGGGCATCTGTAGTCCCAGCTACTCAGGAGGCTGAGGCAGGAGAATGGCATGAACCCAGGAGGCAGAGCTTGCCGTGAGCTGAGATCCAGCCACTGCACTCCAGCCTGGCTGACAGAGCAAGACTGCATCTCAAAAAAAAAAAAAAAAAAAAATGCAAATCAAATCTAAAGTAGTTCAGTCTTTAAACTCAAAGCCAATACATTTGCTTTGAACTACAAATGAACTGAAGTTTTTAAGTGTAATAAATGTTACTAAATCGGCTTTTGTAGCAGTTAAACAAAAAACTTCAAAAATTGTAAGGATTCTGTGAGGGAGCATGGCTGCTGCTGCTGCTGCTGCTTGCAGATAGCCTGCTGTGTTTAGGATTTAGTTAAATACATTTCTCCTGTTTAAAACTAAATGGTCTTTCCTTAGTTTGCTTAGTTCTTCAGAAGGGCCTTTGAAACACTGGGAAATAAACAAGTGATTCTTTAGCTACTGCTTTCTGAAATACTTATATAAAAGCTCTGCACTGTATTCTCCCATCCCTCTCAGGGGAATATTAGAGGGTTAGGACTCCCCAGGTAGACATTCTAGGGGTGAAAATTTGTCATTACATTGACATTTCAGATTTAGGTTTTCAACAATACTGTTTTCTTCTTTCACATATTGCCATCTAGTAATATAGATGTTCTCCGTCCACATTAATCAAAACTATTGACATGGATAATTCCTAATTCCTTGAACACTATAATGGAGATCTATAGCTAGCCTTGGCGTCTAGAAGATGGGTGTTGAGAAGAGGGAGTGGACAGATATTTCCTCTGGTCTTAACTTCATATCAGCCTCCCCTAGACTTCCAAATATCCATACCTGCTGGTTATAATTAGTGGTGTTTTCAGCCTCTGATTCTGTCACCAGGGGTTTTAGAATCATAAATCCAGATTGATCTTGGGAGTGTAAAAAACTGAGGCTCTTTAGCTTCTTAGGACAGCACTTCCTGATTTTGTTTTCAACTTCTAATCCTTTGAGTGTTTTTCATTCTGCAGATGCTGAGTTTGTGTGTGAACGGACACTGAAATATTTTCTAGGAATTGCGGGAGGAAAATGGGTAGTTAGCTATTTCTGTAAGTATAATACTATTTCTCCCCTCCTCCCTTTAACACCTCAGAATTGCATTTTTACACCTAACGTTTAACACCTAAGGTTTTTGCTGATGCTGAGTCTGAGTTACCAAAAGGTCTTTAATTGTAATACTAAACTACTTTTATCTTTAATATCACTTTGTTCAGATAAGCTGGTGATGCTGGGAAAATGGGTCTCTTTTATAACTAATAGGACCTAATCTGCTCCTAGCAATGTTAGCATATGAGCTAGGGATTTATTTAATAGTCGGCAGGAATCCATGTGCAGCAGGCAAACTTATAATGTTTAAATTAAACATCAACTCTGTCTCCAGAAGGAAACTGCTGCTACAAGCCTTATTAAAGGGCTGTGGCTTTAGAGGGAAGGACCTCTCCTCTGTCATTCTTCCTGTGCTCTTTTGTGAATCGCTGACCTCTCTATCTCCGTGAAAAGAGCACGTTCTTCTGCTGTATGTAACCTGTCTTTTCTATGATCTCTTTAGGGGTGACCCAGTCTATTAAAGAAAGAAAAATGCTGAATGAGGTAAGTACTTGATGTTACAAACTAACCAGAGATATTCATTCAGTCATATAGTTAAAAATGTATTTGCTTCCTTCCATCAATGCACCACTTTCCTTAACAATGCACAAATTTTCCATGATAATGAGGATCATCAAGAATTATGCAGGCCTGCACTGTGGCTCATACCTATAATCCCAGCGCTTTGGGAGGCTGAGGCGCTTGGATCACCTGATGTCGGGAGTTCAAGACCAGCCTGACCAACATGGAGAAACCCCGTTTCTACTAAAAATACAAAATTAGCCGGGCTTGGTGGCACTTGCCTGTAATTCCAGCTACTCGGGAGGCTGAGGCAGGAGAATCACTTGAACCTGGGAGGCGGGGGTTGCAGTGAGCTGAGATCGCATCATTGCACTCTAACCTGGGCAACAAGAGCAAAACTCCATCAAAAGAAAAAAAAAATCGGGTGCAGTGGCTCATGCCTGTAATCCTAACACTGTGGGAGGCCAAGACAGGCAGATTGCCTGAGCTCAGGAGTTCGAGATCAGCCTGGGCAACATGGTGAAACCCTGTCTCTACTAAAATACAAAAAATTACTCAGCGTGGTGGCATGCGCCTTTAGTTCCAGCTACTCAGGAGGCTGAGGCAGGAGAATCTCTTGAACCCGGGAGGTGGAGGTTGCAATGAGCCAAGATCGTGCCACTGCACTCCAACCTGGCAACAGAGCGAGACTCCGTCTTAAAAAAAAAAAAAATTTTGCAGCGCAAACCAGGATATCCTCTGTTCTCATTTGTTCTAGATTTCAAAAGAAACAGTCCTTTCTTTGGGGAAAAGAGAAAGGAAAAGGAGTTTTATAAAAGGAAAGAAAAGATTCATAAGAACAAGAAGTGGGCCCACTTGCATATACCTTTGTAGAAAACTGTTCACTGTTGTTGAAGAAAAGCTCTTCATATTAATATGCAGTCCAGATGCAGTGGCTCACACTTATAATCTCAGCCCTTTGGGAGGCTGAGACAGGAAGATTACTTGAGGCCAGGAGTTTGAAACCAGCCTGGGCAACATAGTGAGACTCTGTCTCCACAAAATTTTTTTTTAATTAGCCGGGCATGGCAGTGTGCTTCTGTAGTCTTAGCTACTGAGGAAGCTAAGCCAGAAGAATCACTTGAGCCCAGGAGTTCAAGGCTGCAGTGAGCTATGATCATACCATTGCACTCTTGCACTTGCACAGAGCAAGACCCTGTCTCTTAAAAAAAAAAAAGTGTGTGTGTGCATATGCATATATACATATATATACATGCAAATGTATCTGTTTATAATTCAGATTGCTTCAAAAAGATGTTGCACTTTATGATACTGAGAACAGTGAGAAGTAAATAAGATAGAGTGTAGGAGGAGGAATAATTTCAGAACAGCCATCTGAGAACTTCTGTGACAACAGATCAGGCAAAATGAAATGTGAAAGTAATTTTATAGGCCAGGCGTGGTGGCTCATGCCTATAATCCCAGCACTTTGAGTGGCCAAGGCAGGTGGATCACTTGAGGTCAGGAGTTCGAGACCAGCCTGGTCAACATGGTGAAACCTTGTCTCTACTAAAAACACAAAAAAATTAGTCGAGCGTGGTGGCATGTGCCTGTAATCCTAGCTGCTGGGGAGGCTGAGGCAGGAGAATCACTTGAACCCGGGAGGCGGAGGTTGCAGTGAGCCTAGATTGCACCACTGCACTCCAGCCTGTGAGACAGAATGAGACCCTGTCTTAAAAAAAAAAAAAAAGTAATTTTATAAACTATTGTGCACAATTCGATGTATTCATAATTAATTAAATGATTATTTTTGTTGGTTTTAACTTTTATTCAGTGGCTATTTATTGGGAGCCTACTGTGTTCTGGGCACTAGGAATGCAACAGTAAATAAGACTAACTAAGTCCCTGGTAGGATTCAGGTTCTGTCGAGGGGAGATACACAATAAAGATGAATTTAAGATAACAATAAATGCTATGGAGAAATATACAGAACAGTGGAATAGTATTAGCTGTCAAAGGTTGTTGATTACTTTCGTTTAAGGAGGCCAGGGAAAGCCTTTCTGAAAAAATTGAGCTGAGACCTAAATAACAAGAAATAATTGTCCTTGAAAAATGAAGGGAATGCATCTTATAGGCAGAGGAATAGCAAACATAAAGGTCTTGAGGTAATAATGAGTGTGGTTTTTTGATTTCTGTATTTTGGTTTTTTTGAGATGGTGTCTCCCTCTATCCCCCAGGCTGGAGTGCAGTGGCACAATCTTGGCTCACTGCAAACTCTGTCTCCTGGGTTCAAGCAATTCTCCTGCCTTGGCCTCCTGAGTAGCTGGTATTACAGGCACGCGTGCTACCACACCCGACTAGTTTTTATTTTTAGTAGAGATGGGGTTTTACCACGTTGGTCAGGCTGGTCTCAAACTCCTGAACTCAAGTGATCCAACCACCTCAACCTCCCAAAGTGCTGGGATCACAGGTGTGAGCCACTGTGCCCGGCCAGAGCTTGGTTTATTTTTTAAAAGATAGGCCAATGTTGGTCGTGTGTGGTGGCTCGTGCCTATAATCCCAGCACTTTGGGAAGCCAAGGCAGGCAAATCACTTGAGGTCAGGAGTTCGAGACCAGCCTGGCCAACATGGTGAAACCCCATCTCTACTAAAAATACAAAAAACTAGCATGGTGTGGTGGTGTGTGCCTGTAATCCCAGTGCCTGTAATCCCAGCTACTCCAGAGGCTGAGGCAGGAGAATCACTTGAACCGAAAGGTAGGAGTTACAGTGAGCCAAGATCGCATCACTGCACTCCAGCCTGAACGACAGAGCAAGACTCCTGTCTCAAGAAATAATAATGATAAAAGGTTCGGGCACAGTGGCTCACACCTGTAATTCCAGCACTCTAGGAGGCCGAGGCAGGCAGATCCCCTGAGGTCAGGAGTTTGAGACCAGCCTGGCCAACGTGGCAAAACCCCATCTCTACTAAAAAATGCAAAAATTAGCTGGGCACGGCTGGGTGTGGTGGCTCATTCCTGTAATCCCAGCACTTTGGGAGGTCAAGGCGGACAGATCACTGAGGTAGAAACCCTGTCTCTACTAAAAATACAAAAATTTGCCCAGCGTGGTGGCGCGTGCCTCTAATCCCAGCTACACGGGAGGCTGAGACAAGAGAATCACTTCATCAACCCGGGAGGTGGAGGTTGTGGTGAGCTGAGATCGCACCATTGCACTCCAGCCTGGGCAACAAGAGTGAAACTCCATCTCAAAAACAAAAAAAAATTAGCTGGGAATGGTGGCATGTGCCTGTAATCACAGCTACTTGGGAGGCTGGGGCAGGAGAATCGCTTGAACCCAGGAGGCGGAGATTGCAGTGAGCTGAGATTGCGCCACTGCACTCCAGGCTGGGCGAAAGAGCAAGACTCCGTCTCAAAAATAATAATAATAATAATAATAGGCCAGTGTAGCTGGAGTAATTTGCAAATTATGTGTGGAGGCAGAGATTACACAAGGAATGGGAGAAGGTCATAGATGAGGGCCAGATCACATAGTATTTGGTGGTAAGGAATTCAGATTTTATCCTTGTGGTAATTGGTGGTGTGGAGATGGTTAAAAACAAGGTTGGTTTGGGATGGGTTTGAAGAGAGGACTTGCTAATGGATTAAATTTGGAGGATAAGGTAAAGAGAAATTGAAGGAGTGACACTTGGGTTTTGGCTTGAACAATAGATCTTGTTAGTAATATTAAATTAGATGAAGAAGGCATGGTAGGGAATATGGGGGAGTGGGAAAGGCAGGAAGCAGGAATGGAACCAGGAACTCTGTTTTAGATGTGAGAATTTGTTGTTGTTGTTGTTGTTGTTGTTGTTGTTGTTGTTGTTGTTGTGACAGCATCTCGTTCTGTTGCCCAGGCTAGAGTGCATGGAGTGCGGTAGCACGATCTCAGCTCACTCCAACCTCCGCCTCCCGGTTCAAGTGATTTTCCTGCCTCAGCCTCCCGAGTAGCTGGGATTACAGGCACCTGCCACAATGCCTGGCTAATACTTGTATTTTTAGTAGAGATGGGGTTTTACCATGTTGGCCAGGCTGGTCTTAAACTCCTGACCTCAGGTAATCCACCCACCTCGGCCTCCCAAAGTGCTGGGATTGCAGGTGTGAGCCACTGTGCCCGGCCAGATGCATGAATTTTGAGATGTATACTAGACTTCTGGATAGAGAAGTTAAGTAGGCAGTTGGACACATTGTATGAAGCTCAGGGGTACAAGGAGGACTATGAACATGGGAGTCTTCTGACAAATTTATCACTAGACTCCTCATTCAAGTAACTAGGAAATGTCAGATATTCTTCCCCTAGTAATAGCCAGTGGTTATACTCTTGCCTTTAGTTTTCTTCACAATACTCTTGGCAACACATAAGGCCTTCCCTACAATCTGAGTTTCAGTCAGAATTGTTTCTGAGCGTTCTTCCTCAAATTTCTCCCCAGTCTCATTATTCTTTATTCTCATGTCCATGACCAGTCATAATAGTAATTATGAAAAACCTCTAACTTTCTTTAGTGCATTGAATGTATATTTTATCATTTTGGTTGTGTTAACTGTAAATCTCTCAGTGGAAATCTGAAAAGCCTTTATTTCCTTAGATGATAATATACAATTGATTTAGGAGATAGGGAATTTTTCAGTTACCTTTATAACAGCACAGTATTAGCAGTCTAATCTAAATGCTAAGTGAATGTTTTGAGAGGAGATAGATGTTGAAAATTAAAATACATTAAGTCCCAGTGAGGTGAAAAGCCGATTGTTAAGTTCTGCACACAAAAGATTTGCTTCAGTGAATTGATTTCAACAGCTGAGATCCTAGTCATTTCACCTGGTCTACCAAAAAGAATGATTTTACTTGCTTTTGGTCAAATCTCTGCCCAGCAATTCTTTTTCTTTCTTTCTTTTTTTTGTTTTATGTGTGTGTGTGTGTGTGTTTTTTTTTAGCAGAGTCTCACTTTGTCACCCAGGCGGGAGTGTGGTGGTATGATCACAGTTCACTGCAGCCTCCAACTCCTGGGCTCAAGTGATCCTCCAGCTTCAGCTTTTCAAGAAATTGGGACTGCAGGCACATGCAACTATGCCTGGCTGAGGTTTTATGTATCTTTTTTCTAGAGAAGGGGTCTCACTGTGTTGCCCAGCTGGGTCTCCAGCTCCTGGTCTCAAGCTGTCCTCCTGCCTCAGCCTCCCAAAGTGCCAAAGTGCTAGGGTTATAGGTGTGAGCCATTGGTGCCCAGCTACTGCCTGCCTGGCAATTCTGAATGCCTTAAATTTTTTTTTTTTTTTTTTTTTTTTTTGAGACAGAGTTTCACTCTGTCACCCAGGCTGGAGTGCAGTGGCATGATCGTGGCTCACAGCAACCTCTGCCTCCTGGATTCCAGCAATTCTCATGCCTCAGCTTCCCGAGTAGCTGGGACTACAGGTGCATGCCACCACGCCCAGCTAATTTTTGGTTTTTTTGTTTGTTTGTTTGTTTGTTTTGAGACGGAGTCTCGCTCAGTTGCCCAGGCTGGAGTGCAGTGGCGTGATCTCCGCTCACTGCAAGCTCCGCCTCCCGGGTTCACGCCATTCTCCTGCCTCAGCCTCCCGAGTAGCTGGGACTACAGGCGCCTGCCACTACACCCGGCTAATTTTTTTGTATTTTAAGTAGAGACGGGGTTTCACCGTGTTAGCCAGGATGGTCTCGATCTCCTGACCTCGTGATCCGCCTGTCTCGGCCTCCCAAAGTCCTGGGATTACAGGCGTGAGCCACCACACCCGGCCTAATTTTTTTTTTTTTAATTTTATTTTTAATTTTTTGAGATGCGAGATGGAGTCTCGCTCTGTTACCCAGGCTGGAGTGCAGTGGCACCATCTCAGCTCACTGCAACCTCCACCTCCTGCATTCAAAAGATTCTCCTGCCTCAGCCTCCCAAGTAGCTGGGATTACAGGTGCCTGCCACCACGCCCAACTAATTTTTTGTATTTTTAGTAGAGATGAGGTTTCACCATGTTGGTCAGACTGGTGTCGAACTCCTGACCTCAAGTGATCTGCCTGCCTCAGTCTCCCAAAGTGCTAGGATTACAGGGGTGAGCCACTGCGCCTGGCCTGAATGCCTTAAATATGACGTGTCTGCTCCACTTCCATTGAAGGAAGCTTCTCTTTCTCTTATCCTGATGGGTTGTGTTTGGTTTCTTTCAGCATGATTTTGAAGTCAGAGGAGATGTGGTCAATGGAAGAAACCACCAAGGTCCAAAGCGAGCAAGAGAATCCCAGGACAGAAAGGTAAAGCTCCCTCCCTCAAGTTGACAAAAATCTCACCCCACCACTCTGTATTCCACTCCCCTTTGCAGAGATGGGCCGCTTCATTTTGTAAGACTTATTACATACATACACAGTGCTAGATACTTTCACACAGGTTCTTTTTTCACTCTTCCATCCCAACCACATAAATAAGTATTGTCTCTACTTTATGAATGATAAAACTAAGAGATTTAGAGAGGCTGTGTAATTTGGATTCCCGTCTCGGGTTCAGATCTTAGCTGATAAGTGGAAGAGCTGGGACTTTAAGCAGATGAGAATCTAAAGACTTTGCTCTTTTCACTTCACTGGGGTGTCTTTCTCTCTCTCTCTCTTGCTCTCTCTCTCTCTTTTTTTTTTTCCCAAGACGGAGTCTCACTCCATTGCCCAGGCCAGAGTGCAGTGGTGCGATCTCAGCTCACTGAAAACTCATCTTGCCCAGGCTGGTCTTGAACCCCTGACCTTGTGATCCTCCCGCCTTGGCCTCCCCAAGTGCTGGGATAGGCGTGAGCCACCGTGCCCAGCCAATAATAGCTAAAATTTATATAATGTTCACTGGGCCAGGCACAGCGGCTCGTTCCTGTTATCCCAGCACTTTGGGAAGCTGAGGCAGGCAGATCGCTTGAGCCAAGGAGTTCGATACCAGCCTGGGCAACATGGCAAAACCCCATCTCTACCAAAAAAAATATACAAAAATTAGCCAGGCGTGGTGGCATGTACTTGTAGTTCCAGCTACTCGGAAGGCTGAGTTGAGAGTATCTCTTGAGCCCAAGAAGAGGGGACTACAGTGAACGGAGATTGCGCCACTGCACTCCAGCCTAGACGACAGACAGAAGATCTCAAAAGAAAAAAAAAAAAAAAAGATCACTTTATGCTGGGACTGCTCTAAAGGCCCAACCATGTTTTAACTAATTAACAATTTTATGACAACTCTATGAGCTATGTACTGTAATTATGCCTATATTACAGATGTGAAAATTGAGGCTCAGAGAGGTTGAATAAGTTGCTCAAAGTCACACAGGTAATAAGTGATGGAACTAGAAGTTGAACTCAGGAAGTCTAGCTCCAAGTCTAAATTCTTTGTTAATTTATTTTTCGGGCCAGAGTCTTACTCTGTCACCCAGGCTGGAGTGCAGTGCCACTATCTCTGCTCACTGCAACCTTCACCTCCCAAGTTCAAACCTTGTTCAATTCTTGTGCCTTGGCCTCCCAAGTGGCTAGGATTACAGGCATGTGCCACAACAACTAGCTAATTTTTTGTCTGATTCTGTTGGCCAGTCTGGAGTGCAGTGGCGCAATCTCAGCTCACTGCAGTCTCCAGCTCCCAGGTTCAAGTGATTCTCGTGCCTTAGCCTCCCAAATAGCTGGGATTACAGGCACGTGCCACCACACCGAGATAGTTTTTTGTATTTTTAATAGAAACAAGGTTTCAACATGTTGGCCAGGCTGGTCTCAAATTCCAGACCTCAGATCATCTGCCCGCCTCAGGCTCCCAAAGTGCTGGGATTACAGGCATGAGCCACTGCACCCGGCCTTAATTTTTATATTTTTATTAGAGATGGGGTTTTGCCATGTTGGCCAGGCTGGCCTTGATCTCCTGGCCTCCAGTGATCCACCCGCCTTGGCTTCCCAAAGTGCTGGGATTACAAGCATGAGCCACTGCACCCGGCCTCCAATTCTAAACTCTTAACAACAATACTATAGTTTCTTGAAAAGTTGTTGAAGGCTTCACGGAGGGAAAAAAAATGGAGCATTCTAACAACTTTGCAGATGAGACCCAAGAAGACTCAATGACTTTCTCCTGATCATATTGTAGCAGATGACTTAGCCAGAACTCTGACTTCCTCACAGGGAGAAAGTCTGCAAGATTTCACACTTACCTGTCAGGCCTGAGCTGGCTGCTTTCTCAGCTCCCTAAGTGCTATGTTCCCAGTCTGCTTTTCTTCCTTTTTCAAGTGTGCACTACCAGGCATTTCAGAACATCCCAGGCTGGTCGCGGTGGCTCACACCTGTGATCCCAGCACTTTGGGAGCCCAAGGCGGGTGGATCACCTGAGGTCAGGAGTTCGAGACCAGCCTGGCCAACATGGTGAAACCCCATCTCTACTAAAAATACAAAAGTTAACTGGGCGTGGTGGTAGGCACCTGTAATCCTAGCTCAGGATTACTCGGGAGGCTGAGGCTAGAGAATCGGTTGAACCCAGGAGGCGGAGGTTGCAGTGAGCCAAGATTGCGCCACTGCACTCTAGCCTGGGGACAAGAGGGAGACTTCATCTCAAAAAAAAAAAAAAAATCCCAGCTGGGCACAGCGGCTCACTTCTGTAATCCCAGCACTTTAGGAGGCCAAGGCAGGAGGATCACTTGAGCCCAGGAGTTCAAGACTAGCCTGGGCAACATAGTAAGACCCTGTCTCTACAAAAAAATTTAAAAATTAATTGGGTGTCGTAGCACACTCTTGTATTCCCAGCTACTCAGGAGGCTGAGGTGAGAAGAATGCTTGAGTCTGGGAGGTCGAGGCTGCAGTGAGCCATGATGGTGCTACTGCACTCCAGCCTGGCCAACATTGTGAGACCTTGTCTCAAAACAAAACAAAACATCCTTCTACTGAGCACTTTCTGTCCCTTTATAGAAACTTAAGAGGGAACCAGTAGAGGTAATTTCCTAAGGAAAACTGCTTTGGGACATGATCACAAATGAAGCCTGGAGTTTTGAACTGCTGAGGTCAGCCTGTTTTTACCTTCTGAGCCTATCAAGTAATTGTTCCAGATGCCAAGAAAAGCTGCTGGCCTTATTTCTGCTTCTGCCTTTACCACAGGGGAGCGCCATGTGAGCCAGTCCTCTGTTTTTCCTCCACTGTATGCTAGGCAGTATTAGCACCAGATTCTTCCCCTCTTTAAAAAGAAATTCTAGTGCTTTGGATTTTTTCCTCCATGCAGAATAGCAATGATGGAAAGTATGTGGTCAAAGTAATGACATTCTGAAAATACTAAATGTCACCATAGTATTTTTCTCTGGAAGAGAAATGTATATGTAGAGGTGAAACTTCAAATTTCTTTTTTTTTTTTTTTAAGACGAAGCTTTGCTCTTCTTGCCCAGGCTGAAGTACAATGGCGTGATCTTGGCTCACCGCAATCTCTGCCTCCAGGGTTCAAGTGATTCTCCTGCCTCAGCCTCCTAAGTAGCTAGGATTACAGGCATGTGCCACCACGCCCAGCTGATTTTGTATTTTTAGTAGAGATGGGGTTTCTCCATGTTGGTCACGCTGGTCTTGAACTCCCGACCCCAAGTGATCCACCCACCTCGGCCTCCCAAAGTGCTAGGATTACAGGCCACCGCGCCCGGCCTGAAACTTCAAATTTCTTTTTTTTTTTGAGACAGAGTCTCGCTATGTCACCCAGGCTGGAGTGCAGTGGCGCCGTCTCGGCTCACTACCAGCTCCACTCCACCTCCTGGGTTCACACCATTCTCCTGCCTCAGCCTCCCAAGTAGCTGGGACTACAGGTGCCCGCCACCATGCCCAGCTAATTTTTTGTATTTTTAGTAGAGACGGGTTTTCACTGTGTTAGACGGGATGGTCTCCATCTCTTGACCTCGTGATCCGCCTGCCTCAGCCTCCCAAAGTGCTGGGATTACAGGCGTGAGCCACTACGCCAAGCCCGAAACTTCAAATTTCTTATCTCATAACTAGGCATCCTCATCACTGAGTGTTAGCCTGGATATAAACATTCCTAATCTTTTGTACTTTTCATGTCAGCATTTGGCTCCACTTGGCTGCCTGGGGAGAACTTCTAGCATTATGAGCATGCAGGTCCTATCAACAGGTTGGGGGTGCGGTTTATTCATACAGGTAGTGAGAGTGGCACAGATGGATGCTGTCCCTTAAAACAAACAGACTTGTCTTTGGGAGCCTGAGGCGGGTGGATCATGAGGTCAGGAGTTCAAGACCAGCCTGGCCAACATAGTGAAACCCCGTTTCTACTAAAAATACAAAAAATTAGCCGGGTGTGGTGGTGTGCACCTGTAATCCCAGCTACTAGGGAGGCTGAGGCAGGAGAATCACTTGAACCCAGGAGGTGGAGGTTGCAGTGAGCCGAGATGGCACCATTGCACTCCAGCCCAGGCGACAGTGCAAGACTGCGTCTCAAAAAAAAAAAAAAAACACACAGACTTGTCCTACTGCCATTTCTTTTCACTCTGGCGGTAAAGTAAGAGAGTGTGTGTGTGTGTGTGTGTGTGTGTGTGTGTGTGTGTGTGTGTTTCTGTCCGTCTGTCTGTCAAGGGGGAGGGTGACCACTTTCTAAAAGGCCATCCGTGTATTTTTAGCTTCCTGATTTTTTTCTCTATCGCAGTCTCTTTGAAGCCAGGTGAATTTTAGGCCTTGGCAATTTTCTTTTTATTGCAATGGGAAGGTCAAGACACTGAGAGTCACCCAAAACATATCCATCCAAAATGATACAATTTTAGGGTTTATTTTTAAGTGATACCCAAGTTATTTGCTAAGAACCTATGCCAGTGTGTTTATGAGAATTTGCACTGTCCCACACTGTTGCCACCAGCCACATGGGACTGTTTAAATTTAAATTTTACAAATTAGCCAGTCATGGTGGTGTGCACTTGTAGTCCCAGCTACTTAGGAGGCTGAGGCAAGAGGATTGCTTGAGCCCAGAAGTTCAATACTGCAGCAAGCTATGATCGTGCCACTGTACTCCAGCCTGAGTGACAGAATGAGACCTCATCTCTTCAAAAAAAAAGAAAAAAATTAAAATATGAAGTTTAGTTCTTCATTCACCCTAACCACATCTCCAGTGCTCAATAACTATATGTGACTCATGGCTACCTTATTAGCATAGATATAGAACATTGTGACTATCACAGAAAGTTGTTTTGAACAGTGTTGCCAAGCCCTGTAAGTGGAAGAGGCAGTGCAGTGTGATCTGTGTCTTCAGGAAACCAGGTAGTCAGACTAGTTCAATGAGGAGAGGCAGAACCTGGCTTCACTTCTAGATTAAAAACTGCTTAGGTGGCCTAAAGATACAATGGCCATTCTCAGAGTAGTGAGAAGGAAGGAACAGATGTTTAGGGGGCTAGAAGAAAGTCAGAGAGGGCCGGGCGCAGTGGCTTATGCCTGTAATCCCAGCACTTTGGAAGGCCAAGACAGGCAGATCACGAGGTCAGGAGTTCGAGACCAGCCTGACCAACATGGTGAAACCCTGTCTCTACTAAAAATACAAAAATTAGCCGGGCGTGGTGGTGCGCGCCTGTAATCCCAGCTACTCAGGAGGCTAAGGCAGGAGAATCGCTTGAACCCTGGAGGCAGAGGTTGCAGTGAGCCCAGATCGCACCACTACGCTCCAGCCTAGGTGACAGAGAGAGACTCCGTCTCAAAAAAAAAAAAAAAAGTCAGAGGAGACAAGGAGCATGTACACCTAAAATCAACATAGACCCCTCTGTTGATGGGGTCATAGTGAGTACTTGAGGTACCAAGTCTGGATAAACATCAAACTTCAGCCAATAACTTTGAGTTTCTAGCCATCCAAGCCTCTTATTAAACATACAGAAGGACCTTTTTTCCCTTGCATCTAACAAGTTAAAGCACCTGCAGAGATCATTAGGGAGGAGCCTTGGCCTGATTGGTGACAAAAGTGAGATGCTCAGTCCTTGAATGACAAAGAATGCCTGTAGAGTGCAGGTCAACTACATATGCACTTCAAGAAGATCTTCTGAAATCCAGTAGTGTTCTGGACATTGGACTGCTTGTCCCTGGGAAGTAGCAGCAGAAATCATCAGGTGGTGAACAGAAGAAAAAGAAAAGCTCTTCCTTTTTGAAAGTCTGTTTTTTGAATAAAAGCCAATATTCTTTTATAACTAGATTTTCCTTCTCTCCATTCCCCTGTCCCTCTCTCTTCCTCTCTTCTTCCAGATCTTCAGGGGGCTAGAAATCTGTTGCTATGGGCCCTTCACCAACATGCCCACAGGTAAGAGCCTGGGAGAACCCCAGAGTTCCAGCACCAGCCTTTGTCTTACATAGTGGAGTATTATAAGCAAGATCCCACGATGGGGGTTCCTCAGATTGCTGAAATGTTCTAGAGGCTATTCTATTTCTCTACCACTCTCCAAACAAAACAGCACCTAAATGTTATCCTATGGCAAAAAAAAACTATACCTTGTCCCCCTTCTCAAGAGCATGAAGGTGGTTAATAGTTAGGATTCAGTATGTTATGTGTTCAGATGGCGTTGAGCTGCTGTTAGTGCCAACATGTTAGTGAGAAAATATCTTTGGATAGGTAAAAATCAAGGAGGAGTTCTCCTCTTCCTAAACCATCTTAATTTACTTACATAGAAGAAAGCACAGCAGCTGGCCCACCACGGACGGGCCCAGAGCAGGGGAAGATTCTCGGTGAACATTTCTTTTTTTTTTTCTTTTTTTTTGAGGTCGAGTCTCTGTTGCCCAGGCCAGAGTGCAATGGCGCGATCTCGGCTCACTGCAACCTCCACCTCCCGGGTTCAAGTGATTCTCCTGCCTCAGCCTCCCAAATAGCTGAGACTACAGGCGTGTGCCACCACGCCCGACTAATTTTTTGTATTTTTTTTTTAGTAGAGACGGGGTTTCACCGTGTTAGCCAATATGGTCCCGATCTCCTGACCTCGTGATCCACCCGCCTCAGCCTCCCAAAGTGCTAGGATTACAGGCATGAGCCACTGTGCCCAGCCCTCTCCATGAACATTTTCTAATTAAACTTGACACTTAATACAATGTTATGCTTAGGACTGCTATAAAGCTTACCTCTGGAGTTGCGCAGCACAAAGGCCTTGGTGTGTGTATAAATTTGGTTTGTTCTTTTCACAGCAAAAGCTACCCACCTTTGCCTCCTGTGCCTGCTTCTGCCCAGGGACTTAGGTCCTCTTACACCTTAGAGAAAGGCCTTAGCATCTGGTCACAGGCAGATGAGTGACAGCAAGAAAACCTGGCTGCAATGTAATTTTGTTTCCATCCTCTTTATTAGTTATCAATTGGATTTTTATGAAATTTCCAAGTTCCACTCAAGGATTTCTCAGTGTTTTTTTACTTTGGTATAGTGGAAACCAGGGTTGCCAGAAAGTATTATTTTGGGGGTGAGTTAGTCAACCTTCGTTCAGTCAGACAGACAGGAGCACCTCAGCAATTCCCAGAAACGGGCTGATGGGAAAGAGCAACATACATGAATGTCTTGAAGAACACAGCCAACAGAGCCCATTGGGCAGTTCTGATTTTCCAGGTACACAGCATCTCCACAGTCTCTTCTGATTTTTATTCCCCTGAGTATATGGATTCCAGCTCAGCATGTAGCCTTTCCCTGCTGAGTCTCTAACCAGGATAACATGTATTTTTTTGACTGGATGAATTATCTTCCCATCTCTTGACATTTACAGTAATTACCACCAAGTATGGTATTTTCAGTGGCCGTGATTATCAGTTACCAACACAGAATTAGGATGAAGGGAGGAAGGGAGGGAAGGAAGGTGGGTGTTTTTTCACACAGTGTCTTAGCCAGCAATTTAGCAAATTAATGGAAATTAGATCTTTGATTTTTTTTTCTTTCAAGCATTTTATTTGAGAGACTATCAAACCTTATACCAAGTGGCCTTATGGAGACTGATAACCAGAGTACATGGCATATCAGTGGCAAATTGACTTAAAATCCATACCCCTACTATTTTAAGACCATTGTCCTTTGGAGCAGAGAGACAGACTCTCCCATTGAGAGGTCTTGCTATAAGCCTTCATCCGGAGAGTGTAGGGTAGAGGGCCTGGGTTAAGTATGCAGATTACTGCAGTGATTTTACATCTAAATGTCCATTTTAGATCAACTGGAATGGATGGTACAGCTGTGTGGTGCTTCTGTGGTGAAGGAGCTTTCATCATTCACCCTTGGCACAGTAAGTATTGGGTGCCCTGTCAGAGAGGGAGGACACAATATTCTCTCCTGTGAGCAAGACTGGCACCTGTCAGTCCCTATGGATGCCCCTACTGTAGCCTCAGAAGTCTTCTCTGCCCACATACCTGTGCCAAAAGACTCCATCTGTAAGGGATGGGTAAGGATTTGAGAACTGCACATATTAAATATACTGAGGGAAGACTTTTTCCCTCTAACTCTTTTTCCCATATGTCCCTCCCCCTCCTCTCTGTGACTGCCCCAGCATACTGTGTTTCAACAAATCATCAAGAAATGATGGGCTGGAGGCTGGGCATGGTGGCTCATGTCTGTAATCCCAGCACTTTGGGAGGCCGAGGCAGGTGGATCACTTGTCAGGAGTTTGAGACCAGCCTGGCCAACATGGTGAAACCCCATCTGTACTAAAAAAAAAAAAACAAAAAGTAGCCAGGCCTGGTGGAGCATGCCTGTAATGCCAGCTATTTGGGAAGTTGAGGTGTGAGCATCGCTTGAACGTGGGAGGCAGAGGTTGCAGTGAGCCAAGATTGCACCACTGCACTCCAGACTGGGTGACAGAGTGAGACTTTGTCTAAAAAAAAAAAAAAAGAGAGAGAGAGAAAAGCTAGGTGCGGTGGCTCACGCCTGTAATCCCAGCACTTTGGGAGGCTGAGGTGGGCAGATCACGAGGTCAAGAGATCGAGACCATCCTGGCCAACCAACATGGCGAAACCCCGTCTCTACTAAAAATACAAAAATTAGCTGGGCGTAGGGGCGCACGCCTGTAGTCCCAGCTACTTGAGGGGCTGGGGCAGGAGAATCGCTTGAACCCCGGAGGCGGAGGTTGCAGTGAGCCAAGATCGCGCCACTGCACTCCAGCCCGGGCGACAGAGCGAGACTCCGTCTCAAAAAAAAAGAGAGAGAGAGAAATGATGGGCTGGGCCAGTGCCCCACCCCTGTAATCACAACACTGGGAGGCCAAGGTGGGAGAATCGCTTGAGCCTGGGAGCTGAAGACCAGCCTGGGCAATACAGTAGGACCTCATGTCTACAAAAAAATTATTAAAAATTAGCCAAGGCTGGGTGCGGTGGCTCATGCCTATAATCCCGGGGGTGAAGTTGAGCCCAGGAGTTTGAGACCAGCCTGGGCAACATGGCAAAACCCTGTCTCTACCAAAAATACAAAAAAATTAGCCAGGGGTGGTGGTACGTGTCTGTAGTTCCAGCTACTTAGGAGGCTGAGATGGAAGGATTGCTTGAGCCCAGGAGGCAGAGGTGGCAGTGAGCTGAGATCACACCACTGCACTCCAGCCTGGGTGACAGAGCAAGACCCTGTCTCAAAAACAAACAAAAAAAATGATGAAGTGACAGTTCCAGTAGTCCTACTTTGACACTTTGAATGCTCTTTCCTTCCTGGGGATCCAGGGTGTCCACCCAATTGTGGTTGTGCAGCCAGATGCCTGGACAGAGGACAATGGCTTCCATGGTAAGGTGCCTGCATGTACCTGTGCTATATGGGGTCCTTTTGCATGGGTTTGGTTTATCACTCATTACCTGGTGCTTGAGTAGCACAGTTCTTGGCACATTTTAAATATTTGTTGAATGAATGGCTAAAATGTCTTTTTGATGTTTTTATTGTTATTTGTTTTATATTGTAAAAGTAATACATGAACTGTTTCCATGGGGTGGGAGTAAGATATGAATGTTCATCACAAAAACATAAATCAAGGCCGGGCATGGTGGCTCATGCCTATAATTCCAGCACTTTGGGAGGTCAAGATGGAGGTCAAGGTGGGAGCCTAGAAGTTCGAGACCAGCCTGGGCAACATAAGGAGACTTCATCTGTACAACAAATTTAAAAAGTAGCTGGGTGTGGTGGCAGATGCCTGTAGTCGCAGCTACTTGGGAAGCTGAGGTGGGAGGATCACTTGAGCTCAGGAGGTTGATGCTTCAGTGAGCCACGATCACACCACTGTACTCCAGCCTGGGCGACAGAGCGAGACCGTGTCTCAAAAAGAAAAAAGAAAGTATAAATTTACACAAAAACAATAAAATAATCCCAGTAATTCCACCACTTGGAGATGATCACCATAAAACTCCACCAGGCATATGTGCGTATATATACACGTGTATTTTATAAAATGTGATCATAATTACACTGTTTTGCTTTTTTCCTTAAGATATTACATACATTTTTCCACATCGTTAAATTACAGTGCTGTTTTCCTGGTGGCTTTCCTTTAACAGATTGAAGTTCATGTTAATACAGTTGCCAGAGGCTGTGGGCTTTCACTGTCACCAGGAGTCACTCCTAGGGCCTCTTCAGAGCAAGGCCTTATGTCCTGAAGCATTGCCTTTTTTTTTTTTTTTTGAGGTGGAGTCTCACTCTGTCACTTAGCAGGCTGGAGTGCAGTGGCCCAGTCTTGGCTCACTGCAACCTCCGCCTCCTGGGTTTAAATGATTCTCCTGCCTCAGCCTCAGGGCGGATCACCTGACATCAGGAGTTTGAGACCAGCCTGGCCAATATGGCGAAACCCCATCTCTACTAAAAATACTAAAAAAAATTAGCCAGGCATGGTGGCACGCACTTGTAGTCCCAGCTACTTGGGAGACTGAGGCAGGAGAATCGCTTGAACCCAGGATGTTGAGGTTGCAGTGAGCTGAGATCACACCATCACAATCCAGCCTGAGTGACAGAGTGAGACTCCATCTGAAAAAAAAGAAAAAACAATTAGCCTGGCATGGTGGCAGGCACCTGTAATCCCTGCTACTTGGGAGGCTGAGGCAGGAGAATTGCTTGAACCCGGGAGGTGGAGGTTGCAGTGAGCTGAGATCGTGCCATTGCATTCCAGGCTGAGCAACAAGAGCAAGACTCCGTCTCAAAAAAAAAAAAAAAAAAAAAAAAAGGCCAGGTGCAGTGGCTCACGCCTGTAATCCCAGCACTTTGGGAGGCCAAGGTGGGTGGATCACCTGAGGTCAGGAGTTCCAGAGCAGCCTGGCCAACATTGTGAAACCCCCGTCTCTACTAAAAATACAAAAATTAGCTGGGTGTGATGGCATGTGCCTGTAATTCCAGCTACTCAGGAGGCAGAGACAGGAGAATTGCTTGAACCCAGGAGGCGGAGGTTGAATGAGCCGAGATTGCGCCATCACACTCTAGCCTCGGCGACAGAGCAAGACTCCGTCTCAAAAAAAAAAAAAAAAAATTAGCTTCTACCTCATTAATCCTAAGAACTCATACAACCAGGACCCTGGAGTCGATTGATTAGAGCCTAGTCCAGGAGAATGAATTGACACTAATCTCTGCTTGTGTTCTCTGTCTCCAGCAATTGGGCAGATGTGTGAGGCACCTGTGGTGACCCGAGAGTGGGTGTTGGACAGTGTAGCACTCTACCAGTGCCAGGAGCTGGACACCTACCTGATACCCCAGATCCCCCACAGCCACTACTGACTGCAGCCAGCCACAGGTACAGAGCCACAGGACCCCAAGAATGAGCTTACAAAGTGGCCTTTCCAGGCCCTGGGAGCTCCTCTCACTCTTCAGTCCTTCTACTGTCCTGGCTACTAAATATTTTATGTACATCAGCCTGAAAAGGACTTCTGGCTATGCAAGGGTCCCTTAAAGATTTTCTGCTTGAAGTCTCCCTTGGAAATCTGCCATGAGCACAAAATTATGGTAATTTTTCACCTGAGAAGATTTTAAAACCATTTAAACGCCACCAATTGAGCAAGATGCTGATTCATTATTTATCAGCCCTATTCTTTCTATTCAGGCTGTTGTTGGCTTAGGGCTGGAAGCACAGAGTGGCTTGGCCTCAAGAGAATAGCTGGTTTCCCTAAGTTTACTTCTCTAAAACCCTGTGTTCACAAAGGCAGAGAGTCAGACCCTTCAATGGAAGGAGAGTGCTTGGGATCGATTATGTGACTTAAAGTCAGAATAGTCCTTGGGCAGTTCTCAAATGTTGGAGTGGAACATTGGGGAGGAAATTCTGAGGCAGGTATTAGAAATGAAAAGGAAACTTGAAACCTGGGCATGGTGGCTCACGCCTGTAATCCCAGCACTTTGGGAGGCCAAGGTGGGCAGATCACTGGAGGTCAGGAGTTCGAAACCAGCCTGGCCAACATGGTGAAACCCCATCTCTACTAAAAATACAGAAATTAGCCGGTCATGGTGGTGGACACCTGTAATCCCAGCTACTCAGGTGGCTAAGGCAGGAGAATCACTTCAGCCCGGGAGGTGGAGGTTGCAGTGAGCCAAGATCATACCACGGCACTCCAGCCTGGGTGACAGTGAGACTGTGGCTCAAAAAAAAAAAAAAAAAAAGGAAAATGAAACTAGAAGAGATTTCTAAAAGTCTGAGATATATTTGCTAGATTTCTAAAGAATGTGTTCTAAAACAGCAGAAGATTTTCAAGAACCGGTTTCCAAAGACAGTCTTCTAATTCCTCATTAGTAATAAGTAAAATGTTTATTGTTGTAGCTCTGGTATATAATCCATTCCTCTTAAAATATAAGACCTCTGGCATGAATATTTCATATCTATAAAATGACAGATCCCACCAGGAAGGAAGCTGTTGCTTTCTTTGAGGTGATTTTTTTCCTTTGCTCCCTGTTGCTGAAACCATACAGCTTCATAAATAATTTTGCTTGCTGAAGGAAGAAAAAGTGTTTTTCATAAACCCATTATCCAGGACTGTTTATAGCTGTTGGAAGGACTAGGTCTTCCCTAGCCCCCCCAGTGTGCAAGGGCAGTGAAGACTTGATTGTACAAAATACGTTTTGTAAATGTTGTGCTGTTAACACTGCAAATAAACTTGGTAGCAAACACTTCCACCATGAATGACTGTTCTTGAGACTTAGGCCAGCCGACTTTCTCAGAGCCTTTTCACTGTGCTTCAGTCTCCCACTCTGTAAAATGGGGGTAATGATAGTATCTACCTCCTAGGATTTATTGAGGCAGCTTAAATACCTTTTGTATTTCCTGTTGCTGCCAAAACAAATTGTTGCAAGGTCAGAAGTCTGAGGTGGCTCAACTGTTTCTTTGTTTCAGGTTTCATGAGGCCAAAATAAAGGTGTTCGCAGGGCGTGTTCCCTTCTAGAGGCTCTGGGTCCTTGCAGTTCTAGGACTAAGATCCCTGTTTCCCACTGGCTGTTGGCTGGGCATCATTCTCAGCTTCTTGAGGCTCCCCACATTCCTAGGCTCCTGGCCTGTCTGCCTCCATCTTCAAAACCAGCAATGGGTGGTCAAGTTTTTCTCACACTGAATCTTGCTGACTACTGTATCTTTCTAACTCCTGCCAGAGACATTTCTCTGTTTCTAAGGGCTCAAGTGATTAGATTGCACCCACTTGGTAATCCAAAGTGATCTTCATATCTTAAGGCCCATAGCCTTAATTATAGCTGCAAAGTCCCTTCGCAGCAGTACCTAGATTACTGTTGGAATGAATAACCAGAAGACAGCAATCAAGGGAGGACATCTTTAGAATTCTGCCTACCACTTGTATTTAACATGCTTAATCCACAGATGACACTCTCTACCATTATTTCCTGGTCCTCACACTGCTCAGAGATTGGAATCCTTTTTGAGCAAAGAGAATGAAGTCATCACATAGTTCAGTCCTGCTGTATTTGCTGGAAACAGTGAAGGAAGATAGAGAAAATGGAGCTAACTGCCAATATTACATTTTATATCAGTCTTCATCATAGCCCTATGAAGTGGGTATTTGTTACCTCATTGGAAAAATGGGAGTTGAATCTCAAGTTCCTTGTTTGTAAGATTTTACTCAGATTTGCACAGCTAAAAATGACTACATGGAGACCCAAAGCCACCTTTCTGTTCCCATCATCAGCTTTCCATCTGCCTCTGTCACTGACCCCGGGACAGAAGGTTCAAGCCTTAAGGGAATTTGGAGAGAGAACTAGATTTTGAGGGGAACTCACACTCACTTCCCTTTTGGGCCACAGTAGGAGACAGTAAAAGCAGCCCCATGTCAGGCAAAGGGTCTTACAGGAGTGGATCATGGCTGCTGTTTCCACTTCTCTCTGGCTTCCCAGCTTATGACTGTGTATCTTAGTTGTCAAAGCCTTCCAGTTCATCCTCACCTACAGCTTGACTTCCCAAGGGCCCATGCCAGCTCCCTGTCTACCTGCCAGTGAGTTGATGAGTCTCGGTGTTAGTAGTAAAGGCAGGCGGGAAGCAAGCAGAAGTGCTACTGGGCCTTGAGGGTAAGCCAGGCCTCAGCCTTCTGACCCCATCACTAATGGGTTAATAGGAAAAGCAGTATCCATCTAGTACAGCCTGCCTTTTCAGGAATAGTGAGTAAAAGCAAAGATGACTAAAATACATTAAAGTTTTCTGTAATTGTCTCTAAGGTCTCCCAACAAACATATACCCCATCTGTTTCAAGCTCTGCATAACCTTTCCCAGAAGTCAAGTTCAGGCCCTGGCCTCATGGTGCCTGGCCCAGGTTAAGAGTGCTACCTGATGATGGAGTTAATACACGTTGCTTTGACCTCTGACTTTAAGATGTCCTCCCACTTTTCCACCCCGCAATCTCTAGCCCTCTCTGGGCACAGCAGCAATTGGGAACTAGTTCCTGTACTGCCTTTATCTCATTTTACAAAACAAACTTCTACAAAGAAGCTGGAAAGGAAGGAGGAGAAAGGATTATCATGCAGGCACAGGGAGGGGGCCTAGAGAAGAGCTCTGGCAGATTATGTCCCTCTTAAAAAATGCAACCAGAATCATCAACAAAGTATCACCTCAAAAATATGCAGGAGAAAAAGAAAGGAATCAATGTTGGGGTGGTTGGAGCAGAAGGAGCCAAACTGCCCAGAAGGTGTCCTCTGAAGGCTGCGAGGAGCAGATAAGGTCAGCCCCAGAGGCAGATGGCACACACAGAATGGCAGGATGAGGGGGAGCTGCAGATTTATGCAAAGAAGCCCTAGAGAATGGGGCCTGCTGCCCAGGGAATGTGGGGGCTCACTTATCAAAGACTACTGGAAAATGGCTGAGCCGGCAACCCCTTCCACTACAGTGATGCCTGGTTTTCTTGAACAGCCTGTAACTCTGCCTGTAACAAGGAGAAAATTAAAGCAACGAATCTGGCCAAATAGAAAATTAAGGAAAACTAGAAACAGCTCCTATGGAGAGCAGGGATTGGGGAGGTGTAGAGGGGCTGATCCTGAATGTCTGGAGGATCAGGAAAATGTAAGCAATTGTTTAAGGGACTGGTAGGAATCAAGATCTGGAGAGAGATCCTCCCGACTCTGGTGGCTGGGGAATATGAACTGTGGAGACATGGTTTCAAGGACTCAAAATGATATGACAGCTTAACATTTACAGTTCAGTGCAGAGGCTCTCAAAGCATGATCCCCTGATAGGAGTGTGAGGGGGCAACACCATCACCTAGGAATTTGTTAGATATGCAAATTCCCAGACCCACTGAATCCCAGACAGGTGGGGCCAGCAACCTGTGAATCTACAACAGGCTCAAGTTTGAGAACAAATGACTTAGTGTAAGGGGCTGCTAATTGATATAAAATGTTACCTGTGGTCTATTATTTTGTCTGTAGTGAATATTGGGCTTGTTAAGGATAAATAAGGTTTGTGGGCTGGTAAGTGGTTCTTCTCTACAAGGTTGCAACAGCTGGCTTCAGTTAACTTCAAAAAGGCCCTTTAAGCAAAGACAGTAGTCCCCCCACTCATCCATGGTTTTGATTTCAGTTACTTATGGTCAACCATGGTCCAAAAATATTAAAAGGAAAATTCCGGAAACCAGTCACTCGTTTTAAATTGTACACCATTCTAAGTATTGTTTGACTTGTTCTATTTTATTATTAGTTATTGTTGTTAATCTCTTACTGTGCCCAATTTATAAATTAAATTTTATCATAGGTATGTATGTATAGGGAAAAACATAATATATATAGGGTTTGGTACTATCCGAGGGTTCAGGCATCTACTTGTGGTCTTGGAACATATGCCCCGCAGATAAGGGGGGACTGCTGTACAATGCAAAGGACAAAGATTAAATTATATTAGCAATCTAGGAGCAGAAGGGCAAGACTGCTTTTTTAAAAAACAGCTAAAGGTTTAGGAGGTTTTATTAATATTTAAATTGTATTGAAACCACAGCTGCAGCCTTTGACTCCAGCATAGAGATATGCAAATATGGCTTTCAAAAGAAAGGCAATTTCAGACAGCCCTCAAAGTAACAAGAACAAATAAAACAAATGATTTTGTAATTTATCTTTATTGACTGATGTTGCACAAGGCACAGCCCATACCCTGTGAGAGTCAGCAACAGCCGAGCTCTCTGAGGAGAGAAGAGAAAGCCAGGCTGGAGGGAGAGGCAGGCCGACCCATAGACAGGTGACAGGAAAGACACAGAGCAGGCAGATGGGAGAAGAAGACAACTAAATTAAAAGGGAAGGAAAATAAAAACCCAGCCCTGGGTCCTGTAGACCATCTGATCTTGCTGGCTCTCAGCAGCAACAACAATAATCATTAATGACTATCATTTGCCACACTACTACTAAGTGCCATGCACTATTCCTCACATACAAATGAGGAAAATGAAGCTTTGAGAGGTCAAGCAACTTACCCAAGGTCACACAACAAAAGGAAGGGGCAGAGCCCAGATTCAAAGATTTGTGTGAGGCTGAAGCCCTGTGCTCTTTCCAGTGCATTATGCTGGGAACCAGTCCTGGGAGGCAGTGAATAACAATAAGGTTAATGGGCCGGGCGCAGTGGCTCATGCCTGTAATCCCAGCACTTTGGGAGGCGGAGGCGGGCAAATCACGAGGTCAGGAGATCGAGACCATCCTGGCTAACATGGTGAAACCCTGTCTCTACTAAAAATACAAAAAATTAGCCGGGCGTGGTGTCGGGCACCTGTAGTCCCAGCTACTCAGGAGGCTGAGGCAGGAGAATGGCATGAACCTGGGAGGCAGAGCTTGCGGTGAGCCACGATCGCGCCACTGCACTCCAACCTGGGTGACACAGTGAGACTCCGTCTCAAAAGAAAAAACAAAACAAAACAATAAGGTTAATGATTGAGGGGACACTTTGTGCCCAGTTCTGTGGTATTCTGTATGGGCATGCGTGTGTCTGTGTGTGTGTATATGTATGTAACTGTGGAAAAGAGGGTGAAAACCTCCATTTCTGACCTTCAAATTGGTTACTATCCAATGAGTAAGGCAAGAAAAGAAAGCCAAAGAAAACTTGCAGAATTCTGGTGTAAAAGTTCTTTTGGGGCCGTGTGGTGGGGCCAGGCTCTGCCTGTTGTGGGAGACTTCTGGTGGAGGCATCTCAGCTGGGCCTTGGGCCTTGAGTAAAATTTAGCCAGATGAAAAGGAAAGCTGGAGATTACACAGGCCCAGGTGAGAGCCTCCAGCTGCTAGAATTGGAGGAAGGAGCACCTGATTCAGAGAGATGAGAAAAGGCAAGAGAATCCTGAAAGGATACATATCTCTGACCCTTTGTCCCCATCCAATCTCCCCAGACCTTCCATCCCAAGCCCAAACACAACCTTACCTGCTGCTCCTTTTCAGGCACCCTGGCCACCAAATATAGGAACCCATAAATTTTGCTCATACTCTATGTTCTACTAGGCAAGTCCTGATCTGTCATCTCTACAGGCCCCAATCCTTCCCGCTCACCCCTACAGAGCCTTCTCCAGGTTTTCTAGGCCAGAATCTCTCCCCACTTAGAATACTCCAGAAGTTTTGCTTTATTTGTGAGACTTTATTCAATTGAAGTTACTTGTGTGCATATGTTATCCTCTCTATTTGACTAGAAGGTCCTTATAATCCCTTATGACCATAATTATTTTATCTTTGATATAACCCAGCTCTGTAACTAGCAGATACTTTGTTAGGCATCCAGTGGGTTTTTCCTAAATGAATGAAGTAAAGGATGAATGAATGGACTCAGTGCATTGAAGGGCTTATCCAACTATTGGTTCCACTCTCAAGACCTTTGGAAAACTAGCCATGTTCTGGAATGCTAATTCCCTTCAATGCCTTTCGCCCATTTTTCTATGACCCTGATTTACTCCAAAAACAATATAAGGGATCTAAGTGTCCAAGAATGACTCCTTCTAAACCCACACCTAAGGATTTTCTCTCTTTTTGTGTGTGTGTGTGTGAGACAGAGTTTCACTCTTATTGCCCAGGCTGGAGTGCAATGGTGCGATCTCAGCTCACTGCAACCTCCGCCTCCAGGGTTCAAGTGATTCTCCCTGTCTCACCCTCCCGAGTAGCTGAGATTACAGGCGCCTGCCATCACACCCAGCTAATTTTTGTATTTTTAGTAGAGACAGGGTTTCACCACGTTGGCCAGGCTGGTCTCGAACTCCTGTCCTCAGGTGATCCACCCACCTTGGCCTCCCAAAGTGCTGGGATTACAAGCATGAGCCACCACACCCGGCCTCTTTGATTCTCTTTTGCCTATCATGAAGTCTACCCCTTTGTAATTAATTAGACCAATGTCCACCCAGACAGAATAACATTTTCCCCTATCCATCAGCGAGGTCTTCTCCGTGATGGACATTCAAGGCAGACAGAGAGACTGCTGCTGCAATAACTGGGGAAATAATTATGGTGTTCATGATGATTTCTTTGCAGGTTCAAAGCACTAGCCCAGCCATTATCTCTCCCACTTCACTAGGATAAAATTGCTAACCCCACTTTATAGGTGCTAAAACAGGTCCAGGGCCTTGTCAAAGGTCACTCAGTGAGCTGGTGGCAGACCTGGAAATAACTAGCCTAGGAGTCTCGATATTCATTAGGCCACAGATGGAAATGCCCTCATTATGCTGTCTGGGCTATGTCTGAGAGAGAGTCAACTAACTGGACTCCAGTTAAATGGAGATATGCACTGGAAGATAAGTTTGTGACTACAGAGTGTTTTTCTCTGCAATGCTGCAGCAGTTGGCACTGGTTAATTCCAGAGGGTGTGTGTGTGTGTTTGTGTGTGTGTGTGTGTGTGTGTGTGTGTGTTTAAAGCATTATCACGCGTCCTAGATGAGGGAAGAGAGGGTGAATCCAAGGTAACACAGACACACAGGTAAGCAGATGTTTGCCATCTTCTCTTGAAAGTCATATAAAACCAAATGACAGTGTATATTAGCAGGAGAAACTCAGGAGGCTCTTCCCAGCTGTTAGGCTATACGACTCTGGAATAAGCTAGTACAAATTAGGTAGAAAGTCTAGGATTGTTCCTAGAGCCTGGTGGCGGGAGGTCTTTCCTGGAGGCAAAGGACTGTGGGGCTGTCTCAGGGCCTTCTGCAGCTGCTAAAGTGAGAAGCCTGCCGACGGGATCATCCCCAAGCCCACAGAAGCTCTGAAAGCTATGGAAACCAAGATCTGTACAGGAGCCACTTCTGGTTTCTAATGCCTGAGAGATTAAAATGGAAAAAAAAATTCCCATGGAAATTCAAGAATGCAAGAATGTTCTGGGGCCAGGCACGGTGGCTCATGCCTGTAATCCCAGCACTTTTGGAAGGCCGATCACCTAAGATCAGAAGTTCAAGACCAGCCTGGTCAACATGGTGAAACCCCGTCTCTATTAAAAATAGAAAATTAGCTGGGCGTGGTGGTGTGCACCTGTAATCCCAGCTACTCAGGAGGCTGAGGCCAGAGAATCACTTGAACCCTGGAGCCAGAGGTTGCAGCGAGCTGAGATCATGCCATTGCACTCCAGCCCAGGCAACAAGAGCAAAACTCCATCTCAAAAAAAAAAAAAAAAGTTCTACAACGTGGCCACAGGTCCGTTCTGGCTAAGGCAGTGATGTCCCCCTCCCACCAAAGCCCAAACCTTCTAACATCATCCTAAAGTGTGGGAATCACCTCTTCACCTCAGGCCAGCTCTGGGCTTTTCTCAGCCTATTCATCAGCCTCCATTAGTCCTCAGCTCTGCTGAGGCCTCAGCAGCTTCCCAGTCCCACTGAAGGCTGTGGGGCATAGAATGGGCAGAGGGCAGGCCGGGCGTGGTGGCTCAAGCCTGTAATCCCAGCACTTTGGGAGGCCGAGGCGGGCAGATCACGAGGTCAGGAGATCGAGACCATCCTGGCTAACACGGTGAAACCCCATCTCTACTAAAAATACAAAAAATTAGCCAGGCGTGGTGGCAGGTGCCTGTAGTCCCAGCTACTTGGTAGGCTGAGGCAGGAGAATGGCATGAACCCGGGAGGCGGAGCTTGCAGTGAGCCAAGATCCTGCCACTGCACTCCAGCCTGGGCGACAGAGCAAAACTCCGTCTCAAAAAAAAAAAAAAAAAGAAAGAATGGGCAGAGGGCATAAAACCTGAGTCCAGAGGTGGTGGTTGCACAACATTGTGAATGCACTAAATGCCCCTGAATTGTACATTTTAAAATGGCTAATTGTATGTTATGTGAATTTCAATCGATTTTTAAAAAAAATAAAACTGAGCCACCTTTGGGGTGGGGAGAGGAGCTGGGCCAGGCTCTGAGGATTTGAGGGTTGAAACTCCTTGCAGGGAGTGAAATGAACGACAATGGGGAGGCCAGTCTGGGCCTCCCAACTCCTCCTCCAGGACCAGATGGGAACTGGGGCTAGGGAGAAAGGCCCAACTGGGGCGGCGCCGGGCTCTGGGCAGAAGAGAAGCACTCAGTGAATGTGAGGAGGCTGCAGCCGTCGGCTCATTTGCATCATAAGTGATTGGTTTTCCCTGCTCGTCCCTCATCAGGACACAATGGACAGTTGTTTGCTGGCGCAGCAGATCCATTTACCAAGGGAGAGAGGAGACAGAGCACAAGTGACCGATGGGTAATAGTGTTGAAGGGTGGGCAGCCGCCTCCCCTCCCCTGTGCTCCCAGGCCACTGGGACTCTTGTTCTCACACAATGAGAAGGGACCTTAGAGAGCAAATCACCGCTTCACTTTATAGAAGAAGAGACTGAGGTGCTGAGAGGAGGTGAGCCTTGCTGTGGTCAAACAGCAAGAACATAGCAAAACTAAGCATTTTAAACTCTAACCTCTGGATCCTTTTTCTTTGAGACAAGGTCTCGCTCTGTCACCCAGGCTGGAGTAGTACAGTGGCACAATCTCAGCTCACTGCAACCTCTACCTCCCAGGCTCAAGTGATCCCCCCACCTCAACTTTCTGTGGGCCACGACACCTGGCTAATTTTTTGTAGAGACAAGGTCTCACTGTGTTGCCCACATTTTTCTCGAACTCCTGGGCTCAAGTGATCCTCCAGCCTTGGCCTCCCAAAGTGCTAGGATTACAGGTGTGAGCCACAGCACTGGGCCTGTTTGGTTTTTGTTTTGTTTTGTTTTTTTGAGATAGGGTTCCACTCTGTCATCCAGGCTAGAGTGCAGTGGTATGATCACTGCTCACTACAGCCTCACACTCCTGGTTCAAGTGATCCTCCCACCTCAGCCTCCTGAGTAGCTAGGACTATAAGTATGTGCCACCACGCTTAGCTAATTTTTATTTCTTTTATTTTTTCTAGAAACAGTGTTTCCCTATGTTGCCCAGGCTGGTCTCACCTGGGTTCAAGTGATCCTCCCACCTCAGCCTCCTGAATAGCTGGGATTACAAGTGTGAGCCACTGCACCAGGCCTGGATTCTAAACTGTCATTTGAGGGTTCACTTCGTTTCCCCATAATACCTTCTCTGTGCCCTTATTCCCATCTCTGTGGTCTCCTGTTCCCGGGGCCTTCGTTTCCATCATTCTGTCTCCTGGGTCTATTTCTTTTTCTCTGTTTCTGTTCCTCTCTGTATCTTTTCCTCTTGGTTTCCAGGCAGCTAGGATAATTACTAGACTTTTAATTAACCCCTGCCCTAACAAAGGTGGGTCTGGCATGAGGCAGCAATTTAGCAAGTGTCTTGGTTTGTTTTGGGGATAGGTGGGGAGAGAAAAATATGTGTTGGGGCCTATTATAAACCAGGCACTAAGACAGACACATAATGCACTTTATCTCATTTCATCCTTTCAATCTTGCAAGGTAGGTGTTCTTAGAGACAAAAAGGGTGAGGCTCAGAGAGGTTAAGTAACTTGTGCAAGGGCACCCAGCTAGCAAATTGTAGTTACCTGACTCCAAAACCTCTGTTCTTCCATCTCACACCCTGGCACAGGGTCTAACTCAGGGTAAGGGGCTCATTGATTTCAGGCGCAAGGGAGGCACAAAGTCACTGAAGGAGACCACTGTTTTGTTGCTGTCCTCTAGGCAGCGACTGCGTCCCCCCAGAGCCCCCTCCTTCTCTGAGCCCCTTCTGCAGCGTGGCGAAATCTCACAAATGCAAGCTTTTGCCCCCAGGGAGGTGGGGAGGCAGTGATCAAGAAAGAAACCTGACAAACCCAGACCAACCATGGGGGTCTCCCTCCTGTTAACACCCCTCCCTAACAGCCCTCCTGGTGGTTCCCTGTCTGCCCCTCCCCTTTATGGGTCAAGCCTGCTGGCGTCTGTTTCATTGTGCTGTGGGGGAAGGGGAGAGTCAGGGGTGAGTGGGTGTCTGTGTGCATGAACATAAGGCCTCCGGGTTCATTCTGACACTGAATGAAAAACTCACCAATTATTCGTCCAGTCTCATTAATATGCAGACAGACATCTGTTATTTAGGAGTCAACAGCAGAGGCATTTTCTTGTCGGGAGGGGCACTAGTGTACAGGGCTCTCTTGTCTCTCCGCTGCTAGCGGGTAGCTACTCAGGAATCATCCCACACCTCCCGACCTGGAGCCTCCCCTCTCTCTGACCCTCACTCACAGCTTTGAGGACAGCAAGTAAGGGATTGACCAGACAGAGATGGAGGGAGATCTGGGAACCTGGCTGGAAGGAAGGAAGCAGGAGAGGAGCTGCCTTGTGTAGAACAAACTGAGAACAAAACGCTAAACCCTTTCCTGGGGAAGAGAATGTGGAGTTGGGGGAGAGAGCTGTGCCAAGAGTGCCTGCCCCACTGGGAATCTCAGGGACATGACCCCTCCCCCCACACCTTCCTCAGCCTGCAGGACAAGTCTGAGTGCATCTGAAGCAGGGAGAGGGTCACTATGGCAACATGAAGTCCTCACCCAGAGACTGCAGAAAACGTAATAAGAGGAGTTCAGAAAAATGGAGACCAAGGGACCTCAATCTTTTTTTTTTTTTTTCAATTTATTTATTTTTTTTTATTGATCATTCTTGGGTGTTTCTCGCAGAGGGGGATTTGGCAGGGAGGGACCTCAATCTTTGGAGGAGTCACTAAAGCTCTCTTCAGGCCCCAAGATAGGGGTGGGAACAAGACATAACCACCTCCTGCTTTCTGTCTTCTGTCTTCCTCCAGCCTTTAAGTCCCAGCACAAAATACCCCTCCAAGAAGCCTTTCCCAACTCCCTCAGGCCCAGCTTAGAAGCACTTAAGCCTTGGTGTCTTGGTTGTAAAGAATAAAAGTTGACATCAGCTGAGCAACACAATGAGGTAGATGTGGTGATCAGCCCCCTTTTCTAGGTGCAAAAACTGAGGTTCAGAGAGGTGCTGGGCCTCACCAAAGATTCCCCAGGGAAGAAGCAGCAGAGCTCAACCCAGGCCCTGGGACTTCTGCCTCTGAACCTGAAGCTCTTCCCACGACTACCCCCTGGGAGGGCCAGAGTCACAAGGGGAGGACCCTTGTCAGCTGAAGTGTTTCAGGAGTTTGATTGAGTCCTCTCTTCCCATCCACCCTGTCCTTCCCCCTCCTCCCTCCTAGGCAGGCGGATTGCCTAGGTTAAGAAACACTAGTCTGGGCGAGGTGGCTCACGCCTGTAATCCCAGCACTTTGGGAGGCCAAGGCAGGTGGATCACTAGGTCAGGAAATTGAGACCATCCTGGCTAACACGGTGAAACCTCGTCTCTACTAAAAAATACAAAAAATTAGGCCGGGCGCGGTGGCTTATGCCTGTAATCCCAGCACTTTGGGAGGCCAAGACAGGCGGATCACGAGGTCAGGAGATCAAGACCATCCTGACTAACACGGTGAAACCCCGTCTCTACTAAAAATACAAAAAATGAGCCGGACGTGGTGGCAGGTGCCTGTAGTCCCAGCTACTCGGGAGGCTGAGGCAGGAGAATGGCGTGAACCCAGGAGGCAGAGCTTGCAGTGAGCCGAGATTGCGCCACTGCACTCCAGCCTGGGCGACAGAGCGAGACTCCGTCTCAAAAAAAAAAAAAAAAAAATTAGCCAGGCGTGGTGGCGGGTGCCTGTGGTCCCAGTTACTGGGGCGGCTGAGGCAGGAGAATGGCGTGAACCTGTGAGGTGGAGCTTGCAGTGAGCCAAGATTGGGCCACTGCACTCCAGCCTGGGCAAGAAAGCGAGACTCTCAAAAAAAAAACCACTAGTCTGGGCGCGGTGGCTCCTGCCTGTAATCCCAACACTTTGGGAGGCCAAGGTGGGTGGATCACCTGAGGTCAGGAGTTCGAGACCAGCCTGGCCAACATGGTGAAACCCCATCTCTACTAAAAATACAAAAATTAGGTCAGGCATGGTGGCTCACGCCTGTAATCCCAGCACTTTGGGAGACTGAAGCAGGCGGATCATGAGGTCAAGAGATGGAGACCATCCTGGCCAACATGGTGAAACCCTGTCTCTACTAAAAATACAAAAATGGCTGGGCACGGTGGCTCATGCCTGTAATCCCAGCACTTTGGGAGGCCGAGGTGGGTGGATCACGTTAGGTCGGGAGTTCAAGACTAGCCTGACCAACATGGAGAAACCCCATCTCTACTAAAAATACAAAATTAGCTGGGCATGGTGGCACATGGCTGTAATCCCAGCTACTTCAGGAAGCTGAGGCAGGAGAATCACTTGAACCCAGGAGGTGAGGTTGCCGTGAGCCGAGATCGCGCCAGTGCACTCCAGCCTGGGCAATAAGAGTGAAACTCCGTCTCAAAAAAAAAAAAAACACTAAAATTAGCTGTGCATGGTGGCGCGCGCCTGTAGTCCCAGCTACTCAGGAGACTGAGGCAGGAGAATCGCTTGAACCCAGGAGGCAGAGGTTGCAGTGAGCCGAGATGGTGCCACTGCACTCCAGCCTGAATGACAGAGTGAAACTCCGTCTCAAAAAAAAAAAAAAAAAAAAAAAAAAAACACAGAAACTCTGGCAGCCATCACAGTGTGATTATTTGTTTATTTCATTAAATGTTTAACGAGGCTACATTGTTTCCCAAACCAATGTCTAATTTGTGAAGGAAACAGCGCAGAGAAGGAAGCTGGGTGACTCCTGCATCTGGGGTGGGGAAGGGAGTAAGGTCCCCTCCCTCCATCCTACAGAGGCCTTTGAGGATCAGCAACAGTCCCATTCCCTCCTCCCACCCACTGAGCTCCTCAGCCCAGAGCCCTCCTCCCCAGAAATAAAACGTCTGGCAACCCAGACCTGCAGAAAGGGACCAAAAATCCATTCCTGGTGGTATTGAAAATGTATTAAACTTTGGGGGGTCCTCCAGCTGATTGATTTTTCTAATTATGTTTGCTTTAGATGGATATTTAAATGCATTTGCATTCCCTGAGCTCACATGGCAGGATATGGAGGTTGGAGGAAAGAGGGGGCACAAACACTCCACACTCTGCACTTTGGTGGTTGCAGGCTTGAACCTGCTATACACTGAGAAGTCCAAAGTGGAAAAGAGAAGCCACTCAGCTAAAAATCGCAAGTCGATTTTTATGGCAGGTCCTTGTGGGGAAAGGGTCAGTCCTCAGAGACAGATGGAGATCCACCTAGCTGGGCCTGGAGCCCCTGCCCTCTCCTGTACCCTTAGCCGAGGACTCAGGGTCTTTGAGTCAGTCCCTAACCAGGTCTCAGTTTGAGGGGGTGGTTATCCAAGCACACTTAGATAATTTCAAATGCCATTGAAGTTATCCTAGAATCTTTGAGACTGGCTGAGATGAACTAGTCCCATAGGAGAGGTTGGGATAGGGATATCTGATGATCCAGGGAGTGGTGGGTAGGGATTCCTTTCCTCTCAAGACTGGAACCTGGCATAAGGGAAAGGAGAAGCTATTTTTTATTTTTTATTTTTTAATTTTTTTTAGAGACAGGGTCTCACTCTGACACTCAGGCTGGAAGACAATGGCATGATCATAGCTCACTGCAGTCTCTAACTCCTGGCCTCAAGCGATCCTCCCAGCTTGGCCTCCCAAAGGAGGAATCTTGGCTGGGATTATAGGTGTGAGCCACTGCCGAGAAGCTATTATTTTAAATGACACACCTCAGAGCCAAATCTCCCAGCTCCAACACCACATCCAGATAACCATCTATCCAAAAAACAACTCTGATCACTTCACTCTCTGCCTGAAATTCCTGGTGGCTTCATCCTCTGAGGATGATTTCATTCATCCTCAGAATGAAATTCTGATTCCTCTGTGGACCCTGCAGTAGCCTCAGTGTACCTTCCTAGCCTTGTCTTCTATTCTCCCTGCCATGGGAGCCCCAACAGTGCTATGCTCATTCTCATCTCCACGTGTTTACACATGCTGTACCCTCTGCCCAGAGTGCCTTTCCTACCCCTTCCCTGCCCGGAAAACTCCTCTTCAACCCTCAGGACCTGGCTCACAGGACTGGCTTCTCAGGCTGCAAGGAGCTCCCATAGCATCCCATACATGTACAAATATCCCTCAGCCATGGCACCCTCACACCTGAGGTACCTCTCTTCCACACTGGGCTGGCCTCCAAAAGCTTAGAGACTGGTCCTTGCAATCTCCCAAGCCAGTGTATGCCACACAGTTGGTGTTCAGTACATACTTGCTGAATGAATGAATGAGGGAGGAATGGGCTATAAATTTGGGTGGGATCCCAGCAGATAGTTGGGTAAGGTCAGTGTTCTCTTCCAGTGTGTCTGGGAGAACTGGCTAGGGCTGGGGGAGGGAAGGGCCAGGGATGGTTCCTGGGGGAGAATGTCACCGAAAAGAGGCCAGTGGGACCAGAGCCAGGAAGGGAATACAGGACAATCTGAAACCAGACTCCCGAGAAAACAGACCAGTACTGTCTTTCCTGACAACAGGCGCTCAGCCGTCCTCTCCACCGTCTTTCCTTTAAGGGACAGGGTAGGGGTGACTCTAACAGCTGATGCTCCCCTGAAAGCCATCATGAAACTCAGCATGGGAGGAGAGAAAGGTCCCTGGCCTGAGCCTCTAAGGAGACCCCAGAATCAAACTACTGACCTCTTAGGAAACTTCACGCTGTACAGGGGTAGCTTCTGTGATGTGGAGGCTTTTGATGCCTTCTTTTTTTTTTTTTTTTTTTTTTTTGGAGACAGAGTCTTGCTCTGTCATCCAGGCTAGAATGCAGTGGCGCAATCTCGGCTCACTGCAAGCTCCGCCTCCCAGGTTCACCCGGGTTCACACCATTCTCCTGCCTCAGCCTCCCGAGCAGCTGGGACTACAGGCACTGCCACCGCGCCTGGCTAATTTTTTGTATTTTTAGTAGAGATGGGGTTTCACCGTGTTAGCCAGGATGGTCTCGATCTCCTGAACTTGTGATCCGCCCACCTCGGCCTCCCAAAGTGCTGGGATTACAGGCGTGAGCCAGCGCGCCCGGCCTGATGCCTCCTTATCCCCACAACCCCCAGGGTACCAGCAGGCTCCAAGCCAGGGGTACAGATGGTGAGCAGGACCCCTCCCACACTAGCAGCAGGCCTGGCTGGGCTGAGAAATGCTGACTAATTATATGTCGGTCTGCTCTAAAACCCCCTAATGGCCTGAGAATTGCCCACTTCATTAACTAGGATGAACAGTCCCAGGATGTCTCCTTCTCCCAACTCTGACTCCTAAAAGGACACTTCTGATCCAACCTATGGCTTTGTCCTCTGCTCTATCTGTGGACATGGACAGGAAAGTTCCCCAGCTGAGGTCTAACTTTCCCTCTTACTGCTAAAGATTGGTAGATTGATTTTTTTAAAAAGCAACAAAACTAAAGCCACAGCCGTTTTCCATGGAGGTGGGCTTTATTAGGTGACTGTTGAGGCAAGGGAGGTTCTAGGGCTGGTGGACTGATGGGGGGCAAGGGCTTCTCCTTGCTTTTGAATTTAGTGCATGTTGCCTAGAGGTTAGATGTGTGAGAATAGCTGCAGAAGTGAGAGGAGAGGAAAAGAGAAGGTCATAGAATGGACATTTTCCTTGGGCCAGAACCAGGATATGGGGACTGGGGGTGGAGAGGGAGGGTACTCTTCACATAGGAGACTCCACCAAGGTCACCATTTGATACCAGCTTCCCTAACGCCCACCTGCCCCATCCCAGTTCATGCCCCAGATGCCAGCCCTGTTAGCTCCCTCAACATCCACTGGAGAAGAGGAGGGAGGAGGAGATGAGAAACGATGATACCCTTCTGCCCTCCAGCTCCCCTGCCCAGAATTGCTCGCTCTGCCTGCCCTAACTTCCCAGCCAGGATCAGGAGGTCAGGAAGCCTGGGCGCAGGCAGGGGAACAATTGTGTCCCTCACCACCCCTCTTCACACTCTGCCCTCTCCTAGCCCCTCACATGAGGTTGCAGCTTTTGGCTCGATCCTTGTGTATCTCGCCCTCATTCCCCCGGTCTGGCCGTCCTGACAGCTGAGCGGATCGCTGCATTCCCCGGCGTGAGTCAGTTCGGCGCAGCTGCCTATGGCCACGGCCAAGGGAGGCCACTGTAGCCACATGGAAGACATCCCTGACGCTGCGCTCAGAGGACCGGGAGGAGCACTCAACATAGGACACAGCCCCCACCTGCTTGGCCAGCACAGTGCCCTGGAAAAGGAAGGAGTGCATGGGAGAAAGTTATAGGTCTTAGCCTGCAGCTTAGAAAGGGGCATGGAGGCTGTGGGCTGGGGTTGAATGTCAAGGCTGGGGGCAGTCAAGGGATCAGGTCAGAGGTCACAGACCAGAACAAAGGATGAGCCAGGTAAGGTGTTTTCAAATCAGAGACTGAAGGGGCAGAGGTGACAGGTCTAGGCTGGGATGAGGTCAGACGTCAAGGGTCCCACCTGCTCATGTGTAACAGGGATAAGCCTCTGCTTGGACAGCTCCCTCAGTGTGGCCAGGTCAGTCCGCATGTCCAGTTTACAGCCAACCAGCACAACCTTGGCATTGGGGCAGAACTCTTGAGTCTCTCCTTGCCACTATGTAGGAGAAGAAAAGAGAATTGTGGAGGGGTGGAGGGAGGCACAGCGTGAGCCTTTGTGCCATGCCAGCAGTGTGCCCTCTCTTCCTCAAGCACGCAGAAACCATGTATCCCTCAGGACTCTCCCACATGAGGAAGGAGGTGAGAATGCTAGGCTTGGTTTGAGAGCAGGATGGGGTGAGAGAGAAGCAGCGGGGAGGAGAGGGCTGGCGTGGGCCTGTGGACTCTTCTCCCTCAGTGGCTATGAAGGGTCTGCCAGCCTGGAAACTTCCCATTCCCACTCGCCTTTCCCATACTCTCTCCTGGGAACAAATTTATCCCACCCTCCCCTCCCCCACCTGGGAACTGGGGCTGCCCTAGCTGACTTCTGTCCATTCACCCCTGGCTTTTGTCATGGAAACTGGGGCCTGGAGAGGAGGCCACAGGGCTTTCCTGAGCTCCAGGATCAGGCTTCCCATCCCATCCCCTCCATCTGGGACTCCCACTGCCAAGGAGTTGGAAGAGCAGAGAAGGAATCCTGTGAGTGCTTCTCCCTTCACTCCCCCACCTCCCCTAGCTGCTGTATCCAGCTCTGAGGACTTTCAGGAAAGGGGTGGCTGGGAGGGATGGGGGCTGGAGGCAGGGGTGGCAGGGATGAGAGCTTCACTCGCTAACCAGCTGATGGCCATACCCCAGCCATCACTCCCTCCTCCTGGCCCATGTTATGTCAGGACCATGGTGGTCTGGTCCCCCTCAGTCTAGCTGCCCTATTTCCCCAGGCTCCCACCTTCTTGAGAACACTGTCCAGTGTTTCTGGTCGGCTAATGTCGAAGCAGATGAGCACAGCATCAGAATCAGGATAGGCCAGAGGCCGGACATTATCATAGTAAGAGGAACCTGAAGGAAGACAGGGCATGAGGGGCCTGAGTGGATGGGAGGCCTGGAAGGGAATGGGAGACCTTACAGATCCTGGTCAAGGGATGCTGGGAGCAGAGAATGGAAAAGAGCAACCATTAATACCCATCATTAATACCCATCATGGAGTCTGGGTTTCCCAAGTGGGGGAGCGGGCAGAAGGGAGGTCACATGGTGGGAAACGGCTCTCTGCTTCCCTAGTGGTTTAAAAAGTAATAATTTTTATTCTTGACTGAGGTTTGGACCCCTTTGAGAAGCTCATAAAATCTATAGACATTCTCATAAAATGTTGCATGTGCTTTCTGGGCTTTGGCAGTCTAAAGCCCTGAAGGGAACTCTTGTAAAAATAAAAACCCTCCTTATGTTGGGAGGAGGAAAAGAGCAGTGGCAGGGAGAGCACTCTCCCATTCTCCTGGGACTTGACCTCAGATTTATCTAGTTCAATGGAGAGAAACAGCCTCCTGACCACCCCTCACTCAAGACATTCTAAATGTCTTTTCTGCTTTTTTATTTTTTGAGATGGAGTCTCGCTCTATCGCTCAGGCTGGAGTGCAGCGGCATGATCTCGGCTCACTGCAGCCTCCGCCTCCCAGGTTCCAGCGATTCTCTTGCCTCAGCCTCCTGGTAGCTGAGATTACAGGCACGTGCCACACGCCCGATTAATTTTTGTATTTTTAGTAGAGACGGAGTTTCAACCATGTTGGCCAGGCTGGTCTCAAACTCCTGACCTCAGGTGATCCCCCCACCCCAGCCTCCCAAAGTGCTAGGATTACAGGCGTGAGCCACCGTGCCTGGCCTCTAAATGTCTTTTCTAAACCCAGTCTTATCTCTGAAGGAACATGTTCCAAATTAAAAGCCATTCCTTCCCAACTTTCCCAGGTAGGCAGGACCCAGCTGAGGGGCTCAGATCCTAGGCTTTCTCCTTCAGGACATGGTTTCTGTCAGGCTCTGCAAGTTCTACCTCAGTTTCCCTGGATTTTAGCAGAATATTGATTTTTCCCTTCCTGTTGGAATTGGATGGATGGGCTGGGCTTACCTGGAACCTAAGGGTCTAACCAAGGGAGGGGACAGAGTGGGCCGCCTTGGAAGTCAGGGTGACCCCCAGGGACTTGGCTACCTGAAGTGTCCCACATGTTGAGCTCAATGCGGCGCTTGTCGATCTCAAAGCTCGCAGTGTAGTTCTCAAACACGGTGGGGACATAACTCTGCAGACACGGATGGATCCAGATGAGATCATCTCTCCAAGTCCTCACCCCAGATAAATGCCCTCCTCACTCCCACACCCCGTCCAGCCCAGCCCCTGGACACAAGTTGGTCTGGGATTGGGCAAAGGGGAGATCCCGGGAGCTCCTGCCCCCCCCCCCCCCCCCCCGGAGAATCTCTGCTAAGCTCCCAGACCTCCTCCTGTTCCCTTCTGGTCCCTTCAGCCCCCTAGTTCTTCCCCTCTCCATTGCCCAGGACCTCCGACATTCCCCTCGCCCTCCCTCCCGGATGCTCTGGTTCTCCCAAACCCCATCTATCTCACCCTGCTCCCTAATTCCTCCCACCCCAATCCTCTGCAGTCCTTCCTGAGCCCTCAAGGCCTCCCCGCGTCCTCCGACCCCCTGTCTCTTGTCCCTGGTTACCCGAGTACCCATTCCCATCCGTCGCCAGGGCCCCTGTCACCCACCCCCCAGCAGCCTTAGCGTCCCCCTCCCAAGACGCAGGTCCCTCACCCCGGGATAGGCGTCCTTGGCGAACACCTGCAGCAGCGCCGTCTTGCCGCACTCTGCGTCTCCCACCACCACGATCTTGCAGCGGCCGCTCTGCCCCTCCATGGTCCCGGCTACGCGCCGGTCCCCCACGCCACCCCTCTCCCGGGCCCCGCCGCCGCCTCCCCCGCCCCTGCAACTGCAGCCGCTCGGGCCGCCAACACCGGCATCTCGCGGGCCCGCGCCGAGCCCCCGCCCCGGGTCCGCGGCCCCCCCTCCGCCCCGCCCCCAGCCAGGCGGCCGCGCCCCCCCGGCCCCTCCTCCCACCCCCGCAGCCGGGGGGCGGGGCCCAGAAGATCTGGGCGGAGCCCTGGGAACAGAGGCCTCAGAGCCGGGGTCCAGCCCGCCGGTGTGGTCTGAGGGGCCCCTGCCGGTTTGGGACAGGCCGAACTGGGCTTATTTGACTTTCTCGGATATAAGGGCAGGTCAGAGTTCAAGCGAAGTTCTTAGGGGTAGAATATGAGCGGCACAAGCGCGAAGCTCGGGCCTGCTGTGTACCCACGCGTGCACGCAGGTGTACCAGTGCGGACAAGAGCTGGGGCAGCCATCCACTTCCTGAACACGGCGGGAGAGAGATGCTAAGGGGAAGGAGGGAGCCTCTTTGGTTTTCTCTCCCGCGTCCGCCTATGTCCTGGCAGGGGGTCTTGGGGAAATGGGAGGGTGAACCCCAGCACACCCACCCGGACGGTGGTGACATCATAGCTTTCCGTCCCCATGGCAACGGGCAGCCGGGTCTCCGGTTACATTGACTTAACCGCCGGCCTAGACTAGCAGAGAAGCGTGGACTGAGTTCCTCCAGCCAAGCACTGGGTGGAAAGTTTTGGGGGAGCTGCGTCCTCTGGTGGATGCTTGGGGACAAGGAGATAAGGAAGAGAAAGAACCAACCGCCAGAGTTGCTCTGCTGGAGCCAGAGCTAAACCCAAAAGTCAGGCTTGATTAAGAGTCTGACAATAGGCCGGGCGCGGTGGCTCACGCCTGTAATACCAGCACTTTGGGAGGCCGAGGCGGGCGGATCAAGAGGTCAGGAGATCGAGACTATCATCCTGGCTAACACGGTGAAACCCGCACGGTGGGCGCCTGTAATCCCAGCTACTCAGGAGGCTGAGGCAGGAGAATGGCGTGAACCCGGGAGGCGGAGCTTGCAGTGAGCCGAGATTGCCTCACTGCACTCCAGCTTGTGCAATAGAGTTTCGAAAAAAAAAAAGTGCTTTTTTATATCGAGGCAATTCGAGTCAATAATATATGCTGCAAATAATTCTGTAAAGATAACTAGAAGCTGGGCGCGGTGGCTCACGCCTGTAAACTCAGCACTTTGGGAGGCCAAGGCTTGCTTGCGTGCAGGAGTTTGAGGCCATCCTGGGCAACATTAGCGAGACCCTCTCTCTAGAAAAAAAAATCAAAACTTAGCTAGGTTTGGCCACTCTAGGCACGCTGCCTATGGGGTAGCCCTGCTCTGCAAAGAGCAGTAAAACATAAAGTTAGCCGGGCGTGGTGACACATGCCTGTGGTCCCAGCTATTCAGGAGGCTGAGGTGGGAGGATTGCTTGAAGCCGGGAGTTTGAGGCTGTAGGGAGCTGTGATCGCCCCACCTCGCTCAGCCTGGGTGACAGAGTGAGACCCTGTATCAAAAAAATAAAAATATAAATATAACTAGAGCACGCAGCATCATCACTATGTTACAGAAGGGAAAATGAGGAACAGAACGTTAACACCAAAGTCAGAAAGTTTTAAAGGCTTGGTCTCCATGCTTCTACTTTGCCACTGCAAGACCACAGTGAATTAAGTCTCATCCCTGCCTGGGTTAGATGTCAGAGCCTGAGACACAATGTAGTTGGACTCCAGTCCACAGGTGGCTGACTCCAAATCTGATATGAGTTAACTCCAAATCTGATGTAAGTTCAAGTTTTGGGACTGTTCCTTAACTTTTTTTTTTTTTTTTTGAGACGGAGTCTCGCTCTGTAGCCCAGGCTGGAGTGCAGTGGCGCGATCTCGACTCACTGCAAGCTCTGCCTCCTGGGTTCATGCCATTCTCCTGCCTCAGCCTCCCAGGTAGCTGGGACTACAGGCGCCTGCCACCACGCCTGGCTAATTTTTTGTATTTTTTAGTAGAGACGGGGTTTCACCGTGTTAGCCAGGTGAATCTCCTGACCTCGTAATCTGCCCGCCTCGGCCTCCCAAAGTGCTGGGATTACAGGCGTGAGACACCGCGCCCGGCCTTTTTTTTTTTCGAGATGGAGTCTCCCTCTGTAGCCCAGGCTGGAGTGCAGCGGCATGATCTTGGCTAACTGCAACCTCCGCCTCCTGGGTTCAAGCAATTCTCCAGCCTCCGCCTCCCTAGTAGCTGGGACTATAGGCACCTGCCACCATGCCTGGCTAATTTTTGTAGTTTTAGTAGAGCTGGGGTTTCACCATACTGGTCAGGCTGGTCTCGAATTCCTGACCTCAGGTGATCCACCCACCCGCCTCGGCCTCCCAAAGTGTTGGGATTACAGGCGTGAGCCACGCCGCCCGGCCCTTTTTTTTTTTTTTTTTAACAGGGTCTCACTCTGTTGCCCAGACTGGAGTGTAGTGGCGCGATCTCGGCTCACCTCCGCCTCCCAGGCTCAAGCGATTCCTCTGCCTCAGCCTCCCAAGTAGCTGAGATTACAGGCGCGCGCCACTACCGCCCGGCTAACTTTTTTATTTTTAGTAAAGACGGGGGTTTCACCATGTTGGCCAGGCTGGTCTTGAACTCCTGACCTCAAATGATCCACCAGCCTCGGCCTCCCAAAGTGCTGGGATTACAGGCGTGAGCCACCGCGCCAGGCCTATCCCTTAAAATAGTTTTTAATTTGAATAAGGTTTACTATGAATAAATAAATCACAGTCGGCTTGATCCCAAGAGCACAGACGTTCCTGGTGCCCCTTTTCGTGCTCTCCCAGCTTGCGCCACTATGGCCCTGGCCCTTTAAGGCTGAGCGCGAGGCCCCGCCTCGCCCGGCGCCCCGCCCCTCCCGCTGGATCCCGCAGCCGCGGCTCTTCCCGACGCGTTCCGCCTTCCCCAGCTGTGCACTCTCCATCCAGCTGTGCGCTCTCGTCGGGAGTCCCAGCCATGTCCGACGAGAGAGAGGTAGCCGAGGCAGCGACCGGGGAAGACGCCTCTTCGCCGCCTCCGAAAACCGAGGCAGCGAGCGACCCCCAGCATCCCGCGGCCTCCGAAGGGGCCGCCGCCGCCGCCGCCTCGCCGCCACTGCTGCGCTGCCTAGTGCTCACCGGCTTTGGAGGCTACGACAAGGTGAAGCTGCAGAGCCGGCCGGCAGCGCCCCCGGCCCCTGGGCCCGGCCAGCTGACGCTGCGTCTGCGGGCCTGCGGGCTCAACTTCGCAGACCTCATGGCTAGGCAGGGGCTGTACGACCGTCTCCCGCCTCTGCCTGTCACTCCGGGCATGGAGGGCGCGGGTGTTGTGATCGCAGTGGGCGAGGGAGTCAGCGACCGCAAGGTGAGCGGGTTGCGTAGGGCAGGGCAGGGCTGCGCAGGCCACTGGGCAGTGGGGCACGAGTGGGCGAGCGCCGGGGGTGTGGCAGGGCGGGAGAAACTGGCGCGGACCTGGGTGCACGAGCGTGGAAAGCGTAGCCAAGGAACTTGTGTTTGGGGGCTCCTGGAGAGCGGCATTTATGTGGGGAGGGGAGACGAAATTATCGCCCCTTCCCCAACCATTTTTAGTTGTGGCCGCCGCCCAGAAGCTGTGCTGGTGGGGGGGAAAACAATAAGGTGCCCATGCGCATGCGCACAACCACACTACCGTCCCCACCCCCCCCCCCCCCCCCCATTAAAACCACACCTGTACCCCTACCCACCAAACACTCTCTGGGTAATTGTGGTCTGTGACTATGAGTGACGGTTAGTGCCCCCTTTCCCCGAGGGAGCTTGAGGGGCTATGTCGTCGGGGTTGGGCGGGGGCACAGCGGCCGTGCCAGAGTCCTGGTCACATGCAGCCCCGTGGTCTGTGGGGGTGTGAGGCGGCCCCTCCCAAAGCAAGGCCAAAGAGACGAGACACGCCCATCACGGAGGAGAGAGAGCCTTTGCTACCCCACCGCCACCAGCCTTACACCGCCGATCTGATTTTGGGGTGGGGGAGGCGGGATTGGGTCATCCGATCTTTGTCTTGGGCTCTGTGTCTCCCGTGACTGCAGTATCTCCTCCTCCTGTGACTCAGCCCTCAGCCTTCGGGCCACGACCCGGGGCTGCCCTTGGGAATGCCTGGGGCGGGGAGTGGAAGGGGGGACCCACCTCTGCCTTCCTCCTGCAGAGGACCCCCACTTCAGAAACCCCAGTGCCAGGGGTTTGGACTGGAACGGAGAGGTGCGGCGCCTTGAACTGGTTGGCCAAGTCTGCAGGCCTGTTTCTCCTTCTCATTTATCATTAATCTTGGCCACAACCCTGGACACCAGAGAGCTCAAAATGATCAGCTTTTTGAGAGACCTGGGATGAGGCCTCAGCACGCCATTTGTTTAGAGGTTTCTTTTTTTTTTCTTTTTCTTTTTTTTTTTTTTTTTTTTTAGACGGAGTTTCGCTCTTGTTGCCCAGGCTGGAGTGCAATGGCGCGATCTCGGCTCACCGCAACCTCTGCCTCCCGGGTTCAAGCGATTCTCCTGCCTCAGCCTCTCGAGTAGCTGGGATTACAGGCATGCGCCACCATGCCTGGCTAATTTTGTATTTTAGTAGAGATGGGTTTCTCCATGTCGGTCAGTCTGGTCTCGAACTCCCGACCTCAGGTGATCTGCCCACCTCGGCCTCCCTAAGTGCTGGGGTTACAGACATAAGCCACTGCGCTTGGCCAGGAGTTTCCTTTTTAAATCAGACCCCTCAATGAGAGGCCCCACAGATGCAGCCTCTTGCAGACCTGCCAGCCCAATTCTGGAGCCAGGTTTGTTGGATTCATCCTGTATGCAAACAGCTTCTCCTTAAGGCTTTCCTCTGAATTCAGCTCTGGCCCCACCCTCAAACTGACTTCTAAATGATCCCACTCTTGAGCAGGCGTCTAAGAGGAATATTTTCGGGAGGTAGTTGTAGTTCATGTTACTGCTGAAGGCCACCCACCTCACCTCCCCTCCATACACTTTCCGCCTGGTAAATACAGGATATCCTGTCCAGGGCAAGAATCTGATGTAAGAGCCTGGATTCTGCGGGGAGGGCCCTTCCCTCTCTCTCCCTCCTCCTCCTTCCTGGTGTCTGGGTTGGGGAGGGGTCATGGCCCTGATTTGGATGGCCTGAGGGTTAGCATGAGCCAGGGTAAGTGAGACTTGTTCTGGGTCAAATCTGGGACTGGCCATGACCCTAAATGACCAATGCACTCCTCGCAGCTCTCCTGGGTTGTTCTGTATCTGCTAGTCCTGAGTCCCTGGGTGGAGGGCTTCCGTTCTTGTTCTCCAGACCTCATCTCAGGCCAGAACTTGGAAGGAAAGACCCCAGCATGCCCTCAGTTCTCGTATTCAGTGGAGTGTGGGGGCTTGAGGACATGAAAAAGGGCGTAAGTGGCAGTCCCATCCCCCTTCCCCATGGACCCTAACTCTTGTTAATATACAGAATTCCCATCATTCCTGGCAGGGATCAAGACAGACCCAGATTGTCCCAGAACAGCACCCACACCTCCCTCTTCATGCTCTTCAGAGAGCGCAGAGAAGTCTTTTCTCCTGACGCTCCCTCCTTTTCCCTGCCCTTCCCTTGACCCCACTTGCTAAGCTGGAGAGAAAGGTTCTGTTATCTTTGTCCCCTTTCCCTCCTGCACAGAGGCTCTCGTGGGGGTGGGGGGGAAGCCTTTTACTGCTGCGTAGGCCTCTGTAGCCCTTCTTGTCTGTTGCCCCTCCTGCACCATCTCTGAGTGAAGATGTTTTCTGGGCTCCCAGTGCTGGCTCAAACACACTTCTCCCGAGGTGACCACACCCTGCTGTAAGCGCTCAGAGAACTTTGCCTGCACTTTGGTATGGCCCTGACCACACAGTGCCGTCTTCTTTTGGTTGTGTGACTTCCTTGCTGCTATTATATTATTATTATTATTATTGTTAGCTAACATTATTAAGTGCTTATTATGTGCCAGACATTGTGCTAAAATTTTTTTTTTCCATTTGGAAAAACTGCCCTAATTGACAGATAAGAAAACTGGAGCTGGAAAAGTGGAGCTCAAAAAGATTAAGTAATTTTTATGCATCCGAAGTCACACAGTCAGTAAACAGTTGAGACCGCTTTTGTAACCACAGCAGTTTGATCTTTTCCACAATACTTCATGCTGCCCTAACTGTAAGCTTCTTGCATTCAGGGATCTTACACAATAGTGACATGTAAGATCTGTAAGAAGATGATAAGGATAGTATCTGCCTCAAAGAACTGATGTAAGGGTTAATTAAGCATTATATATAAAGCACTTGAAATCGGGCTCGGCCCTCAGTCAGCACTCAGTAAAGGTGAGTTGTTATTGTTGTTGATGATGATGTTATTATTATTATTATTACCATGACTATTGCTGCTTCTCCTGCTACTTCATTTGGAAGAAGGTAGCCTTGTACCTAGGGGGAAATCAGTAAATAGCCTGTGGGTGAATGAATGAGTGACTGAATGATACTCTTCTGTTCTTCAAGGCAGGAGACCGGGTGATGGTGTTGAACCGGTCAGGGATGTGGCAGGAAGAGGTGACTGTGCCCTCGGTCCAGACCTTCCTGATTCCTGAGGCCATGACCTTTGAGGAAGCTGCTGCCTTGCTCGTCAATTACATTACAGCCTACATGGTCCTCTTTGACTTCGGCAACCTACAGCCTGGCCACAGCGTCTTGGTACACATGGCTGCAGGTGACAGGTCCCCTCACTTTATCACCCCTTACCCCACCCAGATTTCCTTCCAGGCCCCTTCCCTGCAGCCTGTCTGGGTTGTTGTCATGGCAACACCAGGCTGCCTTGGCCTGTGGCTCCCAGAGGCCTCTGCTGTGTAGTTGCCGTGGTAACATTCAGGCACCAGGTCTAGTCTGGTGTGCTATCCTTAGCAACGTGCCCTCACCCCACACCCCCACCTCTCTAGCTACCTTCCCCACCACTTCTCAGTCATGGAAATTAGACACGGCCCTAAAATGAGCGTAGGCAAAATGAAGGTGACAGGCTGAGTCCCTGGGAGGCTAGAATGGAGTGGTTGGTGGCCAGGGCAACTCCATATCCCCTGCTTATGGGTGTCTTGCTGCAGGGGGTGTGGGTATGGCTGCCGTGCAGCTGTGCCGTACAGTGGAGAATGTGACAGTGTTCGGAACGGCCTCGGCCAGCAAGCACGAGGCACTGAAGGAGAATGGGGTCACACATCCCATCGACTATCACACGACTGACTACGTGGATGAGATCAAGAAGATTTCCCCTAAAGGTGGGGGGCATAATATGGGAGGGGGTAGGGAGGCACAGGACAGGGAGGGGAGCTCCAGATCTGTGGATCCTAATGTTGTTCTTGGGTTCCCCTACTCTATGACAGGAGTGGACATTGTCATGGACCCTCTGGGTGGGTCAGATACTGCCAAGGGCTACAACCTCCTGAAACCCATGGGCAAAGTCGTCACCTATGGTGAGTTAGTGGGCCAGGGATGGAGAGAGCATGTGAGGGCAGGAGGGAGGGTCTAAGGGGTGGGATATAGAGGCCAGGGCTTTTGAATGAAGAAGGGGTAGGGACTCAGGTGCTCTGTAGACGATCAGGGTTAGGAATGGTCCTGTATGCTGCATTCAGATTGCTGACTCTTGGGTACCAGCTCTTTTCATTCTCTGTCACAACTTTTCATATGAGTGATAGTAAATTCTACATTCTTTTTTTTTTTTTTTTTTTTTTGAGATGGAGTTTCGCTCTTGTCGCCCAGGCTGGAGTGCAATGGCATGATCTCGATCAGTGCAACCTCTGCCTCCTGGGTTCAAGCGATTCTCCTGCCTCACCCTCCCGAGTAGCTGGAATTACAGGTGTCTGCCACCACGCCCAACTAATTTTTGTATTTTTAGTAGAGGCGGTGTTTCACCATGTTGGCCAGGCTGGTCTTGAACTCCTGATCTCAGGTGATCCAGCCGCCTCAGCCTCCCAAAGTGCTGGGATTATAGGCGTGAGCCACCACGCCTGGCCAAATTCTACATTCTTGTTTGGGGATTATTCTTGAACAACCAGCCTGCCTTCTTTCTGTCCTACCTCCCTGAGCATCTTAGGCAGGGTGCATTTTCATTTAAAAAAGTATTTCATACAACAAAATAAGCCAGGCATGGTGGCTCATGCCTGTAATCCCAGCACTTTGGAAGGCCAGGGCAGGCAGATGGCTTGAGCCTAGAACCCGCCTCCCGGGTTCAAGCGATTCTCCTGCCTCAGACTTCCTGAGTAGCTGGGATTACAGGCATGTACCACCATGCCCAGCTAATTTTGTATTTTCAGTAGAGACGGGGTTTCTCCATGTTGGTCACGCTGGTCTCGAACTCCTGACGTCCAGTGATCCGCCCACCTCGGCCTCCCAAAGTGCTGGGATTATAGGCGTGAGCCACCATACCCGGCCAACACCTGGCTAATTTTCGTATTTTTTAGTAGAGACAAGGTTTCACCATTTTGGGCAGGCTGGTCTCGAACTCCTGACCTCAAGTGATCCCCCCACCTTGGCTTCCCAGAGTGCTGGGATTATGGATGTGAGCCATAGCACCCAGCCCCTAGAGCAATTTAAAGTCAGCCAGGGTTGGTTTGGGCCTGGTAACCAGCAGTTTGAGAATTATCCAATCACTCCCTGGCACTGGTGTGGAGAATTGCAAGGGGATCACAGGGAACAGAGAGCACAGATGCAGACACACAGGGATGTGCCTGGGGGGGTTCACAGGCTATGTCACCTTGTCCTTCAGGAATGGCCAACCTGCTGACGGGCCCCAAACGGAACCTGATGGCCCTGGCCCGGACATGGTGGAATCAGTTCAGCGTGACAGCTCTGCAGCTGCTGCAGGCCAACCGGGCTGTGTGTGGCTTCCACCTGGGCTACCTGGATGGTGAGGTGGAGCTGGTCAGTGGTGTGGTGGCCCGCCTCCTGGCTCTGTACAACCAGGGCCACATCAAGCCCCACATTGACTCAGTCTGGCCCTTCGAGAAGGTGAATGTGAGGACTTTGCAGGGAGGGCTTGGGTAGGACTCATGAAGGCTGGGGTCCCAAGGGGCAGATTCCTGGGGAAGAGGAGGGCTGCCTGCATCACACTGGCTCTTGTTGGATGAGGGTTGGATAGCACTGGGAGCCGCATCTTTCCTTCCTCCCCAGGTGGCTGATGCCATGAAACAGATGCAGGAGAAGAAGAATGTGGGCAAGGTCCTCCTGGTTCCAGGGCCAGAGAAGGAGAACTAGGGCAAGTGGCTGTGAGACCCTAGAGACCAGCGAAGGGAGAAGTTGGGAAGCTACGTTCTGTTGGCCACCAGACTTGCATTTCAGCCTCTGTCATAATGCTCTGCCCTCCCTCCCCCGAAGGTCTCTGTGGTGATGACCGCTCTCCCCTGCCCCTCCCCGCTTCCTGACCTCTGAAGAGGTTGGGAAGTGACCATTTGGATGTCTGGGCCCTGCCAAGGCGACAGGGAGGGTCAGAGGGAGGCCGGCTGCTTCCTGCCCCCACCCTTTCCCCGGGCCTGCTGTGCTGCTTTTGTGCCAAGGTTAGCCAGTCCCCCCTGTTGTGTTCCATGTGCTTTCACCTCTGCCTCATCTTTCCTCCCGTCCCTGCCCCGCCACCTCCCCAAAGAATTGAAACGTCAGCTCAGGATATGGGGCCAATCTCTGTGAGTCCAGCATGTACCTGTCTCTCCCTAGTGTCCCTTCAGCCTGGGCTGACCAGTGCCCGCCTCTGGGCTTGACCAGTTCCCAATCTCGTCCTCTGTCCCCAACTTCTTAAGCACAATTGGGCTTCTTCCATCTCCAGGTTTTCTGCCATTCTTAACCAAGGCTGCCTCTTCCAACAGGGCGGGAATCAGACCTACTCCCCTAGGTCACAACTCTGGGAAGGATACAGAGCCCCCACCCTTCACTGAGTTCTCTGGATTTGTTCTCAGTGCCTTAGCAACGAAAACCTGTGCTTGTGTGTGTGTGGCGGCGGGGAGGGAGGATCCTGTTTCCCACCTCCTTCTCCTCCCCTGTACTCCCCAGTGCCTTCCTTGTTCTGGTGGAGCTGGGGTTTCTCTCCTCCCCAGTCCCACAACACTGCCAAAAATCTGTGTATGTGCCATTGGGTGGGGCAGCCCCAAGCCTCCTGGGGAGGCAGGGCAAAAACAGGTGCCCTCATCGTGGTCTGTGCCATGTCCCGTCTCTATGGTGGTTGAGGAGAAAGGCGGGGAAGCTTCCTCAGCCTTGCAGATATGTGTGGCATTTACTAGCCAGAGCTCTGAAAGGCAGTGCTGTCTGTTTCTTGTACTGGGACCAAAGTAAAAATCCAAGCACATTCCCCTTGCAGTTAGGGGAGGCCCTACTGCCTTCTCAAAGCAGAGAGGCAGCTTATCAAACTCAGCCCAAAACTCTGTTTACATGGGTGGGGAGATGGAGCAGGGAAGTACAGAGTGGGATGGTCAGGACCTGGGCCATTGCAACCAAAATGGGGACTTCCTGGGTAGGGAGGTCACTCCCTCTACTCACTGAGCTAGGATTAGGGAGGGTTATTGCCCCAACCATTGCAATGGGAGGTGGAGGGACAGGCTCAGCCTCCTCATTGTCTAAATGAGGCCTAAATGTGTGAAGTGCGATTTCTGCTTTTGTGTACCCCACCACCCCATTACCACAGCTGCCTTTGTGTGTTTGTGTCAATAAAAAGCCAAACCCTGGGTCCTGCTTGTTGCCTCTGAGAGTGGAGGGAAGGTGAGCTCCTGGAAGGCTAGTGCTGCCAGCAGAAGATCTGGGCTGCTTCCTGCCCCCTGCCTCTTTCCATGCCCAAATCACGTTTCCTTTCATGAGTGAAATGAGGAAGAACATCATGGCATGCAGGCTCTTTTTACTGTTCTGGGCAGTGTTTTGCAATGTGTGACCCCTCCGCACTGTTGGTGAACATACAGACCTCCTATATGGGCACCCAAGCCCAGGCCAGTGTGAGAACCTTGGCGGGGGGGTGGGGAGGATGAGAAGGGGAGGCCCCTAGCCTGACTCAGAGGTGAAGACTGCTAGGCCCTGCTGTCCTTGGGGTACGACTGTCAGGGCCTCTACCTCCCCGCCCCCGCGGGTGGGCTTCTGGAAGTGGATCTCCAGGACGTCATGCAGCTCCGGGCCATCCAAGATATCAGGAATGTTGAGCACCAGTACCGAGCGGGGAACTGGCTGCGACCTGATCTGGAAAAGGAGCCAGGAGATGGCAAAGGCTCATGGGAGAAGGGCTGGGGGCTGGGGGTAGGGCAGGCAGTGCCCCATGGGGGTATGAGGTCGGGAGGCCTGGAGAGGCTGATGGTGGGTAGGTAGGTCAGTGGGGTTTGGGGCCTCTGATCCTTCATTGGGCAAGTTCCTGGCAGGCAGACAGGTTACCCAGCCCAGCCCCTGTTCTTCACCCCTCCTGCTTACCTCAGCCTTCTGGATCTCCCCGTTCACATACGGAGAGACTCTCAGAGGGACTTGCTGCCCACCCAGTGGCACTGTGAACTGGCCGATTTGGCACAGACGCTGAGCCACTGTGGGGAGCAAGGAGGGGTGGGCCTTTAGCATCAAGCCCTCTCCTCTCCCTGCACCGTAATCTTGCACACCCTATACCCTCTCCCCTGCAGGAGGCCTGCATAGCCCTCACCTCCATCCCTAGCAAACCCCAGCATGACACTCCCTGGCAGTAGCTCCCGAACGTCCACATCGCCACCTCCGTTCCTAGTCTTGCCAAAGAAGATCTCTAGCTTGTCCAGCAGCTCCTCCTCACTCAGCCTGAGGCTGGCAGGAAATCCAGTGACCAACACCCTCCGGCCACTCAACTGGCTGGACATCTAGGGGGAGACAGCAAGGGGTGGTCCCAGACACAGCTCCACTTCCCCATGCCCAGGTGCATGGCATGCTTTGCATGCCCCAGGATTCTGTCATACCATCACCTGGATGGTGGTGACCATGGGCAGCTCCAAGGGCTGGACCTGCACCCGCAGCCGGCACTCCTCCATGTTGATCGTGTGCTCCTTTTGTTGCAGCACCTGCTCAGCCACTGGGTGGTGGGAAACAGGGTCAGTACTGGGAACCCTCCCCACCTCCCTCCTGAGGCTCCCCATGAGCTTACCTTTGGGGTCATCAAAGGTGATCAGAGCAGAGCCCGCAAGCAGAGGGCAGTGGATCCGCAAATTGGAAACTAAAGACTTAGGCACTTCCGGGTCCTGCTGGGTGTGTCCTCGGAATACCAGGGGGATCTTGGGCACTGAAAATGGGACCTGGAAGTAGGGGAGGGGAGTAGGAGTGTTCCTCACTCCCACCTAGGAGGAAGGCATCTCCGATTCCATTCCATTGATGCTGAGTGCCGGAGATAAATACATTTACTGAAAGAAAAGCTGGATAAATGAGTGGATGAATGCAGGTCTGGTCCATACAGGGCAATTTACATACAACATCTTAATTTGTCCTGGGAGGTGGGTAGCTCTACTTTACAGATGTTCAAGTAACATAATGGAGGTCACACAGCAAGGAAGTAGCAGAGCCAGGAATAAAACCGAGAACTCCCCAGCTCTTTTTTGTGTTTCTTTGTTTTAAAGGGAGTCTTGCTCTGTCACCCAGCTGGAGTGTAGTGGCATGATCTTGGCTCACTGCAACCTCCACTTCCCAGGTTCAAGCAATTCGGACTCAGCCTCCCAAGTAGCTGGGATTACAGGCATGTGCCACCAAACCCAGCTAATTTTTGTATTTTTAGTAGAGACGGGGTTTCACCCTGTTGGCCAGGCTGGTCTCAAACTGACCTCAGGTGATCCACCAGCCTCGGCCTCCCAAAGTGCTGGGATTACAGGCGTGAGCCACTGCGCCCGGCCTAATTTTTGTATTTTTAGTAGAGATGGGATTTCACTGTGTTGGCCAGGCTGGTCTCAAACTCCTGACCTGAGGTGATCAGGCCCCCTTGGCCTACCAAAGTGCTGGGTTTACAGGTGTGAGCCACCGCACCCGGCCTCGCCAGCTCGTTTTTACCAAACAACACCAGATCTCCCACCTTACCTTGTCTTTGGGGGAGTCCCCGAGCTCCTTTCTCAGCTGCTGCAGGTCCCACAGCCTCATCTTGAGTCTGGCCTGCTCCTCCTGAAGGGCGTGGAGGGCCTGTTGGGGCAGAAGGAAACAACAAGACTTCTACCCGCCCTTCCAGAGAATCAACAAGCCCAGGGGAAGTGGGGCCTATTCTGGACGCTCCAAAAGCAGAGTTGATGCTAAGCTCAAGAACAACCCAACCCCTTTGTGCTGCCCTGGGCTGGTCTTGGCCCCCTCCACCCAGGGCTTGGCTGGCCTCATCTCAGCTGCTCTTGAAAGGGCAGGAGCCTTTGCAGCGTCCATGACTTGTTCGTGACCACAGATCTAGAGTTCAACAAACACTGATTAAGCTCCTGCTAGAAAGTGCTCGGCACTGACACAGGCAGTGGAAGATAAGGGTACGACCCTCAGGCCTGCCAAACAGTGCTCAAGAGTACATGATCACATGACTGACTGTGAAGGGCAGCCGGAATTTGGAAGAGGGACAATCCCAAAGGGGTTAACCCAATTAGGGACACCTCCAAGAGGAGGGGAGACTAGTTGCAAAATGTCATACAGTCATATTCTTAACTAACGTTTACTAAGTACTTACTATATGCCAGGCACTGTGCTAAGCCCGTCTGATGAATTATTTCATTCAATTCTTAGAACAACAGGGTATCTAAGATAGATATCCTGTGATCCTTATTTTATTGATTTATTTTTTTAATTTTTATTTATTTATTTATTTTTGAGACAGAGTCTTGCTCTGTCTCCCAGGCTGGGGTGCAGTGGCGCGATCTTGGCTCACTGCAGCCTCCACCTCCCAGGATCAAGTAATTCTCCTGCCTCAGCCTCCCAAGTAGCTGGGATTACAGGCACCCACCACCACACCTGGCTCATTTTTGTATTTTTAGTAGAAACAGGTTTTCACCATGTTGGCCAGGTTGGTCTCAAACTCCTGACCTCAGATGATCTGCCCGCCTCGGCCTCCTAAAGTGCTAGGATTACAGGTGTAAGCCACAATGCCTGGCCAATCCTTATTTTATAGATGAGGAAATTAAAGCTCAGAGAGGTTAAATGACTTGCCCAAAGTCATTTGGCCCTAGGCTGTCTGACTCCAGAGCCCACCCACTAACCTGTGCTTTACAGTGAAGAAATGAAGCCCAGAGTGGGGAGGTAGTTTACCCATCAATTCTAGCTTGTCCCTGGACTGTCACACTTTCCACTGTACACCAAGTAACCTTTTAGGCTGGGTGTGATCTGGAATGGGTCCAGAGAGAGAACTGACATCACAGGCAGGGAAGTGACACCAGGGATACCAATAAATGCACCTTTGTTTGTGGAATAGAGCAGAGTTCACCCTGTGGTTAGGAATCCTGATAAAGAAGTTCAGCTCAGAGAAGCATGAGATCTCTTGGAAAGATAGGACTCTGTTCTGACCATCTCTGTATTCCTTGTGTCCAGCAAGATCTCCGGCACAAAATATGTGTCCGGTAAAACTGTGTTGAATGAAGAAATGAAGTGAATGAATGACGGTAAAGGAGCACATTACAGAGGACACCAAAGAAATTCAGTGTGAGTTTGTTCTATTTTTAGCAGAAGAATACTAGAGCTTGACCAAATTATGCTGGTTTATGAATAGTGAAAAAGATCATTAGTTATTCATATTTCTGTAACTCAGAGAGTGCTAACACAGTGCCTTTAAGGGCCAGTTGGATGACATTAATGAGTTAATAGAGCCATGTAGGATAACAGAGAGTGGTGGGGACTCTGACGCACTGGGAAGAGCATGTCCTTTCTAAAGTAAACTGCTTCTAGCCATAACAAAGTTTCCCCCCACAGCAAATCTACCCATGTTTTTGTTTTGTTTTGTTTTTTGAGACAAAGTCTCAATGCCACCCAGGCTGGAGTGCAATTGCTCCATTATGGCTCACTGCAGCCTCGACCTCCTGGAATCAATCAATCCTCTCATCTCAGCCTCCTGAGTACAGGCGTGTGCCATCATGCCAGCTATTTTTTTTTTTTCTTCTTTTTGGGACGGAGTCTCACCCTGTCGCCCAGGCTGGAGTGCAGTGGCGCGATCTCTGCTCACTGCAAGCTTCGCCTCCCAGTTCACTTCATTCTCCTGCCTCAGCCTCCCGATTAGCTGGGACTACAGGTGCCCGCCACCACGCCTGGCTAATTTTTTTGTATTTTTAGTAGAGACGGGGTTTCACCGTGTTAGCCAGGATGGTCTCGATCTCCTGACTTCATGATCTGCCCGTCTTAGCCTCCCAAAGTGCTGGGATTACAGGTGTGAGACACCGCGCCCAGCCCTCTATTTTTTTTTCTTTTCTGAGACGGAGTCTCCCTCTGTTGCCTAGGCTGGAGTGCAGTGGCGCAATATCGGCTCGCTGCAAACTCCACCTCCCGGATTCAACAGATTCTCCTGCCTCAGCCTCCCAAGTAGCTGGGATTACAGGCACCTGCCACCACTCCTGGCTAATTTTTTTTATTTTTTATTTATTTATTTATTTTGAGACAGAGTCTCGCTCTGTCGCCAGGCTGGAATGCAGTGGCAGGATCTCGGCTCACTGCGACCTCTGACTCCCGGGTTCAAGCGATTCTCCTGCCTCAGCCTCCCGAGTAGCTGGGACTACAGGCACGCACCACCATGCCCAGCTAATTTTTGTATTTTTAGTAGAGATGGGGTTTCACCATGTTGGCCAGGATGGTCTCAATCTCTTGACCTCGTGATCCACCCACCTCGGCCTCCCAAAGTGCTGGGATTACAGGAGTGAGCCACCGTGCCCGGCTCTAATTTTTTATTTTTAGTAGAGATGGGGTTTCACCATGTTGGCCAGGCTGGTCTCAAACTTCCCACCTGAAGTGATCTGCCCAACTCAGCCTCACAAAGTGCTGGGATTACAGGCAGGAGCCACGGACCCAGGCCCCCTAATCTTCCCATTTTTAATAGAAATAAAAAATCTGGGCAGGTTGTTGTGGCACATGCCTGTAATCCCAGCACTTTGGGAGGCCAAGGGAGGCAGATCGCTTGAGCCCAGGAGTCTGAGACCAGCCTGGGCAACAGGACAAAACTCTACCTCTACAAAATATTTAAAAATTAGCCAGGCATGGTGGCACATGCCTGTAGTCCCAGCTACTCGGGAGGCTGAGATGGAAGGATCTATTGATCCCTAGAGGTGGAGGTGGCTGCAGTGAGCCATGATCCAGCCACTGCACTGCAGCCTGGAAAAAACAGTGAGATCTTGTCTCCAAAAAACAAAAAATCTGGATTTTTATTTGAAAAAGATGGCCCAATTTAACGTATATAAAGCCGGGTGCTGTGGCTCAAGCCTGTAATCTCAGCATTTTGGGAGGCTAAGGGAGGCAGATCATGTGAGGTCAGGAGTTCGAGACCAGCCTGGCCAACATGCTGAAACCCTGTCTCTACAAAAAATTAGCCATGCTGGGCACGGTGGCTCACGCCTGTAATCCCAGCACTTTGGGAGGCTGAGGCAGGCGGATCACGAGGTCAGGAGTTCGAGACCATCCTGCCTAACACAGTGCAACCCCATCTCTACCAAAAATACAAAAAACTAGCTGGGCGTGGTGGCGGGTGCCTGTAGTCCCAGCTACTTGGGAGGCTGAAGCAAGAGAATGGCATGAACCCATGGGGCGGAGCTTGCTGTGAGCCGAGATCCTGCCACTGCACTCCAGCCTGGGTGACAGAGCGAGACTCCATCTCAAAAAAAAAAAAAAAAAAAAAAAATGAGCCAGGCGTGGTGGCATGTGTGCCTATAATCCCAGCTACTTGGGATGCTGAGGCAAGAGAATCACTTGAATCTGGAAGGCAGAGGTTGCAGTGAGCCAAGATCATGCTATTGCACTTCAGCCTGGGCAACAAGAGTGAAACTCCATCTCAAAAAAAAAAAAAAAAAAAAAAGGAAAGAAAAGTCCGGGCATGGTGGCTTACACCTGTAATCCCAGCACTTTGGGAGCTTGAGGGGGGCAGATCACGAGGTCAGAAGATCAAGACCATCCCGGCTAACACGGTGAAACTCCATTTCTACTAAAAATACAAAAAATTAGCCAGGCATGGTGGAACGTGCCTGTACTCCCAGTTACTTGGGAGGCTGAGGCAGGAGAATCGCTTGAACCCGGGAGGCAGAGGTTGCAGTGAGCCGAGATCATGCCACTGTACTCCAGCCTAGGAGACAGAGTGAGACTCCGTCTCAAAAAAAAAAAAAAAAAAGGGATTGTCCTTGGGGAACTGGGGTTCTGAAAAGGTTGGCAATAATAATATTAAGAAGAAACACATATTGAATGCTCTGTAGGTGCTAAGCAGTGGGATAAGTTTTTACCGTGTTAATCTATGGATTACCTAGTGTGATTCTTAAAGTATAATTCTTATAGTATATATATATATATATATATATATAAATTTTGTGTGTGTGTGTGTGTGAGAGACAGTCTCCCTCTGTTGCCCAGAGTGGAGCATAGTGGTACAATCTCGGCTCACTGCAACCTCTGCCTCCCAGGTTCAAGCAATTCTCCCGCCTCAGTCTCCCTAGTAGCTGGGATTACAGGTGTGTGCCACCATGCCTGGCTAATTTTTGTGTTTTTAGTAGAGATGGGGTTTTGCTATGTTGGCCAGGCTGGTCTCGAACTCCTAACCTCAAGTGATCCACACGCCTCAGCCTCCCAAAGTGCTGGCTGGGATTACAGGTGTGAGCCAACACACCCAGCCTAATTCCTTTAGTTTAATTTTTTTTTTTTTTTTTTTAGACAGAGTCTCGCTGTGTCACCCAGGCTGGAGTGCAGTGATGCAATCTCGGCTCACTGCAACCTCCGCCTCCCAGGTTCAAGTGATTCTCCTGTCTCAGCCTCCCAAGTAGCTGGGATTACAGGCGCACACCACCACACACAGCTAATTTTTTGTATTTTAGTAGAGACGGATTTTCACTGTATTGCCAAGGCCTCCCAAAGTGCTAGGATGACAGGCGTGAGACACCACGCCCGGCCTAGAACAATTGTTATTTGGGTCACAGAACCCGCTGAGTATCTGATGGAAACTACAGATTCTCTCTCCAGAGAAGTGTACACACACAGGATTTAATGAGCTCCTCCTGTCTGAGGCAATAGGTTAGGGAACCAACTCTTGCAGAGGCAACCCCAGCCCTGTGTTTCTCCCCAGCCCTTCAGCAGGTCTGAGATGGGCAGGGTGAGGCTTGGCTGCCAGGCCCTGAGATATCTGCAGGTTCCTAGCCAAGAGGATTACTCCTGTTTCCCCACTTCCCAACTCCCTCCTCCTCACTTACGGCATCCAGTGGGGCTGACATGGGTCTCGGGTCTGTTTGGCAAGAGCTGAGGCTTCAGAGCTGGGCACAGTGGCAGAATTCACAGCAACTGAACTCTTGTTTGTACCCCCCAAAGGGCTGTGGTCTCTCTCAGCCCCAGCAAGACCCGAAATACACCTCAGGAGGCTCTGCTCGCAGGCTGTTTGCTTCCACTTTCATTTCCGTGAAATCCCTGCCTTCTGGCGCTCACATGCCGCCCCCTGCCGAGGCTTCCCCACCCCTGGGAGGAGCCTTCTTGGTCAGCAAAGTCGACTTCACTCAGCCAGGCTGCCTCAAGGAAAGCCACCTCACCCCAACTGCAAACTGGCCCCCATCAACCATTCCCAGCAATCTCCGACAAGCCCATTGGTAGACCCTGCTTTGTCAATGGATTATTTCCCTAGAGCCTAGAATAATGCTGGGCACATTGAACATTGATAAAATAATTGCTGAATGAGCTGGGTGCGGCGGCTCACACCTGTAATCCCAGCATTCTGGGAGGCCCAGGCGGGCAGATCACCTGAGGTCAGGAGTTAGAGACCAGCCTGGCCAACATGGTGAAACCCCACCTTTACTAAAAAAATACAAAAATTAGCCGGGCGTGGAGGTGCATTCCTGTAATCCCAGCTACTTGGGAGGCCGAGGCAGGAGAATAGCTGGAACCCGGAGGCAGAGGTTGCATTGAGCTGAGATGGTGCCATTGCACTCCAGCCTGGGTGACAAGAGTGAAACTCCATCTCAAAAAATAAATAAAACAATAATTGCTGAATGAATGAGAAACACAGTCAGGACAGATAACGCCCATAGTTCAAGTTCACAAAACTGCCGGGTGCGGTGGCTCACACCTGTAATCCCAGCACTTTGGGAGGCCCAGGTGGGCAGATCACCTGAGATCCCAAGTTAGACACCAGCCTGGCCAACGTGGTGAAACCCCGTCTTTACTAAAAAAATACAAAAATTATCCGGGTGTGGTGGTGTATTCCTGTAATCCCAGCTACTTGGGAGGCCGAGGCAGGAGAATAGCTGGAACCTGGGAGGCAGAGGTTGCATTGAGCCAAGATCGCGCTGTTGCACTCCAGCCTGAGTGACAAGAGCGAAACTCCATCTCAAAAAATAATAATTGCTGAATGAATGAGAAACACAATCAGGACAGATAAAGTCCACAGTTCAAGTTCACAAAACTGCCAGGCGCAGTGGCTCATGCCTTGTAATCCCAGCACTTTGGGAGGTCCAGGCGGGTGGATCACGAGACCATCCTGGCCACCATGGTGAAACCCTGTCCCTACTAAAATACAAAAAATTAGCCGGGCCGGATCACACCACTGCACTCCAGCCTGGGCAACAGAGTGAGATTCTGACTAAAAAAAAAAAAAAAGTGCCAATCCCAGCAGCTGGGCCCACTGGTAACATGTGCCTATAGTTCCAGCAGGTTGAGGCAGGAGGACTGCTTGAGCCCAGGAGTTCGAGGCCAGCCTGGGCAACACAGTGAATCTTGTCTCTTAAAAAAAAAAAAAAAAAAAAAAAAAAGGCTGGGTGCAGTGGCTCACGCCTGTAATCCCAGCACTTTGGGAGGCTGAGGCGGTGAATCACTTGAGGTCAGGAGTTTGAGACCAGCCTGACCAACATGGGGAAACCCTGTCTCTACTAAAAATACAAAAATTAGCCGGGCGTGGTGGCATGCGCCTGTAGTCCCAGCTACTCGGGAGGCTGAGACGGGGGAATCGCTTGAACCCGGGAGGCGGAGCTTGCAGTGAGCCGAGATCGTGCCACTGCACTCCAGCTGGGTGACAGAGCGAGACTCTGGCTCAAAAAAAAAAAAAAGAAAAAAGTTCACAAAACTGTTAACAGTGGCCAGCAAGGAGAGCTATCGTCTGCCCAACACGCTTGTGCCTTACATGAATTAACTCTTCAAAACAATGCCATGAAGTTGGTTCTATTTTCTTCACTTTACAGATGAGAAAATTGAGGCACAGAGCATTAGAAACTTGCCCAAGGTCACAGGGCTAGGAATCAAAGCATGGATCCAAACCTGGTAGGAACAGTATTTACACTTGGGCCTTGAGGTAGAGTGGAAAAAAATTTGCTGTATTTTTCCTCAAAAGTTTTAAATTCAGCCCCATTTCTGTGACCCTGAGTAGGCAAGCTACTTAATAGAAGTCTGTCTCAATAGAGATGCCTTAATACTTAAGTGTGTGAAGATTCAATTAAAAAGTTTCCTGGCTGGGTGCAGTGGCTCACACCTGTAATCCCAGCACTTTGGGACGCCAAGGTGGGTGGATCATGAGATCAGAAGTTCAAGACCATCCTGGCCAACATAGTGAAACCCCATCTCTTCTAAAAATACAAAAATTAGCTGGGTGTGGTAGCACACTCCTGTAGTCCTAGCTACTTGGGAGGCTGAGGCAGGAGAATCGCTTGAACCCCGGGGCGGGGCAGAAGTTGCAGTGAGCCGATAGTGCCACCTCGCTCCGGACTGGGTGGGTGAAAGAGCAAAACTCCATCTTAAAAAAAAGTGGCTGGGCGCGGTGGCTCACGCCTGTATTCCAGCACTTTGGGAGGCTGAGGTAGAACGATCACAAGGTCAGGAGATCCAGACCATCCTGGCTAACACGGTGAAACCCCGTCTCTACTAGAAATACAAAAATATTAGCCGGGCATGGTGGCAGGCGCCTGTAGTCCCAGCTACTCGGGAGGCTGAGGCAGGAGAATGGCGTGAACCCGGGAGGCGGAGCTTGCAGTGAGCCGAGATCGTGCCACTGCACTCCAGCCTGGGCAACAGAGCAAGCCTCTGTCTCAAAAAAAAAAAAAAAAAGTTTCCTAGTAACCTAGCCCAAAGTTTTTTCCAGTTACTCACCAATCCTACTTTTGGCCCCTTCCCGCCACCCCGCCCCCTCTGGTTCCCAAGTGCAAGTGTGGTACCTAGCAGACTTGGCAAACTGGCCTGTTTGAATCTTAGTTCCCTCTAGCGACAGAACCATTCAGATGGAGCACCTATTTCATTCATGAAACATGACTAGTTACAGTCCATTGAGAGATAAAATGCCAGATCCTAAGAACCAAATGTCTCTCCTGCACTACACAGTAGTGGCACAACCCAATGCCCCAAAGCTCCTTTGATCACTTTCTTTCAAGTCTCTGCCAGCCAGGCCATTTGAGGAGCACTCCCTTGTCCTATTAAACAGCTGCTCTAGGCTCAGGGATTCACCAAAGGCATCTGTCGTTACCACCAGGAGCAGGTCTCCAGGGTGGTCCCCATCTCACCTACACCAGTACCAGTGTCACCTGAAAACCTGCTAGAAACTCAGACCTACTGGATCAGTCTGAGGGCAGGATTTCAGCAATCCGTGGTTTAACAAACCATCCAGGTGACCTCTATCTGTGCTAAGGTTTGAGAATTTCAGGTTAGTGGTTCTCAATCAAAAATACCTGATCCCCACCACTCAGGGGCCTTTGGTTGTCACAAGGAGGGGCAGAGTGTGTGTGGCAGAGGTTCTCCTGGCATGTAATGGGTAGAAGCCAGGGAGGCTACACAATTCTTCACAGGGATTATCAGGCTAAGGACAGAGGCAGCATAAATCTCATTAAGGCAGATTTAACATTTTCCCAGCCCCTCATCCATCACCCAGCGTCTTTTTTTTTTTTTTTTTTTGAGATGGAGTCTTGCTGTTGTCAGACTGCAGTGCAGTGGTGCTATCTCAGCCCTCCCTGCAACTTCCGCCTCCCGGGTTCAAGCAATTCTCCTGCCTCAACCTCCCGAGTAGCTGGGACTACAGGCGTGCACCACCAGGCCCAGATAATTCTTAGTATTTTTTAGGAGAGACAAGGTTTCACCATGTTGGCCATCTCTTGACCTGGTGATCCGCTCGCCTTGGCCTCCCAAAGTACTGGGATTACAGGCGTGAGCCACCGTGCCCAGCCCACCCAGTGTTTCCTATTCAATAATGTTCTCCTTTTCACAGTCTGGTAATACATACAGCATGCAGACACAGGCTTTTTTTCTTTATAATTTTTAATGATCAAAACAAAGCATCTAAAACCGCAGTTTCTGGAAGAACCACTTGTTCTTGCCTGTCTTGTATCTAGAAGGGAAAAAAAGAGGACACCAATGAGGAAAGGAATGGAAATAGTGAAACCATACTCCACCATTCACTACCAAAGCCTACTTACCTCTCTTCAAACTTGACCTTGGCCTCCCGTCGGGCCTTGCGTTTAAGAGCAGGATCTCTGAAGACATCCTTATTGACGACAGTTTTGTCCAAGGGGATATCCACAGAGTACCTGGGGACAAAGGTGGAGAGGCAGGATTAGCCCACATACTGCCGGGGCCCCTATACAGCCCAAATCCTTGTGGGACACTAGGGAATCAGGGTCTGACTCCTTAGAAGCAACCATCAAAAGCCATGTCCCGATGACATTATCTGAAAATTCACACTTTTTTTTTTTTGAGACGGAGTCTGAATCTTTCGTCCAGGCTGGACTGCAGTGGTGTGATCTCAGCTCATTGCAAGTTCCGCCTCCCGGGTTCACGCCATTCTCCTGCCTCAGCCTCCCGAGTAGCTGGGACTACAGGTGCCCGCCATCAGGCCTGGCTAATTTTTTGTATTTTTTTAGTAGAGACGGGGTTTCACAGTGTTAGCCAGGACGGTCTTGATCTCCTGACCTCGTGATCCGCCCGCCTTGGCCTCCCAAAATGCTGGGATTATAGGCGTGAGTCACCGCATCCGGCCTGAAAATTCACTTTTAACATTTATTGGATTCAAGCCAATAAAATGTAAAATTCAATGTTTCATTCTCAATTTCCCACAACTACTTTATTTTTCTAGCTAAGAATCATCAAATGAGGCCCTCCCCCACTTTTTGAGACACAGTCTCGCTGTTGCCCAGGCTGGAGTGCAGTGGCGCAATCTCGGCTCACTGCAACCTCCGCCTCCTAGGTTCACGCCCTTCTCCTGCCTCAGCCTTGCGAGTAGCTGGGACTACTACAGGCGCCTGCCACCATGCCTGGCTAATTTTTTGTACTTTCAGTAGAGACGGGGTTTCACTGTGTTAGCCAGGATGGTCTCGATCTCCTGATCTCGTGATCCGCTTGCCTCGGCCTCCCAAAGTGCTGGGATTACAAGCCTGAGCCACTGTGCCCGGCCAAATTAGGCCTTCTTGACTTTCATCATGACAGTTAGCTAACTTTCTACTTGAAATCATTTCCTTATTGTTCAAGTTCTGCCAATGCAGTCACTCTCATGACAGCCCAAACACTAGCTGCCTCAACCCCACCACATCCCAGCACCCAAGAAACAGCTCTCTCTGCCCTTTTATTATTATTTTTATTTTTTGAGATGGAGTCTCGCTCTGTCACCCAGGCTGGAGTGCAGTGGTGCCATCTCAGCTCACTGTAGCCTCCACCTCCCAAACTCAAGCGATTCTCCCACCTCAGCCTCCGGAATAGCTGGGATTACATGTGCCAGCCACCATGCCCAGCTAATTTTTTTTAGTAGAGATGAGATTTCATCACGTTGGCCAGGTTGGTCTCGAACTCCTGACCTCAAGCGATCCACCTGCCTCGGCCTCCCAAAGTGCTGGGATTACAGGCGTGAGCCATGGTGTCCGGCCTCTCTCTGCCCCTTTAGGTCAGCCAACCCAGAGTAAATGTGCAATACCAGCAGCAAACTTTAAGGTGCATGCTGCTGGGTTCTGGCAATTATTGTTCAGGACTTTCTCAATTCTCGCACCTCTTTTGCTGGAGGTGCAGTGGTGTGATCTCGGCTCCCTGCAATCTCCACCTCCCAGGTTCACCGTGTTAGCCAGTGCGGTCTCGATCTCCTGACCCTGTGATCCGCTCGCCTCGGCCTCCCAAAGTGCTGGGATTGTAGGCGTGAGCCACTGTGCCCGGCCTTGCACCTCTTTGAGACGGAGCTTTGCTCTCCTTGCCCAGGCTGGAGTACAATGGTGTGATCTTGGCTCACTGCAACCTCCACCTCCCGGGTTCAAGCGATTCTTCTGCCTCAGCCTCCCAAATAGCTGGGATTACAGGATTACCATGCCCAGCTAATTTTGTATTTTTAGTAGAGACAGGGTTTCACCATGTTGGTCAGGCTAGTCTCAAACTCCTGACCTCAGGTGATCCATCCGCCTTGGCCTCCCAAAGTGATGGGATTACAGGCGTGAGCCATTGTGCCCGGCCTCTTGTACTTCTTAAAAAACACTTGTACTGGCCGGGCACGGTGGCTCACGCCTGTAATCCCAGCACTTTGGGAGGCTGAGGTGGGCAGATCACGAGGTCAGGAGATCGAGACCATCCTGGCTAACATGGTGAAACCCCGTCTCTACTAAAAATACAAAAAAAAAAAAATTAGCCAGGTGTGGTGGCAGGTGCCTGTACTCCCAGCTACTCGGGAGGCTGAGGCAGAAGAATGGTGTGAGATCCCGCCACTGCACTCCAACCTGGGCGACTCCGTCTCAAAAAAAAACAAAACAAAACAAAACACTGTACTAAGACAGTGTATGTCCCCAGACTAAAGGGCCCAACAGGTGAGTAAAATTAATTGGGGAAGACTTGCTTTCACGCACTCACAGACTTTTTGAAACCTATTGTATTTATCCTTGAGGGTGGAACAGTGGAAGAGGGCAGATCAGACCCCATGCCTGTGTTTACTGTGGATGGAAAACAATCTTTACCCAACACTTAAAAGATGGATCAAAGGCAAAACTGGAAACCATAGCCACTTTATGAGTTGAAGATGAACATTTTGGAAATGATATCCCTTCCTGGTGTTGGAATGGCTGCAAGGTCTGTCTCATTATTCAACAGAGCAGGGAGAAGAAATTTAAATTCTAGTTCTTGAAATGCTCACCTTGTGGGCATTAGGTGATTGTAGTTATACACTTTCACAAAAGATTTTATCTTTGATCTCTTGGCGATCTTCTTCTTGCCCATGGCAGCTGTCACTTTGCGGGGGTAGCGGTCAATTCCAGCCACCAGAGCATGGCTGTAGGGGCGATCTGAGGTGCCATCATCAATGTTCTAAATGAGTAAGAATTACATTTGTTATTCACTGAGGGCCTATTTAGGCCCTGTGTTAGAGGTAGTGCAGTGTCCAAAAAATATTTCCACCCTCAGGTCTCCAAGATCCACCATTATAAAGAGAAAAATCACAGAAAGCTATGAGAAATGACCAAAGAGAAACAGAACAGTGTTTATCTCCATCAGGAAGCATCTGGAACGGCTTACTAGAGGTAAGAGATTTAAAAGTAGCAACAGTTAACATTTAAGAAGTACTTGCTATATGCCAAGCACTGCTCACAGGACTTGGTATCTATTCACTTGCTCCACTGCTAGTGAAGTGTACAGCCAAGGTTAAGACACCACAGCCTAACTCCAGAGATCAGTCTCAGGAGATGGGAGAGGGGAATCCAGGGGTACTCCAGTGTCCCCACAACAACAAAACGCAGTGGTGTATGTGGCCAGAGCCTAGGGAACTCTCTCAAGAAGCTACAAAATCATGGATAAGAGGAAAACAGTGAGGGGCTATGTGACCTTTCTAAAAGCAATTTCCTCCTCTTCTTACAGATTCCCAGCTGCAGCACTTCAGGTAAATAACAGAACACCTCCAAACCTTAGCAACAGGAAGGAACCCCCTATAGCTGGGGATGGTGGCACGCACCTGTAGTCCCAGCCACTCGAGAGGCTGAGATGGGAGACTCGCTTGAGCCCGGGAGGTCGAGGCTGCAGTGATCACGCCACTGCACTTAGCCTGGACAGAGATCCCGTCTCAAAAAAAAAAAAAAGAAAAGAAAAGAAAAGGAATCCCCTATGATTACTTCAAGGACTGCACATGACAATACCTGAAAGGCAGTGGGAGCACATAGCAAGCGTGCAATGTCAGCCACTATTACTATATATTTAAAGCCTCTGGTGGAGAAGGCTTTATGCGTTGGGAGCCCAATTCAGCTCACATTTGCTTTTACTGTGCTTCTTCCTCTCTCAAAAACTCTCCCACGTTCACCCTGACCGTGCTCACTGGCTACTGCCCCAGAAACAGGCCTTGAATTCCAAGCCTGCCCGCCCCGCCGCAGCCAGCCTGGTCCCGGCATGCAAGGACGCAGAGTCCCGCGAGGCTGATACCTTCACGATGACAGCTTTGCGTCCGGAGTAGCGTCCAGCCAGGACAAGCACCACCTTCCCAGGTTTCATGAACTTGCCCATTTCTGCAGAGAGCAAGGAGAAAGGGCCACTTAAAAATCCGTAAAGCCAAAGATGCCCAGAGCTGACTCCTGCCAGCAAGCCCAGGTCTTGGGCCGGAACTTCAGACTGTGTTCACTGTCGCCTTGGTCAAGGCCGCCCGAGGGCCCTGCTCGCAGGACAGGATCGGATACGTAGCCGCCAGAGACCTAGGGAAGGAATGCACCCGGCGCCGCCCGGACCTTCGACCCCCAAGCCGCGGATGGCAGCGGATTGAAAGATTCAACCCAAGCTTCTACTTACCGGCAGCAACCACCCGGCCCTACCAGCAAAAAGGAAAGAAGGACACTTCCGCTAACCTTTCACCCCGGTGAGGAGTGACCTCACTTCCTGTCCCGCCCTTCAGGCTTTGCCACGCTGATTGTGTGGTGCTGAGTCTCGTGTTGCGGGCGGAAGAAGCTCATGAGGGAAACGCAGGGCGCGGCAGCTCAAGTATTCGAATGAAACTTTATTAGCAGCTCCAGCAGTAGACAAGAGCAAAGGAGACTCCTCCCGGCCGACGGAAGAGCTGGGAGGGCGACTGTGCTGTGCGCTCTGGACTCAGCAGCTAGGCTTTGTTGTAGTTCCTTTCTCTGGCGCTAGGAGGGGGAACACAATCTGAAATTTACTTTTTCTCTTGGGAGACACAGGGAAAAAAATAGGGCATTTATTGGTGCCTGTCGGGGGCACTGTTAGCTAAAGAGGGAGGGACAAAGATCAGTAAGGGTGGCTGGTCCGATAGTAGTGGGTTATCAGAACTTATCAACGTTAGGGTCACTAAAGTTGGTATACAACCCCCCACTGCTAAATTTGGTTTTAAAAAAACAAACAAAAAGGATATTTACCCCCAACAGTTAAAGTCTAGTGGTGTCACTGACATTACCAACTAGAATAAGCATGAGGGAGGTAGAGGAGAAGAATGGCAGCTGCTTACCCTGTGCCAGGTCAGGTTAATCTATTTATGCACATCATCTGATTTGGTCATCATAACACTAAGAAATAGATACTATTATCTCCATTCTAGAGTCGAGGAAACTGGCTTAGAGAGATTTGCCCGAAGTCTATAGTGGTTAAATAGTGGAGCTGGGGCTCAGCCTCAAGCAGTTCAACTCCTGAACCCATACTGTTTACCATGTCACCATCCTGAGCAGCGATTCTCTCCCAGGCAAGATGTGAGCACTTTATACAAGCCGGCAGCCTGTTTAATCCTCACAACTCTGCATCTTGGGCATTCTCCTCCCATTTAGACATGAGGAAATTGCAATTCAGAGAGGATAAATTGCTTGTCTGAGGTTAATCCTAATCAGTGGCATAGATGGGATTCAAATCTAGGTCTGAATCTAGGTCTAGTTGGCTCTCAAACTGAATTATTTCCCATCACTCACCAGAAGAGTGTTTTCACATGGTACCTTATGTGCTTTCCGAGTTTAAGGGAAAGATAAACTATCTCACAGTTTTTGCTTATCTGAACCTATAGGATTTGTCTTGGGCAAGATGTGGAACAACCAGGATTTCATCAGTTCTCTCCTGAAGCTCTCCAGTGATACAATTTTCCCTGTATCCCTCAGGATCCCATTGCAATGGCTTTTGTTTTGTTTTTTGAGACAGGGTCTCGCTCTGTCACCCAGGCTGAATGGTGTGTAGCACAATCATGGCTCACTGTAGCCTCAACCTCCTGGGCTCGTGATCCCCCCACCTCAGCCTCCTGAGTAGCTAGGACTTCAGGTATGTGCCACCATGCCCGTGTAATTTGAAGAAAAAAACAAAAACAAAATCAAAGAACTTTTTTTTGGTAGAGATGGGGACTCACTATATTGCCCAGGCTGGTCTCAAAAACTTCTGGGATTAAGTGATCCTCCTACCTGAGCCTCCCAAAGTGTTGGGATTACAGGCGACGCAGCACCGTGCCCGGCCCCATTACAATTTTTTTTTTTTTCAGACGGAGTCTCATTTTGTCACCCAGGCTGGAGTGCAGTGGCGCGATCTCAGCTCACTGCAACCTCCACCTCCCGGGTTCAAGCGATTCTCCTGCCTCAGCCTCCTAAGTAGCTGGGACTATAGGCTCCTGCCACCACACCCGGCTAATTTTTATATTTTTTGTAGAGATGGAGTTTCGCCATGTTGGCCAGGCTGGTCTCGAACTCCCAGCCTCAAGTGATCCGCTTGCCTCGAACTCCCAAAGTGCTGGGATTACAGGCATGAGCCACCACGCCTGGCCTCCAATGGTTTTTAAAATGTCTTTTTCTTATATATTTCATTTTTTAAAGAGATGAGGTCTTGCTATGTTGCCGGGCTTGAATGCAGTGGCTATTGACAGGTGTGATGTAGCTTCAAACTCCTAGCCTCAAGCGATCCTCCCATTTCAGCTTCCCAAGTAGCTAGGACTAAGCCACCTTACCCTCCAAATCAAATCAGTAACTAAATCCTCTGAATTTTGTCTTATGTCTTTTATTTTTGAGATGGAGTCTCACTTTGTTGCCCAGGCTGGAGTGCAGTGGCATGATCTTGGCTCACTGCAATCTCCGCCTCCTGAGCTCAAGCAGTTCTCCTGCCTCAGCCTCCCGAGTAACTGGGACTACAGGCGCATGCCACCACGCCTGGCTAATTTAGTATCTTTAGTAGAGATGGGGTTTCACCATGTTGGCCAGGCTGGTCTCGAACTCCTGACCTCAGGTGATCCACCCACCTTGGCCTCCCAAAGTGCTGGGATTACAAGCGTGAGCCACCATGCCCAGCGGGATGCTTGTTATTTTTTTTGAGACGGAGTCTCCCTCTCGCTCCCAGGCTGGAGTGCAGTGGCGAGATCTCGGCTCACTGCAAGCTCCGCCTCCCGGGTTCATGCCATTCTCCTGCCTCAGCCTCCCGAGTAGCTGGGACTACAGGCACCCGCCACCACGCCCAGCTAATTTTTTGTATTTTTTAGTAGAGACAGGGTTTTACCATGTTAGCCAGGATGGTCTTGATCTGCTGACCTTGTGATCCACCCGCCTAGGCCTCCCAAAGTGCTGGGATTACAGGTGTGAGGCACCGCGCCTGGCCCCCGGGATGCTTATTAAAGAAGTATCTCCAACCTCAGAGATAGTCATTCTGGTCTGGAGTGGAGCCATATGATCTATAGATCTTATTTTGAGCAACAGCTTTAAACAACTCTTTTTCTTGAAAAGTTCTTCACTTTTCTTGAACTCCATTGTTGGCTTATTCAATAGTATGAACTTTCACTCCTTTCCTTCCTTACTACCTTTCCTGCAGCATAAATTTCTGACTCCCCCACCCTTCACATACCCCCTGGGCTGTTCCTTGTGTCTTTTTCTTCCTCTCCAAGTAACCAGGCAAAATCCTATTCAAATTCTATCCATCCTTCAAGGTTATTCCAGAATTCTCCCAGGCAGAATTAATCTCTCCTTTCTCTGGGCTCTCTCAGCAATCCAGTCTGTACTTACCTTTATTAGAGAACATAATCTTAGTTTGGATATGAGTGGTTCTCATCTCAAAGTGTGGTTCCCAGAGCAGCAGCATCACCATAACCTAGGAACTTGTTAGAAACCAAATTCTCAGGCCCCACCCCAAAACAACTCAATAAAAAACTCTGGGGATGGGACCCAGCAATCTATATTTTAACAGTCTCTCCAAATCTCCAATTGGTATGGTATCTCCTTTGCTAGACTGTGTTTGTTGAGGGCACGGGGTAGGTTTACTTTTCTCTTTCTTTAGCATCTAGTCTAGGCAGGCAGTTGCTAAGTGATCAATAGTGAATGAATGATTGGAGAGCACCTTAGACGGCTTTAACAATACTTTGCAGATCATACTTGTACAACACACCCTACATTTCCACTGCATACATATCCGTGGCTCTTGACCCTTCCATTCTTGCATATCCTTGGATCTGGGTGGACTGGCCTGCCTCTCCTCCCTTGTCCTGTCTCACCCTAAGTGAAGGACAGAGCTCTGTTCTCAGTAATGACAGATGATATCAGAGCTTAGCAGATATCTGACTGCAGGGATGCTGATGGAATTGTTGGGTTGTCTCAGTTGATACACACATTTAGGTTTCAAGAACTTAGACATGAAAGTCATGGCTGCCGGCCTGTCTCCCTGCAGCCTTGTCCTTTGGCAGCTGAAATTTCTGGCAGTTGTGTAGAAAATACCTTCTCCTCCCCAAAGTGAGGGGAGGAATGAGGGTGGTGGATAAAGGAGAAAGAGAAACCAAAATCTAGAAACAACATGATACAATGAAGTGAAAAGATAGACTGTGGGCTCTGGATTCAGAAAACTTGACTCCAAATCTCAGGTCTTCCATCATCATGTAAACCAGGACAAAATATTTAACCTCTCTGCAGTTCAGTTTCCTCAGCTGTAAAGTGGGGATAATACTGTCCCACTTTGTAAGTAGTGAGAATTTAATTAGAATGAGACAAATGAAAATGCTTCCTGTAATGCTAGCACAAAGCCTTAATACAAGTTTTGTTTTTGTGATTTGAAAAAGGCAATACTGGGGTGATCGCTGGGCTACGCCATATGGCTATACCAGTTACCACCCAAAGTGATATCCAGACAAGTGGATTTAAAAGTGCCAATCCTGGCTGGGTGTGGTGGCTCACGCCTATAATCCCAGCACTTTGGGAGGCTGAAGTGGGTGGATCACCTGAGGTCAGGAGTTCGAGACTAGCCTGACAAATGTGGTGAAACCCTCTCTATTAAAAATACAAACATTAGCCAGGCGTGGTGGCAGGCGCCGGTACTCCCAGCTACTCAGAAGGCTAAGGAAGGAGAATCGCTTGAACCCAGGAGGCGGAGGTTGCAGTGAGCTGAGATCACGCCATTGCACTCCAGCCTGGACAACAGAGCGAGACTCCATCTCAAAAAAAAAAGGTCTCCATTCCAAAAGCAGCATGTGTGATGACATCTGTTGTGGGGAGGGACTACAGGCGTGGGCAGGAGGAGATGGTCATGCCAAGGGGACTTTTTAGTGAATTTTTTCAGGCAAAAAACCCCTACTACCACCACCAAAGCTGAGATGATCCGTAACAGAGGACAGAGGATACAGGCAGTTTTCAAAAAAATATTGATCTGGATCAGATGGGCTGATAAGGCCCAAACACTTATAAACCAAAGCTGCAGATCTCTAAGGTCTTCAGAGAAGCTACACAAAATACTATGATTTCATTAGCATCCACATATGTATCATTTTCCACAACATTTTACAATTCTCTTGTTTCACAGGGAAGGTGAACTAATTATAATGAAATATCAGTAATGTATCTTAAATAAGTAACATGTTGCTGGAAAAAATTTAAGTTAAAATGCACTACATAATAGTGCAGAAACAAAGTGCAGGTGGCAATTTTAAGACATGAAAACAATGCTGAATCAGTAGTGTTTGGAGTGATACATTTTGCCCATTTTTGGCCAGTCCTAGAACAGTACTCACCACAAGCTGCATGCCAAATATGAACTAACGAGGCTAAAACACTGAAGACCAAATAGAACCACTCTAGAGTCTGTTTCACAATGAGATACTCCTCCCCGTTCTGGAAACAGCGATCTGCTGTAGTTCCTATCCTCCTGTGGCACCTATCCCTGCTACAGTACCTATAACCAGATGTCCTCCATCATCCAGCCTCCAGGACAAGTGGTGCTCAGTGAGTCACAACCTGAGGAACAGCTGCTGGTTACCGATTTGTATTCCTGTATATACTCGACTTGGGTAGCCAGGATTTTCTCGTTTGTCTTGAATATATTTACTTCTAAAAAGACTGTTAGTCTTGTTGGGAGGTGAGCAGAGGAATGTTTACTTGCTGGAGAACATAGTAACAAACATCACTTCTCACCCCTCATAAACAGAAAGCCCATTGTCTGTGCCATGAAAAGAGGACTACCTTGTCAGGAAGATTTTACTTACCTCTACAAGAAAAAGGACTCGTATTAAAATCGACCTGTGGTTACCACCCTTAGAAATGCTGTTTTCAGATATTCCTATTCCTAGTCTTAGAGGCAGCCATGGAATATATAGTCTCCTCTGACCTTGGGGTCAGGAAGAAAGGGAAATCTATTCATAAAAGGAATTTAAATTCTGGCCTAGGCCTCTCAAACCTGCTTCAAGTGAAAGAAGATAGCTTAACTAACAGGAGCCTCAAGTTGAATGTCTTTTTTTTTTTTTTTTTTTTTTTGAGATGGAGTCTCCCTGTGTTGCCCAGGCTGGAGTGCAATGGCATGATCTTGGCTTACTGCAGTCTCCACCTCTCGGGCTCAAGCGATTCTCCGGCCTCAGCCTCCTGAGTAGCTGGGATTACAGGCATGCACTACCCCGCCTAGCTAATTTTTGTATTTTTAGTAGAGATGGGGTTTCACCATGTTGGCCAGGCTGGTCTTGAACTCCTGACCTCAGGTGATCCGCCCACCTCAGCCTCCCAATGTGCTGAGATTACAGGCGTGAGCCACTGTGCCTGGCCTGATTCCTTTAATACAGGCTCAAGCACAAGTGCCCACACGTATACTGTGGGTACAACCTTCTTTTTTTTTTTGAGACGGAGTCTCACTCTGTCGCCCAGGCTGGAGTGCAGTGGCGCGATCTTGGCTCACTGCAAGCTCCGCCTCCTGGGTTCACGCCATTCTCCTGCCTCAGCCTCCCGAGTAGCTGGGACTACAGGTGCCTGCCACCATGTCCGACTAATTTTTTTGTATTTTTAGTAGAGATGGGGTTTCACCGTGTTAGACAGGATGGTCTCGAACTCCTGACCTTGTGATCCGCCCGCCTCGGCCTCCCAAAGTGCTGGGATTACAGGTGTGAGCCACCGCGCCCGGCCTGGCAGAACCTTCTTAACAAGAGGGTCCCTCCAGCACATCTTTCCGAGAGCTAAGTTGGTGGGGAAAACAGACTTTGCACTCATTTGGCCGACTGCCTGAGCAGGGTCTGGGAAAAATGCCTTTAACCCCACCTCTGATTCCTTGCTCCTATGCTAGAAGACTAGCACATCTATCCCTACTGAACAAGGAGCTTGTCTGGGGTTAGGGCACTCTCATCAAAAGGCATCTTTGATGTTTTTGAGCTGGCGCACAGCCAGATCTACAGGGAGGCTAAACTTGAGGCTGCTGAGGCGACTGAGCAGGTTGAGGGCACTCTCAAAGCCTGTGTGTGCCATGTAGCTCCAGGGCTGGTAGTGAGGCTCGATGAGTGACCCGGACTTGCAGATGAGGTTCACCCAGGACACCAGACGCTGCTCATTCAGTGCCATGCACACCAAGGCCTTCAATTCTGAGTCTGCACTGCGCTTAAAAGGGTCATGCTCTGTCAGCACCATGTGGATGGCTGTCAGTAGGCTCTGTTTGGGGGTGACAACAGTGCCTCCCGTAACAGGAAGGGCGAAGGACTGGGAGAGCTTCCGGGCTGGGGATTCCACATAAGCACGGCCGTTCTTAGCATGGTAGTACTTTACAAAGAGCTCCCACGGGTGCATGGCCTCTGGGGCCGAGGAGAAGGCTGGCAGCAAACAAGCAATAGGAGCCATAACAAGGCTCATCCCTGGGGAGGAGGCATACAGTCCATGGGCCAGCAGGTCCCTCACAGCCACCGTTAGCTCCTTCCGCACAGCCATAGTCAGCTCATCCTTGCCTCCCAGAGAGAGGTCCTGGAGGTTGGCAGAGGTGATGACATGGTCATGTGGCTGCTGCCTCAAGGCTAGCTGCTTCACTCTGTCCACTGACACCTCCAGCCTCTTCAGCAAGGGAGAGTAGTCTCTGTCAGCCTGGACCCTCTGCCACAGGGTTGGAGGGATCTGGCCTGTGGCACAACCAAACTGGCTAACAGCAAAGATCTGGAGCACGGCCAGCGCTCGCCGCATCAGGTGCAGCCCCGTCTCCCGGACTTTCTTCACATCCTCTGCCTTTGCTGCTTAGAAAAGACAGTGGCTCATCAGTGAGAGGCCATGATGGCACAGAGCTACACTCAACAAATCACAGGCTGAGATCAGTCTGAGCCACATGCTGGGTCTCACATGAAGGCAAGAGCCACCCAGGATGTAGCTGGACTTCCTTTTTCTGGTTAATAATAGCTGTATTGAGATATAATTCACATACCATATGATTCACCCATTTAAGGTGTTTAATTCAGTGGTTTTTAGTATATTCAGAATTGTATAACTGTCACTGCAATCAATTTTAGAATATTTCATCCTTCCCAAAAGCAAATCCATACCATCAGCATTTCTCATTCCCCTCTTCTCCTCAACACACCCAAGCCCTAGGCAACCACTCATCTACTTTCTGTCTCTAGAGATTTGCCTGTTCTGGAAACTGCACTTACTTTTGCTGTTTCCTGGAGGCGTTCTGCTGCTGCCTGTTCTGCTGCAGCCATTTCCTGTCTTCCCACCGGCCTTGCACTCACAGTGTCCACCACCTGTCTGCAAGGGGCTTCCCACTTCATCTGGAATCAGAAATTATAGAAGAGACACTTATTTAGCCCTTTATGGCAGATCTTTAAAGGAAAAATAATACTTAATGGTGCCTATTAGAAACAAGAATTTCACAAACTCTTGTCCTATTTAATTGTGTAAAATGAGGACTGGCATACAGTAGTTGGCTCAATAAATATTTGCTAAGTGAATGAACCATGAATCATCATTTTATGGATGACAAGAGAGACTGAAGAGTTAGTAACATGCTCAAGGACATAAAACCAATGAGTATGAGAGTGGAGATTTTAACTATCTGATTTTGAAACCCATGCACTTTCTACTCTGCCAATGCTGCCTCCCCTACTAAGCCATCAAGCCTCTTAAATAGTACATCAAGAATTGGCACCTTTTGGCTGGGCATGGTGGCTCATGCCTGTAGTCCTGGTACTTTGGGAGGCTGAGGCAGGCGGATCACTTGAGGTCAGGAGTACGAGACCAGCCTGGCCAACATGCTGAAACACCATCTCTACTAAAAATACAAAAATTAGCTGGGTGGGGTGGTGGGAGCCTGTAATCCGAGCTACTCAGGAGGCTGAGGCGGAAGAATTGCTTCCATCTGGGAGGCGGCGGTTGCAGTAAGCCAAGATTGTGCCACTGCACTCCAGCCAGGGGAACAGAGAGAGACACTGTCCCCACCGCCCAAAAAAGAACAAAAAACCAGAATTAGAACCTTTTTACTAGTACTTAGAATAAGTATAATTATTATGACACCTGTCCACCCTTCTCATCCCATCCCCTCCTCTAACCTTGGATGAAGTTGATAAACATCTCAAGGTCTCGGATCTGAGTTTTCAGTTGCTCAACCAACTGTTCTTTGACTCGGGCTGGGTTGACGATCTGAGCCACTGCTGCATCTACACGCTGACGAAGCTCTTCAGTGGACAGGGAACTGATGTCCTCATTCAGATTCATGTCCAGTTTCTTTATTAACTCATCTATGATCACCTACCAAGATCACAAGCAATGAGCACACCCTTTGGAATTTTTAGGGAGAGGGTTAGGAAGGAGAATCTAAAAATGTCTTCTGTCCTTAAATGGAAATAAAAAACAGACCTCTAAATTTGTGAAAGTAAATGACTTAACTGCTGATTGATCAAGGTGAGGACATAGACTCTCTACTTTTAAAGTAAAAAGAACCCTCAGTTCTCTGATAAAAATGGATCCTCCCACTCACAGTAAATTTCTACCAGGCTAGTCAGATTTCACTCAGGAAAACAACAGTATGAAAAATCCAAAGTGGCTGATGATCCAACAAGCCTTATATTTAGTTGCTCTAAAGGCTTCAAGGAGAATATATACTGATTTTTAAGAGACAGGGTCTTGCTCAGTCACCCAGGCTAGGGTCCAGTAATGTGAGCGTAGCTCACTGTAACCTCAAACTCCTGTGCTCAAGCAATCCTTCTGCCTCGGTCTCCCCCATAGCTGGGACTATAGACACACGCTACCACCTAGTTAATTTTTAAATTTTTTGTAGAGACAGGGTCTCGTTATGTTGCTCAGGCTGGCCTCAAACTTCTGGCCTCAAGAGATCCTCCCACCTCAGCCTCCCAAAGAATTGGGATTACAGGCACGAGCCACTGCAACTGGCCTGATTTTTCTTAATTTCTAATCCTTCTTATCCCTTCTTGCCCTACTGTAGGCAACTAAAGAAAAATCTCTATAAAATATCAAGGTGCATTATAGCCAAAATATCCTAGTGACATTATTAGGAACAATTTAAAATTCTGATAATAGGCTGGGTGCGGTGGCTCACATCTGTAACCCCAGCACTTCGGGAGGCCAAGGCGGGTGGATCATTTGAGGTCAGGAGCTCAAGACCAGCCTGGCCAACATGGTGAAATCCCATCTGTACTAAAAATACAAAAATTAGCTGGCCATGGTGGTGGATGCCTGTAATCTCAACTACTCGGGAGGCTGAGGCAGGAGAATTGCTTGAACCCTGGAGGCGGAGGTTGCAGTGAGCCAAGATCATGCCACTGCACTCCAGCCTGGGTGACAAACTGAGACTTTGTCTCAAAAAAAAAAAAAATCTGATATCGTAAACTCCAGCCCAGCCAGAAAAACAGCCACAGCACAGGGGTAGAGAAACATGCAGGGGAGGTTGTAACTGTATCTCTACCAAGAGATTTACCTGTCTACCCAGGTCTTACCTAAATAAATACAGTATTAAAGTCAGTCTGGATTCCTGGCATGTTTATCAAAAGGTAGTGAGTAGTAGGAAAAAGCTAGATTACGGCCAGGTGCGGTGGCTCACGCCTGTAATCCCAGCACTTTGGGAGGCCAAGGTGGGCAGATCACCTGAGGTTGGGAGTTCGAGACCAGCCTGACCAACATGGAGAAACCCCATCTCTCCTGAAAATACAAAATTAGCCCAGCATGGTGGCGCCTGCCTATAATCCCAGTTACTTGGGAGGCTGAGGCAGGAGAATTGCTTGAACCCAGGAGGCAGAGGCTGTGTTGAGCTGAGATTGTGCCATTGCACTCCAGCCTGGGCAACAAGAGCAAAACTCCACCTCAAAAACAAAATAAAACAAAACAAAAAAGCTAGATTACATTGTATGATGGGCCCAAGTAGAATTTTTTAAGTGATCAAATGAAGAAATTATTGTTATATTCTTATTTCTATTATTAATTACAATCACCAAAAAGAAATAGCTCAATTATCGTATTACAAAACTTTGGAATCTGTGTTTTCCATGTGTGAGCAAAGAAAGGTTCCTCATAGCAGTAAAATTTCCCTTTGATTTGGGCCAGCAGAGGGATTCTCAGTAAGGCCAAAGGAGAACTGAGCTGAGAGAGGATGCCCTGTGAATGCTGGAAGGGACAAGTTAACCTCGGGCAGTGGTGGAGGTTCCTCTGGGGTCTGCTCACCCGCTGTCTTTCCAACACCACGGACTGTGGCAGCGAGTCATAACTGCCCTCTTGATAGGCAAACGTTTCCAGGTCATCTAGCTGGGTCTTGAGCTGCAGTATCAGTTCTTTCTGCTTCTCCCTTTGGGTTTCCAGACGCTCTTGCTTTTCCTGCTCACTCTAAGGCAAGAAAATAATTGGGTCTATTATGCAGGCAAAGGGAAACTCAGGGCACATTAAGAATCTGCTCGAGCCAGTAATGACCAATAAAATATAAGATGTTTCCAATAATCCAAATGAAATACACAATTCATACGATAGATTCAAAAGTAAGAATAATTATTTCATCCTAGGCAATTTGTCAAATGGGTGTTTTCTTTAAGAAACTATCTGTCCCTCATTGGAAATAGGATATTAATACAATGAGGCTTTTTGTTAAGACTGCCTTTTTTCCCCCAAAGGTCTAGTTAGGGTAGAGACAATCTATCTCAGCCAAGATAGCCTCCCAGGAATTAAGACATGCCATTCTCCACAGCCAGTTACCATAACACAACTCCTGATTACTCTGTGCAGCCAAATTTTGCAAAAGAATCTGGGGTAAGGGTGTGGAGAGAGGCTTTAAAACTCATAACCAGCTGGCCGGGCCCGGTAGCTCACGCCTGTAATCCCAGCACTTTGGGAGGCCGAGGCGGGTGGATCACGAGGTCAGGAGATTGACCATCCTGGCTAACACAGTAAAACCCCGTCTCTACTAAAAATACAAAAAAAAAATTAGCCGGGTGTGGTGGCGGGCGCCTGTAGTCCCAGCTACTTGGGAGGCTGAAGCAGGAGGATGGCGTGAACCCGGGAGGCGGAGCTTGCAGTGAGCAGAGATCGCGCCACTGCACTCCAGCCTTGGTGACAGAGCGAGACTCCGTCTCAAAAAAAAAGAAAAAAACTCATAACCAGCTTTCCTAAGGTTCACCAAAGTCCCTTTGATGTACGATAGACCACTTCTGAAAAATCAAAAGAATCAAACGCACCAGGAGTGGTGTCTCACGCCTGTAACTGCAGCACTCTGGGAGGCCAAGGCAAAAGAATCACTTGAGCCCAGGAGTTCGAGACCACCCTGGGCAACACAGTGAGACTTCATCTCCACAAAAAAATTTTTAAAAATTAGCTGGGCATGGTGGTGCATGCCTGTAGTCCCAGCTACTTGAGTGGCCGAGGCGGGAGGATTGCTTAAGCACAAGAGGTCAAGGCTTCACAAGACCCTGTCTCAAAGAAAAAAAAAATTAGCCAGGCGTGGTGGCATGGTGGTCCCAGTCACACAAGAGGCTGGGACAAGATGATGGCTTGAGTCTAGGAGGTTGAGGCTGCATTGAGCTTTGTTTTCACCACTGCACTCCAGCCTGGGCAATAGGGCAAGACTCTGTCTCAAAAAACCAAAACCAAAAACAAAAGAGTAAAAGGCAAGTGCCTAGGCCAGTGAAAAAAAACCAAAAGCCACATAATGGGGATGTGAAGGTAACAACGTTTTTAAAAAAAAGTATCTGTAAGTTTTGCTGACTAGTGACTCCTTTTTCAACTGTTGGCCACCAGTAGTTTCTGCATTTCAACTAATAAAAATGCTTCAGGGTGGTAAAGTCTTGTCAACGTATTCTCAAACACTGGTTCTTCCTTGTCTTTCTTGAGTCTCAAAAACAAAAAGCAAAACCAGCAAATCATTTGTAGGGGCAAGGCTGCGTCTTAAACTAGAAGTCTACAGCGTATTACATTTAACCTTAAAACGGTACTTACCAAGCCCTGAAGAAGTAAGTAATGAGAGAGAAGAAATGAAAAAAAAAAAAAAAAGAAAACAACAAATTAACTTTTTGTTTAAGTATTTAAAATGCAATCCTCTTGCTTTAACTTTGCTCAACATGAAAGCAAGCCTTTTCTCAGGGCAGTCCCTCTGTAATCCTTTCAGAGCGCAGTTGCATACTGTTAGAACCCTATCCCACTTCCCCATTTGGTGAAGGCCTAGTTCTCCTTTAAGAGGCTTCCTGATTTCCCCAGGCATAACTAAACATTTCCTCTAGAGGTTGTTCACACTTCTAGTCTAGCTCATATCACATTATTTGTTTAGGATTCTGTCTCTTCTAGTCTATGAACTCCTTAAGGACAAAGGTTTTGACTTTGAACCACAAATGCCAGGCACAGTGTCTGGCACAAGATAAGTTCTCAACATGCATTTGTTGTATGTTACTGAACTGAATTAAGGAAAGTATGGCCGAACGCAGTGGCTCATGCCTGTAATCCCAGCACTTTGGGAGGCCAAAGCAGGCAGATCACCTGAGGTCAGGAGTTCGAGACCAGCCTGGCCAACATGGTGGAACCCCGTCTCTACAAAAACTAGCCCAGTGTGGTGGCACGTGCCTGTAATCCTAGCTACTTGGGAGGCTGAGGCAGGAGAATGGCTTGAACCCAGGAGGCGGAGGTTGGAGTGAGCCAAGACCGCAGCATTGCACTCCAGCCTGGGTGTCACAGCAAGACTCTGTGTCCAAAAAAAAAAAAAAAAAAAAAAAGAAAGAAAGAAAAAGAAAAAGAAAAGAATGACAAATTCCAAATAATGAACTCTGAGTGGAGAAAGTTGTCTAACCAGCCTAAGGAGAAAGAACTGTGGAAAAGTCTTTTGTTTTTGTTCTCACTGTTACCCAACTTTATGTCAGGGAAGAAAGAAATCAGCCATAAATTTTGATTCCATTTTCATGACCAAGTCTGTTGAACTCTGTCACTTGCCATGGTAGCTACGATATGCTATTTGCTGGAGTGTGGGCAAACAAGAGAGAACAATGAGCTCTGGTGCAAAGCAGGAAATAACATAAATCATTTCCAGTATGAAGTAAGATAAGAGAAAATATTGGTTTAAAATATTTGGGGTTGAGGTGGGTGGATCACTTGAGGTCAGGAGTTCGAGACCAGCCTGGCCAACATGGCAAAACCCTGTCTCTACTCAAAATACAAAATTTAGCCGGGGATAGTGGCACATGCCTGCAGTCCCAGCTACTAGGGAGGCTGAGGCAGCAGAACAGCTTGAACCTAGGAGGTGGAGGTTGCAGTGAGCTGAGATCATGCTACTGCACTCCAGCCTGGGTGACAGGGCCAGACTCTGTCTCAAAAAAAAAAAAAAAAAACTGGGGGCCAGGTGCAGTGGCTCATGCCTGTAATCCCAGCACTTAGGGAGGCTAAGGTGGGAGGGTGGCTTGAGCCCAGGAGTCAGAGACCAGCTGAGCAACATAGGGAGAGCCCCACCTCTACAGAAAAAATATATTTTTTAATTAGCTAGTCATGGTAGTGTGCGCCTGTGGTCCCAGCTACTTGGGAGGCTGAGCTGGGAGGATGGATTGAGCCCAGGAGGTTGAGGATGCAGTGAGTTGTGATCATGCTGCTGCACACCAGCCTGGGCAACAGAGTGGAAAATAAAAATTTAGGGCCGGGCACGGTGGCTCACACCTATAATCCCAGCACTTTGGGAGGCCGAGTCGGACAGATTATGAGGTCAGGCGTTCGAGGCCAGGAGTTCGAGACCAGCCTGGCCGACATGGCAAAACCCCATCTCTACTAAAAATACAAAAATTAGCCAGGCGTGGTGACGGGCACCTGTAGTCCCAGCTACTTGGGAAGCTGAGGCAGGAGAATCGCTTGAACCCAGGAGGCGGAGGTTGCTGTGAGCCAAGATGGTGCCACTGCATTCCAGCCTGGGCGACAGAGTGAGACTCTGTCTCAAGAAAAAAAAAAAAATTGGCGGGGTACAGTGGTTCATGCCTGTAATCCAGCACTTTGGGTGGCCAAGGTGGGTGGCTTGCTTGAGCCCAGGAGTTCAAGACCAGCCTGGGCAATATGGTGAAACCTCATCTCTACAAATACAAAAACTAGCTGAGCATGGTGATGCTCGCCTGTGGTCCCAGTTACTCGAGAGGCTGAGGTAGGAGGATCTACTGAGCCTGGGAGTCAAGGCTGCAGTGAGTCCTGATCATGCCAGTGCACTCTAGCCTGGCAACAGAGTGAGACTCTGTCTCAAAAAAAAAAAAAAAAAAAAGGAAAAAGAAAAAAAAAGGTAAGTGGTAAGAAGTAAATCATTCAGTTCAATGATATTCCCTACTCTGGTCCTACCTGTTCACCTGTCAATGTATTCAATGTATAAATACAAGATTACAACTTGTAGGTGGATTGAGCACTACTTTTTTTTTTTTTTTTTAAGGTGGTACAATGTTTCTTTTGCCTTTTTTTTTTGAGACAGGGTCTTGCTCTGTTACTCAGGCTGGAGTGCAGCGGTATGATCATAGCTCTCTGCAGCCTCCAACTCCTGGGCTCAAGTGATCCTCCTCCAGCCTTCGCCTCCCCAAGTGTTGGGATTACAGTCATGAGCCACTGCACACAGTCTTTTTTTTTTTTTCAGTTTTTAATTTTTTGTGTGTTTTTTTTTGAGACAGAGTTTCACTCTTGTTGCCCCAGGCTGGGGTGCGATGGCACGATCTTGGCTCACCGCAACCTCTGCCTCCCAGGTTCAAGCGATTCTCCTGCCTCAGCCTCCCGAGTAGCTGGGATTACAGGAATGTGCCACCATGTCTGGCTAGTTTTTTTTTTTTTTTTTTGTATTTTTAGTAGAGACGGGGTTTCATCATGTTGGTCAGGCTGGTCTCGAACTCCCAACCTCAGGTGATCCGCCCGCCTTGGCCTCCCAAAGTGCTAGGATTACAGGCGTGAGCCACTGCGCTGGGCTAGTTTTTAATTTTTATGGGTACATAGTATGTGTATATATTTATGGGGTACATGAAATGTTGCTACAGGCATGCAATGTGTCATAATCACATCATGGAAAATGGGGTTGGCCTACTGTTTCTAAAGGTGAAAATGAACAACAGAGTTTCCTATCATGTAGAACCTTTGGTGCTGTCCACCCCTTTCTAGCCCTTAAATCTGACAGTTTGAGGTGGCTGCTCCTTGTGTAAGGAGTTGCAGGTATGTGGAGAAGGGTGGAACAGTAAACACAGGATTGCACTGGAAACAGTTCAGACTAAAATAAACAAATCATTATCTGCTTGATAAATCTTCTTGGCTAAAACCAATGTAAGTGGGAAGAAAGCCACATGTAGATTGTAGTTTGAAGAATAAAATGGTGAAAAGGGATGGGGCATGGTGGCTCACTTCTCTAATCCCAGCACTTTGGTAGGCTGAGGAGGGCAGATCGCTTGAGCTCAGGAGTTCGAGACCAGCCTGGGCAATGTGGTGAAACCCCGCCTCAACAAAAAATAAACAAAATTAACTGGGTGTGGTGGCACACACCTGTAGTCCCAGATACTGGGGAAGCTGAGGCAGGAGGATTGCTTGAGCCCAGGAGGCAGAGGTTGCAGTAAGCAGAAATTGCGCCAATGCAGTCTGGCCTAGGTGACAGAGTGAGACTCTGTCTCAAAAAAAAAAAGTGAAAAGGCAGTGTACCTCAACACTTCCAATAAAGCCAGCACTTTGTGCACTTCCAGAGATGCAAAGCTTGTAAGGAAACGTTTACCTGGTGTCTTATACATAGTTTCACTACTTCTGGGGTAGGCACACTGAATCGATCTTGTCAGTTATCAGAGGACCTCATTCAGAATGCCTAATGATTAAGCAGGATGGAGGAAGAGTTTAAAAATTTCAACATTATAGCCTGCACGGTGGCACACGCCTGTAGTCCTGAGGCTGAGGCGGGAGGATGGCTTGAGACCAGGAGTTCGAGACCAGCCTGGGCAACATACCAAGACCCTCCCGTCTCTTAAAAAGGAAAAATTCCAACATTAGGAAATTTATCTAATCAAGAGTTGTGTTTATTTCAGTTACTAAGAGACCCTGCTGTTAATCCAAACTCCCACCCAAAGAAGTGTAAAGACTGCCTAGATTTCAGGAAAGCAGGGACAGGGAGTTAACCTAAATTTCCACGGATTCCAACTCACTTTCCTTTCCTTTGCCAATTTTCCCAATCCCCAGAGTCGGGGTCCTCTAGCAGCCAAAGTGTTCAAGACTGAGATACGTGAGGGAAAGGTGAGTGGGCGCAGCACTGCTCTTGGCTGCTCTGCTGCCCTCTCAACGACTCACTTCGCTCACCGCTCCTCTACCACTCACGTCATCACGCACCGACATCTCTCCACATCCTCCGTGCACACCGCTCACCCTCAGGTTCCCAGGCCTCTGTCCTCTTGCCCTTCAGCCGGCCCCGCACTCCAGTCCCCTGGTCTCCGACACACGTACTCACCGACCGAGTCGGGGAGGCTTCTCCCCGCATGCACCATCATCCGGGTCTGGATCGCCACCCACACGACCCCACTATTCCCATATTCCTCGCGGCCCGGCTCCAGCCACTCACCTGGTCCTCGCCCCGCAACCATGGCCGGTCCCCTGGCAGCCCATCGCCCTCATCGCTGGCGGGGTCGCCGGGCCCTTCGTAACCTAGGACGTGAGGGCAGCCGCGGAAGGCGAAGTCTTCGAGCTCCCGCAGAAGGCGCTGCTGCTCCGCCGGCGCCCCGCGCACCACCTGGCGCAGGCGGAACTGCACCTGCGCGAAGTGCGAGGACAGCGCCAGCAGCGCCGAGTCCAGCCGCCGCCGCTCTGCCCGCAGCCGCCGCAGCGTCCGGCCCGGCGAATCCGGCGGGGAGCCCGGGGCCGCGCCAGGCTCCTCGGCCGTCGCCTCTTCTAAAAACGCGGTTGCCCCAGGCCGGGCCTCCGCCACCGCCCCCACTGGGGCCCAGCGCACCGCCTCGCACGGTGGCAGCGGCTCCTCTTCCTCCTCCTCTTCGTCTTTCGCCTTTGGCCCAACAGCCGCCACCACCGTTACCGGCTCTGCAGCCGCTTCGACAGCCGCCATCTTCCCGGAAACACCACCGCACGTCAGCCGCGCCCCCCTGCTGCCATGGCAACGGCGCGGTGGCCTGGAACCCCAGGGGAGTGGTGGGCGGGGCCTGAAGTACCCAAGTCCCCGAGGGCGCGCCTTCCCCGGGAATTTAATTCAGGACAATAATGTTTTATTGAGCGCCTATTGTGAATCAGACACTGAGCAGTAAGCGTCGGAGAAACAGGTGAATGATACCGGGGAAAAGTCATTCCCTGTGTGTAGCGTCTAGGGCAGCCTTTGCCCTGGTTCCAGCAGATGGGTTGTCTCTTCATAGTCTATGCATTTCTGAAGACCCCACGGTGAAGGGCTGCAAGGATGAAGCTGTCCCAGAGTATCTCCAGAGTGCAGATCCCTTGGCTGCCAGGTCATGTTCTCTCTTCCTCTCAACTGCTCTCCCGACCATATAAGGAGAGGCAGCTGCTGGGGGCGTCCCCAGGATCTAAAGATAGCGGCCCCTGCCTGGAACTCTAAATGCCACCCTGGAGCGGGAGCCGCAATGGCACGGTGAGTGTTTCCGGCTCCGGTGCTCCCCCTGGCCCTTTTCCCTGGAGATTCCCTGCTCCAAGTCTTCTGGGCGCTCCAGGTTCTGTGAGGCCCCACGGGAGCCCCGGACCCCTGGTCTCTGTAACTGTGGGGTGAGGGAAGGTGTGACCTGAATGTTCTCCCTGACCTCCTAGTTTCCTAGTCTTGCACGTTCTATTCTTCCCAGGTTCACATTCACCACACCCACCCACTCCTGTCATTCCCTTCCCTTTCACCCCTTCTGTCTCATTTAGCTCCACTTTGAAAAAACTGTGGCATCAAAGGTCCCTGGGTAGTCCCTTCCCAAATGACCTCAGTCTTCCCTCTCCCACCCCTATGAAGCCACACCTCAACTTCTCTTCAGGCAGCACGCCCGGACCTTGTGGTACGACAGGCCCAGGTATGTGTTCATGGAGTTTTGTGTTGAGGACAGCACCGATGTCCACGTGCTTATTGAGGATCACCGCATTGTGTTCAGGTAGTGGCCCTGCCGTCCGAGGGCCTGGCTTCCCAGGAATCTACCCCTTTCCTAATGTCCCCACACGGAGTATTCCGCATCTCCTCAGCTTCATTGTCTCCTCAGCTGCAAGAATGCCGATGGAGTGGAGTTGTACAATGAGATTGAGTTCTATGCCAAAGTGAACTCCAAGGTAAGGGTGAAATGGGACAGTAAGGTTTGGATGGAAACCGGGCTGCCCAGGGAAACTGGAGATTAATTCTAAACCCCAGACCCTAAGAATGAGGCTCTCTATCTGGCAGGACTCCCAGGATAAGCGCTCTTCCCGCTCTATTACTTGTTTTGTGAGAAAATGGAAGGAAAAGGTGGCCTGGCCGCGGCTTACCAAGGAGGATATCAAGGTGGGTGTGTGGAAAGTGGCCTGCTTCTTCTCTCCATGTACCCAGGTTACAGCTGGGATTGTCCTTGCCTCCTTTCCAGCCAATATTCAATCACTCAACAAGTCCTGCCTAATCTTTTTTTTCCAACTGTATTAGTCTCTCTTTTTATTTTTATTTATTTATTTATTTTGAGACGGAGTTTCACTCTTGTTGCCCAGGCTGGAGTGCAGTGGCGTGATCTCAGCTCACCATGGCCTCCGCCTCCCGGGTTCAAGCAATTCTCCTGCCTCAGCCTCCTGGGTAGCTGGGATTACAGGCATGCACCACCACGCCCAGCTAATTTTGTATTTTTAGTAGAGATGGGGTTTCTCCTTGTTGCTCAGGCTGGTCTCGAACTCCCGACTTCAGGTGATCTGCCCGCCTCGGCCTCCCAAAGTGCTGGGATTACAGGCGTGAGCCACCGCGCCTGGCTTATTTTTTAACTTAAAGTTCTGGGATACATGTGCAGAACATGCAGGTTTGTTACATAGGTATACGTGTGCCATGGTGGTTTGCTGCATCTATCAACCCGTCATGCAGGTTTTAAGTCCTGCATACATTAGCTATTTGTCCTGAGTCTCTTTTTACTCTCTTGGTAATCTCTCCCAGTTAACTTACTTTCGTTGTAGGTGATGAAATGTGTAAGACTCCACTTCAGATATTGGCACTGCTATGAACATGGTCTTTCCCTTTACTGCAACTCACAATCAAAACCTTTGATTCTTTTTGTGTGTGTGTTTGTGTGAGATGGATTCTCACTCCCGTAGCACAGGCTGGAGTGCAGTGGCGCGATCTTGGCCCACTGCAACATCCACTTCCCGGGTTCAAGCGATTCTCCTTCCTCAGCCTCCTGAGTAGCTGGGATTACTGGCTTGTGCCCCCACGCCTGGCTAATTTTTGTATTTTTAGTAGAGACGGGGTTTCACCATATTGGTCAGGCTGGTCTTGAATTCCTGACCTCAGGTGGTCTACCCGCCTCAGCCTCCCAAACTGCTAGGATTACAGGCGTGAGCCAATGTGCCCAGCCATTTCTTTTTCTTTTTTCTTTCTGTTTTTTTTTTTTTTTTTTTTTTTGATTCGGAGTTTCGCTCTTGTTGCCCAGGCTGGAGTGCAATGGCATGATCGCAGCTCACTACACCTCCGCCTCCCAGATTCAAGCGATTCTCCTGCCTCAGTCTCCCGAGTAGCTGTGATTACAGGCATGTGCCACCACACCCAGCTAATTTTGTATTTTTAGTAGAGACAGTGTTTCAACATGTTGGCCAGGCTGGTCTCAAACTCCTGACCACAGGTGATCCACCTGCATCGGCCTCCTAAAGTGCTGGGATTACAGCTGTGAGCCACTGCACCCGGCCTCTGCCAATTCTTGTTTTCTATATTCCAGTCCCAGAAGTAGTTTCCACTGTAGAAATTAATTGATGAGTCTTATTCTTTCTTTTCTTTCTTTCTTTCTTTCTTTTCTTTCTTTCTCTCTCTCTCTCTCCCTCCCTTCCTCCCTCCCCCTCTCTCTCTTTCTTTCTTTTTCTTCTTTTCTTTTTTTTTTTTTTGAGACAGAGTTTCTCTCTTGTTGCCCAGGCTGGAGTGCAATGGCGCCATCTCGGCTCACTGCAACCTCCGCCTCCTGGGTTCAAGCGATTCTCCTTCATCAGCCTCCTGAGTAGCTGGGATTACAGGCGTGTGCCACCACGCCCGGCTAATTTTTGTATTTTTGTATTTTTTTTTTTTTGAGATAGAGTCTCACTCTGTCACCCAGGCTGGAGTGCAGTGGCGTGATCTCAGCTCACTGCAACCTCTGTCTCCTGGGTTCAAGTGATTCTCCTTCCTCAGCCTCCTGAGTAGCTGGGATTACAGGTGCCCACCACCATGCCCAGCTAATTTTTGTATTTTTAATAGAGACAGGGTTTCACCATGTTGGCCCGGCTGCTCTTGAACTCCTGACCTCAGGTGATCTGCTCGCCTCGGCCTCCCAAAGTGCTGGGATTACAGGTGTAAGCCACCGCACCTGGTAATTTTTTGTATTTTTAGTAGAGATGGGGTTTTGCCATGTTGACTAGGCTGGTCTCGAACTTCAGACCTCAGGTGATCTGCCTGCCTCAGCCTCCCAGGGTGCTGGAATTACAGGCATGAGCCACCACACCTAGCCCTGATGACTCTTATTCTTTCTAGTAGTGGCTTACAACCAGGCTCTACTGACCTCTTAAATATTAATGAATTCACTACTTAATTTCTTCCTAGTTCAAGCCTCACCAGCATACAGTGAGAAGTTTGTTGCATATTTTCAGTTCCATTTTCAATCCATTCTCTGCATTGCCCTCAGCATGGTCTGTCTAAAACACACATTTGACCCTGATGCTCCCCCACTTAAGGCCCTCCAAAGTCGTCTCCTCCTTAAAGGTTGAAAACTGACTGCCTGATGGCTGGATCTGGCTCTCAGATTTGTTTTAATCTTTACAGTGTCAAAAATTATTTTAAGGCCGGGTGTGGTGGCTCACGCCTGTAATCCCAGCACTGTAGGAGGCCGAGGCAGGCAGATTGCTTGAGGTCAGGAGTTGGAGACCAGCCCAGACAACATAGTGAAACGCCGTCTCTACTAAAAATACAAAAAATTAGCTGGGTGTGGTGGCGCATGTCTGTAGTCCTAGCTATTCAGGAGGCTGAGGCAGAATAATCGCTTGAACCTGGGAAGTGGAGGTTGCAGTGAGCTGAGATCGTGCCACTGCATTCCAGCCTGGGCGACAGAGCGAGACAACGTCTCAAAAAAAAAGAAATTATTTTGACTTGTTACTGACATTAAAAAATTTTTATTAGTTGCTGACATTTAAAAATGTGCATCTTCTAAAAATCCAGACTATAAGCTTCTGTTGAAAAATGGGAGGCTGAGAGAGGTGGCTCACAATCCCAGCACTTTGGGAGGCTGAGGTGGATGGATTGATTTAGGTCAGGAGTTCAAGACCAGCCTGGCCAACATGGCAAAACCCCATCTCTACTAAAAATACAAAAAATGAGCTGGGCGTGGTGGTGCGAGCCTGTAGTGCCAGCTACTCGGGAGGCTGAGGCGGGAGAATTGCTTGAACCCGGGAGGCAGAGGTTGCAGTGAGCCAAGAGCTCACCACTGCACTCCTGCCTGTGCAATAGAGTGAGACTCCATTTCAAAAAAAATAAATAAATAAAACGGGGAGCCAGGTTCGGTGGCTCGTGACTGTAATCCCAGCACTTTGGAAGGCCGAGGCAGGCAGATCACAAGGTGGGGAATTTGAGACCAGCCTGGCCGACGTGGTGAAACCCCGTCTCTACTAAAAATACGAAAGTTAGCAGAGCGCGGTAGCACGTGCCTGTAATCCCAGCTGCTCCGGAGGCTGAGGCAGGAGAATTGCTTGAACCCGGGAGGCAGAGGTTGCAGTCAGCCGAGATCACCCCACTGCACTCTAGCCTGGATGACAGAGTGAGACTCTGTCTCAGAAAGAAAAAAGAAAAAGAAAAATGAGAGAATCTAGCCCCACTGATACACATCCCCAGATGCCTAGAGTTGAAGTTTTCAGTGGATCATGTACTTCACCTCACTTGCTCCTTTTCATTACCTCCCTGACTCTCTTGGGTATTTGAGCGTTTGATTTCCTGCCCTTTAGGTTGAGATCCGTTACATAACACACTAGCACATCCCACACTCTCTGCCCCAAGCTTTATCTTCTAGCCACAGCAGACTGTTGTGTTTTGTTTGTTTTGCAAAAACCAGGCTGTTTCTCACCTCTGTACCTTTGCTCAAGGTATGCCTTCTTCCTGAAAAGTTACCATCATTACTACCTTCACCCACCCAATCCCTGTGCATCCTTCAAAGCCCTGCCACTCCAGAAACCTGGGTTCTTGTGACTCCTTTTGGGGTTCCCATGATGTCCCCTATATAACTCCACCACCACACTTTTCACACTGTATTATAGTGCTTTATTTATATCTCCCTCCCCAGCTTGCTTCCAAGTGGCTGGGACAGTGTGTTGACCTTTTTTTTTTTTTTTTTTTTTGAGACAGGATGTCGTACTGTTACTCAGGCTGGAGTACAGTGGCATAATCAAGGTTCACAGCAGCGTTGCCCTTCTGGGCTCAAGCAATCCTCTCACCTTAGCCTCTTGAGTAGGTGGAACAACAGAAGTGTGCCACCATGCCTGGCTAATTTTTGTATTTTTTGTAGAGATGGGGTTTTGCCATGTTGCCCTAGGCTGGTCTCGAACCCCTGGGCTCAAGCAATTGATGTGCCTTGGCCTCCCAAAGTGCTGTGATTATAAGTGATAGCCACTGCGCCCGGCCAGAACATTTTTATAAACCCAGTGCCAAGCTGAGAGTCTGTCCATAGTATGTGTTCAATAAATTTTTTTTTTTTTTTTTTTGAGACAGAGTCTCACTCCATCGCCCAGGTTGGAGTACAGTGGCGTGATCTCGACTCACTGCAACCTCCACCTTCCGGGTTCCAGTAATCCTCCTGCGTTAGTCTCCTGAGTAGATGGGATTACAAGTGCCCACCAGCATTCCCAGCTAATTTCTGTATTTTTAGTAGAGATGGGGTTTCACCATGTTGGCCAGGCTGGTCTCAAACTCCTGACGTCAAGTGATCCACCTGCCTCAGCCTCCCAAAATGCTGGGATTACAGATGTTAGCCACTGCACCTGGCCAATAAATATCTTTTGAATGAAGGAGTGAATAACTTCTTCCCTGTATAAATGTGGAAACTTTGGAACATGGACCTTGAAGGGCTGTCTCTGACTCCATGGAATGCAGCTTGTCTTTTTTTTTTTTTTTTTCGAGACAGAGTTCCACTCTTGTTGCCCAGGCTGGGGTGCAGTGGCGCGATCTCAGCTTACTGCAGCTTCCACCTGCCAGGTTCAAGCAATTTTCCTGCCTCAGCCTCCCAAGTAGCTGGGACTAGAAGCATGTGCCACCATGCCCAGCTAATTTTGTATTTTTAGTAGAGATGGGGTTTTACCATGTTGGCCAGGCTGGTCTCGAACTCCTGACCTCAGGTGATCCACCCACCCTGGCCCCGCAGAGTGCTGGGATTACAGGTTGTGTGAGCCACTGCGCCTGGCTGCAGCTTGTCTGTCTTATTGGTTGACTCCTATGTTGCTTTATTTTTTTTTATTTTTATTTTTATTTTTTTTTAATTTATTTTTTTATTGATAATTCTTGGGTGTTTCTCACAGAGGGGGATTTGGCAGGGTCATGGGACAATAGTGGAGGGAAGGTCAGCAGATAAACAAGTGAACAAAGGTCTCTGGTTTTCCTAGGCAGAGGACCCTGCGGCCTTCCGCAGTGTTTGTGTCCCTGATTACTTGAGATTAGGGAGTGGTGATGACTCTTAACGAGCATGCTGCCTTCAAGCATCTGTTTAACAAAGCACATCTTGCACCGCCCTTAACCCATTTAACCCTGAGTGGACACAGCACATGTTTCAGAGAGCACAGGGTTGGGGGTAAGGTCACAGATCAACAGGATCCCAAGGCAGAAGAATTTTTCTTAGTGCAGAACAAAATGAAAAGTCTCCCATGTCTACTTCTTTCTACACAGACACGGCAACCATCCGATTTCTCAATCTTTTCCCCACCTTTTCCGCCTTTCTATTCCACAAAGCCGCCATTGTCATCCTGGCCCGTTCTCAGTGAGCTGTTGGGCACACCTCCCAGACGGGGTGGTGGCCAGGCAGAGGGGCTCCTCACTTCCCAGTAGGGGCGGCCGGGCAGAGGCGCCCCTCACCTCCCGGACGGGGCGGCTGGCCGGGCAGGGGGCTGACCCCCCCCACTTCCCTCCCGGACGGGGCGGCTGGCCGGGCGGAGGGGCTCTTCACTTCCCAGTAGGGGCCGCCGGGCAGAGGCGCCCCTCACCTCCCGGACGGGGCGGCTGGCCGGGCGGGGGGCTGACCCCCCCACCTCCCTCCCGGACGGGGCGGCTGGCCGGGCGGGGGGCTGACCCCCCCCCACCTCCCTCCCGGATGGGGTGGCTGCTGGGCAGAGACGCTCCTCACTTCCCAGATGGGGTGGCTGCCGGGCGGAGAGGCTCCTCACTTCTCAGACGGGGTGGTTGCCAGGCAGAGGGTCTCCTCACTTCTCAGACGGGGCGGCCGGGCAGAGACGCTCCTCACCTCCCAGACGGGGTCGCGGCCGGGCAGAGGCGCTCCTCACATCCCAGATGGGGCAGCGGGGCAGAGGTGCTCCCCACATCTCAGACGATGGGTGGCCGGGCAGAGACGCTCATCACTTCCTAGATGTGATGGCGGCCGGGAAGAGGCGCTCCTCACTTCCTAGATGGGATGGCGGCCGGGCGGAGACGCTCCTCACTTTCCAGACTGGGCAGCCAGGCAGAGGGGCTCCTCACATCCCAGACGATGGGCGGCCAGGCAGAGACACTCCTCACTTCCCAGACGGGGTGGCGGCCGGGCAGAGGCTGCAATCTCAGCACTTTGGGAGGCCAAGGCAGGCGGCTGGGAGGTGTAGGTTGTAGCGAGCCGAGATCATGCCACTGCACTCCAGCCTGGGCACCATTGAGCACTGAGTGAACGAGACTCCGTCTGCAATCCCGGCACCTCGGGAGGCCGAGGCTGGCGGATCACTCGCGGTTAGGGGCTGGAGACCGGCCCAGCCAACACAGCGAAACCCCGTCTCCACCAAAACCAGTCAGGCGTGGCGGTGCGTGCCTGCAATCGCAGGCACTCGGCAGGCTGAGGCAGGAGAATCAGGCAGGGAGGTTGCAGTGAGCCGAGATGGCAGCAGTACAGTCCAGCTTCGGCTCCGCATGAGAGGGAGACCGTGGAAAGAGAGGGAGACCATGGGGAGGGGGAGGGGGAGGGGGAGAGGGAGAGGGAGAGAGAGAGGGCATAATGCCTATGTTGCTTTATGATACAATTATCTTTCCAGATGTGTTGTCTCCTCAGTCAATCGGCTCCTGGAGGGTGGGACTTCTTTTTTTTTTTTTTTTTTTTTTTGAGATGCAGTCTTGCTCTGTCACCCAGGCTGGGGTGCAGTGGCACGATCTTGGCTCACTGCGACCTCCGCCTCCCAGGCTCAAGCAATTCTCCTGCCTCAGCCTCCCGAGTAGCTGGGACTACAGGTGCCCGTCACCACGCCCGGATAATTTTTGTATTTTTACTAGAGACGAGGTTTCACCATATTGGCCAGGCTGGTCTCGAACTCCTGACCTTGTGATCCTCCTGCCTCGGCCTTCCAAAGTGCTGAGATTACAGGCATGAGCCACCACGCCTGGCCGGAGGGTAGGACTTCTGAGATTTTCAGACTCTATCATGCCTAGCTTTGTGTGTAGATTGGCAGGTTCCTGGTCAAAGGAGTGCAGTTGGGAGGACTAGGGACCTACTGACCCTCTTTTCCCCAGGCGTGCTCCCATGCATATGCCCACACTCTCCCACACACTCCTGCTCCTGCCCTCCTGGCCTGTGACTCTTGGTGCCTCTTCTTGCAGCCAGTGTGGCTGTCTGTGGACTTTGATAACTGGAGAGACTGGGAAGGGGATGAAGAGATGGAGCTGGCTCATGTGGAACATTATGCAGAGGTGAGAGACAACACCTACTGTGTTCTGCCCACTTGATCATTCTTTGTGTTTCTCTGCACACATGTCTCTGGAGGATTGTCACTGGGGCCAAGCAGAGATATGCAAGCTCTCTAGGCAGGTTACTCATTGATGCTGATATTCTTTACGTATTTTGTGCAATGTTTATTTAATAGGGATGAGAGGAAAGAATATTATTGAAATTATATACATTGATTCACTTATTCAGTGTAGAGCCTGTATTCTGAAGAAGTTTGACAAAACGTTTTTCCACTTTTCTGTAATTCTTGTTCTACTGTTTTCTGTGTGTGTGTGTGTGTGTGTGGTTTTCTGTCGCCTAGGCTGGAGTGCAATGGCGCGATCTCAGCTCACTGCAACCTCTGCCTCTGGGTTCAAGCAATTTTGTCTCATCCTCCTGAGTAGCTGGGATTACAGGTGCCCACCACCACTTCTGGATAATTTTTGTATTTTTTTAGTAGAGACGGAGTTTCACCATGTTGGCCAGGCTGGTCTCAAATTCCTGACCTCAGGTGATCCACCTGCCTCACCCTCCCAAGTGGTGGGATTACAGGCGTAAGTCACCATGCCTGGCCTGTGTGTGTGGTTTTCTTTTTGAGACAGAGTCTTGCTCTGTCTCCCAGGCTGGAGTGCAGTAGCTCCCTGCAACCTCCACTTCCCAGGTTCAAGTGATTCTTGTGCCTCAGCCACCTGAGTAGCTGGGATTACAGGCATGCGCCACCACCCCTGGCTAATTTTTTTTTGTATTTTTGGTAGAGATGGGGTTTCATCATGTTGGCCAGGCTGGTCTGGAACTCCTGGCCTCAAGTGATCTGTCTGTCTCAGCCTCCCAAAGTGCTCACATTACAAATGTGAGCCACCAAACCCGGCCTCTGTGTGTGTGTGTGTGTGTGTGTGTGTGTGTGTGTGTGTGTGCGCGTGTTAAGCCAGACAACTTCATGGGATGTTAAAACTAGCAGTATAAAAACTCACATCATAAATAATTGGCCCCCAGTAAATCACACACTGTCGTTATATTATTTGGTTTCAGTTATAAAAACACTAGCCGACTCCAATCTGGATTTGTGTTAAATTTTCTTTTAAGAAGGGGATCAATTTACTTTTCTCAAATTAATTCCAGTGATGTTTTAAAGATGGGAGCAGTTGCCTGACCAGTTCTGGCTGCAACCATTCTTCTATGGACCATCAATGTGCAGATTGTTCTTCCTTCACTCCCTTCTCCCTTGTGATTATTTTTTCTTCCCACTAGCTTTTGAAGAAGGTCAGCACCAAGAGACCTCCACCTGCCATGGATGATTTGGATGTAAGTAAAGCCTTCCCCTCAACCCTTCAGTTTCTTTGTAGCCCTTAAAAACAACCCACTAGAGAGCTCCTATCCCAGTTCCTAGCACACAGTAGTTCTCAGTGCCTGTTAACCAAATTTGAGTTTGACCCAAGAGGGCTAATATTCTTTTTTTGGGGGGTGGGGGAGGAGTTTCACTCTTTCGCCCAGGTTGGAGTGCAGTGGCCCGATCTTGGCTCACTGCAACCTCTGCCTCCTGGGTTCAAGAGATTCTCCTGCCTCAGACTCCTGAGTAGCTGGGAATATAGGTGCCTGCCACCACGCCCAGCTAATTTTTGTATTTTTAGTAGAGACAGGGTTTTGCCATGTTAGCCAGGCTGGTCTCGAACTCCTGGCCTGAGGTGATCCACCCGCCTCGGCCTCCCAAAGTATTGGGATTACAGGCGTGAGCCACCACGCCTGGCCCAAGAAGGCTAATATTCTTCTCCAGGCTTTAGAAAACCCTAGCAAGACCCTCCTGCTTTCCATCTACCCCTCTGTTTCTCCATCCTAGAGAAGACCTACCCCAGCTGTAAGGAGCAATAGCATTAATTAAAATTCTGAAACTAGGGTGGGTGTGGTGGCTCACGCCTGTAATCCCAGCACTTTGAGAGGCCAAGGCAGGTGGATCACTTGTGCTCAGCAGTTTGAGACCAGCCTGGGCAACAGGGCAAAACCCTGTCTCTACCAAAAGTACAAAAATTAGCCAGGCACAGTAGCCTATAATCCCAGCTACTCAAGTGGCTGAGGTGGGAGGATCGCTTGAGACTGTGAGGCAGAGGTTGCACTGAGCTGAGATCATGCCACTGCACTGCAGCTGGGTGATGAAGCAAGACCCTGTCTCAAAAAAAAAAAAAAAAAAAAAAAAAGTCCTGAAACTAATGATGTATGACAAAGTAGTGTTGGTTTACTTAACATCCAAAGTAAGTTAAAACCTTTCATATTAGCCCCCTAAGTTGGGTGGTTTAGGAAATCACAAAAAGAAACTTGGAGAACAGGAGAGAGGAAGCAGTATTTGTTAACACAAATGTTCCTGCTTTGCAGGGTCTACAGGTGCTTTGTCTTTTTTCCCCCCCGCCCCCAGGATGATTCTGACAGTGCTGATGATGCAACAAGTAATTAACTTTCTGTGACGCAAAGCTGGGAAGGCAGCTGTGGCTATTTTCCAGTTGTTCTAGAAAGCTAGCGCCTAGGCCTTTGTCAGCGCTTTGGCTGTGCACCAAGTTCTTCTGAGATCTCTGAACTTTCCTAGAAGCTCTTTATTAAGGGTCGTCCTTCAAGCTTGTCTTCCTCCTAGGCACTTGACTATGGCTCCACATCAGATGCAGGGTCGGGGAGGGGTAGACTGGTAGGGCTTCTGATTTCTTACTGATTGGTTTCTAATCTCTGTGTTTAGGCCACTTGATTATTTGAGTATGTGTGTGTATGTGGCAAAACAAAAGCCAAAGAAGAATGCAGATTATAGAAATCTCTACTATGTGTGCATATGGGGCAAAGCAAAAAGCCAAAGAAGAAACAGATTATAATAAATCTCTAGGAACTGTTCTCTGTCTGTTTCCTTCTTGTACTTATTCCTCCTGGTGGCAAGCCTCTTCTCCCTCTAGTAACCAAGCTGGGGTGCTTCCTCTTGCCCAGATTTGTGCTCTGATTTCTTACAGCTAATTCTGTCATCTCTAGAACCAGCCACTTCAGCTTCCTGCACACTCTAGAAATCTCTTTATACTTTTTTTTTTTTTTTCCGAGATGGAGTCTTGCTCTGTCGCCCAGGCTGGAGTGCAGTGGTGCAGTCTCTGTTCACTGCAACCTCCACCTTCTGGGTTCAAGCAATTCTCCTGCCTCAGCCTCCCAAGTAGATGGGACTACAGATGTGCACCACCAGGCCCAGCTAATTTTTGTATTTTTAGCAGAGATGGGGTTTCACCATGTTGGCCAGGCTGGTCTCGAACTCCTGACCTCAAGTAATCCACCCACCTCAGCCTCCCAAAGTGCTAGGATTACATGTATGAGCCACCACACCCGGCCCTCTTTATACTTTTAAAACTGATTGTTACTCTAGTTAATGTCTATGTTTATTTGTCCAACAGCTATTCTATTTGTCCATAAACTTTTTTGAGTGCCTAATATGTACAGTTGACTGTAACTTAAACAAAATAAATGCATTGCCTATAGACTTTGCTCTTGAACTCATGGTAAACTATTAGGATTTACTTTAAAAGTAAACTTTATTTATTTATTTATGTTTGAGATAGAGTCTTGCTTTGTTGCCCAGGCTGGAATACAGTGGTACATTCATTATTCATGGAGCCCTGACTTCCTGGGCTCAAGTAATCCTCCTGCCTCAGCCTCCTGGGTAGCTAGGACTACACTACAGCTGACTAAGTTAAAAAATATTTTTGTAGGCTAGGTGCGGTGGCTTATGCTTGTAATCCCAACACTTTGGGAGGCTGAGGTGGGTGGATCACCTGAGGTCAGGAGTTCGAGACCAGCCTGACCAACATGGAGAAACCCTGTCTCCACTAAAAATACAAAATTAGTCAGGCGTGGTGGCTCATGCCTGTAATCCCAGCTGCTTCAGAGGCTGAGGCAGGAGAATGGCTTGAATCCAGGAGGTGGAGGTTGCTGTGAGCCGAGATCACACCATTGCACTCCAGCCAGGGCAACAAGAGCGAAACTCCGTCTCGCTCTATAAAATATATATATATTATATATTAATTTTATATATAAAATATATATTATATATATTAATTTTATATATTATATATAAATTATATATTTAAAATATATAATATATAAATTATATATGATACATATTATATATATTTTATATATTATATATCTACATATATAAATACATATATATTTATATATTATATATTATATTATATATTATATAATATATATTTTATATATTATATTATATATTATATAATATATATTTTATATATTATATTATATATTATATAATATATATTTTATATATTATATTATATATTATATAATATATATTTTATATATTATATTATATATTATATAATATATATTTTATATATTATATTATATATTATATAATATATATTTTATATATTATATTATATATTATATAATATATATTTTATATATTATATTATATATTATATAATATATATTTTATATATATGTAAAGACCTTGTCTTTAGGACAAACTATTTTTTTGTAAAGATTTGCTTGTTGCCCAGGCTGCTCTCAAACTCCTGGCCTTAAGCCTCCTTCCTCGGCCTCCCAAAGTGCTGGGATTACAGGCCTGAGCCACCATCCCTGGCCCCATACTGCATTATAAATACTATAATACCTATAATTTATTTTATACTATGTAGTTCTAAGGTATAATTATATAACATACAAAACAATATATAACATGGAACATAAACATATAGTATATATTACTTACATGCAGTATGTTAAAACTTAATTAGCAGATGTGTTGTGTGTGTCTGTGTGTGTACACAACTGGAATCATACCATCCGCATCTTGCATTGTGCCCTTTTTCATTTAATATATATTGGAGATCTTTACAAGTCAGAACATATAGATCTAACTCATTTTTTTCATGGCTATATGGTATTCCATTGAATGTATTTTTCATAATTTCACAGGTTCTTTATTGAGGGACACGTAGGTCGTTAGTCTTTTACCATATTCTTTTTTTTTGAGACGAAGTCTCGCTCTTGTCCCCCAGGCTGGAATGCGACGGCGTGGTCTCAGCTCACTGCAACCTCCGCATCCCGGGTTCAAGCGATTCTCTTGCCTCGGCTCCCCTAGTAGCTGGGATTACAGGCGCCTGCCACCAGGCCCAGCTAATTTTTGTATTTTTAGTAGAGACGGGGTTTTACCACGTTGGCCAGGCTGGTCTAGAACTCCTGACCTCAGGTGATCCACCTGCCTCGGCCTCCCAAAGTGCCGGGATTACAGGCATGAGCCACCGCGTCCGGCAGTCTTTTACCATTTGCAAACAATATTGCAATCAACATTTAAAAATGTGGATCTTTACATATTTTTGCCAGGATATCTGTAGGGTACATTTCTAGAAGTAGAATTGCTAGGTCAAGGAGTAGATAAAATACATTTAAACATTTTGATAGCTGTTACCAAGTTGCTCTTTGATGAAATTGTACCAATTCTCACTCCTACGAACAATGAGAGTGTTCCATTCTCTAAATCGTTTCAGATATTTGACAAGATAAAAATTAGCACCTGGTTTAATTTGCTTTTTTTTTTTTTTTTTTTTTTTTTTTTTTTGAGACGAAGTCTCGCTTTGTCAGCCAGGCTGGAGTGCAGTATCGCGATCTCAGTTCACGGCAACCTCCGCCTGCCAGGTTCAAGCGATTCTCCTGCTTCAGCCTCCTTAGAAGCTGGGATGTAATCCCAGCCTGTAGGTGCCCGCCACCACACCGAGCTAATTTTTGTATTTTTAGTAGACACAGGGTTTTGCCATGTTGGCCAGGCTGGTATCGAACTTCTGGCCTCAGCTGATCCAGGCACCTCGGCCTCCCAAACTGCTGGGATTACAGATGTGAGCCACTGTGTCTGGCCCAAACTATTTTAATGTAATGTAATGTAATTTTCTTGAGACGTAGTCTCGCTGGGTTACCCAGGCTGGAGTGCAGTGGTACGATTTCGGCTCACTGCAACCTCCTCCTCTCGGGTTAAAGTGATTCTCCTGCCTCAGCCTCCCGTGTAGCTGGGATTATATAGGCGTGTGCCACCACGCCTGGCTAATGTTTTTGTGTTTTTAGTAGAAACAGGGTTTCACCATGTTGGCCACGCTGGCCAAATTGTTCTTCTTTTTTTTTTTTTTTTTTTTTTTTGAGACGGAGTCTCGCTCTGTCGCCCAGGCTGGAGTGCAATGGTGCGATCTCGGCTCACTGCAAGCTCCGCCTCCCAGGTTCACGCCATTCTCCTGCCTCAGCCTCCGGAGTAGCTGGGACTACAGGCGTCCGCCACCACGCCCGGCTAATTTTTTGTATTTTTAGTAGAGACGGGATTTCACCGCGTTAGTCAGGATGGTCTCGATATCCTGACCTCGTGATCCGCCCGCCTCGGCCTCCCAAAGTGCTGGGATTACAGGCGTGAGTCACCGCGCTCGGCCTTTTTTTTTTTTTTTTTTTTTTTTTTTAATTGAGACGGAGTCTCGCTCTGTCGCCCAGGCTGGAGTGCAGTGGTGCAATCTCTGCTCACTGCAACCCCGCCTCCCGGGTTCCAGCGATTCTCCTGCCTCAGCCTCCCGGGTAGCTGGGATTACAGGCGCCCGCCACCACGCCCGGCTAATTTTTGTATTTTTAGTAGAGACGGAGTTTCGCTATGTTGGCCAGGCTGGTCTCGAACTCCTGGCCTGAGGTGATCCACCCGCCTCGACCTCCCAAAATGCTGGGATTACAGGCGTGAGCCACCTCCCCCAGCTCCTTGCTTTCTATTTCTACTGGGCAGTGCTGCTCAGTAACCATGCCAGTCCCGTCCCCGCCTCTATGCGCTGGGATTCCGCAGCCAGAATACTTACATCCCTGGGGCCCCAAGGGGCTCACTAAACCACGTGCCTTGTCCAGGTCGCGTTTTTTTGTTTTTGTTTGTTTGTTTTTTTCCTCCTGGTCTTGTCCTTTGTAAAGCCTTAGAACAGTCGTTAAACAACCCAGCAAATATGCAATTCGCGTTTTCAGTAAATTTATCCAAACCGCATTCCATTCCTTACCCTCCTGCTTCTGCGCAGACAAGCGCCCTTGATGACGTTTGTCCCACGTCGCTCTCCGTTCGCTCCCAGGCTTCTCTGCGCGTGCGCCTCCTCACACGCCTGCAGGTATGGCGTTCTGGTGTCAGCGTGACAGTTATGCCCGAGAGGTACGGCGTCACGGCGAGGCACTTGAGACTGCCGGGCCGGCAAGGCGGTTTGGGGAAGAGGGCGCCACGTGTAGGGAGTGCCAACATGGCATTCTGTCCTGGTGTGGAGAGGGCTAGGGCTAGGGCTGGGGTCGGGGCTTATTCTCTCATTCCTCTCTGTTCAGTTCACCACCACCGTGGTCTCCTGCTGTCCCGCGGAGCTGCAGACTGAAGGGAGCAACGGCAAGAAAGAAGTGCTGAGCGGTTTCCAAGTGGTGCTGGAAGACACAGTGCTTTTCCCTGAGGGCGGGGGACAGGTACCAAAACGATCTCTTCCCAGGAAGCCCCCAGTTTCTTTGTGCTCAGGCCGAAATGCTCTCCTGCCCCTTTTTTCTCAGCCATAATGAATTCAGATGAGCTTTAGTTTAATTCATTTTGTTATTCATTTAATGAGTATTTATCAGCAATTGCTTATCTAGACATAACATATGCTAGATATTATTCCAGGCTGTAAGGATAACCGGTGAACAACACAGTGCCTTTATATACGTGGAATGTTTATTGAAGACAACTGTGTGTGCTAGGTATAATAAGTAATAAACAAAAACCAAGTAAAGGGAAAGAGAGTGATGGGATGCTTGTCTAGATGAAGGGTAAGTTATTTCAGTAGAGACCTAAACGAAGTGAGGGGGTGAGTCTTTGCAATTATCTAGTGGTGCTGGGGGGCAGAGGGAGTATTCAGGCAGGTAGAATAGCAGGTGCAAAGGCCCCAAGGAAGGAATTAGCTTCGGGTTTTAGGGACTGAAAAAGATGTTCCTGAAGGAGTTCAGGTGAGATAGACGGGTTACAGTAGTACAGCAGAGAGCATATTTATCAGTGCTGTGATGAGGACTAGGTACAACATGAGCGCAAGTGAGGTACATTGTGAAGATGGAAGAGGAGGATAATAACACCAAAGGTGGGCATTATGAGAAAGGCTTTTCTTTCTTTTCTTTTCTTTCTTTCTTTCTTTTTTTTTTTGAGACAGAATCTCTCGCTGTCATCAGGCTGAAGTGCAGTGGCATGATCTCAGCTCTGCAACCTCCGCCTCCTGGGTTCAAGTGATTCTCCTGTCTCAGCCTCCCAAGTAGCCTGACCAACATGATGAAACCTTGTCTCTACTAAAAATATAAAAATTAACCAGGCATACTGGCAGGCCCCTGTAGTCCCAGCTACTCGGGAGGCTGAGGCATGAGAATCACTTGAACCGGGAGGCTGAAGTTGCAGTGAGCCAAGATTGTGCCACTGCACTTCAGCGTGGGGGACAGAACAAGACTCCGTCTCAAAAGAAAAAAAAAAGGTGTATTAAGGTGTGTGGGCAGCGAACCATGCAGGTTATTTTCTTTCTTTTTTATTTTTAAGAGACAGGATCTTGCTATGTCACCCAGGCTGGAGTGCAGTGGCCTGATCTAGCTCACTGCAGCCTCGAACTCCCAGGCTCAAGCAATCCTCCTGTTTTAGCCTCTCCAGTAGTGGGGACTACAGGCGCACAACCAACATGCTTGGCTGCTTTTTTGTAGAGATGAGGTCTCACTTTATTGCCCAGGCTGATCTTGAGCTCCTGGCCTCAAACAGTCCTCCCACCTTGGCCTCCCAAAGGCTGGGCCTACAGGTGTGAGCCACTGCCCTGGCCTCCACTCAGGTTCTTAAGCAAATAAGTGACATGAGAGAACATGTTCAGTAGACTTGGTATTGAGAGAGTTCCAATTTCATATCAGTCATTATTATGGTGATTTTCCCAGTATGAAGATTTCCCTGATCTGCTGAAGGAAAACCTGTGACCTCAAGTATCCATAGAAGGTCTCATTTTAGACAGCATTTCTTTCAGGAAGTCTTTTTTTGATTCCCCAAGACTGTTAGGTCTCTTTCCTTTGAGGTTCTCTAGCGTCATATACTTTTTCATATTATGGCATGTTATAGGTCATATTGCAATTGTCTGTTTTCCAGCCTCTGTTCTCTAGACTCTTAAGTTCCATGAGGTACCATATCTTGTTTACATTGTATTCTTGGGCTGGCACAGTCTTTTGTAAGCAGTTGGCACTTGAAATGTTTTAAAATGAATGAACTTTTTTTTTTTTTTTTTTTGAGATGGTGTCTTGCTCTGTTGCCAGGCTGGAGCGCAGCGGCGTGATCTCGGCTTACTGCAATCTCCGTCTGCCAGGTTCAAGCAATTCCCCTGCCTCAGTCTCCCGAGTAGCTAGGACTACAGGTGTGCACCACCATGCCCAGTTAATTTTTTGTATTTTAGTAGAGACGGGGTTTCACCATGTTGGCCAGGATGGTCTTGATCTCCTGACCTTGTGATCCGCCCACCTCGGCCTTCCAAAGTACTGGGATTACAGGTGTGAGCCACTGTACCTGGCCCTTTTTTTTTTTTAAATGAGACAGTGTCTCACTCTGTCACCCAGGCTGGAGTGTAGTGGAGCAATCATAGCACACTGCAGTCTCAACCTTTTGGGCTCAAGTGATTCTCCCACCTCAGCCTCCCAAGTAGCAGGGAGTATCATGGCCAGCTAATTTTTTATTTTTCATAGAGGTGGGGTCTCACTGTGTTGTCCAGTCTGATCTCAAGCGATCCTCCTGCCTTGGTCTCCCAAAGTGGTGGGATTACAGGAATAAGCTACCATGCCCAGCCTAAATGAACATTTTTGAATCTAATTCTAATACCACTGCAAGAGGATGGAGTGGAGGGAGGGAGGAAAAATCAGATCATTTTAGAGACTACAAAAGAATCTAGACTAAGGCAAGGAGAGTTGAGGATTAAGATTCTTCGGGTTTTACTAAAATTTTTGTTGCTGTAGTTACAATCTCTTTAATTCTGTTATTCTGAAGATCACAACACATAGGTGTTTAGAATGAAAAGGACTGAGAATCCTCTCATGGAACAAAGTGGACTCATTTCACTTGGCATTGCTTTCTCCCTCTCCCTTAGGGAGCCCAGATTCTGGGTCTCTCACCCTAGAGGGTCTTTGTACCTAGAAGTTAGGGTGAGCCCTGCCTTGCCATTGATTACGTTTACTTATTTCCACCAGCCTGATGACCGTGGTACAATCAATGACATCTCTGTGCTGAGAGTGACTCGCCGTGGGGAACAGGCTGATCATTTCACCCAGACACCCCTGGATCCAGGAAGCCAGGTTCTGGTCCGGGTAGATTGGGAGCGGAGGTTTGACCACATGCAGCAGCATTCAGGTAAAGGCTGGGATGGGGGACATAACACCGGAGCAGTTGCCATGTATGGGGATGCTGTGATGACTGAGACGTAGTTTGGGTTCTCTAGGAGTTAACCTTTTGGAAAAGACAGACTATTCAGAATCAGCTGTAATTCAGGAAGGATATCCTAAATGTTATAACAGCAACATGAACAACTGAAGTAAAAAAAAGTATTAGAATAACTGCTGGATTTAGGTATTATCAACTTCCCACTCGATATCTCCATCTGGATGTCTCACAGCCTTTTCAAACTCAAAATGTCCAAAATGAAACAAAAAGCCTTCCCCTCCCTCCTGGTCTTTCATTAGCATCCTGTGTGTTCATCGCAGGGCATCAGCATGCACCTAGTCACTCAAGTTCTGGAAGTCATTCCAGATACCTCTTCAGGCATAGACAGCCAGCCAATCACTGAGTCCTGTTGGTTTCTTTTCTTTTTTTTTTTTTTTTTTGACACAGAGTTTCGCTCTGTCACCCAGGCTGGAGTGCAATGGTGCGATCTCGGCTCACTGCAACCTCTGCCTCTCGGGTTCAAGCGATTCTCCTGCCTCAGCCTCCCGAGTAGCTGGGATTATAGGCCCCCACCACCATGCCCAGCTAATTTTGTATTTTTAATAGAGACGGTGTTTCACCATATTGGTCAGGCTGGTCTTGAACTCCTGACCTCAGATGATCCGCCTGCCTTGACCCCGCAAAGTACAGGCATGAGCCACACCCCCCCAGCATGTTGGTTTGTTTTCTAAATGTCTGTCCACTTCTTTCCACAGTCACTGTCATCCTAGTCCCAGCTCCTAGCTGTCTTCCCCCTGGACCTCTCTAACAGTTTCCTAATTGATTGCCCCACATTCAGTCTGGCTCCTCTGTAGCCCATTCTCCACATAGCACCAGAACAGTCTTTTTTTTTTTGAGTTGGAGTCTCGCTCTGTCGCCCAGGCTGGAGTGCAATGGCATGATCTCGGCTCACTGCAACCTCACCTCCCGGGCTCAAGTGATCCTCTTGCCTTGGCCTCCCGAGTAGCTGGGATAACAGGTGCGTGCCACCATGCCTGGCTAATTTTTGTATTTTTAGTAGAGACGGTGTTTCACCATGTTGGCCAGGCTGGTCTCGAACTCCAGACCTCGTGATCCGCCCGCCTCGGCTTCTCAATGTGCTGAGATTACAGGCGGGAGCCACTGCGCCCAGCTGAACAATCTTAAAAATGAAAATATGGCAGCCAGGTGCGGTGGCTCACGCCTGTAATCCCAGCACTTTGGGAGACCGAGGTGGGCAGATCATGAAGTTAAGAGATCGAGACCATCCTGGCCAACATGATGAAACCCTGTCTCTACTAAAAATACAAAAATTAGCCAGGCATGGTGATGCGCGCCTGTAGTCCTAGCTGCTCAGGAGGCTGACACAGGAGAATCGCTTTAACCTGGGAGGTGGAGGTTGCAGTGAGCCGAGATCGCGCCACTGCACTCCAGCCTGGCGACAGAGCGAGACTCCATCTCAAAAAAAAAAAAAGAAAAGAGAAATGGCTGGGCACTGTGGCTCACTGCTGTAGTCCTAGCACTCTGGGAGGCTGACACGGGAAGATCGCTTGAGGCTAGGAATTCCATACCAGCCTGAGCAAGATAGTGAAACCCTGTCTCAGAAAATAAATGTAGGCTGCTCGCGATGGCTCACGCCTGTAATCCCAGCATTTTGGGAGGCCAAGTCGGACAGATCATGAGGTCAGGCATTTGAGGCCAGGAGTTCGAGACCAGCCTGGCCAACATTGTGAAACCCTGTCTCTACTAAAAACACAAAAATTAGCTGGGCGTGGTGGTGCATGCCTGTAGTCCCAGCCACTCAGGAGGCTGAGGCAGAATTGCTTGAACCCAGGAGCCAGAGGTGGCAGTGAGCTGAGATGGCACCACTGCACGCCAGCCTGGGCAACAGAGCAAGACTCCGTCTCAAAAAAGTAAATATAACTTTTTTTTTTTTTTTTTTTTTTTGAGACAAAGTCTCGCTCTGTCACCCAGGCTGGAGTGCAGTGGTGCAGTCTTGGCTCACTGCAACCTCTGCCTACTGGGTTCGGGTGATTCTCCTGCCTCAGCCTCCTGAGTAGCTGGGATTACGGGCACGCACCACCACATCCGGCTAATTTTTGTATTTTTAGTAGAGATGGGGGTTCACCATGTTGGCCAGGCTGGTCTTGAACTCCTGACCTTGTGATCTGCTCGCCTCGGCCTCCCAAAGTGCTGGGATTACAGGCTTGAGCCACCGCACCTGGCATAAATAAATATAAGTTAAAGTGGAAATGTAAACAAGAAAAATAAAAACAGACTGAGCGTGGTGGCTCATGCCTGTAATCCCAGGCACTTTGGGAAGCTGAGGTGGGCAGATCACCTGAGGTCAGGAGTTTGAGACCAACCTGGTCAACATGGTGAAACCCTGACTCTACTAAAAGTACAAAAATTAGGCATGGTGGCGTGCACCTGTAATCCCAGCTACTTGGGAGGCTGAGGCAGGAGAATCGCTTGAACCCGAGAGGCAGAGGTTGCAGTGAGCTGAGATTGCACCACTGCACTCCAGCCTGGGTGACAGAGCGATACTCCATCTCAAAATAAATAAATAAATAAATACAAAAATAAATAAAAATAAATATGTAAAATGAAATAAATTTTATTTAATTTTATTTGTTATTTTTATTTTTTTTTGAGACAGAGTCTCACTTTGTTGCCCAGGCTGGAGTGCCGTGGTGCAATCTTGGCTCACTGCAACTTCCACCCCTGGGATTCAAGCAACTCAGCCTCCTGAGTAGCTGGGATTACAGGTGCATGCCACCACACCCGGCTAATTTTTGTATTTTTAGTAGAGACGAGGTTTCACCACGTTGTTTCAGGCTGGTCTCAAACTCTTGACCTCATGATCCACTTGCCTTGGCCTCTCAAAGTGCTGGGATTACAGGAGTGAGCCACCGCGCCTGACTGAAATAAATTTTAAAAAATGAAAATATTATGTCACTCCTCTGCTTAAAGCTCTTCAGAGGCTTCCTGTAGGTCTTCGTGTAAAGCCAAACTTTTTACCATGGCATACAAGCTGTATCTGGGTGGCTCTTGTCTACTGCTGTAGCCTCATCTGGTGTCCCTTGACCTCTTGCTGGCTGCATCCTGGCCTTGCTTGTCATCTCTGGATTCCTTTGACATGCGCTACTTCTTTCTTCCTTAAGGCCTTTGGCTGTCTTGTTCCCTCTTCCTTGATAGTTCCTCCTCTTTCTCCTTTTCTTCCTCCTCCTCTTCCTCTTCTTTCTCCTCATCATCACTCTTGTCAATCAGGGATGCTGCTGTATCTCTTATGTCAAGCCCTGTGCCTTGCATTTGGTAGGTACTCAATAAATACTTGTTGAATGGATGAATGCTGCATATTGGAACTTAAGTTCACTGGGCACAGTGGCTCACACCTGTAATCCCAGCATTTTGGGAGGCCAAGGCAGGTGGATCACTTGAGGTCAAGAGTTCAAGACCAGCTTGGCCAACGTGGTGAAACCCCATCTCTACTAAAAGTAGAAAAATTAGCCGGGCACGGTGATGCACGTCTATAATCCCAGCAACTCAGGAGGCTGAGGCACGAGAATTGCTTGATCCTGGGAGGCGGAGGCTGCAGTGAGCCCCTGCACTCCAGCCTGGGCAACAGAATGAGACTGTCTCAAAAAAAAAAAAAAAAAAAAAAAAAGGAAGTTAAGTTCAAGTCCAGCCCCTTATAAGTTACATTGCCATGGCAAGTTATTTGATCTCTCTAGGCTTCAGTTTCCTCATCTGTGAAATGGTATCATAAGGCCTCTTGCAGAATTCTCATTGTGATTTTCAATAAAGTATCTAAAGTGTATTACCCAGTGCTTAGCAGGTCTTCAACAAGGAGAATTTCTGTGCTTTTATCATTGTAGCTCATATTTTATCATTGTGGGAGTATGTAGGCTTCTCACTTTTCTCCTGTCTCTGGCTCTCTTTGCTTAGGGCAGCATCTCATCACGGCAGTTGCTGACCATCTATTTAAGCTGAAGACAACATCATGGTGAGTGGGAGGCATAAGACTAACTGTAGGCAGGCCCATCCCAGCACTGGGAGGGAGGCGGAGGTGGGAGAATTGCTTGAGCCGGGGAGATTAAGGCTGTGGTGAGCTGTGATTGCCACCAAATGGCAGCATGGGTGACAGCGAGCTTGTCTTAAAAAAAAAAAAAAAAAAGGCCAGGCGCAGTGGCTCACGCTTGTAATCCCAGCACTTTGGGAGGCCGAGGCGGGCGGATCACGAGGTCAGGAGATCGAGACCATCCTGGCTAACACGGTGAAACCCCGTCTCTACTAAAAATACAAAAAATTAGCCGGGCGTGGTGGCGGGCGCCTGTAGTCCCAGCTACTCGGGAGGCTGAGGCAGGTGAATGGCGTGAACCCGGGAGGCGGAGCTTGCAGTGAGCCGAGATCGCGCCACTGCACTCCAGCCTGGGCGACAGAGCGAGACTCCGTCTCAAAAAAAAAAAAAAAAAAAAAAAAAGTGGTGAGAGGGTATGCTTGTTCCAGTTTTTAGAGGAAAAGCTTTCAGCTTTTTCTTGTTCAGTAAGATATGTTATCTGTGGCCACTGTACTTCTGACAGGGAGTTAGGGAGATTTCGGAGTGCGATTGAGCTGGACACCCCCTCTATGACTGCAGAGCAAGTAGCTGCCATTGAGCAGAGCGTCAATGAAAAAATCAGAGATCGGCTGCCTGTGAATGTCCGAGAACTGAGCCTGGATGATCCTGAGGTGGAGCAGGTAAGGGTAGAGCCAGAGGGATGGTTTCTGCGGAATGATTCCTCATCAGATTCAGACAGTCCCTCCCCTCTCCTTGAGTCCAGGTGAGTGGCCGGGGTTTGCCTGATGATCATGCTGGGCCCATTCGGGTTGTTAACATCGAGGGCGTTGATTCCAACATGTGCTGTGGGACCCATGTGAGCAATCTCAGTGACCTTCAGGTAAGTGAGGAACGGCTGTGGAGTGGCTGAGAAGAGGGATTGGGGGAGAGGGGATCACATGGGGCTGGGAGTGGGAGAGGGGGATAATCGAGGAGTCCTAAGTGAAATCTCCCCTTCACTGTTTCAGAGCTGAGGAACAGATAGGTTTCTCCTGCCTTCAGGTTCTAGGATCCGCTGTGGTTTATGCATGTGCACACGTGTGTGTGTGTGTTACCCCCTTGCCTCATGTAGGTCATTAAGATTCTGGGCACTGAGAAGGGGAAAAAGAACAGAACCAACCTGATATTTCTGTCTGGGAACCGGGTGCTGAAGTGGATGGAGAGAAGTCATGGAACTGAAAAAGCACTGACTGCTCTGCTTAAGTATGCCTGTTTCAGTACCTTCGATTACCTCCCATTTCTGAGATTTTCGACATAATCTCTTACCTCTGGGAGATAAGATGCAATCGTAAATGATAAAGTGCGGCCAGGCGTGGTGGCCCACATCTGTAATCCCAGCACTTTGGGAGGCCGAGGTGGGCGGATCACGAGGTCAGGAGATCAAGACCTTCCTGGCTAACACCGTGAAACCCCGTCTCTACTAAAAATACAAAAAGAACTTAGCCAGGCATGGTGGTGGGCGCCTGTAGTCCCAGCTACTCGAGAGGCTGAGGCAGGAGAATGGCGTGAACCCGGGAGGTGGAGCTTGCAGTGAGCCAAGATCGTTCCACTGCACTCCAGCCTGGGCGATAGAGCAAGACTCTGTCTCAAAAAAAAAAAAAAAAAAAAGATCAAGTGCTTTGGATAGTAAATCAGAACCACGAAAAGTGGTTAATTCCTTTGTATGTTTTCTCCCAGTTGCCTAAGAGACCTCCTCAGAATATCTCCTGGTCCCTGACTGCAGGGAGGCACCATAGCAAGAAGGAAATTATTGATTTATGTCCCCAACATCAGAAACGACTGGGAAGCTGCGCAGGTCTCCTCTGACCTTTCTCTTTCAGGTGTGGAGCAGAGGATCATGTGGAAGCAGTGAAAAAGCTCCAGAACTCCACCAAGATCCTGCAGAAGGTGATTTATTCCATGGAGGGTAGAGAGGGCATGGGCCCTGCCTAGGATAGGCTCTGCAGACTTGGTCTTCTGCCTAAACAGATGTGTAGTTTGTCAAAGTGGGAGTGAGGGGAGAATGAGGTGGAGGGAAGCTGATACTCTCTATTGTTATCCTTTCCATTTATCTACTGAGTTACCATATCCATTTCAGAATAACCTGAATCTGCTCAGAGACCTGGCTGTGCACATTGCCCATAGCCTCAGGAACAGTCCAGACTGGGGAGGTGTGGTCATATTACACAGGTGAGAAATTAGGAGCTGGACACAAGGAAGGGGAACTGTGTTGGGCTTAGGGCTCAGTGTCTTCTCTATATGCAATGTACAGTGGGAGGTGGATTGCTCACTGGTATTCTCAAGGTTGAGTAGATCCTAAGAAATATGTTACTGGCCGGGCGCGGTGGCTCACGCCTGTAATCCCAGCACTTTGGGAGGCTGAGGCGGGTGGATCACAAGGTCAGGAGTTCGAAACCAGCCTGGCCAGCATGGTGAAACCCCTTCTCTACTAAAAGTACAAAAATTAGCTAGGCATGGTAGTACGCGCCTGTAGTCCCAGCTACTCAGGAGGCTGAGGCAGGAGAATCACTTGAACCCGGGAGGCAGAGGTTGTGGTGAGTGGAGATCACGCCACAGCACTCCGGCCTGGACCAACAGAGTGAGACCCCATCTCAAAAATATAAAAAAAAAAAGAAATATGTTACATACCAGGCCTCCTGGGTTTGATATTAACATATTTACTGTAACTCTGTATCTTTTGTTTTTTGTGTTTTTTTTGAGATGGAGTCTTAGTGTGTCTGGAGTGCAGTGGCATGATCTCGGCTCAGTGTAACCTGTGCCTCCTGGGTCCAAGCGGTTCTCGTGCTTCAGCCTCCCGAGTAGCTGGGGGATCACAGGCATGTGCCACCACACCAGGCTAACTTTTGTATTTTTGGTAGAGCTGGGGTTTCCCCATGTTGGCCAGGCTGGTTTTGAACTCCTGACCTCAAGCAATCTGCCCACCTTGGCCTCCCAAAGTGCTGAGATTACAGGTGTGAGCCACTGTGTCCAGCCTGTATCTTTCTTTAGGACTGTCCCCTACCTCCTTTACTCTCTAACAGATTTCTGCTTATCCTGGTGAATCCTATTTAAGGGAGATGGAAACAAACCTGGAGGTTGATTACAAACTGCAGAGGCTGAGAAGGGCAGCTTGCTGGCTTTCAGCCAGTACTCTCTCTTGGCTAAGGGATATGGGACTTTATGTGTACATAGGCAGCAAGGCCAGCCTCAGAAGGAGGGGCCAGGCTTCCTGCAGTTTCACAGCCACCACTCCAACCTGGGTCTCATGTCTGTGTCCTTTGTTGTAGGAAGGAGGGTGATTCAGAGTTCATGAATATCATTGCCAATGAGATTGGGTCAGAGGTAAGAGGAGCATGAGATTCTCTACCCCGGCCTGGATAGAGACCTAGGGAGACATAAGTGAGGGGCGCTAGTTTAGCCAAAGTCCCTCCACATGAACACATGAGGAGGAGGAAATAGCCATTCATTCAATACTGTTTTCTTAGTACTAGCTATATGCCAAGCTCTGTTTTAGGTGTTGAGCTAGATCTATGTTATTGCTCTCTCTGGGGCTGTGATGTTTATTAGCTTCTGAGCTCCTTTCATCAGAGCTCTAGCTCCTCAAAGCCATTCAGGTTTATGTGTGCTGGGGATCCAATATTAGAAATATATCAGTGGGCTGGTCGCGGTGGCTCACGCATGTAATCCCAGCACTTTGGGAGGCCAAGGTGGGTGGATCACTTAAGATCAGGAGACCAGCCTAGCCAACATGGTGAAACCCCATCTCTACTAAAAATAGAAAAATCAGGCCAGGCATGGTGGCTCACGCCTGTAATTCCAGCACTTTGGGAGGCTGAGGCGGGTGGATTGCCTCAGCTCAGGAGTTCGAGACCACCCTGGGCAACATGGTAAAACCCTATCTCTACTAAAATACAAAAAATTAGCTAGGCGTGGTGGCATGCGCCTGTAATCCCAGCTACTCGGGAGGCTGAGGCATGAGAATCTCTTGAGCCTGGTAGGCAGAGGTTGCAGTGAGCTGAGATTGTGCCACAGCACTCTAGCATGGGCTACAGAGTGAGATTCTGTCTCAAAACAGAAGACAAAAATTTGCTGGGTGTGGTGGCAGGTGCCTGTAGACCCAGCTACTTGGGAGGTTGAGGCAGGAGAATTGCTTGAACCCTGGAGGCTGAGGTTGCAGTGAGCCGAGATTGCGCCACTGCACTCCAGCCTGGGCAACACAGACTGTCTCCAAAAAAAAAAAAAAAAAGTAAATACAGGAGTGGGCAAGCCCCTTTGAAAGCCATCCCCGTCCATTTTCCTCTTCCTCTGGCTTTACTTACTCTTCCCACTCCTGATGGTCTCTAGCCTAGAGATTTCCAGGTCTTTTGTTTGTTTGTTTGTTTGTTTGTTTTTTTCAGAGACAGAGTCTTGCTCTGTCACCCAGGCTGGAGTACAGTGGCGTGATTATGGCTCACTGCAGTCTTGAACTCCTGGGCTCAAGCAGTCCTCCCACGTCAGCCTCCTGAGTAGTTGGGACTGCAAGCATGAGCCACCATGCCCCACTATCTCTTTTGTATTTACTCCAGAACCCTTCTTTGGAATGCCTACTGTGGGTAAAGCGTTGTGTATCTCTCTTTTCATAATTCTTCTGTATAGACAGAACTGATTCTCAAGAAGCTCATATTCTAGTCTGGGAGACAAATATGTATGTCGACATTTATAATTCAGAATGATAGAGTGATGAATGCTAGAGGTGGAGGAGCACATTACCTGAAGGATAGGGAGGTTTCAGGGGAGGGGCCCTTGAAGACTGCTTAGAGGTCATCAGACAGACAAGGGGCAGAGGCGGCCAGGCAGAGGGAAACCTGGTGGTTTAGGCAGTGGCAGGGAAAGGATGTGTGGTGGGGAAAAGTTTGCAAGAGTGAAACCATGAAAGGCATTTTCTGCTTAGCCAGGATCAGCAGTCTTCTGCTGCCTTCTTAATGTTTCACCTAAGTTCCCATAGTTGCTCTCAAAAAGTTTCTTGGCCCTCGTGGGCCAGTGTGGAGGGGCTGTATCATCATTCATCAGGAGCGTCACTTGGTGGTTTAGGGGGAAATAATCTATTCTTAAGATTGAAGAGAGTGCAGGATTTGGGGGGTTGACTCTACATCCTTCAGTATCAGAGCTTATCTCCTTGTCTTACCTCCTAGGAGACCCTCCTGTTCTTAACTGTGGGCGATGAGAAAGGTGGTGGACTCTTCTTACTGGCAGGGCCACCTGCGTCTGTGGAGACCCTGGGGCCCAGGTAATTCTTTGTGGACTCTCTTGCACATGTAGTAGAGCCTGTATCCTACAAATACATTCCTTTACTGAGTCAAAGGACCATCACATCTGCGATCTCATTTAATTCACATCATGGGCATGTGAGGTGGGCTGAGCAGAGATAATTATTACTACTGTCATTTCCAGTTTGACAGTTGAAGGTCTTTTGGCTCCACATCTCACATGTATGTTTTTGTTTTTGTTTTTATGAAATGTGTTTGTTTTTGTTTTTTGAGATGGAGTCTTAGTCTGTTGCCCAGCCTGGAGAGCCCAGGCTACTCAGCTCACTGCAGCCACCACCTCCCAGGTTTAAGCAATTTTCCTGCCTCAGCCACTCAAGTAGCTGGGATTACAGGTGCACATAACCATACCCGTCCAATTTTTTGTATTTTTAGTACAGATAGGGTTTCACCATGTTGGCCAGGCTGGTCTCGAACTCCTGACCTCAAGTGATCCACCTGCCTTGCCCTCCCAAAGTGCTGGGATTACAGGTGCTCACCCTGCTCTCTGGAGATTAACATAATTTATCTAGCCCAATTCATAGACACTGATGTTGTTTCCAGTTATTCACTCTTATGTGATGATGGTACATATATCTTTGTGCATATGTGCAAGTGTTTTTTTGAGACAAAGTTTCACTCTTGTTGCCCAGGCTGGAGTGCAATGGCACCATCTCGGCTCACTGCAACCTCTGCCTCCCGGGTTCAAGCAATTCTCCTGTCTCAGCTTCCTGAGTAGCTGGGATTATGGCGCATACCACCATGCCCGGCTGATTTTTTTATTTTTAGTAGAGACGGGGTTTCATCCTATTGGTCAGGCTGGTCTTGAAGTCCTGACCTCAGGTGATCCACCCACTTTGGCCTCCCAAAGTGCTGGGATTACAGGTGTGAGCCACCATGCCCAGCCTATGTGCAAGTGTTTTCAAGAAAGATTCCTAGAAGTCATCTACTCTTCTTATCCCTCTCCCAGTCCCTGGAAAAAGACTCAGAGCTGCCCTTGTTTTTTTTTGTGACTTTTCCCTCAAAGTCTCCCTGACTATACCTCTGTTCCCCAGGGTGGCTGAGGTCCTGGAAGGCAAAGGAGCAGGGAAGAAAGGCCGTTTTCAGGGCAAGGCCACCAAGATGAGCCGGCGGATGGAGGCGCAGGCGCTTCTCCAGGACTACATCAGCACGCAGAGTGCTAAGGAGTGAGGGCTTAGGGCACTCACCTCCTGTTTCCACAGGAATCTTTTGGTCAATAAAATAGATTGACTCAGAATGGTTGCGCTACCACTTGTATTTATATGACTAATTCGTACTGTATACTCCATTGTGCTTGTGTGGTTACTTTCCGTTTATAAATAGATAATTTTCTAATTTAGTTCATGCACTGTAATGTTTAGAAGGTGGTGGATTAATTTATACCAAACCTTGTGCTTTTGCACTCAGTTGGATAAGAAATGAACATCTGATCAGCTGAGTCCACTGCTCCCATAATTTTGTTATAATCCACAAAGGCACATGGCTTTTTCCCGCCCCTACCGCCCCACCCCCTGAGATGGACTCTTGCTTTGTTGCCCAGGCTGGATATAGTGGTGTGATCTCAGCTCACTGCAACCTCTGCCTCCCGGGTTGAAGGGATTTTCCTGCCTCAGCCTCCAGAGTAGCCAGGATTACAGGTGTGTGCCACCATGCCTGGCTGATTTTTTTGTTTTTGTTTTTTGTTTTTGTTTGAGATGGAGTCTCGCTCTGTCACCAGGCTGGAGTGCGGTGGTGCGATCTTGGCTCACTGCAACCTCTACCTCCCAGGTTCAAACTAATCTCCTGCCTCAGCCTCCCGAGTAGCTGGAACTACAGGCTCGCACCACCATGCCAGCTAATTTTTGTATTTTTAGTAGAGATGGGGTTTCACTATGTTGGCCAGGATGGTCTCCACCTCTTGACCTCGTGATCCGCCCACCTTGGCCTCCCAAAGTGTTGGGATTACAGGCATGAGCCACTGTGCCCAGCTGGCTTCTTAGTTTTCTTTCCATTTCTGTTGTCTACTTCAATCACAGTATCACTGTGGAATGTTGACAGCATTGTCACCTTCTTGGGGTAAGTGCTGCAGTTGCAAGCATCACTGGCGAGTATTCTCAGGGCAAACAGGAAAAGGGTTAAAGTAAGAATCAGAGATTAAGAGGGACGTGTAATGATGAAAAATATAACAGTTCTAAATTTGTATGCATCTAATAACAGCCTCAAAATACATAAAGCAGACATTGACAGATCTCAAGGGAGAAACGGACAAATCTGTAATCAACGGAAGACTTAAGCTCATCTTTCATTAGTGATAGAGCAAATGGAAGCATAATATGTTCAGGAGCACAGGCTTTGAAGTTTCACAGACCTGGGTAGAAATACTGGATTTGCACATCCAGGAAAGGTGATAAAACAAAGATCCAGTCACAGCTTTAGCTAGAACAAAGATGGTTAAGGCCTAGACAGCCAGGATGAAATAACAGAGGAGAAATACAAAAGCTGACATCCAGGGGAGATAACCTGTGGCTGTGGCTGTGGCTGTGTTCAGCTATTTGTTCTTCCGACTCTGAAAGGAACTTTTTTTTTTTTTGGAGATAAGAGTCTTGTTCTGCCACCTAGGCCGGAGTGCAGTGGCATGATTTTGGCTCACTGCAACCTCCGCTTCCTGGGTTCAAGCAATTCTTGTGCCTCAGCCACCCAAGTAGCTGGGATTACAGGTGTGTGCTACCAAAAATTTCCTTCAACCCTGCCACTGAGTTACCCAATTTCTTTCTCCAGAATCAATCACTTAATTTTTTTGTTTTAGATGGAGTTTCGCTCTTGTTGCCCAGGCTGGAGTGCAATGGCGCAGTCTCCGCTCACTGCAACCTCCGCCTCCCGAGTTCAAGCAATTCTCCTGCCTCAGCCTACCGAGTAGCTGGGATTACAGGCATGTGCCACCATGCCCGGCTAATTTTGTATTTTTAGTAGAGATGGGGTTTCACCATGTTGGCCAGGCTGGTCTCGAGCTCCTGACCTCAGGTAATCCGCCGGCCTCGGCCTCCCAAAGTGCTGGGATTACAAGTATGAGCCACCATGCCTGGCCTTTTTTTTTTTTTTTTTTCCAGATATAGTCTCACTCTGTTGCCCAGGCTGGAATGCAGTGGCACAATCATGGCTTACTGCAGTCTCAACCTCCTGGGAACAGGTGATCCTCCCACCTCAGCCCTCTGAGTAGCTGGGACTAGAGGTGTGCACCACCACACCTGGCTAATTTTTTGTATTTTTTCTAGAGACAGTGCTTTGCCGTGTTGCCCACACTAGTCTTGAACTCCTGGGCTCTAGCAATTTGTCCACTTTGGCCTCCCAGTGTTGGGATTACAGGCGTGAGCCACCATGCCCAGCCTGTTACCAATTTCTTATATATCCCTCTGGTAGTATTTTAAAAAATAGATGTACATAAATCTTCCCTCTTTTTAAACATAAATGGTAGCACATTGTATACTCTTCTGCATCTTGCTTTTCTCAGAGTGCCATGTTTTAGATAAAACCATAGTGTAACACTCATGCTATACAAAATGGGTCCATTAGTGGGAGAAAGGGAAATGTTTGCTTCACAGAAGCTTCCTTACTTTTGTAGAAGGACTCAGGCAGGATCTTGAACAGAGACCCATGTGAATTTGTCTCTGTGTGAGATCTCTGTCCCTCTCTGTGTTTGTTTCTTTAGGGTGTGCCTTAGTCTGATCTGACTGCTATAATAACAAAAACTAGGTAGCTTATAAACAACAAAAATGTATTTCTCACAGTGGAGGCTGGGAAGCTGGCAAATTCAGTGTCTGGTGTGAAGGTTCAAATACTGGTTCAGGAATAGCCATCTTTTTGCACCCTTGGTGCAAAGGGTAAGGGGTCTTTCTTGGGCCTTTTTTTTTTTTTTTTTTTTTTGAGACAGATGGAGTTTCACTCTTGTTGCTCAGGCTGAAGTGCAATGGTGCAATCTCAGCTCACTGCAACCTCCACCCCCTAGGTTCAAGTGATTCTCCTGCCTCAGCCTCCCGAGTAGCTGGGATTACAGGCGCCTGCCATCCCACCCAGCTAATATTTTGTATTTTTAGTAGAGATGGGGTTTCACCATGTTGGCCAGGCTGGTCTCGAACTCCTGACCTCAGGTGATCCGCCTGCCTCAGCCTCCCAAAGTGCTGGGATTACAGGCATGAGCCTCCGCACCCAGCCCTCTCGGGCCTCTTTTATAATGCACTAATTTCATTCACGAAGGCTCTGCCCCCGTGACCTAATCACCTGCTAAAGGGCCCACCTCCTGATACCACTTAGGGGGTTAGGATTTCAACATATGAATTTTTAGGGGTACACAAAGATTCAGAACACAGGTGCAACAACAAGAACAGTGACCTGGGAGGCCACTCTTGCTCACTACCACTCAGGTGGGTTCTTGTCACTTAGACCTAGAGCAACCATGTAATTTTAATATCCAGAGTTAGGCAAACCTCATGCCAGAACAACAGTCAGAAACCCAGACGGTGTTAAGGTAGCCTGGATGTCTGGTCCCCCTGCTGAGACTCCCTGAGCTTCAGTTTCTTGACCTGAAAATGGACACATGAACTGGGTGTCCTAAGAAGGAAGGAACCTTATGAAATAATTAAGAAAAGCCATAAACACTTGAGCAAATTATGTGAAAATGGTAATTGGTTGTATAAAGAAAGAGAAAATAAAGCAGCAGTTTTTGAACTGGTGATGTCATTCTTGCCTGTCACTGAGGCCCTAATCCAATGCCCCAGGGAGAGGGGGAGAAGAACAGAGTGTGTTCAGGGGAAGGGGTGGATTGTCTTTTATGAGGTTCACCAGGAAACAAAATGAGTTCATTTATTGGAGTAATCAAGTTTTAGGTACACACACAGGTTATATATTCTGGAATGTTACTATAACCCACTTTACGGCACAGAAATAGTAAGGGGGACTCCTTGGCTTCTAAGGAAATTTTTTTATGTGCGTACCCATAAATTGCTGAAGACAGCTGCTGTAGCTTCCACTAAGGTGATGCATGTAGGTACTAGAACAGATGTTAGTATGAAAGATGAAAGGTATCAGGTGGAAGAGACCCAGAGCAGTAGACAGACTGAATTCAGGGCCGGCGCTGTGGCTCATGCCTGTAATCCCAACACTTTGGGAGGCTGAGGCAGGTGGATCACCTGAGGTCGGGAGTTTGAGATCAGCCTGACCAACATGGGAAAAACCCCGCCTCTACTAAAAATACAAAATTAGCCAAGTGTGGTGGCGCATGCCTGCAATCCCAGCTACTCTGGAGGCTGAGGTAGGAGAATTGCTTGAACCCGGGAGGCGGAGGTTGCAGTGAGCCAAGATCGCGCCGTTGCACTCCATCCAGCCTAGGCAACAAGAGCAAAGCTCCGTCTCAAAAACAACAACAACAACAACAACAACAACAAACACACACAGACTGAATTCAGGAAGGCATTGTGCCAGTGTCCTGTGCTCCACCCTGCCTTGGAGTCCTGAGTGGAAACCAGTGAGTCGGCCAAGCTGTGCTAGAATGCCAGATCTGTCCCTGAATGAGAACTTAAATAAACTCTAGGGTTTATTTAAAACCTGGTACCAAAAGGAAAACAGACAGTGTTTGCCCTAATGAAAAAAATCTTTTTCAGAAAGCGTCTCTGTCTCCCATTCCTTTCCTGAATTTGATCCAAACTATGACTAGTGTTCTCAACAGAGGGCAAGTAGGGATGTTTGGGAACGAGTGATGGAGGAATTTCCTTCTTTCTTTAGAAAGGTCTGTATCTTCTGTGCAAAATACTACAGGCAGAGTGCCAGGCTTCAAACTAAGGAATAAGTAGGACTTAGTTAACTGACCTGGAGTTGTGTCTGGAGCAGAAGAGGCTCTCACAGGGACAGCTTTCTCTTTTGCTGAGCCATAAACTCCCTGCAGAAGTGACCTGTGGCAGAGGCCTGTTAGTAAATATCCCTGTTCATTTTAAAACACCAACCTCAAAGCCAAGAGTTTGGAGGAGGGAGAGGGGTTGAGGAGTTGTTGGTCAAAGGATACACACTTTTAGTTAGATAGGAGGAATAAGTTTTTTGATTTTTTTTTTTTTTTTTTGTCTGCTTGTGGGCTTGTTTGCTTTTTTTTTTTTTTTAGACAAGGTCTTACTCTGTTTCCTGGGCTGGAGTGCAATGGAAATCTTGTCTCATTGCAGCCTCGACTTTCCTGGGCTCAAGCGATCCTCCCACTTCAGCCTCCTGAGTAGCTGGGACTACAAGCACACACCACCGCACCTGGCTACTTTTTCTACTTTTGTGGAGACAGGGTCTTGCCATGTTGCCTAGGCTTGTCTTGAACTCTTGAGCTCAAGTGATCTTCCTGCCTTGGCCTCCCGAAGTTCTGGGATTACAGGCCTGAGCCACCTTGGTTGGCCAAGATAGGAGAAATAAATTTAAGATAACTGTAGTACTACACAATGACTATAGGTGTTTAATAACAATGTATTAGGCCAGGCGTGGTGGCTCATGCCTGTAATCCCAGCACTTTGGGAGGCTGAGGCAGATAGATCACTTGAGGTCAGGAGTTCGCGACCAGCCTGGCCAACATGGTGAAACTCCATCTCTACTAAAAATACAAAAATTAGCTGAGCATGGTGGCACACACCTGTAGTCCCAGCTACTCAGGAGGCTGAGGCAGGAGAATCACTTGAACTCCGGAGTCAGAGGTTGCTGAGCCGAGATTGCGCCGAGATTGTGCCACTGCCCTCTAGCCTAGGCAAAAGAGCAAGACTCAATCTCAAAAAAACAAAACCACTGAAAACTAATGTATTGTATTCTTGAAAATTGCAAAGAGAGTAGTTTTTTTTTTTTGAGACGGAGTTTCGCTCTTGTCGCCCAGGCTGGAGTGCAGTGGTATGATCTCAGCTCACGGCAACCTCCTTGTCCTGGGTTCAAGCGATTCTCCTGCCTCAGCCTCCCGAGTAGCTGGGATCACAGTCACCCACCACCATGCCCAGCTAATTTTTGTATTTTTAGTAAAGACAGGGTTTCACCATGTTCACCAGGCTGGTCTCGAACTCCTGACTTCAGGTGATCCACCCGCCTCAGCCTCCCAAAGTGCTGGGATTACAGGCGTGAGCCATTGTGCCTGGCCTACAATTTTATATGTATCAATTAAAATTAGTTAATTATTTAAGAGGCCAAGTGTTTCAGAAAAGAAGGGAGGAATCAACATTTTCTTCTGTGAAAATGCAAGTTCTCCCTTTCATAATACATAACTTGTGTTGTTGTTGACTTGTGCATATGATACATAATCACAGAATTCATTTGTTTATACGACAGATGTTTATTGAGAGTGTAGTGTGTGCCAAGCATTGTACCCAGCACTGGGGCCACACTGGTGAGTAATCTGGCCGTGGTCCCTGTTATGGCATTTACAGCTGTGGAGAAGGAAGATAAGAAAGAAACAATCCAATACATGTAAAAGTATAAATTCTGTTGAATCTGAGAGGAAGAGAGCAGGTAAACGAATAGAGAATAATGGGAGGAAGAGGGTAGGAGAGGGTAGTGGTGTTGTCAAAGGAGGCTGGGGGAGGATTTAGTTTTCTCATAATTTCCAGCATCCAGGCCATCTGAAATAAAGCAAACATAGTTTAATAGACAACACAATTTTTTTTTTTTTTTTTGAGATGGAGTCTCATTCTTTCACCCAGGCTGGAGAGAAGCGGCACAATCTTGGCTCACTGCAACCTCTGCCTCTCGGGTACAAGAGATTCTCCTGGCTCAGCCTCCCAAGTATCTGGGACTACAGGTGTGCGCCACCACACCCAGCTAATTTTTTGTATTTTTAGTAGAGACGGGGTTTCACTGTGTTAGCCAGGATGGTCTCAGTCTCCTGACCTCATGATCCACCTGCCTTGGCCTCCCAAAGTGCTGGGTTTACAGGCATGAGCCACTGCACCCAGCCAGCAACACAAGTTTTTAGACAAGTGTGAGACCAAGTAGCAAACATAAGCTATGTTTGCCCATTTCTGCTTGCCAGCATAATTTTCCAAAGCTTCTGACTCTGTGAAGACCTGCAGCTCTCCAGAAAGATGCTTTGAAGACAACAAAACAGAATACACAGCCCCCATGTCTCTTGTCCTCTTGCCGGAGTCACTGCATTCCTTAAAAGATGAATGACCTCCAGCCTGGGCAACATGGCAAAACCTCATCTCTACAAAAAAATACAACAATTGGCTGGGCGTGGTGGTGTGCACCTGTAGTCTCAGCTATTTGGAAGGCTGAGGTGGGAGGATTACCTGAACCTGGGGAGGTTGAGACTGCAGTGAGCCATGATTGTGCTACTGCATGCCAGCCTGGGTGATGGAGTGAGACCCTGTCTCAAAAAAAAAAAAAAAAAAAAAAAAAAAAAGAATGGCCTTAATCCCTGGCTTTTCCTATACATAAGATGACATCTGACGGGGTTAGTGATGATGCCTCTGTGATCTAGGACCAGATGTACTCTGACACACAAATCTTGCTGTGATTCTGCTTTCATGTAATTCTGAGCAAGTCTGATGGGATTTTGCACATACAGAACCTCCACCCCTATATATAAGCAGGGATCTGAAACACTGGGCCAGAGCCTGCTCCTAGGCTAGAGGCCTCAATCTATAGTCTTCAGCAAGACTTCTGAATAAAGTTAACTTTAATTCTTTAAAAGCTTGATATTTTTCTTTACTTGATGGAAGTCTGCTGGTTTCCCTTCCAACCACATGGCCATGCATAAGCCCCCCTCTTTTTTTTTTTTTGAGACAGGGTCTCGCTGTGTCACCCAGGCTGGAGTACAGGGTACAGTGATGTGATCGTGTCTCACTGCAGCCTTGATCTCCTGGACTCAAGCAATTCTTCCGCCTCAGCTGCCTGAGTAGTTGGGACTACAAGCATATGCCACCGCATTCGCCTAATTTTTAAAATTTTTGTAGAGACAGGGGTCTCACTATGTTGCCCAAGCTGGTCTAGAACTGTGTTCAAGTAATCCTCCTGCTTCAGTCTCCCAAAGTGCTGAGATTATGGCCGGGTGTAGTGGTTCATGCCTGTAATCCCAGCACTTTGGGAGGCCGAGGCAGCAGGATCGCTTGAGGTCAGGAGTTCAAGACCAGCCTGGCCAACATAGTGAAACCCCATTTCTACTAAAAATACAAAAAGTAGCCGGGCATTGTGGTGCGCACCTGTAGTCCCAGCTACTCAGGAGGATGAGGCAGGAGAATCGTTTGAACCCGGGAGGTGGAGGTTGCAGTGAGCCAAGATCATGTCACTGCACTCCAGCCTGGGTCACAGAGTGAGACTCCATGTCAAACAAACAAACAAGCAAACATACCCAAAGTGCTGAGATTACAGGCATGAGCCACTGCACCCGGACTTCAGCCTTTTCTCTCCTTTTTTTTTGAGATGGAATCTTGCTCTGTTGCCCAGGCTGGAGTACAGTGGTGCAATCTCAGCTCACCACAACCTCCGCCTCCTGGGTTCAAGCAATTCTCCTGCCTCAGCCTCCCAAGTAGCTGGGACTACAGGTGTGTACTACCACGCCCGGCTAATTTTTGTATTTTTAGTAGAGATGGGGTTTCACTATGTTGGCCAGGCTGGACTCGAACTCCTGACCTCGTGATCCACCTGCCTTGGCCTCCCAAAGTGCTGGGATTACAGGCGTGAGTCACCATGCCCATCCTAGCCTTTTCTTTATAGAAATTCCAGAGCTGTGAATTGTCTGCCAGCCACAGAAGATGACCATTGTCTTGGGGTTACTGGATTCATCAATGAACCATACATATGTTGGGCACCTTTTATGTGGCAGCTACAAAGAAGCAAAGAATAAGACTGACATGAAACTTGCTTGCGTCACTTTACACTCTAAGAGCCTCTTCCACCACTGTTAAACCATTTCTTCTGACCCCATGAGGCCAACTTTTCTTCCCCTTAGCAGAAAGTAAGCCCTTTGTTAGACCTCAGCAGAAGAGGGTGACCAAGGCATAACAGCCTGAAAGAGACCTCATGAAGACAAACAAGAAGTTATGATTAATAAAAACCTCTGTCAAGGCCAGGCGCAGTGGCTCACACCTGTAATCCCAGCACTTTGGGAGGCTGAGGTGGACAGATCACCTGAGGTCAGGAGTTCAAGACTAGCCTGGCCAACATGGCGAAACCCCGTCTCTACTAAAAATACAAAATTTAGCCGGTGTGGTGGCGGGCGTCTGTAATTTCAGCTACTTGGGAGGCTGAGGCTGAAGAATCGCTTGAACCCAGGAGGCGGAGGTTGCAGCGAGCCAAGATCACACCACTGCACTCCTATTCTTGGGCAACAAAAGCGAAGCTCCATCTGGAAACGAAACAAAACAAAACAAAACAAAACAAAAAACGTCTGTCAGTTGCAAGTCTAAATAGTGAAAAGCCGACTTCAAACCATCGTGTAATTTTTATTGTATTATTGTTTGGCATCATTTAATTATTGGTTGGCATTAAATCAACACTTATATAGTTCTCCCAGGCGTTGTTCTGAGCACATTATAAAAATTAACTCATTTAATCGTCATAACAACCCCCATGAAATAGGTCTTTTTTTTTTTTTTTTTTTTTGATATGGAGTCTCACTCTGTCACCCAGGCTGGAGTGCAGTGGCGTGATCTCGGCTCACTGCAAGCTCCGCCTCCCGGGTTCACGTCATTCTCCTGCCTCAGCCTCCCAAGTAGTTGGGACTACAGGTGCCCGCCACCACGCCCGGCTAAGTTCTTGTTTTTTAGTAGAGACAGGGTTTCACCGTGTTCGACAGGATGGTCTCAATCTCCCGACCTCGTGATCCACCCGCCTCGGCCTCCCAAAGTGCTGGGATTACAGGCTTGAGCCACCATGCCCGGCCGAAATCGGTCTTAATGTCATCCCCATTTCACAGCTGAGGATACTGAGACACCAAGAGAAGGAGTTTGCCTAAAGTCACTTAGTAAATGGAAGGGCACATCTTTGAACTAGCAATCTGGCTCCAGAGTCCACTTACCTAACCCCGTGCAGTGTGGCCTCTCAGTAGTATGTCTACTAATGTACTTAAAAAGAGCACACGCTGCACTTATGTATGTTTTTGTTTAACTTGTGGACAAAGACTTATGGATAGGTGCAACAAATAAATCCTCTTTTGCAACCCAGAACTCATTGTTCAGCATGAGTTTTGATACATACAGGAAGGGATATTTTGATACCTGAGACAGTTAACTGATGGGAGTATTGATAGCCATAAAGGTTGGTTCCAGGCCAGGCACAGTGGCTCATGCCTGCAATGCCCACACTGAGGTGGGAGTATTGCTTTAAGCCAGGAGTTCAAGATCAGCCTGGGCAAGAAAGTAACACCTCATCTCCACAAAAATTTAAAAATTAGCTGGATATCAGGGCATGTGTCTGTAGTTGCAGCTACTCAGGAAGGGGAGGCTAAGGAAAGAGGATTGAGCCCAGGAGTCAGAGGCTGCACTGACCTTTGATGGCACCACTGTACCCCCAGCCTAGGTAACAAAGACAGACCGTGTCTCTTAATTTAAAAAAAAAGTTTCCTGGCTAACACGGTGAAAACCTGTCTCTACTAAAAAAACAAAAAATTAGCCGGGCATGGTGGCAGGAGCCTGTAGTCCCAGCTACTTGGGAGGCTGAGGCAGGAGAAGGGCGTGAACCCGGGAGGTGGAGCTTCCTGTGAGCCGAGATTGCACCACTGCACTCCAGCCTGGGCAACAGAGCGAGACTCCGTCTCAAAACAAAAAAAAAAAAAAAACAAAAAAAAACAAAGTTTATTCTAGGACTGTAGAATAGATAGTTAAACAGCATGGGATACGAGGGAAATCCTCAGTTGTATTAATTTTATATTCCAATTTCATGTTGACTTGATACATAGGATGGCTTTTTGTTTTAAAGGCTTTTATCTTGAGAGCATGATGTCTGGAGTTAAAGGTATTGGCATATTCCACACATCTGTACTATTCTTGAGTGCGATCGCTTAGGAATGAATATGATTTGAACTAAATTCATGTTTAGAGAGGGTGTCAAATTGAGAATCAGGCAGATCCACCTACACTAAAAATGACCTTAAAGTAAATTGGTTGAAGAAATTAGATCCTGTGGCCAGGCGCGGTGGCTCACACTTGTAATCTCAGCACTTTGGGACGCCAAGGCAGGCGGATCACGAGGTCAAGAGATTGAGACCATCCTGGCCAACATGGTGAAACCCCTTAGCTACTAAAAACACAAAAATTAGCTGGGTGTGGTGGGGCACACCTGTAATCCCAGCTACTCGGGAAGCTGGGGCAAGAGAATCACTTGAACCTGGGAGGCGGAGGTTGCCGTGAGCCAAGATCATGCCACTGCACTCCAGTCTGGCAATAGAGCTAGACTCCGTCTCAAAAAAAAAAAAAAAAAGAAATTAGATCCCAAAGATTCTTGGTGAATTTTGAAGTCTTCTTCAGTATATCCATATTAAAAGGAGATGACAGAAGCAAAAAAAAAAAAAAAAAATTATGGGCTGACAGGACAACTGGATTAAAATAAGCATCAGTTTCATTAAAAAGGGCTAACTTGAAGATAAATCTTTTGACTCCAGATCTTTAGAAGATCTAAAGTGACCTTGATGGACAGTGGAAGAAATCACAACACAAATGGAATTCCTTGAATAAAAATTGATTGACTTAAAAAAAAAGAGCATACAAATGGTACATGGCTGATAGCTGTTCTATCTTATAAACTAGATCTCTCAGGGTTAAATAAGTAATTTTAGGACTTGGGGTATTTAAGGATATTGAGGCTGTCTTGTGCTTTTGGTAAGGAAAAATAACCAAATAAGCAAGTTATAAATAGAAGTAAAAACCTTCCATTGTAATGTTGCCATGTAGCCTCTAATTTTACCTCTGTTAGGGCAGGTAGGCATATCAAAATGCTGGAACTGAAAAGCTAGAGGTTTATTCCCTATGGGGTCTGAAAGCTATGCCCCTAATCCCCTACATATAATTCTAAGCCTGTTTGTCTCCTGCTTTTTGTTACTCAGGGCTCGATCTCGATGGAGACAGTGTTACATGAGTTTCACTAACACTGCTAGAAAGTGTGTTTTTCCTGATTTTGGAACCTTGGTGGGGGTGAATTGGGGATTTCCACTTGGCTTGGAAAAGGCTGAAAATCTGCCTTGGTGAAAAAGTTTAGCTGCATAATTTTTCTTTGCTTTATCATTGCTACCTGTCACCAGCAAAATTAATCCATCCTGAGGTTTTGCATGAAACAATTTTTTAAAACATTAATCAATTAAGAACATTAAACATTTTTTTGACATGAGGTCTTGCTCTGTCACCCAGGCTGGAGTGCAGTGGCACAACGTAGCTCACTGTATCCTTGAACTCCTGGGCTCCATCTATCCTCCTGCCTCAGCCCTCGGAGTAGCTGAAACTACAGGCTCACATTACTATGTCCGGCTAATTTTAAAAGTTTTTTTTTTTTTGTGGAGATAAGGACTCTCTCTGTTGCCCGGGCTGGTCTTGAACTCCTGGCCTCAAGCAATCCTCCCACCTCAGCCTCCCAAAGTGCTGGGATTACAGGCATGAGCCCCATTTATTTTTTATAGAGACGGAGTCTGCTATGTTGCCCAGGCTGGCCTCAAACTCCTGGGCTCAAGCGATCCTCTCACCTCAGCCTCTCGAGTAGCCAGGACTGTAACTGGGCACCACCACACCTGGCTCTTTATTTACTTATTTAGAGATATTAAAACAATTTTGAATATCTCTGGCTCATGTAATTTTCTTCCTGCCCCAGACCAGAATCCTTTAGCAGTCTCAGTCTCAAAACTCAGGCACCATCCTTTGCAATTTAACAGCAGAGGGTGCTGTGAGCCTGTGGCTGCCAAGGCCTCCGCCAGAAGAAAAAGATTAAAGAGCCCCTCATTCAGCCAGCCTGAAAGGAGGCTTCTGGTTGTCCTGTGCCCTTGTGGCTTCTGATGACTTGCCCATGGGATGTGGAATATGGCGTTTCCCAAAACACAAGCAGGAAATCAAGGGACAAGCTATGGCCTTCTGGAAATTATCATCTCTATTTTTGACGAGTTTCAGTTCTTCTCCAATTAAATTGATGCTTGATATTTTGTGCATTTAACTCCATCATTCTAGCCAAACCGGAGATTTCTCTTTTTTTGTTTTTTTTTCTGAGACATAGTCTTGCCCTGTCACCTAGCCTGGAGTACAGTGGTGCGATCTCGGTTCACTACAACCTCTGCCTCCTGGGTTCAAGCGATTCTCAGCCTCCTGAGTAGATGGGATTACAGGCGTCCACCACCATGCTTGGCTCATTTTTGTATTTTTAGTAGAGACGGGGTTTCACCGTGTTGGCCAGGCTGGTCTCGAGCTCCTGACCTCAAGTGATCCAACCACCTCGGCCTCCCAAAGTGCTGGGATTATAGGCATGAGCCACCGCGCCCGGCCAGAAGACAAGACTTAAGGCCTGCAGCTCACTGAGGACTTCAACATTCATCATCACGTAAAGCAGCTGTTATGTTGCAATGTCTTTATCGGCAGTCTTCGGTCAGTTTCACTCTTTCCTATATCCTATATATTCCTCTTTCTTGAATTGTTCTCTTATTTTGCTGGAGTTCATCCAACAAATCGAATCAAATCAAATATTGTTTGTTTGCTGTTTGTCTACCAGTATCTCTGTTTTGTTTGTGTTGAGAATCTTGTCAATGTTTATAGCCCAGGCGACTGCTGATGCCAACAGAAGCCAGTCTTTGCAGCCCAGCTTTGCTCATATGTTGCCCTCATTGGGCCTCAGTGATCCACCCACCTCAGCCTCCCAAAGTGTTGGGATTACAGGCATGAGCCACTGCGCCTGGCCAGCAATCTATGATTTTGAAATGAATTTGAGAATTAATGAAGCAGGAGCAGTACACTTCCTACACCAACAAAGGCAAGCTGCCTGCAGTTAGGTAAGGCAAGGTTGGCAGGAGCAGTGGGACGGACAGATACTCTGATTTTATGTATAATCTTTTTTTTTCTTTTTTTTTTTTTTGAGACTGGGTGCAGTGGTGCGATCTTGGCTCACTGCAACCTCTGCCTTCCAGGTTCAAGTGATTCTTCTGCCTCAGCCTCCCAAGTAGCTGGGATTATAGGCGCCCACCATCACTCCTGGCTAATTTTTGTATTTCTAGTAGAGATGGGGTTTCACCATGTTGGCCAGGCTGGTCTTGAACTCCTGACCTCAGGTGATCCACCCACCCTGGCCTCCCAAACTGCTGGGATTACAGCCATTAGCCACTGTGCCAGACCTGTATAATCATTTTGAATGTAAAGAGTTGATTGTTGCTAACCACAATCATTTGTCCATGATGTGCTTCATTGTTTCTTTTTCCTTTGACTATCTTTTATAGGATAGTTTTATAGGATATTTTCAGGCAATATATTCAAATTATTTACCAATTGCTGTGGCATGAGCATTGACCAATTTCAACAAATATATATCGAGTGCCTACCATGTGCCAGCGGATACATTAGTGAACAAAACAACAATTCCCTTCCTAGTAGAGCTTATGTTCTAGTGATGCAGGCACTCAGAATAAACAGTACACATAACAAGTGATACATTATGTTGGTTTTTTTTTGAGACGGAGGCTCCCTCTATCACCCAGGCTGGATTACAGTGGTGTGATCCTGGCTCACTGCAACCCCCGCCTCCCAGGTTCAAGTGATTCTTGTGCCTCAGCCACCTGAGTAGCTGGGATTACAGGTGTGCATCACCACCCAGCTAATTTCCATATTTTTAGTAGAGCACAGGGGTTTCCCCATGTTGGCCACACTGTCTGGAACTCCTGGCCTCAGGTAATCTGCCCACCTCGGCTTCCCAAAGTGCTGGGATTACAGGCGTGAGCCACTTTGCCCCGCCATTATACATTGTGTTAAAAAGTGATAAGCACTAAGGGGGACATAAAAGGAAAAGTAGAAGGGAAGGGAAGGAGAATTGGGAATCCAGGAAGTAGGAGTGTGGAGAGGAAGGTAGTAGGGTGGGTTGAAATTTTAAATAGGGTGGTCCTGGAAGATCTCATTAAGAAACAGAAACAGGCTGGGGTCAGTGGCTCATGCCTGTAATCCTAGCACTTTGGGAGGCTGAGGCTGATCGCTTGAGCCCAGGAGTTTGAGACCAGCCTGGGCAACATGGCAAAACCTCATCTCTAAAAAAAAAAATACAAAAAAAATTAGCCAGGTGTGGTGGTGTGCACCTACAGTCCCAGGTACTCTGGAGGCTAAGATGGGAGGATCACTTAAGCCTAGCCTGCTGTGAACTGTGATTGCACCACTGCACTCCGGCCTGAGCGACAGTGAGACCCCCAAAAAACGGTGAAACTCAAAAAAAAAAAAAAGCCAGGTGCTGTGGCTCATGCCTGTAATCTCAGCACTTTTGGGAGGCCAAGGTGGGAGGATCATCTGAGGTCAGGAGTTCAAGACCAGCCTGGCCAACATGGTGAAACCCCGTCTCTATTAAAAATACAAAAAAATTAGCCGGGCATGGTGGTGGGCACCTGTAAACCCAGTTACTCGGGAGGCTGAGGCAGGAGAATCGCTTGAAGCTGGGAGGCGGAGGTTGCAGTGAACCAAGATTGTGCCATTACACTGCAGCCTGGGCAACAAGAGCTAAACTCCTTTGAAAGAAAGAGAAAGAAAGAGAGAAAGAAGAAAGAGAAAGAAGGAAGGAAGGAAGGAAGGAAAGGAGGGAGGGAGGGGAGGGAAAGACGATGGGAAGAGGAGGGGAGGGGAGGGGAGGGGAGTGGATGGGAGGGGAGGGAACTGAGAAATAAGCAGAGACTTGCCAGAGATGAGGGCATCAGGCAAACAGGTATCTGGGGGTAGAACACTGGAGGGGTGGGCAGGGCCAAGGCCCTATGGCTGGAGTGTGCTTGGCCTTCACCAGGGACCGCAGGGGCTGGAGGGGCTGAGTGGGGGCTGCAGGGAACAGTGGGAGGAGATGAAGTTAGAGAGAAAGGGGTCTTGTGGGCCCCTGTAAGGTTACAACTCTTACTGTGAGTGAGATCCCACCCCATGAAAGGTTTTAAGCACAAGGCCAGTGTCTGACGTTCTTTTCTTTCTTTCTTTCTTTCTTTTTTTTTTTTTTGAGATGGAGTTTTGCTCTTATTGCCCAGGCTGGAGTGCAGTGGTGCAATCTCGGCTCACCACAACCTCCACCTCCTGGGTTCAAGCGATTCTCATGCCTCAGCCTCCCGAGTAGCTGGGATTACAGGCATGCACCACCACGCCCAGCTAATTTTGTATTTTTAGTAGAGATGGGGTTTCTCCATGTTGCTCAGGCTGGTCTCGAACTCCCGACCTCAGGTGATCCACCTGCCTCAGCCTCCCAAAGTGCTGGGATTACAGGCGTGAGCCACCGCACCAGGCCCTCATTTTCAAGTAATCAGCACAGCTGCTGTGTTGAGAGACTGTAGGGGGAGGCAAAGGAGGGAGTAGAGGAGGCGGCATCTGTTTGGAGGCTGGCACTGTAATCCTGGTGAGAGGAGATGGAGACTCGGATCTGGGGGAGGAGTGGGTTTTGGACATACTTGATGATTGAAGGGAGGAGCGAGGGAAAGAGAGGAGTGAAGGATGCTCTGCTGGGGCTGGAACAAGGTTCTGGGGGTGCCTTGCTGGGCCCTTCATTGCTGTGGCCGTGTTGGGGGAATGGGGAGGTGCTGTAAGCAGACAGGAAGGGTCTCCAAGGATTATAGGGGTTTAGTCAACTTGAGCAATCAGCCAGTTCTACAGCCTCCCGCCCTGCAGCCTGTTTTCCCTAAACCCTGTGTGGAATGTGGTCCCCTTGTTTGTTGGAACCAGCTCCTGACAGACCCCAACTCATAGAGGAACCAGAGTGAACTTTCCTCATGACTGTGCTAGAGTCTGCACCCCAGCAGGAGCAACGGCTTCATTACCATCACGTGTAACCTATGGGCTGGCATGATGCCTCACTGCATCTGGACAATTGGGACCCCTCCTCTACTAGCGATGATGCACCCTCTCCCATTTCTATCACCCTGGAAAACCTTTCTGTTACTTTCCCTCGGGGAGACACTGCTTTGGAGAACACGCCCAGTGTCCTCCTTACTTGTGCCGAGTAAAACTCCTACTGATCAAAACCTGCGTTCTCCGAACAGGCGTGGTGGCTCATGCCTGTAATCCTAATACTTTGGGAAGCTGAAGCGGGTGGATCACCTGAGGTCAGGAGTTCAAGACCAGCCTGGGCAACATGGCAAAACCCCATCTGTACTAAAAATACAAAATTAGCCAGGTGTGATGGCACATGCCTGTAATCCCAGCTACTCGGGAGGCTGAGGCAGGAGAATCGCTTGAACCCAGGAGGTGGAGGTTGCAGTGAGCCGAGATCACGCCACTGCACCCCAGCTTGGGCAACAGAGTGAGACTCTGTCTCAAACCCCCCCACCCCCAAAACAAACAAAAAAAACTAACAAAAAACCCTGTGTTCTCATGGCAAGTCGTTTGTTACTTGCCAGGCGAACCAACCTCATTTTTTTCTTTCTGGTAACAGTGGCGGCAGCAGGGGCACTTGAGGAGCTCAGGCAGCCCATGTGTGTGTTCTGGTGCTTCAGGACTGAGTGCAGCTCTGGATGTTGTGATTATAGCTCAGCCTTTGCTTACTCATTTCTCTTAGAGGATGAGCCTAAAAGTAGGCTTGAATCTTAAACCTTTTTTTTAAATTAAAAAATTGGTTTTTTGATTGTTTAGTTAGGCAGCAGAGGAGTCTTCTTGTTTTTATGGGACGGTTGATTAAGTTTAACCACCCAGAAAGAAATGTTTCTCATTAAGAAACATTAGGCTGGTCCGATGGTAGTGGGTCATCAGAACTTATTAACATTAGTGTCACTAAAGTTGGTATACAACCCCCCATTGCTAAATTTCACTGGATTAAGAAAAAAAGAAACATTAGTTAAGAATAAAACAAAACACAGTTACCTGCCAGGTTTTTTTTTTTTTTTGCAATTGAGTCTTGCTCTCTCACCCAGGCTGGAGTGCAGTGGCAACGATCTCAGCTCACTGTAACCTCCAACTCCCGGGTTCAAGAGATTCTCCTGACTCAGCCTCTCGAGTAGCTGGGACTACAGGCGCCCGCCACCACACCTGGTTAATTTTTTTGTATTTTTAGTAGAGATGGGGTTTCACTGTTTTAGCCAGGATGTTCTCAATCGCCTGACCTTGTGATCCATCCACCTTGGCCTCCCAAAGTGCTGGGATTACAGGCGTGAGCCACTGCGCCCGGCCAAAAATGTTTTTTTAAAAAGAAAAGAAATTAGTGAAAGCATGAACTTTGGAGTCCACAGTTTTCACCCTGCCATTTTGATTGTGTGTTTTAACTCAGGTGACAAGGTGACATTTTCTCATAAATACATTTAAATCAGCATTCTACCAACACTGATGACTTTTCATTAAAACTCTATAAATTGCAGATTAATACACAAAACCACAAAGCAGAATAGTACAACTGACTCTTTTTTTTTTTTTTTTTTTGAGACAGAGTCTTCTTGTCTTGTGGCCCAGGCTGGAGTGCAGTAGTGCAATCAGAACTTATTGTAAACTCTAACTTCTGGGCTCAAAGGATTCTTCTGCCTCAGCCTCTCAAGTAGCTGGGATTATAGGTGCAAGCCACCACACCAGGCAATTGACTTTTAATATTTCTCACGTTTCTTTTTAACCTTTAGAGAAATCTCTGATGTATCTGATGAAATTTTTGTCTGCAGTTCAGTAGCTCTTTCAGTTTCATATTGATTTTTGATACTCTCTTCAAGAGGCATTGATGGATCTAGAAAAAAAAAGGTTTTTCATATTCTCAGTATTCTTTTTTTTTTTTTTTTTTTTGAGATGGAGTTTCACTCTTGTTGCCCAGGCTGGAGTGCAATGGTGCGATCTCGGCTCACTGCAATCTCTGCCTCCCAGGTTCAAGTGATTCTTCTGTCTCAGTCCCCGAGTAACTGGGATTACAGGCATGTGCCACCATGCCCAGCTAATTTTTGTATTTTTAGTAGAGACGGGGTTTCATCACATTGGTCGGTCTGGTCTTGAACTCCTGACCTCAGGTGATCAGCCCACCTTGGCCTCCCAAAGTGCTGGGATTACAGGCGTGAGCCACCACGCCCGGCCTACTTCTTTTTTCAAAATGTTAGCTTCAGTTATTTGTTTCTTTTGTAATTTCGTATTTTTGTGTTTTTTTGTAGAGATAGAGTCTCCCTATATTGCCCAGGCAGGTCTTGAACTCCTGGGCTCAAGTGATCCTCCTGCCTCAGCCTCCCAAAGTGCTGGGATTACACATGCGAGCCACTGTGCCTTGGCCCTCAGTTATTTCTGGATGATGAGATTGGAGTGATTTTTAGTTTCATCTTTATACTTTTCAGTAGTTTCCAACATTTCTGAATGAAATGATCTTCTTTGTAATTCATTTGTGTGATACTTTTCTAATGACAAAAAGCAAGATAAAGAGCCAGGTATGGTGACGTGCACCTACGTAATCCTAGCTGCTCAGGAGGCTGTGGCAGGAGGATCACTCAAGCCCAGGAGTTCGAGAGCAACCTGAGCATCATAACAAGACTCTGTCTCAACAAAAAAAATTAAGTTAAAATACTCTGTCAGAGCAATAAAGACCTTAAACTTCCCAAATGTCAACTCAGTAAAACAACAACAAAGTTCCCTGAGACTCTCTCAGTTATGATTTTACTCCCGAAGCAGTCACTGTCTTGGAAGGATGACTGGCTCTCAGGAGGCTGCCTCAAACGATGCATGTGAAATTCATGTAGGCTTCCAGTGTGTGTGTATGTGTGTTTTGGGGTTGTGTTTCCTGCTGTTTATAACAGGAGGATAGTCTGGTCAACCAGAACAAGGAGACCAAGCCAACAGACATCACCATCAGCAAAGGGACGGTATAATGGCGGTTGGCAAGGCAAATGAGGGCTAGTAAAGGAAATGCAATTATAGTGAGGGTGAAGATTAAATCTCTATGCAGGAATATTGCAGATAAAATAAATGAAAACAATTATATCTTTTTTTTCTTTTATAGAGAGGGGGTTGCGGTATGTTACCCAGGCTGGTCCTGAACTCTGGGTCTCAAGCAATTCTCCCGTCTTGCCTTCTAGTGTTGGGATTGCAGGCATGAGCCACCGGGCCTGGCCTGAAAATATTTTATATTGAATAAAAAATTACAACATAGAGTTCAATTGGAAACATTATTGTGAACCCATAAGCTTTAAGAGAAATATAATTTCCTGGCTCTGACCCTAAAATACAGTTCATTAACAGCATTTCTTTTTCTTTTTCTTTTTTCTTTTTTTGAAATGGAGTCTCGCTCTGTTGCCAGGCTGGACTGTAGTGGCTCAATCTTGGCTCACTGAACCTCTGCCTCCCAGGTTCAAGTGATTCTCCTCCCTCAGCCTCCTGAGTAGCTGGGATTATAGGCATCTGCCTAATTTTTGTATTTTTAGTAGAGATGGGGTTTCACCATAATGGCCAAGCTGGTCTTGAGCTCCTGACCTCATGATCCACCTGCCTCAGCCTCCCAAAGTACTGGGATTACAGGCGTGAGCCACCATGCCCTGGCCACAGCATTTCTTTTCCTTCTTCTTTTTTTTTTTTTCCTTTTTGAGATGAAGTCTCTCTCTGTTGCCCAGGCTGGAGTGCAGTGGCATGATCTCAGCTCACTGCAACCTCCGCCTCCTGGGTTCAAGCAATTCTCCTGGCTCAGCCTCCTGAGTAGCTGGGATTACAGGCACACACCACCACGCCCAGCTAATTTTTTGTATTTTTAGTAGATATGGGGTTTCCCCATGTTGGCCAGGCTGGTCTCGAACTCCTGACCTCAGGTGATCCTCCTGCCTCAGCCTTCCAAAGTGTTGGGATTACAGGCTAGGCCACTGCACCTAGCCCATTAACAGCATTTCTTCTGCTAACCTCCCACTCTCGTGCACCCATCAAAAGGAAATGAGACTTCTTAGTGGGTGGCTGATTCTGTGTCTTGGAACAAGGAAAATTTGGAATGGGCCTAGAACACAAGGATTTTAGGCCAGCAATGGTAGAAGGATAAGGAAGCCACTGTCCAAATTGCAACAATTTGACATCAAAAAAGGAACATAGTAATTATGTTTATTTATAATTGACAATTATGATTAAAATAAGTTCAGTGTGTGAAAGACCTCAAAATAAAAAAAAGTTGATATATGATTTTCTGATATATGACATATGATTTTTCTCTGCTTTTATGATATTTGAAGCATCATAAAGGGGACGCGGAGCTGGAGTGTCACAGGGGCTGAGGCAATGTAATTGGTTAAGCCACCAGTAGGGTGTGTGATCACCAACAAAAAGAAAAAGTCCTACACTGAAAGCCCATGGGGTTGAAGCAGGATTTGGTTCACGCTAGAACTTCTGAGAGTCAGTGTGTATCTTGATAAACAGCAACAGAGCTTAGTCATGAGTTCCCTGTAACTGGCTGCTCAGAGAGTTTGCTCCCCACCTCCTGGGGAGAACTTACCTGGGAAGAGGCCAATGTTTCTATCTAAGCCTGTCCCGTCCTCTGAGTTTCCAACCTTCTAATTTCACGTTGGGAGTGCCTCCGAACATGTTTTTGCTGAGTCATTTGTGGAGCTCTAGAATTGTTGAACCTATCATTTGTTTTCCAAGTTAGGGGCAAACAGTAATATATTGCTCATTTATTATTCAACCAAGATATCTGGAGTCCTCCTCATGTGTTAGGCCAGGGCTAGGCACAGGGTTTAAGTGCAAGAGTGAGCAAAGCAGGCATGGAGCTGCACTCATGGGGCCTAGTCTAGTGGGGAAGACGGACATGATCCAAATAATCACAAAGTGACGTTTGGTAGAGAGCAAAGTAAAAGGGGTGCTTTGGCAGGCCCAGAAGAGGAACTTGATCATGACTCATGGTGGGTGGGCAGGGAGGCTTCCTTGAGAAAGTGATACCAATGTGGAGGACTGAATTATGTGAAGAGGCAGAAGAGTGTTCTAAGAAGGGGGGTGTGTAAAAGCCCAAGCTCGGAGGAGGGCTGGAGTGTGTTGCATTGGAGGAACCAAGATGACATTGGCTGTGCTTTGTGGAATGAGGTGAAGGAGACCAGGTGAGGTGCGGTAGACAAGGTCCAGCTGAGGTAAGCTTTCAGAGGCCATATAAAGATTTTTTTTTTTTTGGTAAGAGCATTATTGAGATATAATTCACACACCACAAAATTCACACATTTAAAATGCACAATTTGGTAGCCAGTTGAGGTAGCTCATGCCTGTAATCCCAGCACTTTGGGAAGCAGAGACAGGTGGATCACTTGAGGCCAGGAGTTCAAGACCAGCCTGGCCAACATACTGAAACCCCGTCTCTACTAAAAATACAATTAGTTGGGTATGGTGGCACATGCCTGTAATCCCAGCTACTTGGGAGGCTGAGGCAGGAGAATCACTTGAATCCAGGAGGTGGAGGTTGCAGTGAGCTGAGATTGCGCCACTGCACTCCAGTCTGGGGCAACAGAGAGAGACTCCATCTCAAAAAGAAAAAAAAAAGAAAAGAAAAGAAAAGAAATGCTGTGGCTGGGGTGCGGTGGCTCACACCTGTAATCCCAGCACTTTGGGAGGCCAAGGTGGGTGGATCACTTGAAGTCAGGAGTTTGAGACCAGCCTGGCCAACATTGTGAAACGCCATCTCTACTAAAAATATAAAAATTAGCCTGGTGTGGTGGTGGGTGCCTGTAATCCCAGCTACTCGGGAGGCTGAGGCAGGAGAATTGATTGAACCTGGGAGGCGGAAGTTGCAGTGACCTGAGATCACACCATTGCACTCCAGCCTGGGGGATGAGAGCAAAACTCTGTCTCAAAAAAATAAAATAAAATAAATAAATAATGTACAATTCAGCCGGGCATGGTGGCTCATGCCTATAATCCCAGCACTTTGGGAAGCCAAGGTGGGAGGATTGCTTGAGGCCAGGAGTTTGAGATCAGCCTGAGCAACACAGTGCAACTTCATCTCTATGAAAAATTAAAAAGTTACCCAGGCATTGTGGTATCTACCTGTATTCCCAACTACTCTGGAGGCTAAGTTGGGAGGATCTCTTGAGCCCAGGAGGTTGAGGCTGCAGTGAGCTATGACCATGCCACCGTGCTCCAGCCTGGGTAATAGAGTGAGACTCTCTCAAAAAAAAAAAAAAAAAAGAAAGAAATTAAAAAAAGAAAAAAATACAATTCATTGGTTTTTAGTATATTCACAGAGTTGTACATAACCACAGTCAATTTGAGAACATTTTCGTCACCCTAAAAAAAAAACCCTGCAGCCTTCAGCAGTCACTCTCCATTTCCCCCAAACATCTAGCCTTAGGCAACCACCAATCTACTTTCTGTCTCTATGGATTTGCCGATTCTGGACATTTCTATAAATGGAATTATATGGTATGTGATCTTTTGTGCCTTGCTTCTTTCACTTAGTATAATGTTTTCAAGGTTCATCCACACTCTAGCATGTATTCATACTTCATTCCTTCCATGGCCAAATAATATTGCACTCTATGGCTAGGCTATATTTTGTTTATTTATCATTAGTTGATGGACATTCAGGTTGTTTCTGCTTTTTAGCTATTATGAATAATCCTGCTCTGAATATTCATGTACAAGTTTTTTTCCTTTTTAAAATTTATGTATGTATTAATTTAAAAATGGAGAGATGGGTAGAAAATAAAAGATGAAGGAAAAAGATACAAAAAGAAGTGAGACCAGACAGGGTGGCTCACTCCTGTAATCTCAGTACTTTGGGAGGCCGAGGCGGGTGTATTACTTAAGGTCAGGAGTTCAAGACCAGCCTGACCAACATGGTGAAACCCAGTCTCTACTAAAAACATAAAAATTAGCCATATGTGGTGGTGTGTGCTTGTAATCCCAGCTACTCGGGAGGCTGAGGTAGAAGAATTGCTTGAACCTGGGAGGTGGAGGTTTCAGTGAGCTGAGATTAAGCCACTGCATTCTAGCCTGGGCAACAGAGCAAGACTCCGTCTTAAAAAAAAAAAAAAAAAGCAGAAATGAAAAAACACACAAAAAAGCAAAAAATAAAGACGGGGGTCTCACTACGTTGCTCAGGCTGGTCTTATATTCCTGGACTCAAGCAATCCTATCTCTTCGGCCTTCCAAAGTGCTGGAATTACAGGCATGAGCCACGGCGCCTGGCCAAGTTTTTCATAATAAAGATTTATATCCTAAGAACAGTGATAATCCATTAAAAAGTTTCAAGCAAGAGTGTGATATCAGATTTTGGGTTTAAAAAGATCACTCCATCAGTCTTCTGGTGAATGGATATGAAAAGGGCGAGAGTGAATGCAGGGAACATTTACGAAGCCCATTGCAGCTGGACTCGTTGGTTCACACCTGTAATCCCAGAACTTTGGGAGGCCGAGGCAGGTAGATCACCTGTGGTCAGAAGTTCTAGGCCAGCCTGGCCAACATGGTGAAACCCCGTCTCTACTAAACATATAAAAATTAGCTGGGCGTGGTGACATGGGCCTGTAATCCTAGCTACTTGGGAGGCTGAGGCAGGAGAATGACTTGAACCTGGGAGGCGGAGGTTGCAGTGAGCCAAGATCAGCCTGGGCAACAAGGTGAAACTCCGTCTCAAAAAAAAAAAAAGAAAAAAAGAAGGCCATTGCAGGCCATTGCCATTGATGGTGGTGACTTTTATCTGGGGTAGGCAGCAGTAGAAATGGCAAGAAATGGCAGATTTTAGAGATATTTAAGGGGTAAAAGTAAGAGGATTTGATGGATGGAGGATGGATGGGAAGGAGGAAGATAGCGTGTGGATGGATGGACTTACCATTCACTGAGATACAGAATTGTAGAGATGACCAGGTTTGGGGTAAAATATTAAGAACCTAAACTGGGTGTGGTGGCTCACACCTGTAATCCTAGCACTTTGAGAGGCTGAGGCAGGAGGATCATTTGAGTCTAGGTGTTCAAGACCAGCCTGGGCAACATAGAGAGCCCTTGTCTTTACAAAAAAAAAAAATTTTTTTTTGTTTGAAAAGGAGTTTCACTCTTGTTACCCAGGTTGGAGTGCAGTGGCGCAATCTCAGCTCACTGCAATCTCTGCCTCCCAGGTTCAAGTGATTCTCCTGCCTCAGCCTCCCAAGTAGCTGGGATTACAGGCATGCACCACCACATTTGGCTAATTTTTTGTACTTAGTAGAGACAGGGTTTCACCATGTTGGCCAGACGGATCTTGAACTCCTGACCTCAGGTGATCCATCTGCCTCGGCCTCCCAAAGTGCTGAGATTACAGGCGTGAGCCTCCGCGCTCGGCCTATACTAGCTATTTTAATTCCAGAAATGTCTGGAATATAGCAGATGCTTGATAAATACTTGTGAAATGAACGAATTGTTCCAGCTGAAAAATTATTAAATTAAAAGATGGACCCTGCTTACATAAGTGGTAATCATAAGGGATTTTATGAACAAATAATTTGAAACCTTTAGAGTTAAAAATTTCTTATTACAGTAATAAAGATGTTAACTTTAAGTTGACAGTAATCTAAGTGTTCTGTTAATTGAATGATCAACTTGTTGGCTGTCAGAGAAGGAAGGAAACGAGTAGATTGGCACTAAGACATTCAAAGCCCCAGCAGGAAGCTGAGGCTCAGCAGAGCCAAGGAGTCAAGGGTCTTCCGGAATGTTCCCCTGCAGGGATGGGCCACAGCTTGGGGGTATGGACGAGCGGCAGGCAGGGCAGGTGAGCCTCAGCGAGCAAGGAGGTCTTTGAACCCAGAGTGCAAGATATTGAAACAGAAAATAATTAATTTGCCTCAGTTTATTTTTAATTTTTTGTTTTTCTTAAACTGAGTGTTGTTTTTTTTTTTGAAACTGAGGTTCATTTATAAAAGAACACATGTTGTTGTAGCTATGTAAGAAAATGTCCTTGCTTTTGGGAGACACATGAAATTATTTAGAAGTGAAGGCCATGGTGACTGTAAATTTTGCTGAAACGAATGATCAAAAACGAAGAATATGTACACATATATAGCGAGAGATTGATAGAGCAATGTGGCAACATGTGAATACTGTAGTTGGTGATTTACATGAAGAATATACAGAAATTCATTGCTTTTTTTTTTTTTTTTTTTTTTTTTTTGAGACGGAGTCTCGCTCTGTCGCCCAGGCTGGAGTGCAGTGGCGCAATCTGGGCTCACGGCAAGCTCCGCCTCCCGGGTTCATGCCATTCTCCTGCCTCAGCCTCCTGAGCAGTTGGGACTACAGGCGCCCGCCACCATGCCCAGCTAATTTTTTGTATTTTTAGTAGAGACAGGGTTTCACCGTGTTAGCCAGGATGGTCTCGATCTCCTGACCTCGTGATCTGCCCGCCTCGGCCTCCCAAAGTGCTGGGATTACAGGCGTGAGCCACCGTGCGCAGCGCTTTTTTTTTTTTTTTTTTTTGAGACAGTGTCTTGCTGTGTTGTCCAGACTGGACACTCAGTGGGACAATCTCGGCTCACTACAACCTCTGCCTCCCTGGTTCAAATGATTCTCCTGCCTCAGCCTCCCGAGTAGCTGGGATTACAGGCGTGCACCACCAAGCCTGGCTAATTTTTTTGTATTTTAAGTAGAGATGGGTTTTACTATGTTGCCCAGGCTGATTGCGAACCATTGCATTTTTAAAATTGATTTTTTTCAAAACAGAGTAGAAGGCCAAGTGCGGTGGCTCTCACCTGTAATCCCAGCACTTTGGGAGGCCGAGGCAGGCAGATCATTTGAGCTCTGGAGTTCAAGACCAGCCTGGCCAATATGGTGAAGCCCTGTCTCTACTAAAAATACAAAAATTAGCCGGGCATGGTGGCAGGTGCCTGTAATTCTGGCTGCTTGGGAGGCTGAGGCAGGAGAATCGCTTGAACTCAGGAGGCGGAGGTTGCAGTGAGCCGAGATCCCACCACTGCACTCCAGCCTGGGCAACAGAACGAGACGCTGCCTCAAAAAAAAAAAAGCCCAGTATGGTGGCAGGTGCATGTGGTCACAGCTACTTGGGAGGTTAAGGCGGCAGGGTCCCTTGAGCCCAGGAGGTGGAGGCTGCAGTGAGCCATGATTGCATCACTGCACTCCAGCCTGGGTGACAGAGTGAGACCCTGTTACAATAAAATAAAAACCAAAAACAAAACCAAAAAACCTTTCAGTTCTTAAGCCGAGGAGATCAAGGTCTGCAAGCATTCACAATCCTTAGAAGTCACCTAAACATAATGGATAACCTGAATCTGAAAGGCACAGAAAGTTTATTTTTCTCTCTGCTGAGGACATTACCCTAAAGGTAGCTGAGCAAAGACAATGCAACCTTTTTTATTATTTTTCACCTCCCTATCTACTCTTCTTAACAAGTTTTCCTAATTGCTTGCCACTAGTAGGGTTTAAATTCTCCCGAAAACTGTCTCAGTCTCAGATCCTCATCAGTTGACATTACAATCAAGCTAGCCTAAAAGGGCTCATCTCTGGCTACAGAAATAGCGCTTTTTCATCTTTATTTTTATTTTGTTTTGAAATTTTGCAATTCCTTCCCTCATGAAGATTATGGAAAAATCAGAAAAAAAAGATGGTTAATATTATTTTATGTCGTGGGAAACCTACTTAAACATTTGAAATGCTCAAACATGCCACAATGTGCCTGGAGAACGTTCTGGCAGTGGGTAACAAGAGCTATGAAACTTTTCAAACCTTTGACCCAGCAATACCAGTTTTGGGAATACACCCCAAGGAAATAACCCAAAAGGGAAAAAATGTAACTTGTGCAAAGATGTTCATGTGCCGCTATTTATAAGAGTGAAGAATTGGAAATAATCCAAATACCAAATAAGGAAATGGCCCAGCAAATTATGGTATAGTGACATAAGGAAAACACCAGCAAATGATTTTAAATGACAGGAATGTAGCCTCTGCTGGCTCTGGGGAACGTGTAGATTAGATTATTTTAAGTGACAAAAAACCCCAAAACAAAACACCAAATGGAAAGGTTACAACTATGAAAAGTGTGTGTTGTGAAAAAAAGTTTAGAAGTGACTCTTGAGGAAAGGCAAACATAGTTTAGAGTCGGGGTTGGGTGCTTCTTCTGTAAAATTGCTTGTGAATTGCAGTATCTACTGCAGTATATTCCAGACCTGATCATTTCGATCCTAAACACAGCTATTTGAGTATATAAAGTAGATAGCAGTTACAAGGTAGATCAGCCAATGGGTTTTCGTTTTGCAGCAAAAAGTCTTCGTAGTTTTGTCCCTGTGCACAGGAAAATGTGAACGCTCGCATCAGAGTTTGGAGACTTTGAGGACTGCAGAGCTGCAAAGACAGGCCGGGTGCTAAAACCTTCCTGGAATCATTCCACTGTCTGCTGGAAGATCAATCTCCAGGCATTGCTCAGGGCTCACCACAACAAACCAAGTGGAAGGGACCTACTTTTTCAAAGAAGGAGGAAGAAATTAGATTTCAGAAGCCAAATAAATCAGAGATGCCAAAGAAACATTTACAGAAAAGTAACACTGACTCTTCAATTACTATTACAGAATCAGGCTGCAATGTAGACCTCATTTCTACAGAAGAATACTCACACATTTTTTGTTGTTTTTTTTTGTTTTTGTTTTTGTTTTTAAACGTGGAACACAAGAATTCAGAATACGAAACTGAACAGTCAGATCAAGAAACTAAGAGGACATTGAATCAAGGAACTGTAAGAAATAGGAGGTGGATAGATATTTGCAGCAAGCTTTAGGGGCTATATCGTATTTTTAAAATAATATATCCTGGGTATGAATTAATATTTGACAACCAGGAAGCAAGGAAACACACAGTGGAATGAACTATTATTAAAGTTTACACATGATTTAAAGTTCACTTTGCTAATAAATTCTTACCTTAACAACTTCATTAGAGGCTGGGCGCGGTGGTTCACGCCTGTAATCCCAGCACTTTGGGAGGCCAAGATGGGTGGATCACCTGAGGTTAGGAGTTCGAGACCAGCCTGGGCAACATGGTAAAACCCTGTCTCTACTAAAAATACAAAAATTAGCTGGGTAGGGTGGTGGGCACCTGTAATCCCAGCTACTTGGGAGGCTGAGGCAAGAGAATCGCTTGAACCTGGGAGGCAGAGGTTGCAGTGAGCCGAGATCACGCCACTGCACTCCAACCTGGGTGACAGAGAGAGACTCCATCTCAAAAACAAAACAAAACAAAACAAAACAAAAACAAAACAACCTCATCAGAAGGCTATTTGACCTGGGATTTTTTTTTTCCATTCTCAACCTTAACTTGGACAGTGAGAAACAATTAAATTAGGATCTTTTTCATTAGTAACAAACAGAAATTAAAATGGGAGTGTGTACCAACAGTATTGGACATGAGTTTTACAGCAATGAGAGAACAGAGAAGTATGTCATCTCTTCCACCTTCTCTGAAGAAGTGCAATCCAAGCTGAGAATCATTAAGCACCAGTGTTAGGCAGAGTTTGTCTTAACTACGTTCTTTGTTCATCTGAGAATGTGTTTTGTTTTACTCTTTCCTCTCCCTGGTGATTTAACAACAATATGAAGTACACCCAGAGCCTTTTTTGGGGAGAGCAGTTTATTTACCAAACTAACAATAGGTGGCTCTCTGCCAGCCCTGCCCATTTCCCCCTCACTCTTTGGCTAAGACTCTCAATCTGGCTGCACACTTTATCCTGTATTTAACCACGTGCACATCTGTGGGTACCTAGTAACATATTCAGCTCAAGGTCTCTACAAGAGGGCCGGAGTCAAGAGTCATTTTACTTATGTAAACTGAGATGGGACAACTCCAGTTGTTTCAAAAAGTAGACCTGATGGGAGGGAAAGATTTTGGAATTTAGAGTGACAAATCTACTTAAGACAGACCTGAGCTGGGTGCAGTGGCTCACGCCTATAATCCCAGCATTTTGGGAGGCTGAAGTGGGAGGATTGCTTGAGCCCAGGAGTTTGAGACCAGCTTGGACAACATAAGTAGACCTCATTTCTGCAAATACATACCAAAAAACCTCCAAAATTAGCCAGGCATGGTGGCACACACCTGTAGACCCAGATACTCGGGAGGCTGAGGTGGGAGGATCACTTGAGCCTGGGAGGTTGAGGCTGCAGCGAGCCATGATCGGGCCACTGCACTCCAGCCTGGGCGAGAGTGAGACCCTGTCTCAACCAACAACAACAGAGCGGGTTGAGTTCAGCTATCTCCTAACTAGAGGATAAATTAACTCACCAGTTGATGAAATCTTTACATTTGGGATCATTTACCCTTTGGAAGTTCCTAGAAGCTGTGCAGAGTATCTTATAGCTGTGCAGAGCACAGGTGAAAAATGAGAAAGGGCATAGTTCTGGAGATAACAGTTGGTGGCTGCTGTAGCTAGTGAGCCTGCTGACAAGGCTCAAAGAGCCAGATCAAAGACCAAGGCTGCTGTGTCAGCTTCTCCCCGATCGACACTAATACCCATCAGGACTCAGGGCCTCACCTAAGGCTCCTGCACCGAAGAGCCCTTTGGAGGCTTTGGTGCAGGGGTGTCCACAGTGGTTTCACAACAGTCTGTAAGGAGAGATGACGCCCCTGTCATTCCATTGCAGTCACTGTGTAGGGAACAAATGGACTGGCAGGAAAGACCTTGGCAGTTTAAAGATCTAAGTGAAGAGAAACTGACTTATGCCACCCAGCTTGTTAAATCAATTAAGCCAAATTACATCTCTCAAAAGGCTCATTTGAGTTAATGGCCAGGGTGGATCAAGCAGGGATCAGTGGCAGCATTGTCAATCAGCCGGGGTAGAAGGAGATTAGAATGAAAGATGGAGTCGAAAAGATGACATTGGTGCCCTCAAAGGTGGCATGCCTCTGTCAAGAATCCCGAAACAGTTCACAATGGAGAGAAAGAAATTTGATTTTCACTATTTTTTTTCCCCACAAATTCCTGTTTGTTTTTTTTTGTTTGTTTTTTTTTGCCACCCAGGCTGGAGTGCAGTGGTGCAATCTCAGCTCACTGCAACCTGAGCCTCCCAGGTTCAAAAGATTCTCCTGCCTCAGCCTCTCGAGTAGCTGGGATTACAGGCATGTGCTACCACGTCTGGCTAATTTTTGTATTTTCAGTAGAGACGGGGTTTTGCCATTTTGGCCAGACTGGTCTCGAACTCCTGACCTCAAGTGATCCACCTGCCTCGGCCTCCCAAAGTGTTGAGATTACAGGTGTGAGGCACTGCGCCCGGCCCCAATTTTCATTCTTTTTGCCTCTGGAGAGAGAGGAAGGAGCACAGAATAATAAAGGATTAGAATCCCCAGTTCTGTGATGGAGCAGAATGAGACCATTCCAGTGTTGAAGCTGAGTTGAACTGTTCTGAGGGCAATAATTATGGAATGAGAAGAGCAGAAGAAGAAAGTGAGGAGGTGGCAGAAAGGAAAGTATTGAAAATTTGCTGGCTGGAAAACTAGCTTCTTGCTAAAAAAAACCCCAAACCCCATAAACACACCCAGCTGTTCCTGGTTGTAGTTAGTTATTACCCTGTGTCCTGGGGAGACTTAACGAAAGTAAAAGAAGAAAGAAACCCATAACATAATTAGGAGAAGGCCACTTCAAACACAATTATTCTAGCTTTGCCTTTAATTTGGTTAATAAGCCCTCAGTCTGGCTCAAATAATCTGACTGTACTGTTTACATATGTCTTTTACTTCTGTTTCAACAGCTGCATGTTGACACAGCAGCCCAAATATACGCAGGAGACTGGCAGAGAGGAGACTGCTCTTTGCTGAGAATCAAGAGACCTGTGAACATGTTAGTTACGTGACTTAGAGGCACCATTTCACCTCTCTTGGCCTTCATTTCTATATTCATGAAATGAAAAATGTTTTTGAGTAGAATTTATAGTGAGCAACTTTCTTTTTTGAAATAAAGGCCAACTCAGGACAAATAAAAAATATTTATAGACTTCTTTCTTTTATTGAGAAGAGCAGCCCAGATGCAGCTTTATTTTTATGTATTTATTTTTTTAGAGGCAGGGTCTTGCTCTGTCACCCAGGCTGGAGTACAGTGGCACAATCATGGCTCACTGCAGCTTCACCCTCTCAGGCTCAACCAATTTTCCCACCTCGTCTCCTGAGTAGCTGGGACTACAGGAGCACACCATAATGCCCGGCTCATTTTTTTTTTTTTTTTTTTTTTTTTTGAGACAGAGTCTCACTCTGTCACCAGGTTGGAGTGCAGTGGCAAGATCTCGGCTCACTGCAACCTCCGCATCTCAAGTTCAAGTGATTCTTCTGCCTCAGCCTCCCGAGTAGTTAGGACTACAGGCACGCACCACAATGCCCAGTTAATTTTTGTATTTTTAGTAGAGACGGGGTTTTACCATGTTGGCCAGGATGGTCTCGAACTCCTGACCTCAAGTGATCCGCCTCCCTCGACCTCCCAAAAGTGCTGGAATTATAGGCATGAGCCACTGCACCCGGCCTAATTTTTATTAAAAATTTTTTTTTTTGTATAGGTAGGGTCTTGCCATGTTGCACAGGCTGCTCTTGAACTCCTGGCCTCAAGCAATCCTACCTGGACCTCCCAAAGTCCTGGGATTACAGGTATAAGACACTATGCCCAGTCCAGATGCAGCTTTGTATTTTATTTGTTTGTTTGTTTGTTTGTTTTTGAGATGGAGCCTCACTCTGTTGCCCAGGCTGGAGTGCAGTGGCGCAATCTCAGCTCACAGTAACCTCTCAGGTTCAATCGATTCTCCTGCCTCATCCTCCCAAGTAGCTGGAACTACAGGCATAAGCCACCACGCCCGGCTAATTTTTGTATTTTTAGTAGATACGGGGTTTCACCATGTTGGCTACGCTGGTCTCGAACTCCTGGCCTCAGGTGATCCACCCACCTCGACCTCCCAAAGTGCTGGGATTACAGCTGTGAGCCACCAGGCCCGGCTGGATGCAGGTTTTTCATCTTTCTCCCTGAAATTAGACTTTGAGCTTCGAATTGCCCATCACTGGACTAGAAAAATCACTAGTTTTCCCTCTGGATTAATGAAGGTCTTGGTTCCCTGATGGAAGTGACTTTTGTTGTCTGCTTCTTCATGCCACTTCTAGTCAATTATTTCCTTAACCATATAACCAGAAGGCTATTTAGCCAGAGTGTTTCCTATTATCAAGGAGACACTTGAAAAACTTTTGCATACAAATGGTATCGTCCTATCTTATTCACACAAACAGGCCTTACAGCCTAGTTCAGCAGTTACTGCAGAGTGAAGTCAATGAATATTAATAATTCAGCAGCTGAAGTCATGGTTTTCAGAAAACAAGTCAGCAAATTTTGACAGGTTGCAAACAATGAGTCAATTAATTAGGGCTGGAATTTCAGATATGCAGACATGTCTTCAAATGTAACGTTCCCGGAATGCCTGTTGGAATAACAAAGAAATTGGCAACGCAAGTGGAGGAGTGCGCTGAGAGTTCCTCACGTAAAATCTGACCACCTGGTCGGGTGAGTGGCTCACACCTGTAATCCCCGCACTTTGGGAGGCTAAGGAAAGAGGATCACTTGAGCCCAGGAGTTGGAGACCAGCCTGGGCAATATAGTGAGACCTTGTCTCTACAAAAAAAAAAAAAAAAAAAAAAAAAAAAAAAAGCCAGGTGTGGTGGTGCGTGCCTGTGGTCCCAGCTACATGGGAGGCTGAGGCAGGAGGATCACTTGAGCCTGAGAGGTCAAGGCTGCAGTAAGCAGTAATGGTGCCACCACACTCCAGCCTGGGCAACAGAGAGAGACTCTGTCTCAAAAAAAAAAAAAAGGAAAAAGAAAAATCTGACCACCTAATCGGTCTTCCTTTGAAACCTTTCCAAAGCATAGAAGTAGATAAAGTTATGATAAAGGGTATGATCCTAGGAAATCAAGAGATGATAAAACCAAAAATACTGTAAAACTTTCCTAACTAAGCCTTCGGGAAAACAGTCTGGCAGTTCCTTAAAGGGTTAAATATAGAGTTCCCACATCTCCCAGCAATTCCACTCCTAAGAATGTACCCAAGAGAAATGAAACTATGCAACCACACAATGACTTGCACACAAATGTTCATAGCACTGTTATTCATAATAGCCAAAAAGCAGAAACAAGCCAGTTATCCATCAACTGATTAACAAATATTTATTTATCATTCATTCATTCATTCATTCATTCATTATTTGGAGACAGGCTTTTGCTCTGTTGCCCAGGCTGGAGTGCAGTGGCTTACTGCAGCCTCCATCTCCAAGGCTCAAGCCATCCTTCCCACCTCAGCCTCCTGAGTAGCTGAGACTACAGGCATGTGCCACCATGCCCAGCTAATCTTTTATTATTTGTAGACACGAGGTCTCCCTGTGTTGCCCAGGCTGGTTTTGAACTCCTAGGCTCAAGTAATCCTCCTGCCTCAGCCTCCCAAAGTGCTGGGATTACAGATGTGAGCCACCATGCCTGGCCTGATAAACAGATAAATAAAATGTGGTATATTCATACAATGTTATATATTCATACAATGGAATATTACTTGTCCATAAAAAGAAATGAAGTACCAATATATGTTATAACACAGATAAACCTTGAAAACATCATGCTAAGTGAAAGAGGCCAGACACAAAAGGCCACATATTGTAGGAGTCTATTTATATGAAATGCCCCAAATAGGCAAATCTATGAGACAGAAAGTAGATTAGTGGTTGCCTAGGCTTGAGTGGGTTGGAGTGGAATGAAAACCCCTGAATTGTACACTTTAAATGAGTGAATTGTATGGTATTGTGAATTATATCTCAAGCTGTTATACAGCTTTTTTTTTTTTTGAGATGGAGTTTCACTCTTGTTGCCCAGGTTGGAGTGCAATGGTGTGATCTGGGCTCACTGCAACCTCTGCCTCCCCGGTTCAAGCAGTTCTCCTGTCTCAGCCTCTCAAGTAGCTGGGATTACATGCATGTGCCACCACGTCTGGCTAATTTTTTGTATTTTTAGTAGAGACGCGGTTTCACCATGTTGGTCAGGTCGAACTCCTGATCTCAGGTGATCTGCCTGCCTTGGCTTCCCAAAGTGCTGGGATTACAGGCATGAGCCACCGTGCCCGGCCTTGTTATACATTTTTTTTAAGGTGTTACAATTTTGTTAAAAATCAAAAACATGGCTGAGTGCAGCAGCTCATGCCTGTTATCCCAGCACTTTGGGAGGCTAAGGCGGGAGGATGCTTGAGACCCTGTCTCTACAAAAAATAAAAAAATTAGCCAGGCATGGTGGTACGCATCTGTAGTCCCAGCTATTCGGGAGGCTGAGGCTGGAGGATCATTTGAGCCCCAGGAGTTGGAGGTTGCAGTGAGCTGAGATTGCGCCATTGCACCCCAGCCTGGGTGACAGAGTGAGACTCCATCTCAAATAATAAAATAAAATAAAATAAAATAAGATAAAATAAAATAAAAAGATAAAATAAATAACCAAAACCACAAAAACCTAAGCCTTTGGTCTATGTGTGATGTGGCAGCACTGGTCCACGCAGCAGAAGTTGGACTTCCTTAATGGGTCTATTTTCTTTGGGCAATAATAGAATTGCATTGCGTGTGTGTGTGTGTGTATCATCCTCAAGCCTACCACCTGAAAACTGATACACTACTAGAACATTCTACCAAATTATGCCATAACATGACATGGACCTTGCTTTAAAACTGTCATCGGTCACTTAAACTTGCCTCACAAGCCATTTCTAAAGTGGACGTAAATCTATAACTTAGGGAACAGATGAGTGATCAAAATGTTCTGTCTAATAAGCAGGATATATTACAAAATGATTATTTTGTATCTGGGATTACAGGCGCGAGCCACAGCACCCAGCCCAGACTGCTTGCTTCTTTTTTTTTTTTTTTTCTGAGACAGGGTCTCACTCTGTCACCCAGGCTGGAGTGCAGTGGCATAATCTTGGCTCACTGCAACCTCTGAGCTCAAGGGATTCTCCCACCTCAGCCACCTGAGTAGTTAGGACCACAGGCATGCACCACCACGCTTGGCTAATGTTTTGTATTTTTGGTATAGACGGGGGTCTCACCATGTTGCCCAGGCTGGTCTCGAACTCCTGAGCTCAGGCAATCTGCCACCTCAGCCTCCCAAAGTGCTGGGATTACAGATGTGAGCCACCATGCCCAGCCCAGACTGCCTGATCCTTAACCTGGTTCCACCATTCTGGACAAGATGACTAACCCCTCTGGACCTATTTGTAATATAAGGATAAATGACAGTAGCCAACTCACAGAGATGTTGGGAGAACTAAGCGAGTTAATTGTATAAATAAAGTACATAGAACAGAATCTGGCATAAAGTTAGCACTCAATAAACTTTATCTGTTATGTTTTCTTATCAACCTCATAAACTTCAGGGAGTGGGGGCAGTATTTACTTTCTGGCAGACCTTTCTTGTAAGGATCTTGGACTTGGTCCTTGGGAGCAAATAGATTATCAAGGATGGGGCTATGCCTAAGCAGTAGGGTTCAGTTCAGACAGATCAAAACCATTTCTGGCCAAGCGCAGTGGCTCACACTGTAATCCCAGCACTTTGGGAGGCTGAGGCAGGAGGATCACTTGAACCCAGGAGTTCAAGACCAGCCTGGGCAGCATAGTGAGACCCCCATCTCTATTAAAAAAAAAAAAAAGACTATTTTCTTTCTCCCTGGTTGGGACCATTTGATTCTGTGAGGGGCCTGGTTCCCACAACGCCCTCTGAGAGCCCAAATCCAGTAGGAGAATGCAATCTTCCCTGAATATACAGACTCCGGAGTTCAGGTGTGAAATAGCGGAGCTTACCCTCAGGAAATCCATTGATACGGTGATGATTTGAGGCCTTTGGAGGTCGAACCCTGCACCCAGGATGAAATAAATCTCTTAGCAGAGAAACCTGCAATAGCTCCCTTGAGCATTCCTTGGTGCTGTGACTGGCTCTGTTTAGACTTTCTTGAACTATAACCCAAAACCTTGCTGACACTGAGTTACTGGATTCCAGAGCTGGCCTAGTCTTGTTGTGTTACTGCAACTTGTGTGCCCTGATTGCTTAATTTGATAGTGACCCTGCCCATCTACTCTCAAGTTGCAATTTGATGCCATAGAGCAACTCATGCTGACTTGTGGTCTGGTAGCCAATGTTCATTCTTGGCCAACTCTGAATCTTTCTGGTTCTATGCTGATTTTGGGCCTCCGTTTATGTGCTCAACTCTGCCTGTGCCCCTGTGGATGCATTTAAGTCTCCCTATCCCTAATGGGACTCTCGGTCAACTCAAGAGAGAGCACTTTTCTTCTCCAAAGGGAAAATGCAGGCACAGAGAAACCAAATTATTTGTTTAGGGAAACAGAGCTAGAAATTTAGTTGGGCCAGAATTAGAAACTTCAGATCACATTGCATCTAAAATATAGTAATTAACAAGACTTTATTCTTAAATAAAATGTTGCTTTAATAAAATACTGCACATATATATTTTTCTTTTCAAAGATGTTATGAGCAGGATGGTTGTTTTGAATGATAATGTATGGTATACTATATAATTAGTAGCAAAAACAAGGACTTTCAAATAAATAGGCTTCAGCTTTTTTTGGGGGGTAGGTGGGTGGGGCAGAAATACTCTGCATATCAGATGAGATTGAAAAACAGGCAAGGAGGGCCCGGTGCGGTGGCTCATGCCTGTAATCCTAGCACCTTGGGAGGCCAAGGCAGGTGGATCACTTGAGGTCAGGAGTTCGAGACCAGCCTGGCCAACATGATGAAATCCCATCTCTTCTAAAATTCTAAAAATATAAAAATTAGCCTGGCATGGTGGTGCACGCCGGTAGTCCTAGCTACTGAGGAGGCTGAGACATGAGAATCGCTTGAACCAGGAGGAAGAGGTTGCAGTGAGCCAAGATCGTGCCACTCCACTCCAGCCTGGGTGATAGGTGCGCCGTCTCAAAAAAAGAAAAAAAAAGAAAAGCAGGCAAGGAGGAGTTGGCTAGCTGGACATAGTGGCTTGCACCTGTAGTCCCAGCTACGCGGGACGCTGTGGTAGGGTGGGAGGACTGCTTGAGCCCAGGAATTCAAGAGCAGCCTGGGCAACATAGTGAGACCCTGTCTCAAAAAAAAAAAAAAAGAGAGAAGATGTTGACTTTTCCTTTAAGAATGTGCTCTTGGTTGGCTTGGGATAGAGAAAGGAGTCATATTTACCCTCTAGGAATTAAAAGTAACACTGGAGTGACCTGAGAGAGGAATCCTGGCCCTCCCCTTGTCATTTTGCCCAAGATTTCAGAGCCTAATTGAAACATACAAAAGCACCACCAGAGTCGCCCTCTAGCCTTCTGAAGATCCAGTGGGGTGGATGTGGAGCCAGTGGAAGAATCTGGAAAAAGCAGAGCTGGGCTTATAAGGAGGATGATGTAATGTGATAGAGGAGATGTCAGCTATACCTGAATGTTTTGACCTAGTGCAATATCTGGGTCACTGCAGCCATTCAGAAATCCAAGGAAATACGATGAACATGTATGCACAGTAAAAAAAATACTAGAAGCAGAATTACCCCACTAACCATCTATTAATTATACTTAAGCTGGTCCCCCATTACTGAGAGTGCATTACTATATAATTAAAGCCATTTAGACATGGCTTGGCATAGCACTTGCATGATACGCCACATACTAAAAACTCCTCCTTAGGCAGCCTTCTTTTCCTATCAGATTCAGAGCTCCTTTCTCCTTTTCTCGGTAAGAATGAACACAGGTAGAAAATTCTCAGTTAGGATCTCCAGCCTGGGCTTGTGAGCTGGCCCTACCTGGAAGTCTTGCTTTTGTATATGTGACGGAAGAATAAGTAAGTCTTCAGGGGAAAATCCAGAACAACCCAACTTCTAGCAACAGGTCTTTCTCAATAGCTTCATTAGCTTTTCAAAAACATTACCCAATATGATTAGGATTGTAAAAGAGGACCACCTGAGCTGACAGCACCTCTGGCCTCAAAATGGGCTGGCAGAAGACCATTCAAAGATAAAATGGGCTGTTCCAGTGGGAGTGAGCTCCCTACTTGTGAGAGTATTCAAGTAGAGAGAGGAGGACCTCCTGGCGGGAAACTTGCATATGGTGTACGTGATATGGCACCTCCATCTGAAAGAGTCTGTGCTGAGGGCAGGCTGGAGTCACACATGGGAATAAGCCAGGCGACCCTCCAATCTGCCATCCGTGATTTAATTCCACGACGGCAGAATGGATGGCATGTCACTTGCTCCAAATACCAGTGCCCATTGCTTCAAATAGTAGTCCTCCTCAATCCCTGGCATGGTTGTTGACTTTAAACACCGAAGACTCCACATCTCTTACAACGACTTCTTGTGCGGCTGGCCCAGGACCTGGGCGAGGCAGTAGGGGATGACACTGACGGATGCCAGGGGCACTACCGCACTCTTGCAGAAGGACAAGACGTAGAAGACCAGCTCGACTTGGGATGGGGGTTTCAAGGAGTCAAAGACGTGCAGGAGGACGAGGGAGGCTACAATAGAGCTGAGGCGGAATGGGAGCCACTTGCTGAGTTTCCCCTTGCAGCTCTCCCTGTACATGCTGGAGTTGAGAGCCAGCCCCAGGCCAAAGAGCGTGCCCAGGTTCTTGAGGAGGCTGGCAAAGGGTGTGGTGTCAATGTGGACCCATTCTGGCTGCTCGCACCACCTCTGGGCTTTCTCCAGAGTCCACAGGAGGTCTACACCCAGTCCCTTGAGCAGCAGATAAAATCCGATGGCGAAGCTGAACAGGAAGAAGGTAATGAGAAAATATTTCTTGAGGCTGGCATTATAGATGCTGTGGATGTGGCTGAAAGTTTCTGCAACAGCAATGCCTGAGTGGAAGAAAGCATGACTGTGAGAGATAGGAAGGATTTGGGACCTTTGCTAGAGGTGGGTTTGGAGGAGTGGGTGACATGCCATCCGTTCTGCGACTGTGGAATTAAATCACAGATGGCAGATGGGAGGGTCGCCTGGCTTATTCCCATGTGTGACTCCAGCCTGCCCTCAATATAGACTCTTTCAGATGGAGGTGCCATATCACGTACAATCTCCCACCGTATGCAAATTTCCTACCAGGAGGTCCTCCTATCTCTACTTGAAATACCCTCAGAGGTAGGGAGCTCACCCCCACTATAACAGTCCATTTTATCTTTGAACGGAATTGATTGCTGAATAGTTCTTCCTTGTCTGTGTGAAACTGGTCCCCCTCTAATACTGTCTATTTTTCTCAGTTCTTTCTGCAGGAGTTAGTAAGTGATGAATCTAGTCCCTCTGTCACACATTTGAACACAGTTATTCTCTCTAACCTAAACATTCCCAGGTTTTTCATGTGATATGGCTTCCAGGTTCTTCCTCAAACATGGAACCCAGTACTAAATGCTGTGTTACTTTTGTGATTACCATGAAACCATTATCTCCCTTGTTCTCAACATTCTTCTTTGAATGCTGCTATGTTCCGTTCTTACAAATCTCCAGGGGAGAAATTCCACAGTTTTGTTAAGGTCTTATATTCCAGTGCCTCCCACAAAATCTTTCTTATGCTTAACTTAAATCTTGTCTTACCCTTGTTAATTGGATCTAAGAAAACACATATTCAGGCAGGGTGCGGTGGCTCACCCTTGTAATCCCAGCGCTTTGGGAGGCCGAGGCGGGCGGATCACGAGGTCAGGAGATCAAGACCACGGTGAAACCCCGTCTCTGCTAAAAATACAAAAAATTAGCCGGGCATGGTGGCGGGCGCCTGTAGTCCCAGCTACTCGGAGAGGCTGAGGCAGGAGAATGGCGTGAACCCAGGAGGTGGAGCTTGCAGTGAGCCGAGATCGCACCACTGCACTCTAGCCTGGGTCACAGAGCGAGACTCCATCTCAAAAAAAAAAAACAAAAAAAAACATATTCAAAACTCTGAACCTATAAAAGAGATCAACTGCAGTTATCTATTAGGTTTGCAAATGAATGTATTTAAATGAACAGCTTTCCTAGGACATCGTGTTAATTTGTTAAATTTGGCAGATTCCCTGAAAAGTAAATTAGGGCCTGTTGAAGACCAGTAAGAAATAAAGATTGTAAAAAGCTCTGAGATTTCAAGCTAATTCAATTTGGTGCGTTAATTTGATGTATGGTAACTTCTACACAATTCATTCTATAGATCTGGGCACTCTTATAGAAATTAATCATTTCAAGTTGCTCATTCTTGACTTTCAACCCACAGAAATGCTAACAGTACTGATTACACACAGGATGTGGCTGGAATGCTGGGATTTTGTCCTGATTAGGGAGAGAAACGGAATGGGGTTTGGGGGAGAAGGAAGGGAGTCAGATCAGCCCATACCTGACAGGACTCCAGCAACAACTTGATGAGGAAAATGAGCAGCAAGGTAGATTCGTGACAGACAGACATTCAGCTGCACAGCCCAGAATCCCAACCACAAAATGACATTCAAGCACCTGCAACAGAAGAGGCAACCATAACAGAACACAGGTGCAGATCCTTCAGCAAAGAAAACAGCCCCTGCAGAAATGTTGGAGCCTGGCAAACTTAGGTGCTCTCAGTGGAATTTTTGTAAATTAAAGCCAGTACTCAAAAGTCCAAAGATGCCTGTTGGGGGCTGGGTGCAGCGGCTCAGACCTGTAATCCCAATACTTTGGGAGGCCGAGGTGAGAGGATCACTTGAGGCCAGGAGTTCAAGACTAGTCTGGGCAACATAGCAAGACCCCTGTCTCTTTAAAAAAGATCAAAATTGACCAGGCACGGTGGCTTATGCTTGTAATCCCAGCACTTTGGGAGGCCGAGGTGGGTGGATCACTTGAGGTCAGGAGTTTGAGACCAGCCTGATCAACAGGTGAAACCCCATCTCTACTAAAAAAAAAATTACAAAATTAGCCAGGTGGGGTGGCTCACGCCTGTAATCCCAGCTATTTGAGAGGCTGAGGCAGGAGAATTGCTTGAACTCAGGAGGTGGAGGTTACAGTGAGCCGAGACTGCGCCACTGCACTCTAGCCTGGGCAACAAGAGCAAAACTCCGTCTCAAAAAAAAAAAAAAAAGGCCAGGCGCGGTGGCTCATGCCTGCAATCCCAGCACTTTGGGAGGCTGAGGCGGATGGATCACTAGGTCAGGAGTTCAAGACCAGCCTGGCCAATATGGTGAAACCCCATCTCTACTAAAAATAAAAAAATTAGCCAGGTGTGGTGGCACGTGCCTGTAGTCCCAGCTACTCGGTAGGCTGAGGCAGAAGAATAGCTTGAACCCAGGAAGCGGAGGTTGCAGTGAGGCGAGATGGCGCCACTGCACTCCAGCCTGGGCAACAGAGCGAGATTCCGTCTCAAAAAAAAAAAAAAAATGCCTGTGGCAAGTGGTTAACCCTTGTGTATATGAATTTTAACTTCCCTATTTTATCTGTTTGATAATTAAGGATTTGCATGGCTGGCGCGGTGGCTCATGCCTGTAATCCCAATATTTTAGGAGGCTGAGGCAAGCCAATTGCTTGAGATCAAGACCAGCCTGAGCCTGGGCAACATAGCAGAACTCTGTCTCTACAAAAAGATACGAGAAATTAGCTGGGTGTGGTGTGTGGCCTGTGGTCCCAGCTACTCAGATGGCTGAGGTGGGAGGATCGCTTGAGCCTGGGAGGCAGAGGTTGCAGCGAGACATGATCGTGCCACTGCACTTCAGCCTGGATGACAGAGCGAGACTGCATCTCAAAAATAAAAATAAAAAGGATTTGCACTGTGGCTGCACACCCGGAATTCTCTGTAGTAGGAATATCTTCTGTTTCTCTGGTTATTTTAACCTGGATGGGTGACTCTGTGGTTGGTACAGACATGGGTTTTTATTTAAGCCCTGCTGCTACTTCACTACCTTATTTTTATAAGTCCCTTCATGGTGTTGGGCTTTGTTTCCTTATCTGTAAAACAACGGATTGCACTACTGGATCCCTTTCAGCCCAAACATTCCCTGACTCTGAGGTTTATCCCTATCCAAAGTGCCACAACTCTTAATCAGCGGCTGCCCAGGTGTGGGAGCGGGCTAGGGGGATGTGAGGAAGAATACGTGGTGTGTCAGCTACAGAGAGAGCTGCCTCCTGCCCTCCACCACCTACACCCCAGTGGTGAGTTCTTACCGAAATCTGTAGGTCGGCTTTATCTTTCCCTGAAAGATGGAAAGAGTAGATGTGACCATCACGTAGTATACACCTGCTGTGCCCATGGCATGGCCAGAGGGGCTCCCTAAAGGGCAGGAAAGAGAATGGAGTAAAGGTGAAAAGGTCCTCATCTGGGAGACAGTGCATCATCTACCCAGCCACCCAGCCATCCCCCTATCCACCCATCTACCCATTCATCCATCCATTCACCCCCCATCCATCCGTTCACCCCCCATCCATCCACCCATCTTACCATCCATTCGTTATCCATAATTCATTTATTTAACAAATTTCCATCTCCTATGCACCAAGCATTGTGCAAGGCTCTGGGAATACAATGATGAGCAAAGCCAGAGAGGGGCCCTGCTCTTGCAGTTTAATACAGTCTGGAGATTACACAAAGAATCAGCATACTGGGCGTACAATTACAAACTGATCTGCCCTCCACATCTTCTGTTCCTTCTCTCCTTGCACACTCTGTTCTGGCTACACTGGCCTCATTGCTTTCCTTTAAACACACCAAACACGTTCCCACCTCAGGGCTTTTGCATTGCAATCTTCTCTGGCCAGACAGCCCTTCACAGCTCTTCTGCCAGAAACTTACTTCCTCACATCCTTGAAGACTTGACTCAGATCTCATATTCTCAGTGAGTCCTACTCTGACCACGCTATTTAACCCTGCTTGCAACCGGTTCCGTTTTTTTATTTGTTTGTTTTTTGTTTTTTTAGAGACAGTGTCTTGCTTTGTCTCCTAGGCTGCAATGCAGTGCCATGATCATAGCTCACTGCAGCCTCGACCTCCTGGACTCAAGCAATCCTCCCACCTCAGCCCCCTGAGTAGCTGGGACCACAGGTGCACACCACCACACACAGCAAATTTTTTAAATGTGTTTTGTTTGTTTGTTTGATTGTTTTTGCCCAGGCTGGTTTTGAACTCTTGGGCTCAAGCAATCCTCCTACCCTTGGCCTCCCAAAGTGTTGGGATTATAGGTGTGAGCCACCATGGCCCGTCTGGTTCCCATCCCATTCTTAATTCCTCTACCCTGAGAGATAGAGGGTCCTGAGATGTGCCGCCCAGACCTCCCTCCTGAACTGCAGGACTTATTTCGTAGCTGTTGAGAGTGTGATGGTAGATGGCTTTCTGCTCTCAGCCTTCTCCTGGCATTGCCCTGGGCTAAAGAGAGTCGCCTTGATCAAGGTTACGCTCTCCCCAGGGTCTGATTCCCTTGTCCCAACTTGGACCAACTCTGAGGAGCCATCCCCAGCTTCAGAGCTCGCTGTGGGGTTGGATGAGGCAGAATCACAACCGGACCTCTCCTTCTGCCCTGTTCCTGTTCCTTCCCTTCTACAAGTATAGTTCCCCAGAGTATCTAAACTCCTGCACGTGAATCTCCATTTCAGCCTGCTTTCCAGGGAACCCCATAGATAAATAAAGGCTTTCTTCCCTCCCTCCCTTCCTCCTTCCCTTTCTTTCTCCCTTCCTTCCTCCCTCCCTTCTTCTTCCTTCTAACACTAACAATTATATACCTTGGGTAATTCATTTAAACTTTTTTTTTTTTTTCCTGACAGAATCTTTCTCTGTCACCAAGGCTGGAGTGCAGTGGTGTGATTTCAGCTCACTGCAACCTCTGCCTCCCGGGTTGAAGTGATTCTCCTGCCGCAGCCTCCTGGGTAGCTGGGATTACAGGCGCCCGCCACCATGCCTGGCTAAGTTTTTGTATTTTTTTATTAGTGACGAGGTTTCACCATGTTGGCCAGGCTGGTCTCAAACTCCTGACCTCAGGTGATCCACCTGCGTTGGCCTCCCAAAGTGCTAGGATTACAGGCGTGAGCCACCGCGCCCGGCCTACTTTCTGAGCCTTAGCTACTCTACCTAAGGAGCAGAGATAATAATTTGCTTCTATTAAGACAGAGGACTAAATAAAATAACCTCTTAAAGCCACTTTAAACTTTCCAGTCTGTGCCTCCATTAATTTCAGGGAGAAATTCATCCTTGATAACAAGCTGTTATGATGAAAGCAAACATATTTCTACAAAAGATGTTTGGTCCTTCTTTCCTTCTCCTTTCCTTTTCTTCTTCTTCTTCTTTTTTTTTTTTTTTGCCTATAAACAATCATTTTCTAGTATTATATGTGTGTGTGTGTGTGTGTGTGTGTGTGTGTGTATATATATATATATTTTTTTTTTTTTTTCAGATGGTGTCTCATTTTGTCGCCCAGGCTGGAGTGCAATGGCGCAATCTTGGCTCACCACCTCCCAGGTTCAAGCGATTCTCCTGCCTTAGCCTCCTGAGTAGCTCAGATTACAGGCATGCACCAGGACACCCAGCTAATTTTTGTATTTTTAGTAGAGACAGGGTTTTGCCATGTTGGCCAGGCTGGTCTTGAACTCCTCACCTCAGGTGATCCACCCGCCTCAGCCTCCCAAAGTGCTGGGATTACAGGGTGAGCCACCGTGCCTGGCCTATCCTACATATTAATAGTTTACTTTTTTTTTGAGACAGAGTCTCGTTCTGTCATTCAGGCTGGAGTGCAGTGGTCCGATCTCGGTTCACTGCAACCTCTGCCTCCCAGGTTCAAGCGATTCTCCTGCCTCAGCCTCCCAGGTAGCTGAGACTACAGGCGTGTGCCATCACGCCTGACCAATTTTTCCATTTTTAGTAAAGACAGGATTTTGCAATGTTGGCCAGGCTGGTTTTGAACTCCTGACCTCAGGTGATCTACCTACCTTGGCTTCCCAAAGTGCTGGGATTACAGGCATGAGCAACCACAACTGGCCTAGTTTACTTATTTATTATAATTTTTGTATATTTCACCTCCTCTATTCAGATTTCAGCTCCACAAGGGCAGGGATCTTTGTGTCTGTGTTGTTCACTGACAGAGGTATCCCTAGCACATAGAACAGTGTATAGCTCCCAGTAGGTGCTTGGTAAGTAACAGCTGAATGAGTGAATATGCTCTGAGGTAAATGCGTGGTCTGTGAGAGCAAATAACTAAGGGACCTTCCCTAGTTTTGGGGTCAGGGAAAGGGTCTCTGAGGAAGGGATACTAGTACCTTAGAGAGTACTAGTCTTAGAGGGCAGCTGAGACTTTAGGGTGAGGGAGGGGCTTCCTATTACATACTGAAAATGAAATCTATCATTTGATTTGACAGTAACCATCTGGCTGTAACTAATAAAACGTAGGCACAGAGAGGGCAAGGGATTGGACGGTCAGCTCAGGAGGGCACATCCAGTGGGCCAGGCCATTGGGAAGGACCCCCAGAAGCTCAGGCTTCTGCCCCCTCCTTTCTCAGGACACAGCGCTGCAGGGCGGTGACTCTCACGAGCCCTTTGCCCATGGATGCCCGTGCCTCTCTGGACTCCATCCAGGTTCTGTAATAGGCAGATTTCCAATACTACTGTGCTATTCAGGAAAGTATTGCAGAAGTGAATTAATTTGTGCCAATTGAAGAGCATGACAAAAGTACAAAGGAATGGCTCTCCTCATGTCCCCTCAAGGTCAGTTTCATCCATAACAGGTAAACGAGGTCCACTCAGCTTCTGTCTGCAGGGGCTGGGACGCTTACCTGGTCCAGTCTCACAGGTTACAGGGAACTGCTTTATCAGGGGCACGGAAGTGTTGCTGTAGTAGTCAGTATCCAAAACCCACCAGTATGGACGCTGTCCAAAGAGAATCCTATGGAAAAACAGAACAAGTTTCTGGGGTTACTGAATGAATGCTTTTGCCCAAAGCCTACACCTTCAAGAAGAGTGTAGCCTGAGAAGGATTTCACATGTTGCCTCTAGAAGGGAGAACTGGGTGGCTGGGGAGAAGTGTGAGAGGGAGATATTTCATGACACTTCCTTATGTATGTAACTTTTGCATTTTGAACTGTTTGAATGTATTATCTTTTTTTTTTTTGAGACAGGATCTGGCTCAGTAACCCAGCCTGGAGTGCAGTGGCGCAATCTCGGCTCATTGTGACCTCTACCTCCTGGGATCCTCCCACCTCAGCCTCCTGAATAGCTGGGACTACAGGTGTGTGCCACCACATCCAGCTAGTTTTTGTATTTTTAGTAGAGACGGGGTTTCACCATGTTGCCCAGGCTGGTCTCCATCTCCTGAACTCAGGCAATCCTCCCACCTCAGCCTCCCAAAGTGCTGGGATTACAGGCATGAGCCACCGTGCCTGACTGTATGATCTATTTAAACACAAATAATGAAGCCCAAGATTCTGAACTCCAGGCAGGCGCGGTGGCTCACACCTGTAATCTCAGCACTTTGGGAGGCCAAGGCAGGCAGATCACATGAGGTCAGGAGTTTGAGACCAGCCTGGCCAACATGGTGAAACACCGTTTCTACCAAAAAATATAAAGAATTAGCCAGATGTGGTGGTGCGTGACTGTAATCCCAGCTACTCGGGAGGCTAAGGCAAGAGAATCGCTTGAACCTGGGAGGCGGAGGTTGCCGTGAGCCGAGATTATGCCACTGCACTACAGGCTGGGTGACAGAGCAAGACTCCATCTCAAAAAAAAAAAAAAAAAAATCCTGAAATCCATAAAATGGCAGCTATGTGACTTTTTTTTTTTAACCTCAAGAAGTATTTGTCCTGGAAGAATGCATATGGAACTACAGTTTGAAACTTGGACTTGCATATACCATGGGTTCCCTCAGGCCTCAGGGAATCTTGCATTTCCTCTGACATCAGAGAATGCACTCCAGCCCCTAGGACGAGCCCCCCCCAGGGAAACATGGCCTGCATTTCCATCAGAATTGCTCTCTGTAAGGATGTATATAGCTTCAGATGCTTGTTCTGTATCCTCTCTACTTTGAAACAGAGTATCTCAGACAAACCACTTCCCCTTTAAAAGTACTAGATATATCTTTCACTGTGGAAATAGGTGTCAACCGCCAGTCAGGATGCCTTTTATCCCGTGATGGTGGAATAGTGATTTCTCACCGAAATCAGGGAGAGCCACTAACTCTGGCCTCTATCAACCCAGAGAGATTGCATGGTTCTTCAATGGAGATCAGATGTTTGGAATAACACTTCATCTTTTTATTTTTTAGAATCATGCGGCTGGGTGTAGTGGCTCACGCCTGTAATCCTAGCACTTAGGGAGGCCAAGGCAGGCAGATCATGAGGTCAGGAGTTCGAGACCAGCCTAGTCAACATAGTGAAACCATGTCTCTACTAAAAATACAAAAAAAATTAGCTGGGCATGGTGGCGGGCACCTGTAATCCCAGCTACTTGGGAGGCTGAGGCAGGAGAATCACTTGAACCGGAGAGGCAGAGGTTGCAGTGAGCTGAGATTGCACCATTGCACTCCAGCCAGGCAACAGTGCGAGACTCCATCTCAAACAAACAAACAAAAGAAAGAAAGAAAGAAAGTGGCCAGAATGGGAATGTTTACGTGATAGAAATTGGCAAATGCTAAACTCAGGGCTTTCCCCTGCTCCCCAGAGAGTCAGTTTATCAGCACTGGACGTAACATAGTTCATAAGAGCATTGCCGCGGAAGCCAGCCTGCCTACCTGGGCTTCCATCCTGGCTCGGCATGTACTAACCTTGTTGGCCTAATCATTTAACTCAGCACCTTGGTCTCTGCATCTACTGTTTCTGTAAATAGCAGTAACTACCTCACAGAAAAGCACATAGCACATGGACTGGCACACACTGTTTAATAAATGTTAACCCTGATTATTATTAAGCTGCCAGAGATAACCTATTTGTAGATTATAAAACAGAAACTCAGATAATTGATATGACTTGCCAAGGACATGTAGTTGGTGGGTGGCAGAACGAGGGCTGGAGCCCAGTTCCCAGGGTGACTTTTCATTACCCCACAAAACAGGCTGTTGAATCATCTGTGTGTTTCCTTTTTTCATACAGCATACATCATCTATCTTTTTTTTTTTTTTGAGACAGGGTCTTACTCTGTTGCCCAGGCTGGAGTGCAGTGGCATGATCTTGACTCACTGCAACCTCCTCCGCCTCTCACCTCAGCCTCCTGAGTAGCTGGGACTACAGCACCAACACGCCCAGCTAATTTTCGTAATGTTTTTGTAGAGATGGAGTTTCGCCATGTTGCCCAGGCTGGTCTTGAACTCCTGAGTTCACCCAGGAGTGATTCGCCCACCTCGGCCTCCCAAAGTGCTGGGATTACAGGTGTGAGCCACCATGCCTGGCCCCATACATCTTTCTTTATGTTACCTCTTCTGCTTCATACTAATAAAACTCTTTGCTCAAAGCCTATATAACTCAGACTTTTCACGAAATTCAACTGTCCTACCCTTTAACCCATATGAAATAGGCTTTCCTGTATTTTCAACTCACTGGTAGGATTTTTTCTGTCTTCCCCCTTTATGTAGATGATCCAAAGTCAGAGAGAGGGGTTGGAAGCATGAGTAGCCCGTGGCTTCCTGAATAGCCTGGGGAAAGCAACTTCTGATGGACAGACATTGCGAGAGCGAATGCCAGCCTCTTTTCTTGCTGATCTCCTCTCTATATGGTTCTTACCACTTAAAGACGAGGTTGAGCCAGTCTCCAATCACAGCTACCCAAAGGAGTTTAATGCCCACAGCTTCCTGAAGATGGAACCAGATGGGGAAGAGGACGTAGAAGGCATTCCTGAGGTCTGCGATCACGGACACCAAGATGAACCAGTCCTGGGAGTCTTGGTAATTCACCTGGAGGTAATGTGTTGACTGGATCCCAAAGTCATGGAGAACATTCATTCCTTCCTCCATCCTCATTTCCTTGGCACCTCAGGAAGATGTCAGCAGAGCCCTTGCAGTTATTCCAGGCTTGGTGGTGATTGCTCTGCTATGAGTCTGTGCCTTGCCCCTGTTTTATATGCCCTGTATCCAGTATTCAGGTCAACCCAGCCCTGATCTTTGGACTCAAAAACCACGTTTGTCTAAAATGTATTGATCAAAGGTGCATCACCAGTAGGTTGATGCAAACATGTTCAGGGTGATTTACGTAAAATAGAAAAACAGGCACACAAAAACAGCCTGATCGGCCATGTACTCAGCAGGGCCAATGATTAACTTTGGCATGCTTCTTGGCAGTGCAAGGGTCTGCCCTCCTGGTCCCCGAAACCAGGCCAGAGACACAGGACAGAGTCTACATCCACGATGATTCTTGCAAAGATGTCAGATTTTCTATGCCTGCAACTGCACTTATTTGGGGACAAAGAAAAATCTTGGTGCTCTAGCTATTCAAGTTTTAAGTTCTTAATTTTAAAATTAGTAAAGTTCTGGCTGGTTGTGGTGGCTCACACCTGTAATCCCAGCAATTTGGGAGGCTGAGGTGGGAGGATCCCTTGAAGCCAGGAGTTGGAGACCAGCCTGGGCAACAAAGCAAGACCCTCGTTTCTACACAAAAATTTAAAAAATTGTTTTGGTGTGTGTGATGGTGTACCCTTGTAGTCCCAGCTATTCAGGAGGCTGAGGCAGGAGGATTGCTTGAGCCCAGGAGTTGGAGTCTGCAGTGAGCTATTGTCCCACCGCTGCACTACAGCCTGGGCAATCGAGCAAGACCCCAGTCTCTAAAACAAAACAAAACAAAACAAAACAAAACAAAAGAAAAACAACAAATAAAATATAGTAACTTCTATTGTATTGGGGACTATCATCTTGCTGGTCTTTCCTTAACTGTATTAGAGTCTAGGGTCTGCCTCTGGTTTGGGAGATCAACCCCCTTCCTGGTATTGGCCTCATGTCTCTTAGGGCCAGAAAGTAATCGTTTTTGAATGCAGTGATTAATTCATTTAATGACCTTAAAGTTACAGCCCTTGGTGTTGTTTTCTTTTTTAAATTTTCTCTCTCTTTTTTTTGAAACAGGGTCTCACTCTGTCTCCCAGGCTGGAGTGCAGTGGCATAATCACGGCTCACTGCAGCCTCAACCTCCTGGGCTAATGTGATCCTCCCACCTCAGCCTCCTGAGTAGCTGGGACCACAGGCACACGCCACCATGCCTGGCTAATTTTTCTATCTTTTGTAGAGATGGGGTTTTTCCATGTTGCCCAGGCTGGTCTTGAATTCCTGAGCTCAAGAGATCTGCCAGTCTTGGCTTCCCAAAGCTCTGGGATTACAGGTGTGAACCACCATGCCTGGCCAAGTGTTTTAACTCATACGTTTAAGCAAAATAATGAATGTATAGTCTTACTGTGCAACAATATGATGAATGTATGGTTCCAAATAAGAATACCAGCAAAATGGTAACTGGAGACTTAAAGAGTTTGAAACTTTCAGTTATTTTTGAAAAAGGGCTTCTATATCTTGAGCTTTCTTATACATATGTGTGTAGATATACAAAAGAAAGCTCAAGATACACTGTGTGTGTGTATATGTGTGTGTGTGTGTGTGTGTATACTATATATCAGCCTACAAATAGTAGAGAGACCAAAACCCTAACACTTGGGTCACGGAGGACTGTGAAAGGAACCAGGGAATGAATCAGGTAACGAACTCATGCATTTTAAAAAATAGGGCTATTTAATCATGCTTCATATCACTATTATTTATTATTTATTTATTTATTTTTGTAGAAACGGGGTCTCACTATGCGGCCCAGGCTGGTCTCAAATTCCTGGCTTCAAGTGATCCTCCCGCCTCAACCTAGCAAAGCATTGGGATTACAGGCATGAGCCACTGCCTCCAAATTCATGCATTTTTTGAGGATAAGAGCCAGGGGGAATAAAATGTTTAAAAACTTGCCTGAATTTCCCATCATTAAGTCCATATTGACATGTAAGGGGTAGCTGGGGACAGAAAAAAGAAACTCAGAGCTAATGAATCTGTGGCAAAAGTTGACAGCATTCCATGCTGGAAATGATTAAAACATCCTCCAGGAGGTATGACCTGGAGTCTCCTCCCCACCCCACCAAGGGCTCGCACCCAGCCCATGCTGACTCCAGTTGTCCTTGACTGCATGGTTTCTGCTGGTCCAAGCAAACTTCTCCTGCCACGCCTAACCTTGGAGAGCAGGTAATGTGTTGGTGACTGTGGGTGGGTGTAAAGTAAGCCCATGCGTGGCAGGCAGTGCTGGGGCGTGGGGTATATGTGATCTGCACTGTCAGGGCTGCTGGGCCATAGGTAGGGAGCCTCCCTCTACCCAGATAAGCCTCTGTTGTGGAGTAACTATTGCAGTGACCTCTGGGATGAGAGTTTCTATGGTCAGAGGTGAGTCAAGGTGAGTCTAAAAACATATACAAAGGCCACTGTCTGGGTCATGCCAGGGCAGCTAGCAGCCAGGGTCTCTGAGTTGGGAGGGGTTCTATTATGTGGTCAGCATATGGGGAGGGCCCTGTTTTCTGAGACGCCTCAGGAAGAATACCCCTATGGATAAGGAGTTGATAAGTGATGGAGTTGACATCCCACTCTGGGCATCCAGGGACAGTGGGAGTCTTCCTGGCGGTGGGCCACCAGGCAGGGGGACCCTCTGGATCAGAGCAACCTCATAGTCATGAGACGATGAGCTGGTCCTCATCTTTCCACCTGCCAGCCCCTTTCTGCTTCCTCCAGCACGTTTTTATCCGTGGGAAAACAGGTGAGGCCCCAGCTTGTTAGAAAGCTGACTGCATCGAGACACCGTGGATTCTCAAAGGTCTTGTGGATATATGAGGCGAGTGGCTAGAAGTTTTGCTGAGAATCCACTCATTTATCTGTTTATTTGAGACGGGGTCTCACTCTGTTACCCAGGCTGGAGTGCGGTGGCACCATCACAGCTCACTGCAGCCTCAGTCTCCTGGGCTTAAGGGATCGTTTTGCATCAGTCTCTGGGTAGCTGGGCCTACAGGCGCACACCACCAAACCCAGCTAACTTTTTATTTTTTGTGGAGATGGGGGTCTCTCTACATTGCCCAGACTGGTCTCAAACTCCCGGCATCAGGTGGTCCTCCTGCCTTGGCCTCCCAAAATGCTGGGATTACAGGTATGAGCAACAGTGCCCTGCAGAATCCACTAATTTAAAGAACTATCTCCAGAGAGGGGTTCCCGCCATCTCCTTCTAACTCTTTGTTATTTTCCCTTTTCAAGAAGTGCTCCGGTTTAATTCAACCAACATTTCCTGAGCAAAGCACCATGCCTGGCTCTCTGAGGAATTAAAAGTTAAAAGCCAGGCTGGGCATGGTGGCTCACGCCTGTAATCCCAGCACTTTGGGAGGCTGAGGAGGGTGGATCACCTGAGGTCAGGAGTTTAAGACCAGCCTGGCCAATATAGCAAAACCCCATCTCTACTAAAAATATAAAAATTAGCCGGGTATGATGAGGGGCACCTGTAGTCTCAGCTACTCGGGAGGCTGAAGCAGGAGAATCACTTAAACCCGGGAGGTGGAGGTTGCAGTGAGTGGAGATCCTGACACTGCACTCCAGCCTCAGTGACAGAGCGAGACTGTCTCAAAAAAAAAAAAAAAAAAAAAAGTTAAATCCCAGGTGTCCTCCAGGACCTTGGTGGTCTAGTGGGACAGGGTGACCTGACATTTACAAAACTATGTAAACTGGAGGATCCTTATGTGAGTGACTACCTACAAGTTCGCTGAAAAGTCACTGACATAAGGCAGATTAATTAATATGAGAAAAAGATTACAAATGTATTTAACATGTATACATGGGAGGCTTAAGAATGAAGATCCAACTTCCCAGTGAGGTATGGAAGCTCATCCACCATCTTGAGGTTGCAGAAAGAATGGGTGGCTTGGATCCTGTTAAAAACAGGTTATGGGAAGGAGGAGAAGAGGAATTCTGTCGAAGGGCAGAGGGAGAATGATTGGATCGAGGAACAGAAATTAACTTGTAAATAGTTCTCCCTGGATTTTAAATGGTCCTCAGAGACAGTCATTGTCTTGAAAAAGGGTCTGTTGAGACTTTTTTATGGTTACATTTTTGGTCTTCTTTTCTGTGATGGATAATGGGATAAAGGAAGGAGAAGAACAATTGTTCTTTTGTGTCAGTCCTTTTTTTTTTTTTTTTTTGAGACGGAGTATCACTCTTGTTGCCCAGGCTGGAGTGCAATGCGATGATCTTGGCTCACTGCAACCTCTGCCTCCTGAGATCCACCGATTCCTGTGCCTCAGCCCCCCAAGTAGCTGGGATTACAGGCATGTGCCACCAGGCCCGATTAATTTTTGTATTTTTAGTAGAGATGGGGTTTTGCCATGTTGGGCCAGGCTGGTCTCGAACTCCTGACCTCAGGTGATCCACCCGCCTCGGCCTCCCAAAGTGCTGAGATTACAAGCATGAGCCACCATGCCCGGCCAGTCCTATCTTTATAGGTGAAAGATAGGGGAAAAAATCTCTTCCAGGCTCCCAAGGGTGAAAAAACCTCTCAAGGGTTTTTTATTTAAAATAGTCACGGCCTGGTGCGATGGCTCACACCTGTAAACCCAGCACTTTGAGAGGCTGAGGTTGGTGGATCACTTGAGCTTAGGAGTTTGAGACCAGCCTAGCCAACATGGTGAAACCCCATCTCTACAAAAAATACAAAAATTGGCCAGGTGCAGTGGCTCACGCCTGTAATCCAAGCATTTTGGGAGGCTGAGGTGGGTGGATCACCCAAGGTCAAGAGTTCAAGACCAGCCTGACCAACATGGTGAAACCCCATCTCTACTAAAAATACAAAAATTAGCCAGGTGTAGTGGTGGGCGCCTGTAATCCCAGCTACTCAGGAGGCTGAGGCAAGAGAATCCCTCGAACCCAGGAGGTGGAAGTTGCAGCGAGCCGAGATCACACCATTACACTCCAGCCTGGGTGACAGAAAGAGACCCTATTTCAAAAAAAAAAAAAAAAATAGCCCAGTGAGGTGGCTGGCACCTGTAATTGCAGCTACTCGGGAGGCTGAAGTGGGAGGATCACTTGAACCCGGGAGGTACAGTGAGTCGTGATCGTGCCACTGCACTCCTGCTGGGCAACAGAGCGAGACCCTGTCTCAAACGAACAAAAAAAGTACTTATTATATTGGGAGCCATAGTTTGGGATGAAATATTTTGATTTCCTTTGTAGAAATATCAGTGAGTTCCCTATTATTTTGTCCTCGGTAGAGAAGATTCGTTAACACCCTCTAGGGAAATGGCCAGCTGAGTTGGGGAAGGAATGAGGATGGAAAATCATTTGGGCTCCTCTTTGGTAGGTACCCAAGCAAGCCACTCCTCAGGCATTTTCCCCACAACTAGAAATCCAGAGGCTTTGGATCTTGAGAAGAACATGAAGGAAAGATGCCAGGAAGTACAGTCTGGTCTGCTGATGAGTAAGTGCAGCTGGGCCCAGGGCCCTGGCACATTCTCCCAGGGCAAGGTTGACTCATTCACTCGAACAAGTTTATTTGCAGACGAGAAAGCAAAGAGGGAAAAGGAGCTGTAACTTACCACACACCTCATCCAAAAATTGCATTTACTACCAAAAAGAAAGTCTGATTTTACCTGAAGCTGTATCTTCTATTCTGGGTGGGGGCTCTGGATTCTGTTGAGAGAGGAGCCACCTTTCCTTTACTCAGTTATCATCCTACAATAGGTTTGTTTTGTTTTGTTTTGTTTTGTTTTGTTTTTGAGATGGGTCTCACTCTGTTGCCCAGGCTGGAGTGCACTGTTCCCATCAATGCTCACTGCAGCCTCGACCTCCTGGGTCCCAAGCAATCCTCCCAGCTCAGCCTCTCCAGTACCTGGGACTACAGGCCGGTGCTACCACACCCGGCGAATTTTTTGTATTTTTTGTAGAAACAGGGTCTCACTTTGTTGCCCAGGCTGGTCTGTAACTCCTGGGCTCAAGTGTCCTCCTCTGTCAGCCTCCCAAAGTGTTGGGATTATAGGTGTGAGCCACTGTGCCTGACCTAGAATGGGTGTTTTCTACATACTATAGATGGGATTCGAAACCTAGCTCCAGTTCACAGCTTCGTCCGAGCAGCAGGGCTACAGCCCAAAGTGCAAAATGTACAGTTTTATTTTTGTTTTTAATTACTTTTCTTTTGTATGCTTTTTTTTTTCCCTACCAAGTGATCAATGGAGGAAGTGTTTCATGGTGGACATGGGAAACTGGCCAGATCAACTGCTGTCACCTTCTAAGTGAGTGACCCAGTTTATGTTTTAGAAAAACATGTTGAGAAAAACAGGTGGAGGGAGAGGCGGGTTAATCATTGTTCGCCAGTGCAAAGGGCTGGCTTCTCTCTGGCACAGTGAGAAAGTTCAGCTTTAGGACCTTGAACTGAGCAGGTAGGGGAAGCGTGGAGCGTGTCTCAGGATGGGCTGCACATTTTGTGCACAGAAGAAAACCTGAAGTCATTTGCCGCATTGTAAACATCTCAGAACTCCCCACTAGATACCTTCCTCCTGCCATCCCAGGGCCTGCCTTCTTCCAAAATCAAATGAGTCACCAGAACCTTTATGGGAAGCACGAACTGCCCTTCCTCTTCTTCACCTCGCTCTTCCTTAGCCCCCTTCCCAAAAGAAGCTGTTGTTCCCTCCAGGAAGTAACCTGTTTCCACGAACATTTAACTAGTTCCCTCACAAACAGATGGTAGACTTTTCTGGTTTTGTTTTGTTTTTTGTTTTTTGTTTTTGTTTTTGAGACAGAGTCTTGCTCTGTTGCCCAGGCTGGAGTGCGGTGGCGTGATCTCAGCTCAATGCAACCTCTGCTTCCCAGGCTCAAGCTATTCTCCTGCCTCAGCCTCCCGAGTAACTGAAATTACAGGCGCGTGCCACCACGCCCTGCTAATTTTTTGTATTTTTAGTAGAGACGGGGTTTCACCATGCTGGCCAGGCTGGTCTCAAACTCCTGACCTCAAGTGATCTGCCTGCCTCAGCCTCCCAAAGTGCTGGGATTACAGGCTTGAGCCACCGCGCCCAACCTCTTCTCCCATTCTTAATCAACCCTTTGCAGTGCCAAACCACCTTTGCAGTTAGAAAACATTTTTGCTGTCAAATTTCATCCGTCCTGCCAGGAGTTAAACTTTGTTGATGGCGCACTACAGAGGCAGAGGCAAGGGAAGGAAGTTAAGAAACATTCTTGCTGTCAAATTTCATCCTTCCTGCCAGGAGTTAAACTTGCTGATGGTGCACTAGAGAGGCAGAGGCAAGGGAAGGAAACCTGCAAAAGTGTGGCCAGGACTATTTTTAAAAGGCTTTCTTTCCCCTTGGTCCTGGTCTGTATCCCAGAGGCAAAGAAGGGCTATTTGAGGAGAGAAGGGAAGTGTGACTTGAGCTAAGCCCAAACCGCTGTCCCTCCTTGCTTCAACTCAAGGATTCTTTGGAATAATTGAGACCGACTAAAGAAGGAGGGAAAGAAACCAAGTCATCAATTGCCCAGCTGTTGCTCAGCCTGGTTGTGGACGGGAGAGAGGTGGGGGCTGGTGGGTAGGAGGTGGGCAGGGGGCAGAAAGTGCTCCTTCCTTTTCCTTAGCAGACTCTCAGAAACACTCTCAAGCCTCCAGCAGGCAGCCCAGGAAACTGTACCCCCGCCATGGGCATCACCGGATTTTAAAAAAGAAATAAAATTTAACAACTGTGCAACCTTGGCCAAATCACTGGAGTCTCTGGGGTTTGCTTTTGTCAACTGTAAAATGAGACCCAGGGACCCTCACCCTCTTTTCAGCTTTGATATTCTGAGTAGTGGCAGTCCTTTGAACGTAGTTCCAATGAAGTGGTGCCTGGCTTTGAATTATCTAACAGAAGTAAATGATTAATGATTGCCAGAACAAAAAGATAAATGTGTTCATATTTTAAAAATTATTATTATTATTATTATTTTGAGACAGGGTCTCCCTCTGTCGCCCAGGCTTGAGTGCAGTGGTGCGATCTCTGCTTACTGCAACTTCCGGCTCCTGGGTTCAAGCAACTCTCCTGCTTCAGCCTCCCGAGTAGTTAGGATTACAGGCACGCGCCACCACGCCCGGCTAACTTTTTGCATTTTTAGTAGAGATGGGGTTTCACCATGTTGCCCAGGTTGTTTTTGAACTCCTGAGCTCAGATGATCCATCCATCTCGGCCTCCCAAAGTGCTGGGATTACAGGTGTGAGTCACTATGCTTGGCCTTTTTTTTTTTTTTTTTTTTTGAGACAGGGTCTCACTCTGTTACCCAGGCTGGAGTACAGGGGCACAATCTTGGCTCATTGGAACCTCCTCCTCCCGGGTTCAAGTGATTCTTGTGCCTCAGCCACTTGAGTAGCCAGGACTACAGGCACAGGCCACCAGGGCCTGACTAATTTTTGTTTTTTTTTCAGTAGAGATGGGGTTTCACCACATTGGCCAGGCTAGTCTCGAACTCCCAAACTCAGGCGATCTACCCGCCTCGGCCTCCCAAAGTTCTGGGATTACAGGAGTGAGCCTAAAATATTTTCAAAAGTAATACACTCACATTATTAAAAAAATTCAGAGTTCAAAAGAGTATTCTGTGAAGCCAGTCTTCCCCTACCTCTGAATACCTTTTAAACACCAGGGCAGCCAGAACCCAGCCTGATTTGAGGGGCACCATGAGTCAGAGAAGCCCCCATAATTCTCTAGTGAAAGCTCCTCACACAGAACCTGTCGCAATCCAGATGGGGTCATCCCTTCTACCCTCTTTCATTCCCACGTTTTCCTCCCCACCGGCTCTGGCCATGCAGTCCTTTAATCAACTCTTTCTTTAAAAGCAGGGGAAATTCCATCCCAACCAAAACGCCCGTGTTGTACAGTCAGTTATTCGTCCTCCCCTCTTCCAGAGCCAGCTGGGACAGATAATTAGGAAATTAGTAGTCTTGGACCCTTTAACCCACACCTTACCCCCTCTGAGAGTTCTCAAATGAGGACCTTGACTCAGAGAAGGGAAGAGGTGAGGCCCAGAATTGTCATGAAAATAAACAGTGAGGCTCCTAGGTCCCCAGGCCTGGGGGTGGCTATAGAGCTATTCTGAGCTGTGAAAACACAGCAGTACTCTACTAGCAGTAAACAGCCGCCTGTCCCGCCAGCGCCTGTCTGCCTGGTGGTGCCTGATCTCCAGCCAGCAGGCCAGAGAGACAGGGAGAGGAGCAGGGAGAGTCTAGCGTGCCTCTCTTCTTTAGGGTGGAAGGGAACAGCAGTGTTTATTTTTAACATTTCATTCACTCTAGTGGGTGTGAAGTGGAAAGAGAGGGTCATGTAAGTCTAGGGGTTCTCTCCAACTTCGAATCCCAGAAAGCAGGATGCCTGTTGCTCCCTCCTCAAAGCCTGGGGACTTCAGTCATCGCTTTGGCAGCACATATACTAAAATTGCAGTGGTACAGGGAAGATTAGTGTGGGCCCTGCACAAGTCGTGAAATTCGTGAAGCATTCCATACAAAATTTAAATTAAAATAAATAAAATATAAAAAATAAAGCTTGGACCAGCCTCAGTTACATGGCAAAACCCCACCTCTACAAAAAGAAAAAAAAAAAAGAAAAAAGAAACCCACAAAAATTAAACCCACAAAAAACCCCCTAAAAAAAATTAGCTGGGTGTGGTTGTATGTGCCTGTAGTCCCAGCTACTTGAGAGGCTGAGGTGGGAGAACCACTTGAGCCAGGAGGCAGAGGTTGCAATGAGCTGAGATCCCACCACTGCACTCTAGCCTGGGTGACAGAGTGAGACAAACTAACAAATAAAAATAAAGCCTGGGGGCCAGGTGCAGTGGCTCGCGCCTCTAATCCTAGCAGTTTGGGAGGCCGAGGTGGGCGGATCACGAGGTCAGGAGACGGAGGCCATCCTGGCCAACATGGTGAAACCCCGTCTCTACTAAAAATGCAAAAATTAGCTGGGTATGGTGGCATGCCCTGTAGTCCCAGCTACTCAAGAGGCTGAGGCAAGAGAATACCTTGAACCCAGAAAGCGGAGGTTGCAGTAAGCCGAGATCACACCACTGCACTCCAGCCTGGGGACAGAGTGAGACTCTGTCTCAAAAAAATAAAATAAAATAAAATAAAAAAAGAAACCCTGGGCACTTTGGGAGGCCGAGGCGGGTGGATCATGAGGTCAGGAGATCAAGACCATCCTGGCTAACACGGTGAAACCCCGTCTCTACTAAAAACACAAAAAATTAGCTGGGCATGGTGGCGGGCGCCTGTAGTCCCAGCTACTAGGGAGGCTGAGGCAGGAGATTGGCGTGAACCCAGGAGGCAGAGCTTGCAGTGAGCCAAAATCGCACCACTGCACTCCAGCCTGGGCGACAGAGCGAGACTCCGTCTCAAAAAAAAAAAAAGAAAAAAAGAAAAGAAAGCCTGGGGACTTCAGCCTCCTCTGCTCTCCTAGGAAGTCACCTGTGACCTCCTCATTGTCAAATCAGCTGGTTGGCCTCTACTCATCTTTCTTCTTCCTTAATCATTTGGCCACATCTAATACTTGACTGTTAAGCACCTTGAAACACTGTGTTCAGTGTTGCTTTGACAAAGTCTCCTCTCCTTTCTCTTCCTCCTCCTTCCTTAGCATGACGTTAGACCTTGGTTGGACACCACCTGGATGTCCCATACAGTCCCCACATCCATAGGGTCCCTTCACACCTGTTGTTGCTCAGACTCCCCTGCTTTGTAAATGAATCTCCTGCTCTCTGCCATCCTCTGGGCAGTGAGCCTGGCAACTTCGGAGCCAACCTTGACACCTCTTCATGTCACATTTGCAGTCACTCATCAGGATCTGTCCAGATACTTTCTACTCGTGCTGCCCCGGGCCAACCCCATTGCCTAGGCCCGCCCCCTCCCCGCCGCCCGCCCACAGTCCCTTCATTACCTGTGATCACCTCTCCTCTTCTTGCTCCCCACCCCAAGCCATCCTATAGAATACAGGCCAAGGAGTCTTCTTACAATACAGTTCTTTTCACTTGTCACCTGAAAAATATTCAGTGGCTCCCCATTGCCTACAGAATGAAGTTCAAACTGAAGTTCAAACACAAGCTCACCTGCATTGGACCCCAGCTTATCTTTCTAGTTTTATGCTGTGCAGTTCCCCTTGATGGCCACACACCAGATATATTAGATAAGTTTGGATTTCCCAAACATGCCTTGGTTTTTCCAACTTTGCTTTTTCCTCCACCTGGAATATCATTTTCCCCATGTCTGTATGACCAGATTCTAACCACACTTCAAGGTCAAGAAAATAAAGCCTTCTCAACCCATTGACCTCCACCCCTCATTAGCTGCAAAAGATCTGTCTGGTTTGAACTCCTACGTTGGGGCACTTATCGCATTCAGACCTTGCATCATAATGGTTTTGCTTGCATCTTAACCTGCTATCCTGAGCCCCGAGGGCCAAGAAAGCATTCCTTCCAGCCTCCAGAACTGAGCTCTGCTTACATGTCTGGTGCCCAGTATAGTACACTGTTCGCACGGCTGTGAAAATGCTCCCATCCCTGACGTGTGCTCTTTTGCATTGTGACTTTGCCTCTCTTCCCATCAAGATGTAAATGTCTTCATCCTTTGAATCTGGGCTTGATCTTGTGACTTGCCTTGGCTAATGGGACATTAACAAATGTGATATAAGTAGGCCAGGTGTGGTGGCCCACACCCATAATCCCAGCACTTTGGGGAGGCCGAGGCGGGCAGATCACTTGAGGTCAGGAGTTCAAGACCAGCCTGGCCAACATGGTGAAACCCTGTCTCTACTAAAAATACGAAAATTAGCCGGCTCTGGTGGCGGGGACCTGCAGTCCCAGCTACTCAAGAGGCTGAGGGAGGAGAATTGCTTGAACCTGGGAGGCGGAGATTGCCGTGGGCTGAGATCGCGCCACTGCACTCCAGCCTGGGTGACAGAGTGAGACTGTCTCAGAAAAACAAACAAACAACAAAAAACAAATGTGATCTAAGCAAAAGCTTGAAAAGCCAGGGCTTACCCTCTTTGGGCTACAATTGGAACCCCAGCTCACAAGGGGGAGAAGTCCGGGCAGCCTCCTGGAGACAGGTTACTACAACATGGGGCCTGTCTGACAGCCACCCCCAGTCACCAGCGCTGAGAGTGAGGCCGCCTTAGACCACCCAGCCCCAGTCCATGTGAGTGATCCATGGAGCAATCCCAGGAGAATCTGGCAGAACTGCCCAACAGAGCCTGAGCCAGGTTGCTGACCTACAGAACTGTGAGCAAGGTATTGGTTTGTTGTTTTAAGCCACTATGTTTTCGGGTGGTTTCCTTTTTCTTTCCTTCTATTTTTTTTTTTTAGAGACAGTGTTTTGCTCTGCTGCCTAGGCCAGAGTGCAATGGTGCAATCCATCATAGCTCACTGCAGCCCTGAATTCCTGAGCTCAAGAGATCATCCTGCCTCAGCCTCCCAAGTAGCCAGGACTACAAGTGCTTGCTACCACACCCGGCTAACTTAACAAAATTTCTTTGGTAGAAACAGGGTCTTACTGGAGTGTCCATGCTGGTCTTGAACTCCTGGGCTCAAGGAATCCTCCTGCATCGGCCTCCCAAAGTATGGGGATTATAGATGTGAGCTACCGTGGTTTCCTTACACAGTCACTTCAATACCTCATAGATGCTACTTAATAAAATATTAAATAATAGCTCACATTCATTGAGCATTTACTATAAGCTAGGGACTTGTTCTGAAAAATTACATGGGCCAGACACGGTGGCTCACGCCTGTAATCCCAGCACTTTGGGAGGCCAAGGCGGGCGGATCATGAGGTCAGGAGATTGAGACCATCCTGGCTAACATGGTGAAACCCCGTCTCTACTAAAAATACAAAAAATTAGCCAGGTGTGGTGGTGGGCGCCTGTAGTCCCAGCTACTCCGGAGGCTGAGGCAGAAGAATGGCATGAACCTGGGAAGCAGAGCTTGCAGTGAGCCGAGATCATGCCACTGCACTCAAGCCTGGGTGACAGAACGAGACTCCATTTCAAAAAAAAAAAAAAAGAAAAATTACATGGATTTACTAATTTAATTTTCATAAAAATCCTGAGGTAGATTTTATTACTGTTCCCCTTTTACAAGTGAGGAAAGTGAAGTCCAGAGAAGTTAAATAACTTGTTCAAGGTCACATGTGTCACATGTGCTGGATCCAAACCCCAGGAACCTAGTTCCAGAAGCCACACTGTAAACCACTATACCGCATTGCCTCTGCTTACGCAGATTGAGGAGAACATGACTGATTTGCAGCCCCCAAAACACCCATCTTCACCCACATGTCAAATTCTATATTATTTTGTGGTCCAATTTCTAGCCTATGCTTTTTTTTTTTTTTTTTTTGAGACAGCGTTTTCCTCTTGTTGCCCAGGCTGGAGTGCAATGGCGCGATCTTGGCTCACTGCAGACTCCGCCTCTCAGGTTCAAGTGATTCTCCTGGCTCAGCCTCCCGAGTAGCTGGGATTACAGGCATGTGCCACCATGCCCAGCTAATTTTTTTTTATATTTTTAGTAGAGATGGGTTTCACCATGTTGTCCAGGCTGGTCTTGACCTCCTGACCTCAGGTGATCCACCTGCCTCGGCCTCCCAAAGTGCTGGGATTACAGGCACGATCCGCTGTGCCTGGCCTAGCCTATGCTTCTAATCTTCCCACACCCTGCCCTCTCAGGTCTACCTCCAGGCTCTGGGCTACTCCTGGCCTGTTTCAGTGACAGCCCATTGTGGGGCATCGATTTATAGATCTGCCAGCAACCGCCTGTCCAGAAACCCTTTGGCTCCATCTCCCTCTTCCTGCTGCCTCTGCTGCATTGCTGGTCCAGCGGTGCAGGTCTCATCTGGAAAGCAAACGCCTGGGCTCAGCGTGTCAGTGCTGACCGACCTTTGGCCCTGTGTCCTGGCTTGACCCGTGCAGCCAGGGTGATTTTTCACTTAGGATCTTTGGATGTCCTTAGAGCTTCTCTTTTGAAGTAGTCCAATGAGCAAATGGATATGATGTGGCTTTTAAAGAGAAAAACATGACTCATGTATAACAATGTTTACTATTTATTCAAATTTCAAAGATGTATTTAAGCATCCACACACGGGCACAACACCATGCTGGGCACCAGGCCACCAAAGCCAGGTTCAGTGTGGGGAGTGAGGGGAGGACACACGTGGTCAAGGAACTAGAGTTCAGTTTGTGAACCTCCATGGCAGAGTTCTGTCCAAAGTACTATGGGAGCAGAGACAACAAAGTAAATAATGTTGTTCAGGGAAAGGTCGAGAGAGTGGGATTCGAGTTGGGTTTTAGACAGTGAATAAGCTGTCACTAGATGGAGAAGGAAGAGGAAAGAGGAAGGAAGCAGAGGAAGGAAGGGAGGGAGGAGTCGGAACACATGGGCAGAGGCTTAGTGGGTGGGAATAGGCTGTTTGAAGGAGGACACACGTCTGGGGTGTCTGGGGTGTAAGCATCACGATGACTGCGGTGTAGGGACTGAACCCAGGTATGTGAATGACCTAATATTCCCTGCAGAGAGTGAGAAGCTCTGTGGATTTATAAGAGGGATATTGGCCAGGGAAAAACTATAGGAGGGGGCCAGGCATAGTTGCTCACACCTATAAACCCAGTGCTTTCAGAGGCCAAGGCAGGAAGATCCATTGAGCTCAAGGTTCAAGACCAGCCTGGGCAACATAAGGAGACTCTGTCTCTACAAAATATTTAAAAATTATCTGGGTATGGTGGTGCACACTTGTAATCCCAGTGACTCAGGAGGCTGAGGCAGGAGGATTGCTTGGGCCTGGGAGGCTGAGGCTGCAGTGAGCTGTGATCGCACCACTGCACTCCAGCCTGAGTGATGGAGCGAGACCCTGTTGAAAAAAAAAAAAAAAGCCAGTGGTGGTGGCATGCGTTTATAGTCCCAGCTACTCAGGAGGCTGAGTTGGGAGGATCACTTGAGCCCAGGAGGTTTAGGCTGCAGTGAGCCAAGATTGAACCACTGCACTCCAGTCTGGGTGACACAGAAACACCTTGTCTCAGAAAACAAACAGGCTGGGCACAGTGGCTCAAGCCTGTAATCCCAGCACTTTGGGAGGCTAAGGTGGGTAGATCACCTGGGGTCAGGAGTTCGAGACCAGCCTGAACAACATGGTGAAACCCCATCTCCATTAAAAATACAAAAATTAGCTGAGCGTGGTGGCGGGCGCCTGTAATCCCAGCTACTCAATAAGCTGAGGCAGGAGAATCACTTCAACCTGGAGGCGGAGGTTGCAGTGAACCAAGATCGCGCCACTGCATTCCAGCCTGGGTGACAGAGTGAGACTCTGTCTCAAAAACAAAAACAAAAACAAAACAAAACAACAACAAAAACAAAACAATACAAAAAGCCAAAACTATAGGAGAGGAGGGAAGGAGGCGAGGAATTTGCTGACATGGAGTCTCTGCTCTGAAAGTTAGACGTGAAGTCCGTGGCTAGGCTGGTTGCATCAGATGAGGCTGGCTGACATCTCCCAAGATATCTCAAGATGGTTTATTGGTGAATTCACCCCACTCCAAGGGAGAAGCCTGAATCAGAAACCAGATTCCTCAGCTCACCAATGGGAATTGTCTTTCAGGGAAGGTCTATATATACCAAAATTACACCTGAAGGTCAATCTGTTGATTTACTGTAACTGTCAAAGCAAAAGTAATTCTTATTAGAATGTCAATTAGTTCATTTACAAAAAGAGATGTAAGTGATGTGTCCATTTTCTTCCCATCACCATGATGTGGTGGGAAGCTGGCCTGTCGAGCTGGGAATCAGAACCAGCAGTTGGTCACAATATAGCTTCAATAAGGCCCGATGACTCCATGTGCATGGCTAAAGTGCCTCTAGGACAGGACGTGTCCTGGCCCTGGCCAGGTCCTCTGCTCCAAATGTGGCTGATTGTCACTGTCAGGGCAGGCTCTGTGATGCTCTCTTTCTGAGGGAGACGGGGTCTTCTCACTCTGTCGCCCAGGCTGTAGTGCAGTGGCATGATCTTGGCTAACTGCAGCCTCTGCCTCCCAGGCTCAAATGATCCTCCCACCTCAGCCTCCCTAGTAGCTGGGACCACAGGTGCATGTCACCATCCTGGCTAATTTTTTTTTTTTTTTTTGGTATTTTTGTAGAGAGAGGGTTTTGCCATGTTGCCAGGCTGGTCTCGAACTCCTGGACTCAAGTGATCTGCCTGCCTCAGCCTCCCAAAGTGCTGGAATTATAGGTGAGACACTGTGCCTGGCCCCTTTCTGCACCTTCTGATGGACACATTCTTTATGTCTTAGACTCTCTAGTCAGCTTCCTCTTGGGAGGCTTGGAACTGAACTACCATCTCCAGAGTTCTCCCAACCTTGGCTACACAGTAGAATCACCCGGGGAAATTTAAAAGCCAGTCATGTCTGTGGTTTGCCCCCAGAGGCTCTGATCATATCAGGCTGAGGCGCAGTCCGAGTATGTGGAGTTTTACAAGCTTCCCAGGTGATTTCAATGTGCAGTCAAGGTTGAGCACCTTTGTGAAAAGCAGCTCTGCATATTTCTGCCCTTGTCATTTGAGTGATGACTTTGCTCTGAGAGGGTCACTTAATATGGATCAGGTGCCAAGGGTTTCTCAAGCATTACCTTGTTTCATTCTTTTTTTTTTTCTTACAATATTCAGATGAGTCTGATACCTTGTTTAATTCTTCAAACAGGCCTACCAGGCAGTGGAAAAAGAGCCACGGCCCAGGGAAGGCCGTGAGGTGTAATTCTGCAAAGATCTGGGTTCACTCCCAGCCCCACCTTTTACCAGCCAGATGACTGTGGGCATGTTTCCTAATCTCTCTGAATTGTAGTTTCTGCATCTGTGAAATGGGTGTAATTAACATCTGCCTTTCAAGGTTGTTATGCGGATTAAGTGAAACAAAGATGGAAATTATCTGGCCCAGAGTATTCTGTCCTGTACTGGCTTTTCCTTCTCAATAGGAGAATTGGGAGTGACAGACATCACATTCCTTGGAGGTCCTCGAGAAAGGGAGAATTCCCCATCATATTCTGACCCGGAGATGTAAAGTTAAGAGGCATAAGGGGCTGGGTACTGTGGCTCATGCTTGTAATCCTAGCACTTTGGGAGGCCAAGGCAGATGGAATGCCTGAGCTCAGGAGTTTGAGACCAGCCTGGGCAACATGGCGAAACCCCATTTCTACTAAAAATACAAAAATTTGCTGGGGATGGTGGTGCGTGCCTGTAGTCCCAGCCATTTGGGAGGCTGAGGCTCAAGAATCGCTTAAGCCCGGGAAGCAGAGGTTGCAATGAGCCGAGATCATGGCACTTGCACTCCAACCTGGGCAACAGAGCAAAACTCCGTCTCAAAAAAAAAAAAAGTGGTATAAGAGACATGCAGCATGGAGGTGTTTGAGACCCGGGCCCTACTGAGAATGCTACAGCCTCTTTCCCTTCATATGATGAGGTTTCTGTGGCAGCTACAGGGAAGCTGGGGCCAGAGGGTCTGAGAGAAGAAGCAACAGCCTCTGAGAGGGAGATGAGGGGCAGATGGAGGGCCTCGGGCCAGCTCCCACTTCCAAGAACCATCAGAGAGGTTTTCTTGTTCCAGCAGCATCTCCCCTGGGCCAAGCCAGTCGGGGGGCCATGTCTGTCTGTCTGGGACCCACTGTCTCCCCCGCCAGCACCTAGCACAGTACCTAGTGGACAAATTCTATTTTTATTTTTTTTTGAGACGGAATTTTGCTCTTGTTGCCCAGGCTGGAGTACAATGGTGCAATCTCAGCTCACTGCAACCTCTGCCTCCTGGGTTCAAGCGATTCTCCTGCCTCAGCCTCCCGAGTAGCTGGGATTACAGGCACCTGCTACCACGGTCAGCTAATTTTTTGTATTTTTAATAGAGACAGGGTTTCATCATGTTGGCCAGGCAGGTCTCGAACTGCTGACCTCAGGTGATCCACCCACGTCGGCCTCCCAAAGTGCTGGGATTACAGTTGTGAGCCACTGCGCCCGGCCCCTAGTGGACAAATTCTACCACTGATGTCAAAGAAAATTAAACTGCAGCCTCAGCACTGCTGCAGGCAGCCCCGAATGTTTCCTCTTGAGCCTCCAGAGTGCATCTGCCCCAGACACTCATTTGCCATCTGACCAAGGAAGGCAAGAGGGTGATGGGGACACTTTTCTAGGCCAGAATATGGAGAGAGCATCTGGACGTCAAAGTCTTATGTCTTTTTTTTTTTAGACAAGGCTGGGGTACTCTGTCCTTCAGGCTGGGGTACGGTGGTATAATAATAGCTCACTGCAGCCTCGGACTCCTGGGCTTGTCACTTGATCCTCCTATCTCAAGCTTCCCAAGTAGCTAGAACTATAAGCATGTGCCACCACGGTCGGCTAATTTTAATAATTTTTTGTAGAGACAGAATCTCACTCTGTTGCTCAGGCTGACCTTGAACTCCTGGCCTCAAGCGATCCTCCTGCCCCAGCCTCCCAAAGCGCTGGGATTACAGGCACGAGTCACCCTGCCTGGCTAGGATTCCAGTGTCTTCAGATAGTTCCTTTGATGCGTAACAGGTAGGCTGTGGTTGGACCTTCCAGTGTCAGAGAAATCTACCAAGGCCTAAAAAGCTTTTGAGTGATTTAAATACATTATCACTTTCCAGATGAAGAAATGGGTTCAGATGGGGTGCTTACTCACGGCCACAGAAACCCTAAGGATGAGCCCAGCTGACTCCCTGAATCCCTTTTAGCTCTGAGCCTGTGAGTTGGCCATGTAAAAGCCATTGTCCAAAGCCAAGATCCAACTGGGTCATTCTTCCACTTGATAGCAAATTGGAACCAACCCAATTGCCCAATGGGGAATGATTTGTTTACTATCGACTTGATAGAGTACCTCTTATCCTTTAAAAACCATCCATTTGGCTGGGTGCAGTGGCTCATGCCTGTAATCCTAGCACTTTGAGAGGCCTAGGCGAGTGGATTACCTGAGGTCAGGAGTTTGAGACAACCTGGCCAACATGACAAAACCCTGTCTCTACTAAAAATACAGAAATTAGCCAGGCGCGATGGCGGGTGCCTGTAATCCCAGCTACTCAGGAGGCTGAGGCAGGAGAATCGCTTGAACCCAGGAGGCTGAGTTTGCAGTGAGCGGAGATCGTGCCACTGCACTCCAGCCTGGGCAACAGAGCGAGACTTCATCTCAAAAAAAAAAATCCATTTGAGTATTACATGACAACCTGTAAAGATGCTTATGATTAATATTAAATGGAAAAAGTAGAATACAAAAGTGTATTTAGACTGTGCTTACCTAACTAGGTAAACGCATGAGTGCATAGAGACAAGAACTGCAGTTTCACTTAGGTGAATGACAACGGGATGTTGGAAGGAGATTTGGGTGTCTTTAAATTATTGTCACATTGTTTTTCATGCAGCTTAAAGGTCTGGATCATCACTGCTTACAGATGAAGTACACACTGCCTCGCATGGCCTCCAAGGCTCTGCTCACCCCACCCCCAATCAGCCTTTGCCATTCTGCCACCCTCACCCCATGCTCCAACCATTGGGGCATTCACAGAACCACGAGCCTTCGTGCCTCTGTCACTGCCAGAACACTGTATTCCGCAGTCCACTACTTGACTAAATTCAGCTCATTCACCACTTCAAATGTCACTCCCCAACTCCCAACAAAAAAGATACAGAAGAAACTCACCATATTATTTGACTTCAGGGAGGAACTATTATCAGATGTGGGATGGAGACATAAACCCTTTTCTGAAATACAATTTTATTGAGCTATAAGTCACATACTGTATCATTCGCCCATTTAAAGTACATAATTCAATGGTTTCCATGGTGTTTGGTACATTCACAGAATTATGCAACCATGACCAGACACAAGTTCTTTTGTGCCTTTAGGATTTCGAACATGTGAATGTATTACTAATTGAATTAAATAAATGAATCCAATTAAACACACATAACCATCACTTCCTCTCTGAAGTCCTCCCAGACTCCCACCAGGGATAGATGGCTCCTCATTCTGTGCCCCACTTGTCTGTCATAGCTCTTTTTTTTTTGACAGAGTTTCACTCTTGTTGCCCAGGCTGGAGTGCAATGGCACGATCTCGGCTCATCACAACGTCCACATCCTGGGTTCAAGTGATTCTCCTGCCTCAGCCTCCCAAGTAGCTGGGATTACAGGCATGCACCACCACGCCTGGCTAATTTTGTATTTTTAGTAGAGACAGGGTTTCTCCATATTGGCCAGGCTGGTCTCAAACTCCTGACCTCATGTGATCCACCCGCCTTGGCCTCCCAAAGTGCTGAAATTATAGGTGTGAGCCACTGTGCCCGGCCAGTGTTTTTGTTTATAAAAAGACCTCTCCGCAGCCCAGACTCTGAGCTCTTTGAAGGCAAGTATGAAGAGAGTCATTTTTCTGTACCAATGCAAGTCTGGCATTCAGGAAGAGTCCCAGAAACGTTCGATGAGTGAATGAAGTTTTCTTTGCATCCGTGTAGATGGGGCATGGTAGGAGAGGCCAGAGGATGACCCAGCCCTCCTCACTTTGATCCTCATCTCCACTCCAACTCCACCTTCCCCCTTCCTCATCTTGTTCCTTATCCTGTCCCCTCCCCATCACCAACCTCCCCCCTATTCCCTCTCCACCCCCTCTCATTTCCATCCTGCTCCATCCCCACCCCCACTCTGTTCTCCAAATCCATTCCCATTTTGACCTCCATCCATCTTTATTTCTTGAATAGACCCAGTTTTCTGAAATGCAAAGATGTATTGCTGGCCTCTTAGAAATAGCAGTGGGAGCTCTGTGGGCTCAGAGACACCCTCTTCTCCTGAGTGTTCCTCCCTCCACCATGACATCACTATGAAGGCAATTTTATTTACCACAACAAATATTACTATAGAATTAACAGGGGCCCAACACATGGCAGGGACTGGAAAATACTTGCTGAATGAGTAAAGGACTTGTGAGTCTCTGGGGCAGCTGAATGAGACTGTTTCCATCACAGGACCCAGACGGGGAGGAGGAATGCCAGAGAAGCTGCAGACTCTCCGGCCACGGAGCCTGAGTGGAGCAGAGGTGGCCCACTGTCAGCCACAGGTCAAGTGTCAGGGTGGGGACGGGGCAGGCTCCACCAGAAGGCGGGGGCAGGCTCCACCAGAAGGCGGGGCCAGACCACAGGGCAAGGTGGAGATGAGTCTGTGGCACCCCCAGGAAGTTTACCAGATTTGCCCCAGAGCTTCTGACCCTTTGGATCTCTCTGGGCTGCATTCTTCAGGGTCCCATTGCTTCTTTCTTGAAGGTGGAAGGAAATGTTCCCATCAGAGCCTTCCAACAGGCCACCTTGGGGGCTTCTCCTGAGAGCTCCTTGTGCACACACCCCTTCAGGGTGGCTTGGGTTGCGCCCTCAGACCCCAGTGGGGGGCCGTATGGCATCCTCCTTGGTCAGCAAGTGAGCCACAGCAGCAGGCCCCTCACAGACCTCAGCCTGGGGCCACAGGTCCCTTCTCCCCATCTCCGCATCTGGAGAAGCAACCTGTGGAGCAGCCAAGAGTGGCAGCCCTGGCTCTCTACAGCATTCATTTTCAGGGCAAGACAGAGCATTTCCACTATTATGCTCCCCCCCCCGGCCTTTTTTTTTTTTTTTTGAGACAGGGTCTCACTCTGTTGCCCAGGCTGGAGTGCGGTGGCGCAATCATGGCTCACTGCAGCCTCGACCTTCTGGGGTCAAGTGATCCTCCCAATTCAGCCTCCAAATTTCTTTAAACAAAAAAAAATGCAAGAAAGGCAAAACAAGATATTTATCTGGGCTGAGAGGGTAAAGAGAAGCTCTATCTTTGAGCTGAGACACAAAATGGAAAGAAGAGGCAGCAGCAGCGGCAGTAGCAGTTCTGCCTTTCCAAACCTTCCCTATCTAAGTGCTTTCAAGATATGCTGAAAGTCATGAATTGAAGTGTGGTTCCCACGGCTTTAGTCCTTGTATGAAGGTCCTTTTGCTAGAACTTACTTCCTTTCCAGCCCATATGGTTGACCTGGGGGTCCAGGCAGTTCTCAAGGGAACCACAGGATTCCATGTGATCTGGGATCCCAGTTGATGATCCCTCTTCTGGTCACAAGCTGAATTGGACCCAAATCTGCACCCTAAACTCCCCTCTTGCCAGATCCTGCCCAGTCAGTGCCGTCCCCTCAGACTGGGTGGGCAGCCTGGGCTTCCTGCTGAGACGGGACCCCCCCCTCTCTTCTTGATCTCACTCCCAGGAAAGACACTGAAGGAGCAGAGGTGTGGACGCCACATACTGGGTAAGTTTCTCTTGCCTTGACACACCTGAGAAAGCTTGGTGTTTGAGCCCTACCTCCCCCTTACCTTACTCCCACTCCCAAATCCCCTCCTGGAAATTGTCCCGGTTCTTATTTATGCCTATACAAAGTCCACAGCCCATGACGGGCAGCCCTGGAGGCTGTTGCCCTGACCTGGCCTCTGGTCCCCCGCTGGGAGGCACGTGGCTCATTTGCATGCCAACTCCTGATGGGCCAGCTCCCCACCTGGCTGCCCGAGCTCCTGAGACTTTTTTTTTTTTTTTTTTGAGACGGAGCCTCACTCTGTTGCCCAGGCTGGAGTGCAGTGGTGCGATCTCGGCTGACTGCAACCTCCGCCTCCCAGGCTCAAGAAATTCTCCTGCCTCAGCCTCCTGAGTAGCTGGGATTGCAGGCACGCACCACCACGCCCGGCTAATTTTTGTATTTTTGCTACAGACGGGGTTTCACCATCTGCTGGGACGGGACACCCTCTCTTCTTGATCTCACTCCCAGAAAAGACACTGAAGGAGCAGAGGTGTGGACGCCTCATACTGCGTAAGTTTCTCTTGCCTTGACACACCTGAGAAAGCTTGGTGTTTGAGCCCTACCTCCTCCCCACCTTACTCCCACCCCCAAATCCCTTCCTGGGAATTGTCCCGGTTCTTATTTATGCCAATCCAAAGTCCAAAGTCCACAGCCCATGAGGGGCAGCCCTGGTCCGGCTGGTCTTGAACTCCCGACCTCGTGATCTGCCCACCTCAGCCTCCCAAAGTGCTGGGAATACAGGTGTGAGCCACTGCACCTGGCCACTCCTGAGGCTTTTTAGTGCCTACCCTCAGTGACTTTCTGGTCACCTATGCTGACTGCTGCAGAGTAACAGAGGCTACTGTCACCAGGGCCCTGGGACCAGATGACCCTTCATCTTTTTCATCCTTCCACCCACAAAACCCCTGGGCTGCTGCTGACACTTGACCATCCTTCCCCCTCACAAATGCATATTCCGCATGGCCTGTGTAAATGGCAGGAACTTGTAAGAGGATTATTAGTATAGGCAGATGACAAGATGACAGGAGAAACATTTTTTTATGACAATGAAATGCAGAGAGGCAAGATGAAGAAAGCTGTTCAGAGACATAGGTCCCCCAGAAGGAGATAACCAAGCATTGTCCTTCTTCAAACAAGACAGTACCTGCAGATCCAAGGCTAACCCAGCCCAGGGGCAGAGGAGGACACCAGAAGTAAGGAATGCAGGAAGGAACTACAAGACCTGAGGCAGCAGGGACGCTCCCACAGGACCTCCGCTACAAACAGCAGGGAACAGGCCAGGCGCAGGGGCTCACACCTGTAATCCCAGCACGTTGAGAGGCCGAGGCCGGAGGATCACTTGAGGTCAGGAGTTTGAGACCAGCCTGGCCAAATGGCGAAACCCTGTCTGTACCAAAAAATACAAAAATTAGCCTGACGTGGTGGCGCACGCCTGTAGTCCCAGCTACTTGGGAGGCTGAGGCTGGAGAATCACTTGAACCTGGGAGGTGGAAGTTGCAGTGAGCCGGGATCACACCACTGCACTTCAGCCTGGGTGACAGAGAGAGACTCCATCTCAAACAAAAACCAAAAAACAAAAACCAGCAGGGAATAGAAGCTGAAGTAGCAGGAAAACCGAGAGGAGGAGGACTTTGTCAGCATGAGAGGGAACAGACAGAGAGAAGGACCTGCTATTCAAGGCCCAAAACTGAGATGCACATCTACTGGGGAACCTGCTCTGGGGCTTTGGGAGAACAGTCTGGTCTCTAGAGGCTCCCTATTCACCTTTAAGACCCAGGGCAGTCCAGGCATGGTGGCTCACGCCTGTAATCCCAGCACTTTGGGAAGCCAAGACAGGTGGATCACTTGAGGTCAGGAGTTCGAGACCAGCCTGGCCAACATGATGAAACTCTGTCTCCCCTAAAAATACAAAAATTAGCCAGGCGTGGTGGCGGGCACCTGTAATCCCAGCTACCTGGGAGGCTGAGGCAGGAGAATCGCCTGAACCTGAGTGGCAGAGATTGCAGTGAGCCGAGATCATGCCACTGCACTCCAGCCTGAGCAACAAGAGTGAGAATCTATCTTAAAAAACAAAAAACAAACAAACAAACAAAACAGGACAGAGGAGAGCTAAGGTGGCCCAAAAGAGCTTCCAAATTTACTGAATGCCACTAAACTCTCACTTAAAAATGGTTAAAGTGGCCAATTTTTTTTTTTTTTTTTTGAGACTGGGTTTTGCTATTTTTGCCCAGGCTGGAGTGCAATGGTGCAATCTGGGCTCACTGCAACCTCTGCCTCTCGGGTTCAAGTGATTCTCCTGCCTTAGCCTCCCAAGTAGCTGGGATTACAGGCGCATGCCACCGTACCCAGCTAATTTTGTATTTTTAGTAGAGATGGGGTTTCACCACATTGGCCAGGCTGGTCTCGATCTCCCAACCTCAGTTGATCCGCCTGCCTCAGCCTCCCAAAGTGCTGGGATTACAGGTGTGGGCCACTCGCCTGGGCCAAGGTGGCAAATTTTATGTTACATATATTTTATACAATTTTAAAAGAAGGAAAAAAGTATAGTCACTTTGGAAAACAATCTGGCAGTTTCCCAAAAGGCTAAACATAGAATTACCGCATAACCCAGAAATTCTACTCCTAGGCATATACCCAAGAGAAGTGAAAACACATATCCACAAGAAAACTTGTGCATGAATGTTTATAACAGCATTATCTATAATGACCAAAAAAGTGGAAACAACTCAAATACCCACCAACGGATGAATGGATAATCACAATGAGATATATTGATACAATGAGATATCATTTAACCATGAAGAAGTGAGGCACTGACATACACTACAACATGGATGTATCTCACAAACATTACGCTAAGTGAAAGAAGCCAATCACAGAAGACAACGTATTGTTTGAATCTTTTCATGCCAGAATACAGGCAAGCCCAGTGGGACAGAAAGTAGGGAAGTGGTTATCTAGAAATGGAGAGGGATTGGGGGGAAATAGAAAGTGACTGCTAACACATACAGGGTTTCCTTCTGGGGTGATAAAAAATGTTCTGGAATTAGTGGCAATGGTTGCAAAACTTTGTGGGTATACTAAAAAACATGAAATTGGGCCAGGCACAGTGGCTCATGCCTGTAATCCCAGCACTTTGGGAGGCCGAGTCAGGTGGATCACCTGAGGTCAGGAGATTGAGACCAGCCTGGCCAACATGGTGAAACCCCATCTCTACTAAAAATACAAAAGAAAAAACAAAAAATTAGCCAGGCGTGGTGGTGGGCACCTGTAATCTTAGCTACTCGGGAGGCTGAGGCAGGAGAATCACTTGAACTGAGGAGGCAGATGTTGCAGTAAGCTGAGAACGCACCCTTGCACTCCAGCCTAGGCAACAAGAGCGAAACTCTGTCTCAGGAAAAAAAAAAATCATGACATTGTATATTTAGTTTTATTTTATTTTATTTTATTTTGAGATGAAGTCTCACTCTCTCGCCCAGGCTGGAGTGCAGTGGCGCGATCTCGGCTCACTGCAAGCTCTGCCTCCTGGGTTCACGCCATTCTCCTGCCTCAGCTTCCCAGGTAGCTGGGACTAAAGGCGCCCACCACCACACCTGGCTAATTTTGTTTTTGTATTTTTAGTAGAGACGGGGTTTCACCGTGTTAGCCAGGATGGTCTCAATCTCCTGAAGTCGTGATCCACCCGCCTTGGCCTCCCAAAGTGCTGGGATTACAGGCGTGAGCCACTGCACCCGGCTGAAATTGTATACTTTAAAGGGATGAATTTTATGGTATGTGAATTATGTCTCATTAAAAAAAACAAACTGTTAAGAAAACCAGGAGTGGTCTGGAGAAATGCTTAGCCACGGCTCCAGGCTCCAGGCTGGGCCATGCCTCACCTCTCTGGATGGGAACTCAGCACAGCTGGCATCAACAAAGCTGACTGTCCCCTGTGTCAGGCATCACAGGGTCAGGAGGCTCCTGGCTCAGAGGGGGATGTGAAGGAGGGCAGTGGAGGGAAGAGAGTCCTGGCACAGGGAAGAGGGAACCAGGCTGCCGGCCCAGTGCCCAGCTGCTCCCCATCCCTCACACCCTGGCCCTGGAGCCCTTGGCCACATGCCCCATCCCAGGACCGCCTAGTTGTGAGAGAAGCCCCCGTGGGAGAAGGCAGGGAGGTCGGGGGCACAGGCAGCAGCCTGGGGCAGGCAAGCTAGGGGGTTGACCTCGCAGGCCCCAGCATCCTGGTCCCCTCGGAAGTAGATGGAGTCGGCAGAGTAGAAGGAGGGGTCTTCGTCAAAGAAGTTGTAGGGTCGGAGGAAGAAGCCCACGCTGTTCCCCACAGTCACTGTGTTAGGAATGTCCTCTGCATGTGGGATATGCAGAAAACCAGCTGTCACCCAGGCCACCAAGTCCTAGCAGGGGAGAAGAAAGAGGATCACGAGGTCTGGCTTTGCTGAGGACATGCCCTGCCTCCCACAGTGACCTTGCAGATAGGGAGTCAGCTCACCCACCTGTATGTTCTTAGTTTCTCAGGAAAAATCTGAAATCATAAAGTTTCTTTCTTTCTTTTTTTTTTTTTTTGAGACAGAGTCTCGCTCTGTCACCTAGGCTGGAGTGCAGTGGTGTGATCTCGACTCATTGCAATCACCACCTCCTGGGTTCAAGCCTCAGGCACCCGAATAGCTGGAATTACAGGCACGCGCCACCACACTCTGCTCATTTTTGTATTTTTAGTAGAGATGGAGTTTCACCATGTTGCCCAGGCTGGTCTCGAACTCCTGAGCTCAAGATATCCACCTGCCTCAGCCTTCTAAAGTGCTGGGATTATAGGCATGAGCCACTGCACCCGGCCAAAGTTTCATTGTTAGTGGTTTCTGAAGATCCCTGAGGAATCTCGCTTCTGAGGCAGTGAAGTGGCTCATCTTGTCCCCCTGACTCCTCCCCTCCTCTCCAGCTGCCTGCTCACCCCTCCGCGCAACTAACCTGCCCTGCAATGGTCTCATTGTTGATGAAGTCAGTGAAGTCCACAGTGGGTGTCCAAGGGTCATTCAAATTGTAGATGCTGGTGCTACTAGGTTCCTCCTCCTTCCGCTGGGTTACCACCAGCTGGTACCTACAGGAGTTTTTTATTAGACCTACAAGTTCGTCAACTGTCCCACTGCCTGAAGCTGCACTGAAGAGTGAACACTAGGGGGAAATGAGCCCCAAAGTCTTGGAGTATTGAGCCTCTGTATCATTCTTTGTCCAGTTCTCCTTGCCTGTCTCTGTCTCTCTCTCTCTCCTCTGCAGACTTCCCCCACTTGTCCACTGTCCTGTACCTTAAACATCAACTGGCCCACCAGGCTTCAGGTAGAAATGTTGCTCATCCATCCATCTGGATCAGAGCATGATGTTGAGCCTGGGCCTTGGAACCATACATATGGACATGGCCTGTTTCCCATCCTAGGTCAAGTTCAGTATCTCAAATACCTAGATTTCAGGGAATCCTCCCTCCGATCTGTGTTCCCATCTCACTGTTTTTTTCCTCCAACCTTTAATGTGAACATTTTAAACATACAGAAAAATTGGAAGAATTGTATAGTGAACATCCACATACTCAAGTCTAGCGTCTACCATTAACATTTTCCTAGATTTTCTTCAATGCCTCATATCTCAGCATTCCTCCACCCACCCATTAGGCTTTGTTTTGAGTGCCTACAGATTGCGGCCACAGGAATGTGTGTGTGTGTTTGTGTGTACCTGTGGGAGGTGGAGCAGTGTGGAGCCCTTCATACATTCTACTTGCCCCACTCCCTCCTGACCGCCGACCACTCACCTCCCCCAGCTGAAGCCTCTCTCCACGGAGCTGTTCTGGGGCAGTGGCTCCCCAGAAAAGCTGCGCACCTGGATGCGGTAGCCCCGGGGGTGACCCCACTTGTTGCTGTGGTTGCTGGCCAGGTACAGGTAGCGAGGGGTGGCGCCTCCCATGGGGAAGGTGGCTTGCTCCTCTGTCTCCAGCAGCTTCCGGGTCACCTGCAGCCTCTGCATCTGGTGCTCAGGGCTCCAGGGCACAGCCATGGGGACAAAGGCCATATCCTCGGCCCAGACCCAGTTCTCCAGTCCTGCTCAGGGTGGGATCGGGGAGGGCCAGTCATGCAATTGCCCTGGCCCCTCTGGACTCTGCCCCCACCTGGCTTCAGAGTGGGGGCAGAGTGGGGGCCAAAGAGCAGCCCAGAACTGAGTGTGCCCCTGCTTCTCTTCCCTCTCCCCAAGATAGTCCCAGTCCAGGGATTTGGAGGAGGGCTTTCTCCCTTCTGTCTTCTCTGGTAATAATCCCAGATGCCTTGCGACTGGGCCTCCACCAATGTCCTCCCTCTGAGGGGCTGCATGGGAGGGTGTTTACCTGAGGTTGGAACAATCCTGTGGGCAATAGGCAGGTGGCACTCCCTCTGACCTGAAGACTTCTCCTCACATGTGAAGCCCTGTGGCATTGCCAGGACTGCCTTATCATGAAAATAAGCCTCACATTGACTCAACCTGAAGGAGCTGTGTAGGGAGCATGCCGAGTGCCTTCTGTGTATTCATGCTTTCACTTCTACAACAATCTCAAAAAGGAGGAACTATCATTGTCTCCATCTTACAGATGGGACAACTGAGTCTTAGAGCATTCAATAATGTACCCTGGTTGGTCAGCAAGGACACACGGTTAATATCATGGCAGTGCTGGGGACCTGGTTCTTAGTCTGGCCTTACACTGCCCACACATCAGCACATAGAGGAAGACAGCACAGAGAGACACCACAACAGAACAGCAGACATGGGGACCAAGGGGAAGGAAAACCAATACTGGGCCCGACGCTGTTGGGGCTTGGAGATACCTTTCGCAGTTTGAAATTTGGCAGGGAGCAGGGAGCGGGGCTTAAGACACAATCTGTTTCCTGAACTTTTGGAGTCTGAATGATTTTATTTGAGTCTAACTAGGTCCCATATTAGGAGTCAAGTTAAGTGATCTGAGACAAGGAGCAATAAATCAAAACATGCTGGTAGCTCCCTCTGCACCTTCCAAAGACCAGGAGAGAGGAGAGACTGATTCAGCAAACCCTTAGTTTCCTTTTGTAGATTCACTGCCCCTACTCCATATCCCAGTGTTTCCACCCTTAGGTGACAATTGCCGACTAAGAGTTTTTTTTGTTTTTTTGGTTTTTTTGAGACAGAGTTTCGCTCTCGTTGCCCAGGCTGGAGTACAGTCGCATGATCTTGGCTCACTGCAACCTCTGCCTCCCAGGTTCAAGTGATTATTTTGCCTCAGCCTCCAAGTAGCTGGGATTACAGGTGCACACCAGCATGCCCAGCTAATTTTTGTATTTTTAATAGAGACGGGGTTTCACCATGTTGGCCAGGCTGGTCTCGATCTCCTGACCTCAGAAGATCCACCCACCTCAGTCTCCCAGACTGCTGGGATTACAGGCGTGAGCCACTGTGCCCGGCCAGAGACTAAGAGTTCTTTATGGTCCACACACACAAGTAGGCTCCTGTGGCTAATCACAACAATACCTAGTATTTCTCAAGGGCCCACTATGTGTCAGGCACTGTTCCAAGTGTTTTAAAAGTTGTCATCATTTAATAACAGAGATAAAGATAGATGTGTGTGTATGGGTTGGTTGGAATATATGCTTAAATTTTCTAGCTAAGTCCACTGAGAGGGCCTAAAAGCAATGACATCCCAGTAATAATGAGCACACTTGGTGCCCAGATATTGGTTTCTAAATACCATTCTCCAATAAAGTGAACCCGATCTCCCTGGAGACAAGGTTGATTCCAGGGTAGAAGCAGGGAAAATGCCAGATGAAATTGAAACATTTTTGGGTGCCAGAAAGTAAAGAAGTGCTCAAAAACGTGTGGAGGTATGTGAAAAGGACATAGGAACTAATCTGAAGGATCTCCCAATGGCCAAAGTTGGAAAAATGTAAGGAACAAAATAAATGAAGTACTGGGTTATAACCCTTAGAGTACAATAAAAAACCATGAGTCTATACAATTTGAATAAATAATTGAAAACAGAAATAAAAAGGAAGGACAACTCTTCCTTATGGAAAATTCCAATTAATAAATGTATAAGGAATAAGGAAAAAATTTTAAGGATAAAGAAAATGTCCTATATATACATAATGAAATACTATTCAGCCTTAAAAGAATAAAATCTCATTGCAACAACATGGATGAACCTAGGGGACATTATGTTAATTAAATAAGTCAGATACAGCAGGACAATACTATATGATCTCACTTATATGTGGAATCTAAAAAAAGTTGAACTCATAGCAGTAGGAAATAGAATGGTGGTTATCAGGGCCTTAAGGAGGGTGGAGTTGGGAAGATGTAGCTCAATGAATAAAAAATTTCAGAAGTTCAAGAGATCTATTGGACTGGGCATGGTGGCTCATGCCTGTAATCCCAGCACTTTGGGAGGCTGAGGAGGGAGGATCGCTTGAGCCCAGGAGTTCAAGACCAGCCTGGGAAACATAGCGAGATCCCCATCTCTATAAAAAAAATTTTAAATTACCTGAGCATGGTGGCATGTGCCCATAGTCCCAGTGACTCAGGAGGCTGAAGTGGGAGGATTGCTTGAGCCCAGTAAGTTGAGGCTGCAGTGAGCTGTAATCACACCATTGCACTCCAGCCTGGGTGACAGAGTAAGACCCTGTTTCAAACAACAACAAAAACCCCAAAGAGATCTATTGTACAACATGGTGACTACAGTTAATATGTTATATATTCTTGAAAACTGCTAAGAGTAGATTTTAAGTGTTCTCACCACGAAAAAATGATAAGGGCTGAGCATGGTGGTTCACACCTGTAATCCCAGCATTTTGGGAGATCGAGGTGAGAGGACCACATGAGCCCAGGAGTTGGAGATTGCAGTGAGCTATTATCACACTACCTCATTCCAGCCTGGGTGATAGAGTGAGACCCTGTCTCAAAAAAGAAAAAAGAAAAAACAAAAGGTAAGAAAAAAAGAATGTAAACCATCTGAGAGCAACAATGTTGTTTCTTTTGTTAAATTGCATAGTTGGGTGCTTGGCACAAGTGTGCATTCATACATTTTTGTTGCTTGCTTGAATAATGTTGTTATATGAAAAAACAGAAGTGGCAAAACGTAGGTACATTATGATAACATTTGAATATAGAAATCTAAATACTTATATCAATATATCATATTTATACATAGTATACAATATAATAAATTCTATAATCACAGAGGTAATTTTTTAAAGCATGGAATACTTTTTTTTTTTGAGACAAAGTCTTGTTCAGTCACGCAGGATGGAGTGCAGTGGCTCAATCTCAGCTCACTGCAACCTCTGACTCCCAGATTCAAGTGATTCTCCTGCCTCAGCCTCCCGAGTAGCTAGGATTACAGCATACCCATGCCCAGCTAATTTTTGTATTTTTAGTACAGACAGGATTTCGCCATGTTGGCCAGGCTGGTTTTGAACTCCTGACCTCAAGTGATCCACCCCCCTCAGTCTCCCAAAGTGTTGGGCTTACAGGCATAAGCTACTGCTCCCAGCCCAACGAAAACTTTTAAAGCTAGGCATGGAGACTTCAGCTCACCCCTCCAGCACTTTTGCCTCTGCCAGGATGCCTTACCTGCTACATCCAGGTCCACCTTGAAGTGGGCGCTGTGGGTGTGGACCGTGCCCAGGGTGTGCTCTGAAACTTTGTTTCCATACCTCTGGGCAGCACCAAAGGGGAATGCTGAGCTGATGTAGCCGGTGGTGTGGAGTCTGATTTCTATGGCCCCATTAGGGTGGAAGACCATATCCCACACATAGTCATAGTTGAGCATAGTAGACACAGATCTGATGACCAGCACCGTTTCCGCAAGGCCCCCAAAGTAGTGGGAGTAGAGATCTGAGTGGTGTCGCCGCAGGGGGAGGCCCTGGTTCTGTTCAAATATACAAAAGGCATCGCGTATTGTCTTGGCGGCCTGGGACTCAAAAAGGAAGTGCCAGTCCACGTAGGTGGCCAGGTAGGGGCAGTCCACCCCATGGGTCAGGGGCGTGGAGAAGTGGCCCAAGCCAAAGCCACTATCTATGTACCGGCTTCGTAGAGCAGAAGGAGAATTGCCTCCATAGATGGCCAAGGCCGCCTGGACACTGACTTCATAGGCCACCCTCTCCCCTTGGAAGGGAACGTCAAAGATCCTTGGGCCACTGAATGCTCCGAGGCCAAAGGAGAAAGTCCACAGTGAGGAGGCCACTCGACTTCCCTGGACACTGAAGCGGGGGCCTTGGGGATGGAACTGCAGAGGGGGAGCTGGACCCGGGGGCACAGGGGACTTCAGGGACCAGGACCCACCTGTGCCATTGTCTGGGATCAGCACCACATTCACCAGGCCGGCCTCAAACTGGGCCTCCAGCTGGGCCAGGCTGTCATAGTAGCGGCCTTGATAGAACACCTTCTGGATAGTCCAGCGGGCAGGGTCAAGGGCCTTGTGGTTCACTAGCAGCTCCAAGCCCACGTGGTGCAGGAAGAACCCAGCGCCCGAGATGTTGTAGTAGAGGCCAAACTAGGTGGCCCGGTCCCCTGATTGCAGACCACGGGGAGCCGTGGTCATTGTCACCAGGTTCCGTCCCCGGCGCTTGTAGAAGCAACAGTGATGGAGAAGCCCAGAAGCCTGGGGCAGCTCTCTGTCGAAGATCATCTGGTCTATGTCCAGGTACTCTTGGAACAACATGGGGCGTCGGTGATAGGGCAGGGGGCCTCCATGACGCTCCACAGTCACGTCCCGCATGTAGGAGGGGTGAGGCAGTGGCCCCACCACCAGCTCACTCACGTTGGGCTGGGGTTGCCTGCCAAAGAAGACGATGGCCAGTGCCTCCCGGGCAGGTGGGGGGCTCCCCCTGTCCAAGTGAGCCAGGGCTGCAGCCTTGGGAGGCAGCTGCAACTCCACTGAGAAGACACAGTTGTCCGAGGGCTGGGCCTGGGCTGCATCCACCAGCCCTGGCCCCAGCTGCTGGGTCAGAAAGCGCATCACAGCCGTCAGCTCCTCTCGGCTCAGGTCTGCAAACAGCTGGCTCTGGCCAGGGTGTGTCCAAGGCTGGGCACTGGGAGATACGGAGGGGCAATGGGGAAGCTGGTTCAGCTTACATTCCCTCTCACCTCCTTTCTCACTCCCAGCCCCACCTTCACCCATGCCTGTCACCAGAACACTAAACAGGGACAAAATAATGAAGACAGCCATAGCTAAAGCTCCTGGGTCGTCTTCAGGCTCTTGGTTCTGAATGCAGAATACAAAATAGACAATGATAAACAGATAGAGAGGACCTGGGTGCAGGATGTTTCTCACAGCCTCTGGAGGGTCCTGGTGTGGTGCTGCTGGTCAAGAGGAATGATGGATATTGTGAAAAACCCCAAGGGCAGAGGGGTCAGGGGTGGAGCTAGAGGTGACTAGGAATCAGGTCGTGTTAAGGAGGTGGGGCAGAGTTAAACTTTGATTTTAAATGACCCACGTAAGCCTCTGTCCTCCTGTTCCAAATCAAACAACGTACTCAGGGTCAGGGTCAATGAACCAAGTAGGCAGAGAGGTGTGTTTTGGAGATAAGAGCTAGCAAGGTGCAAGAGGAAGTGGGGGGCGCCGACTGTCCTGCGGCTCTCCTTTCTTTTCCCTCCAGGTGGAACTTTTCTCCTGGCTGCAAGGCTGCAAGGGAAAATCACCTGGCCACACCTCCACAGCCAGATTCCCTCCTTCCCTCCTCTAGTTTTTGATGTCCTCCAGGCTCTGCCTCCCACCTCTCTCTCCTGCCTCCATCCATCCACTAGAATCCTAGCAGCAGCCTGAGGGAAGCCTGAGGGTAATGATGAGAAAGCAAAGCATCTAGCAGGGAGCTGGGGGGCTGAGAGGCTGAGCCAGGTCAGCTTTGTGGAGGCCCCAAGTGCCCTAAGTCACTGTAGGGGAGTGTGCAGGGTGCAGAACAAGCTAGAAGCTGCCTGGTTCATTGGGGTGGGGGTGAGTGTGGGGGCAGGAACCAGAGTATAACCGAGACCTTCATGCCTCCCCTTGTACTGGACTGAGGGATAGGCCAGGGCAGAGGTCAGGTGGGGCTGGGAAACTGGCTGTGGACTTATCTCGGGCCTGAAAATCCTTTTCCAAAATGGTGCCGACATGGAGAGTGAAGCCACCTCTGTCCTTCACAGCCAATGGCTGAGCGGCTTCTTTTCCAGGTGACAAACATGTGGAAAGCCACTGTCATTTGGGCAGCCAGGTCCTGAGGGGAACTGGAAGAGACTGAGGGTTCCAGAAGGGGGATGTGCTTCCCTCGTGTACCTGGGGAAGAATCCTCTCCAACCTGGACACATCTAGGAAGACTTCTCAGGAAGAGATGTTCGAGCCGACCTTGAAGATGATGCATTCACCTGGCAGAGAAGAGGAAGGATATTCCAGCAAAGGCACAGAAACCTGAAACAGCTCAGCACAAGCAGGGAACAGCCAAGGATCAGCCTATTTGGTGGGAGTTGGGGAGGAGGGGAGTAAGCAGAGGAGGTAAGATCATGAAGACGCGTGGCGCATGTTTTCAGCAAGGTAGTCATTGCAGAAAGACAGTGAGACAGACACCTGGAAACCTAGACCAGGTCATTGACCCTGACCCTGAGTGCGTTGTTTTATTTGGAACAGGAGGACGGAGGCTTATGTGGGTCATTTAAAGTCAAAGTTTAACTCTGCCCCACCTCCTGAACACGACCTGATTCCTAGTCCCCTCTAGCTCCACCCCCGACCCCTCTGCCCTTGGGTTTTTCACAATATCCATCATTCCTCTTGACTGGCAGCACCACACAGAGACCAGGACCCTCCAGATAAATCAACACCAGAAGGGTCAGGCTATCCAGAAATGTTTATGCCATTGGTTGTATTTTGATAAGGAAACTTGCCTGGTTTTCCTGCCTCTTGTTCTTTTATTTGACTTTATTTTTTTTGAGACAGTCTTGCTCTGTTGCCCAGGCTGGAGTGCAATGGTGCAATCTCAGCTCACTACAAGCTCCGTCTCCCAGGTTCAAGCAATTTTCCTGCCTCAGCCTGCAGAGTAGTTGGGATTACAGGCGTATGCCACCACACCCGGCTACTTTTTGTATCTTTATTTTATTTTATTTTAGATGGAGTCTTGCTCTGTCGTCCAGGCTGGAGTGCAGTGGCTCAATCTCAGCTCACTGCAACCTCCACCTCTCGGGTTCAAGCAATTCTCCTGCCTCAGCCTCCCAAGTAGCTGGGATTACAGACGCGAGTCACCACACCTGACTAATTTTGTATTTTTAATAGAGATGGAGTTTCACCATGTGGCCAGGCTGGTCTCAAACTCCTGACCCCAAGTGATCCACCCGCCTCAGCCTCCCAAAGTGCTGGGATTACAGGCGTAGCCACCGAGCCCGGCCTCTTGTTATTTAAAGCTGTAGAAGTAGTGGGGCTCATTTCAAGGCTGTAAGAAAAGTAGGGCTCCCCTTTCCTGCGGGATGGAATTTCAATATAACAACTCCTCCCTCCAGGCATGTGAGCCCTTCTTGTCCTCAGGGAAACCAAGAACCACATTTTCTCTTGCTGATCTGGTTTTTATGCTCTGTAGAAGCTCTTCATGAAAAAAACTGTTTTAAAAAAAGTTGGTTTTTTTTGTTTTGTTTTGTTTTGTTTTGTTTTTGAGACATGGTCTCGCTCTGTCACCCAGGCTAGCGTGCATGGAGTGCAGTGATGTCATATATAGCTCACAGCAGCCTCAAATTCCTGGGCTCAAGCAGTCTTCCCGCTGCAGCCTCTCTAAGCTCTTGGATTACAGATGACAGCTCCCTGGATCAACTTGGGAAGGAGGAAGGTTTTTGAGAGATCCCCTACAGAGTGAGGGCAGATATTCGGGGAATTTTGTGGGATTCACAAGTAGGGAGTGTGTGTGTGTGTGTCTGTCTGTGTGTGTATGCGTGTGTGTGTGTATGGAGGGAAAGAATGGCTAGAGCCCACTCTCCCGCCCAGCAAGGCCTTAGGGAAGTGATAGCCTCAGAGTGGAACTCATGCCTAGGCCCCTCCTCTGTCCCCGCCTTGGCAAGACTTGGCAAGGCAGTGGAAAGTGAGTTTAACAGCAGTGATCACTGTCCACTGAAGACTAGCTGACAGTCCCCAAAATTCCCAGATTCCAGAGTCTTACCTAACCCTAAAGATAAGCACCCTCAACAAACATGCCTGGAGTTTAATTTCCTGCCAGCCGAGTAGCTGAGGGCACAGAGCTGGTTATTGAACATTAAAAAAAAAAAGACCAGGAGTGGTGGCTCATGCTTGTAATCCTAGCACTTTGGGAGGCTGAGGTGGGCGGATCACCTGAGGTTGGGAGTTCATGACCAGCCTGGCCAACATGGTGAAACCCCGTCTCTACTAAAAATACAAAAATTAGCTGGGCGTGGTGGCCCACGTCTGTAATCCCAGCTACTTGGGAGGCTGAGGCACAAGAATCACTTGAACCTGGGAGGTGCAGTTTGCAGTGAGGCAAGATTGTGCCACTACACTCCAGCCTGGGTGACAGAGCTAGACTCTATCTCAGAAAAAAAGTAAGAGGAAAGAAAGGAAGAGAGAAAAAGAAGAAAAGAAAGAAAGAAAGAAAGAAAGAAAGAAAGAAAGAAAGAAAGAAAGGAGGAAGGAAGGAAGGAAGGAGAAGGGAAGGGAAAGGAAGGAAAGGAAAGGAGAGACAGAGGGAAGGAAGGAAGGAGAGAGAGAGGGAGGGAGGAAGGGAAGGAGGGAGGAAAGGAAGGAAGAAAAGAAGGAAGGAGGGAAGAAAGGAAGGAAGGAAAGAAAGGGAAGGCAAGGGAAGGAAGGAAGAGAGAGAGAGAAAGACAAGAAAAAGAAAGAAAGAAAGAAGGAAGGAAGGAAAGCAAGCAAGCAAGCAAGCAAGCAAGCAAGCAAGCCAGGCACGGTGGCTCATGCCTGTAATCCCAGCACTTTGGGAGGCTGAAGCGGGCGGATCACCTGAGGTCAGGAGTTTGAGACCAGCCTGACCGATATGGTGAAACCCTGTCTCTACTAAAAATACAAAAATTAGCTGGGTGTGGTGGCAGGCGCCTGTAGTCCCAGCTACTGGGGAGGCTGAGACAGGAGAATTGCTTGAACCCGGGAGGCAGAGGTTGCAGTGAGCCGAGATCATGCCACTGCACTCCAGCCTGGGCCACAGAGCAAGACTCCGTCTCAAAAAAAAAAAAAAAAGAAAGAAAGAAAAAAGAAAGAAAGGAAGGTAACCGGGCATGGTGGCTCACATCTGTAATCCCAGCACTTTGGGAAGGTGAGGTGGGAGGATTGCTTGAGCCCAGAAGTTCAAGATCAGCCTGGGCACCATAGCAAGACCCACATCTCTACAAAAAAGTTTAAAAAAAAAAAAAAAAAAAAGAATTAGCTGCTGTAAGGCATGATCATGCCATCACATTTCAGCCTGGGCAACAGAGGAGGATGCTATCTCAGAAAAAGAAACAAAAAGAAAAGTGACATTTAATACTTACGCCCGAATGTTGGAGAGTAAAACTCACACCCAATATTCCCATCAATGAGCAGTAACATGGAGATGAAGAACTAGAAAGCTTCTTGAAGTCAAGACAGACAATGGAATTACTGTAACTAAGGCAGGAAAGGGTCATTGGAAACAGGTTGTGAATCAGAAATTTAAAGAAAATAAATACTGTATGTATTCACTCCAAGAAAAGTAAAGGTTAAATGAAAAACAGAAGTTTTCTTCTACTGTAGGCAAGGCTATAGACAGGTCATGGTGACCTAGCCTGCAGAAATAGGCTCCAGACACCCCCGAGCAAAGTTAAAAGAAGAACAAATTCCTTTGCTGTCTCCCCTTTAAATAATTAATTATGACTATGTTTGCCAACACTTGTATTCAGTAAAATTTATAAGTTTCTGTTTTACAAGTTATGCCAAGTCAACAGTTATGCTATAGATTATGTGACTTGTCACTACATAGTTTACTGCCTTTGTCCTGTTTCTGTGTACTAGCCTGTATAAGCTAAACTCTGTCTTTGTTCAGTGCTCAGCTTTTTAGCTGTGAGTCCACTGAGCTGGTACACACCTAATAAATATCCTCCTGTATTCACCCATACTAGTCTCTCTAGTCCTCTGTGTCCTGCAACAGTTGTGTGACCTTTAGGATAAAGGAAATAAAATCTAATGTCAAGGCCTAGCCACAAGGCAATCCATCCCAGCCAGGGAACTTGTGTCTGGTCCTTTGGTAGGTTATGGTCAATAGCGGGGAAGTTACCTCCAGCTCTTGGCTAAGAACATGCCATTAAGACAACTAATGTTGGGGCTGGGCACAGTGGCTCACGCCTGTAATCCCAGCACTTTGGGAGGCCAAGATGGGCAGATCACTTGAGGTCAAAGGTTCAAGAACAGACTGACCAACATGGTGAAACCCCATCTCTACGAAAAATACAAAAATTAACTGGGCATGGTGGTGGGCACCTGTAATCCCAGCTACTCAGGAGGCTGAGGCAGGAGAATTGCTTCAACCTGGGAGGCAGAAGTTGCAGTGAGCTGAGATCACACCACGGCACTCCAGCCTGGGTGACAGAGCGAGACTCTGTCTCAAAAGAAAAAAAAAGACAACTAATGTTGACCAGGTGCAGCAGCTCACACCTGTAATCCCTTCATTTTGGGATGCCAAGAGTCGAGAATCACATGAGCCTAGGAGTTCAAGACCAGCTTGGACAATATAGAGATCTCTACAAAAAATTAAAAAAAAATTAGCCAGGCACATCCTAGCTACTTGGGAGGGTGAGGCGGGAGGATTGCTTGAGCCCAGGAGTTCAAGGCTGCAATAAACTATGATTGTGCCACTGCACTTCAGCCTAGGTGACAGAGCAAGACCTTGTCACTAAAAAAAGAAAAAACAGAGAAAAGATTTATTTTGGTTGAGTGTGGTGCCTCATGCCTGTAATTCCAGCACTTTGTGAGGAAGAGACAGGAGAATGGCTTGAGCCCAGGAGTCCAAGACCACTCTGGGCAACATAGCAAGGCCTCATCTCTACAATAACTTAAAAAATACATATATATATAGGCTGGCGTGGTGGCTCATACCTGTAATCCTAGCACTTTGAGAGGCCAAGATGGGCAGATTCCTTGAGCTCAGGAGTTCAAGACCAGCCTGGGCAACATGGCAAAACCCTATCTACCAAAAATATAAAAAATTAGCCAGGTATAGTGGTGCATGCCTGTGGTCCCAGCTTCTTGGGAGGCTGAAGTGGGAGGATCACTTGAGCCCACAGGGTGGAGTTTGCAGTGAGCCAAGATTGCACCCCTACACTGAAGCCTGGGCAATACAGTGAGAACCTCTCTCAAAAACAAAACAAAACACCAAAAACATACGTGTAGAAAGAGATTTGGCCAATGACAAATATTGACAGTTAAAGTAAGAAAGGCTGGCTGGGCGTGGTGGCTTACACCTGTAATCCCAGCACTTTGGGAGGCTGAGGTGGGAGGATCACTTGAGCCCAGGAGTTTGAGACCAGGCAACAGAGCGAGACATGGTCTCTACAAAAAAAATTTTTTTTTGAGACAAAGTTTCACTCTTGTTGCCTAGGCTGGAGTGCAGTGATGTGATCTCGGCTCACTGCAACCTCCACCTCCCAGGTTCAAGCGATTCTCCTGCCTCAGCCTCCGGAGTAGCTGGGATTACAGGCACCCGCCACCATGCCCAGCTAATTTTTTGTATTTTTAGTAGAGATGGGGTTTCATCACGTTGGCCAGGCTGGTCTTGAACTCCTGACCTCAGGTGATCCACCTGCCTCGGCCTCCCAAAGTGCTCCAATTACAGGCATGAGCCACCGCGCCTGGCCTACAAAAAATTTTTTTTAATTAGCCAGGCATGGTGGCACACGCCTGTAATTCCAGCTGCTCGGGAGGCTGAGGTGGGAGGATCGCTTCAGTCTGGGAGGTTGAGGCTGCAGTGAGCCATGGTGGTACCACTGCACTCCAGCCTGGGTGACAGAGCAAGACCTTTTCTTAAGGGGGGAAAAAAAGAAAAAGAAAGAAGAAAAGAAAAAAAGAAAGAAAGAAAGGCTGAGATCACCCACAGAGGACTTCTGGAGAGAGGAGAAAGGAGGACCAAGGACAGAACCCTAGAAAAGGCAAGAGCTTGGGGCTCCATGAGTAGGTAGGGGGAGCAGAAGTCAAGGAGCCTGAGAAGACTGAGAAGGAGCAAATATGGATGAAAAGGGGACAATGTGGGAGAGTCAAGATGGGAGAGGGTTCCAAGAGGGAGGACAGTTGGTGTTGTCAAACGCCACCGAGAGGTCCAGAAAGTAGGCGGCCAGGAGCTCCTGTTGATTTTGTGTTTAAGAAGTCACTGGGGGCCGGGTGCTGTGGCTCACACCTGTAATCCCAGCACTTTGAGAGGCCAAGGCAGGCGGATCACTTGAGGTCAGGAGTTCGAGACCAACCTGGCCAACATGGTGAAACCCCGTCTCTACTAAAACTACAAAATTAGCCGGGCGTAGTGGCAGGTGCCTGTAATACCAGCTACTCAGGAGTCTAAGGCAGGAGAATCACTTGAACCCGGGAAGTGGAGGTTGCAGTGAGCCAAGATCATGCCATTGCACGCCAGCCTGGGCGACAAGAGTGAAATTCCATCTCAAAATAAAAAAAATAAAAGAGGTGAGGCGAGTGGGCACACCTCATGTCCTCACAGGGGGTTGCCATGTTCACATTCCTGGAGAAGTCCTAGTCATGCCCTCTGACCCAAGCCTCAGGGATTCCCTTGTCCAACTCCTTTATCTCAGGCCACTGGGCCCCAAGTCCTGAAGATCTGAGCCTTGGCAGCACCAGTTCCTTCAGAACCTGACATCCTCAGCCAGTAATCACTCCTAGACAATTGACCACAAGTCTGAAGCCAAGACTCCAGACAACTTCTGTGGTCTAAGGAAGAGATTGGATTGGGGTGTGGGGCTGGAGGTCCACCTTGCGGCCCTCCTGACCCGAGCTGAACTGATGTTCTAACAATCTAGATGTCCATTCTGCCTCCCCTCATCTGGGGCCTGGGGCAGGTGGCATCATCACCATGCTGAGATATAAGGAAGCAGACACAACCAGTCACGTTTTCATATAAAAGCTTGTGAGAATTGACATACAACTACACACACAACACATACAAACACTTTGGTCTGGAGATGGGTTTCAAGGCAACTAAATTCCAGTGAACAAGATGGTGAGGGTGCGGGGGTGGATATCTGAATTCCTTTGCTCCCCTTCCCCCAGCACTGATGATGGTGCAAGTAGCCATAAGAAAGAGCCGTAAGGAGGTGGGGACAAGAGGATATGCATTGAAATGAGAAGTTCAGGCCGGGTGCAGTGGCTCACACCTGTAATCTCAACACTTTGGGAGGCCAAGGCAGGCAGATCACCTTAGGTCAGGAGTTCGAGACCAGCCTGGCCAACATAGTGAAACCCCGTCTCTACTAAAAATACAAAATTAGCCGGGCGTGGTGGCAGCACCTGTAATCCCAGCTACTCAGGAGGCTGAGACAGGAGAATCGCTTGAACCCGGGAGATGGAGGTTGCAGTGAGCCGAGAGCGTGCCATTGCACTCCAGTCTGGGTGACAAGAGTGAATCTCCATCTCAAAAATTAAAAATTAAAAAAAAAAGAAAGTTCAAGTCCTCAGGTCAGAGGGATTATGAAGCCTGCATCAGTGTCCCAGCAGGCCACAGCATCCCCCTTTCTCCTGCATCTCTGTCTTGAGTCTGCCCTTCTCTCCATCTCTCCCTGTCCTCCTTCACTCCTGCCTCCACTCCTGGCCATATTATGAATTACTATGCCATTGAAGGCCCCCTGCTCCTTACTGAAGGCTTTCTTCCTGTTCTTTAGAGCCTAATTTCTCTCCAGCTCATTGATTCCTCCCCATCCATTGTTCCACTGACCTACGGCAGAACTTGGGCTTGGGGCAGAACAGAAGGTAGCAGAAGCTTCCATGATGCTGGAGCTCCCAGAACATATTCTGGTCTTTTTCTGGTCAGAAGCTGAGTGGCATCCAGAATGTTTCCTGCACTTTACCTCCTGCCCTGGCCTGGGCTTCTGGCAAGCAGAAGTCACCCCTCCTCACTGCTTCTCATTGCCCCTCATTGAGAGAGAGAGAAGACAGGAGAGAGGGAAAGGGTGGGGTGTGTGTGTGTCAGGGAATTAACCGAGGTTTAACATTTCCTCAAAGATGTACAAGCATGAGAAGGCAAAAGGAGTTACTAGAGGCCACACCTGCTTCTCTGGATCTCAAGAACTGGAGAAAATTTCATCCCTGGTCCCATTCCTTAACCCACTTTACCCTACCCCCAACCTGTTCCCCACCAAAAAAAAAAGTGTCAGTAAAAAAAAAAAGTCAATTCCTGTTTGGGCCCATTTATTGTTTATTTTGAATAGGTAATACAGTCACATGGTTCAAAATTCAAAATGTACAAAAGGGTGTAAGTGTTAAGACCCTTCCCTCTCCTGTCCTCAACCTACTGGTTCCCCTCCCAAAAGTAATCAGTGTTACCCATTTATTCTGAATAGGCATACATAAGCAATTATGTGTTTATATTCTACTCCTTTCTGAAACACAAATGGGAAGTGCGCTATACACATTTCTGTGGCTTGCCTTTTTCACCTGAAGATTATTACATATTAGTATATAAAGACATACAATTATTTTTTAGCTGCATACTATTGTATTGTAAGGCTGTATCAGAATTGATTTAACCAGTCCTTTAGAGAAAAAAGTTTCTGTTGTTTCTCATCTCTTGCTATTTCTTTGTCCCCATCCCCAATCCAGACCTCAGGAGGGACAGCAGTGATGGGAATGGAGCCCAAGCCTGGACCAGGCCAGGCCCTGCCCCACCCAGGCCAGGCCCCTCCCCACTAGGCCAGACCCCCACCTCACCCAGGGCCCAGCTCATTCGCATGCCTGAATGTGATTGGACAGCCCCTCCTGGCTGGGTGGCTGGAGTTGTAGGGGCTTTGGCTTCTCATCTTTGATGCCCACCCTTTGTTTCCACTCCAGCCTCCCAAACAGGCTGTTGCAGAATACAGAGCCCTGGTACAAAATGGCCATTCTTCATTATCATTGCACCCCCAAATCACTTGAAATGCTAACTTGAGCTGCTGCTGTCACGATGACCATCCTCCTCTATAGAGAGCATGAGGCAGGCAGACACAAATGCACAGAAGCAGCTGTCCTGAAACACACCCAGCCCCAGGACAGGGGTAGGAGCAACTCCTACTCCCAATAAGCAACAGACACAAGGGAACGACACACAGGGATTGGCCACTCTGATTAGGGGTCCCGTGACCTTGAGACTTCCATAGGGCTGGAGAGGAGACGGAACTTGACTGAAAACTGAGGGCTGGGGGAGTACCAGGGGCTGGGACATAGGGATATCCCCTCAGGATTCGGGAGAAATTGCAGGATAGAAGAGAAGGCAGGAACAGGAGGAGGAGGAGGAAGTAGGTGAGAGAGAGGAAGACGAGAAGGAAAGGACCTGGATGAGAGGGAATGTGAGCAGAAGCATCCTTTCCAGCTCAGCTATGGACTTGCAGGACTGGCAACCCTACTCTGGGGTCTCCAGGGAATAGCCCCCTTTTAGAGTCCTTGGAGGTGGCCTAAAAAGATTCGGGAAAGCCAGACAGCAACAAAGGGAACCATCTAGGGAAGCCCTCGGCCACGGCTCCAGGCTGGGCCATGCCTGGCCTCTGTGGATGAGAACTCAGTACAGCTGGCATCAACAAGGTTCAGTGTCCCCTGTGTCAGGCATCACAGGGTCAGGAGGCTCCTGGCTCAGAGGCGGATGCGAGGGAGGGTAGTGGAAGAAAGAGAGTCCTGGCACAGGAAAGAGGGAACCAGGCTGCCGGCCCAGTGCCCAGCTGCTCCCCATCCCTCACACCCTGGCCCTGGAGCCCTTGGCCACATGCCCCATCCCAGGACCGCCTAGTTGTGAGAGAAGCCCCCGTGGGAGAAGGCAGGGAGGTCGGGGGCACAGGCAGCAGCCTGGGGCAGGCAAGCTAGGGGGTTGACCTCGCAGGCCCCAGCATCCTGGTCCCCTCGGAAGTAGATGGAGTCGGCAGAGTAGAAGGAGGGGTCTTCGTCAAAGAAGTTATAGGGTCGGAGGAAGAAGCCCACGCCGTTCCCCACAGTCACTGTGTTAGGAATGTCCTCTGCATGTGGGATATGCAGAAAACCAGCTGTCACCCAGGCCACCAAATCCTAGCAGGGGAGAAGAAAGAGGATCACGAGGTCTGGCTTTGCTGAGGACATGCCCTGGTAGGGATTCAGCTCACCAGCCCAAGGATCATGAGTCTTTAAACATTTTTTCCTGCTGGGTAGGAGTCAAAGCATAAGTAGTCCATTTCATATTAGGAACACCTGCTTCCCTGTCCCTGGCTTGCAGCCTCCATCTCTGACATTTCCCATCATATCGCCCATTGCCTATCTACCCCCAGAGGGTGACACCCACAGGCTACTTCAGCTCCTCTTCCCCTAACTCTCCAAGAGTTCCCCACAACTGAGGAAAGAAGGGTGGAGGAAAAAGAACCAGCGCTTGGGAAGCAGAACCAGGCCAACATTGTGAAATTCATCAAGTCAGGAATGGGAGAAGCTTCAGATACAGGAGATGTCATTTTCCCTGGTAACTTCCATCCCTCCTGAGTCCTGGAGCCTGGAAAGGACTCAGTCCATGAAACTGGAACTAAGAGGGCTCTAAGATCTCAAGGACAGGCCCAGGGCCTCACTCAGTGTCTGCATATGGACACCCAGCTCAGGAAGGTTCCCTCAAAGGATAATGATCAGATATACTGAAGTGCAGAAGGCAGGAATCAGCACCACCCCTGAGAAGTGCAGGTGGTTTTCAGGGACCCTCCCAAGAGAAAGCAAGGCTCATCCTGTACCCTCTACCCCGGCCAGCTGACCTTTCCAGCAATGGTCTCATTGTTGATGAAGTCACTGAAATCCACAGTGGGGGCCCAAGGGTCATTCTGATTGAAAACGCTGCTGCTACTGGGCTCCTCCTCCTTCCGCTGGGTCACAGCCAGCTGGTACCTAGGGAGGCACTGGTCAGGCCTCCATGGCCATTGACCCCATCCTGCTGCCTGATTATGATGAAAGGGAACTGAGTGCTCAGAGCTCAGCTTCCCCAATTGCAGTCACACAACTGACTCGGCGCTACAGAATCCCCGACGTCACCCTAAGGGGGGTCAAGTCCTCCTGTTTATCCCCAGCCATTTAACAGTACAACCCCTCTCCCATCCAAAACAGAAGAGAGTTCTCACTCCTGGGCTTTAGCCTCCAAGGGGAAAATGTGCCCATCATGGTTTCTTTGGATAACTAGAAAAACCTTTGGCCAGGCATTGTGGCTCATGCCTGTAATCACAGCACTTTGGGAGACCAAGGAGGGTGGATCATGAGGTCAGGAGTTCGAGACCAGCCTGGCCAACATGGTGAAACCCTATCTCTACTAAAAATACAAAAATTAGCCATGTGTGGTGGCGTGCACCTGTAATCCCAGCTACTGGGGAGGCTGAGGCAGGAGAATCGCTTGAAACTGGGAGGCGGAGGATGCAGTGAGATTGCTCCACTGCACTCCGGCCTGGGCAACAGAGCAAAACTCCATCTCAAAAAAAAAAAAAAAAAAGGAAAAGAAAAGCCTTCCTGAGAGAGCTCTCCCCTCACCTACAGTGTGAGCTGAGTGTCCGCCAACACTCCTTTCCCACTCTCACTGCCCCCCTCCTCTCTGACTGCCCGCCACTCACCTCTCCCAGCTGAAGCCTCTCGCCATGGAGCTGTTTTGGGGCAGCGGCTCTCCAGCAAAGCTGAGCATCTGGATGCGGTAGCCCCGGGGGTGACCCCACTTGTTGCTGTGGTTGCTGGCCAGGTACAGGTAGCGAGGGGTGGCGCTTCCCACGAGGAAGGCGGCCTGCTCCTCCATCTCCAGCAGCTTCCGGGTCACCTGCAGCCTCTGCAGCTGGTGCTCAGGGCTCCAGGGCACAGCCATGGGGACAAAGACCATATCCTCGGCCCAGACCCAGTTCTCCAGTCCTGCTCAGGGTGGGATAGGGGAGGGCCTGTCAGGCAACTGCCCTGGCCCCTCTGGACTCTGCCCCCATCTGGCTTCAGAGTGGGGGCCAAAGAGCAGCCCAGAACTGAGTGTGCCCCTCCTTCTCTTCCCTCTCCCCAGGATACCTCCAATCCTTTAGCCAAAGCTGTTGACCTGTAAATTAAAATACTTCATCAGGGAGTTCATTCCATTTCACTCATTCATTCTTTCAACATTCATTAGCAGAGAGGACTGTACTCGTCCCTGGGGATAGAGATGAATGATCATCCTTACCCTCTTGCTTTCCACGCAGACAGACAAACCACTGACTGGCCTGTCCTGTGAGAGGAGCATGGCCTAGGCAACTTCCGGATCACAGGAATACAGTTGCAGGCAGGAAAAGGGGGCCCTTCCGGGCAACTTTTCAGCCTGGCCTTAAAGGACATTACCAGAAAAGATGATATGGAAGGACATTCTAAGCAGAGACAAAGCATAAGCAAACAGGAGGATGCCTGACTGTAACATGTGAAGTGCGTGTCCAGGGACATGGAGAATTTGGGTGTAGCTGTGCAGAGCACAGCAAGGCAGGGTGGAGCTGCACCGTGAAGGAAAGAGTTTTGAGGGGGTTCTGCAGACAGGATCCCACAGGTGATGACGAAAGTGAGAGCTGAGTAAAGGGCAGGCTGGTGTGGATGGGAGGCCCTCTGGGTGCAGAGTGGCTCTTGGCTCTGAGAGCAACAAGAGCAAAAACAGCAGAGAGAGGGCTGGCACCTGCACGGCATGACAGTCTGACCTGCCGAGATACTGCAGGTGCAAAACAGAAACAAAACAAAATAAAACAAAACCAAAAAAAAACACCTGGTGACTGACTCAATGTGGGGAAAGACAGTGAAAAGACAAAGATGAAGACTCCAAGCCATCATGTAGCCTTGGCTCTCTCTGTGACCAGACTCCAGGATCTATCCAGAATGCTCCACGGGATCCATGTGACCCCTCACACTTAGGTGAATTGTGCCCAGAGAAAGAAGGAAAATCAGGGAGGAGGGTCCATCTCCAAAGGAAATGTACAACCTGGAATGACTGACCTGCACATGCCAGGGACGTGGTAGAATGCAAAGAGATCCTCCAAAACACCACCACCACAGGCCAGACACAGAACTGAGCTGACAAACAGAAGGCTGCTCCCAGCAGCAGAGCCCATATAAGTACAAGGGAGAGAAGAGGGCAATGGGGACACTGTTAGCCCAAATCCTGCCTCCTCCCTGAGCTCGGCCATTTCCCAAGATCTTTGGATGAGGTCACGTAGAGGAAGGCTGCAGCTTTGCACCCAGCCAGTGAGCTAAGATCCAAATAAAACTCAGCAGCCAACTCTCTCCCATCCAGCAAAAGGGGAAGTACAAAAATCCACGTCTTCCTTTCTGGGATAATCTACATAAAACCCAAAGCTAATGGAAACAACTTTTCAGCCCTTCTTCCAGAAGCCTTCTCCCCACCAAAATGTCTTACCTGCTACATCCAGATCCACCTTGAAGTGGGCGCTGTGGGTGTGGACCGTGCCCAGGGTGTGCTCTGACACTTGGTTCCCGTACTTCCCAGTAGCACCAAAGAGGAATGCCGAGCTGATGTAGCCCGTGGCATAGAATCGTATTTCTATGGCCCCACTGGGGTGGAAGACCGTATCCCACACATAGTCATAGTTGAGCAAGGTGGACATAGATCTGACGACCAGCACCGTTTCCGCAAGACCCCCAAAGTAGTGCGAGTAGAGATCTGAGTGGTGTCGCCGCAGGGGGAGGCCCTGGTTCTGTTCAAACACACAAAAGGCATCACGTATTGTCTTGGGGGCCTGGGACTCCAAAAGGAAGTGCCAGTCCACGTAGGTGGCCAAGTAGGGGCAGTCCACCCCACGGGTCAGGGGCGTGGTGTACTTGCCCATGCCAAAGCCTCCATCCACATAGCGGGTCGTCATTGCTGCTGGGGAATTTCCACCATAGATGGCCAAGGCCTCTTGGAGGCTTATCTCATAAACTAGTCTTTCTCCTTGGAAGCGAACGTCAAAGATCCTTGGGCCACTGAATGCTCCGAGGCCAAAGGAGAAAGTCCACAGTGAGGAGGCCACTCGACTTCCCTGGACACTGAAGCGGGGGCCTTGGGGATAGAACTGTAGAGGGGGAGCTGGACCCGGGGGCACAGGGGACTTCAGGGACCAGGACCCACCTGTGCCATTGTCTGGGATCAGCACCACATTCACCAGGCCGGCCTCAAACTGGGCCTCCAGCTGGGCCAGGCTGTCGTAGTAGCGGCCTTGATAGAACACCTTCTGGATAGTCCAGCGGGCAGGGTCAAGGGCCTTGTGGTTCACTAGCAGCTCCAAGCCCACGTGGTGCAGGAAGAACCCAGCGCCCGAGATGTTGTAGTAGAGGCCAAACCAGGTGGCCCGGTCCCCTGATTGCAGACCACGGGGAGCCGTGGTCATTGTCACCAGGTTCCGTCCCCGGTGCTTGTAGAAGCAACAGTGGTGGAGAAGCCCAGAAGCCTGGGGCAGCTCTCTGTTGAAGATCATCTGGTCTATGTCCAGGTACTCTTGGAACAGCACGGGGCGTCGGTGATAGGGCAGGGGGCCTCCATGACGCTCCACAGTCACGTCCCGCATGTAGGAGGGGTGAGGCAGTGGCCCCACCACCAGCTCACTCACGTTGGGCTGGGGTTGCCTGCCAAAGAAGACGATGGCCAGTGCCTCCCGGGCAGGTGGGGGGCTCCCCCTGTCCAAGTGAGCCAGGGCTGCAGCCTTGGGAGGCAGCTGCAACTCCACTGAGAAGACACAGTTGTCCGAGGGCCGGGCCTGGGCTGCATCCACCAGCCCTGGCCCCAGCCGCTGGGTCAGAAAGCGCATCACAGCCGTCAGCTCCTCTCGGCTCAGGTCTGCAAACAGCTGGCTCTGGCCAGGGTGTGTCCAAGGCTGGGCACTGGGAGATACAGAGGGGCAATGGGGAAGCTGGCTGGGTTCACCCCCATCTCCACCCCTGCCCACCAGCAGGACACAAACCAAGGCAAAGATGGTGATGACGGCCAGAATGAGGAGCACGAGGATTGTCTTCTGGTTCATTTTCCCACGAAGAGGGACAGCTGATTCAACCAAAGGAGAGCAATGTATTCTCACGCCAGCAAGACGGGGGCTCTGTTGGCTCCTGGACGGGGTGGGGGGCTCCCGGACTCTGGCTGAGGTTCCCGGTAGTCAGATGCCTGGGACTAAGGGTGGGAAGGACACAGGAAGGCTAGGGCAAGGGGGCGGGGTGGCCGGGGTTGGAGGCGGGTCTGAACAGCTGTGATTTCCACAGACCTTACATGGTTTTGTCTTCCAGCCTCCAAATCACTCTACTTTCTGGGTCAGGGTTGGAGTTGGGGAGAGTTGGGGCTAGGGGGAAGGGGAAGGAAAATTTCAAGATAATGCAGCACTGGGAAGGAGCAGGATCTGTGCAGAGCAGCCTCTCCTGACCTCAGCCCAGCTTCTTCCCCAGTCCCCCACTTAGTCAGGGCCAGATATTTTCCTGTAACTTCAAACTATCGTTTTCCTTCCAAAGACCCCCACCCCCTGCCCCTTTAGCTTTCCAAATGACATTCCTTGGCCAGGTCTATCCCCCTTGCCCTCTGGCCCCCAGCGCTAATTTCCCTGGCCAGACTCCTTAGTATTCTCCAGAGGACTCTAGATACTTAACAGGTCAAACAATAAATTCAAGTAAAATTCCTCTAATACTTTTTATTATAAATTACATACAACATCTGTTTTACAAAATTCTATCTACTCTTCCTTTTGAATGCACATGCATAAAGAGATGTCTGATGTAATGTGACCACCTATTTCTGAGTAGTAGGATTTGTGATATTTTTCTTTGAATATTTAAAAATCATTTTTATAATTTAACACTTTAGAGATGAACAGGAAGTAAGAATTAACCAAAGGGACTGATGGGGGTTTCGTGTGAGAGGAACATTGAGGGGGTGGGAATCTGGGGAGCAGGTGTGATAAAAACACGGAGAATAGAAAGTAGAAACAGGGAAAAGTACATGTGCCTAACCACGCCGCCCGCCACACCCTCAGGACTAGAAGCCGTGGTAAGAGAAAGGGGGTAAGTCCGGGACACAGGCTGCCAGGTCGGGGAGGCAGGCCACAGGATTGATGCTGCAGAGCCCAGCATCCTGGCCCTTCTCAAAGTAGACACTGCCAGGGGAGAAGATGGAGGGGTCCTCATCAAAGAAGTTATAGGGTCGGAGCAAGAAGCCAACTCTGTTCCCCAGAGTCACTGTGTTTGGGATGTCCTCGGCATGGGGAATGTGCAGGAAGCTGGCTGTGACCCAAGCCACCAGATCCTGCAAGAAGAAGGAGGAGCTGGAGGACTATGGAAGCGTGACCCAAAGAACCACCCTTCAGTCACAATCCCAGCCTCCAGTCTCAGCCTGGCTTCCACTCTCCCCAGCCTCATGCCCATACAACACGTGGAGCAATCCATGTAAGCAGCTGTGCGGGGAGAGGGGGGAGCCAGTGTCCCAGAGCTAATCTCACCCCAGGAGGGATGACCTGTGTTGGTCATCAGAAAACTCCATGGCCTCTGAATCTGCGAACTGGAAATCAGCCATTCCCTCTAACCTTTGGCCAGAGGCTGGGCAGCCAAGATGCCATGCCCACAGGTGTCCCTTTCCTATGTCCCTAGGGCAACCAACCTCTCCTAAGAGGGTTTCATTGTTGATGAAGTCAGCAAAGGTAACTGTGGGTGTCCAGATGTCATTCTGGTGATAGATGCTACTGCTCTGTGACTCCTCCTCCTTTCTCTGGGTCACCACAAGCTGGTATCTGGCCAGGAATCATAAGAAGGTGGTTTTGGGAAATGTCAAGTGCCTTTACTGGCCCAGGAGTCCCTTAGATCCGATTCTGTGTGAGACCATTTCCCACCGTGTATCTAACTTGGGTTTGAGGGGAGGTACAGGGATGAATGGTAGCCGTGGGAAGGGAGTTTGTCTCCAAGGACTGGGGCAGGGGAGGGGCTGTCCTTTCCTTCCACCCAGGCCAGGGCCCTCCTCACCTCCCCCAGCTGAGGGCCCTCTCCATGTCACTCTCCAGGGGTATGTGTATGCCAAGGGGGCTGTGGATCTGGATTCGGTACCCGCGCTGGTGACCCCACGCATTAGTCTGGTTGCTAGCCAGGTAGAGGTAGCGGGGTAGGGGGCTTCCCAAGGAAAAAGCTGTCAGGTCCTCCTTTCCCAGGACCTGCCGAGTCAGCTGTGGGCGCTGTAGCCAGTGCTCCGGGTTCCAGGGGGCAGCCACAGGTTTAAACACCACGTCTTCAGCTACCACCCAGTTTTTCAGCCCTGCCAGGGGGAGGGAAAGGAGATGAGTTCCACACCAGGTAAGGTCTCTGGGCCAGGTCCCTGTCTTCCCCATGATGTCCACTGCACTGGTGTGACAAAAGGCAGAGAGAGCATCAGAGCACACTGTGCTGGGAGCCAGGAGGTCTGGGCAAGAGCAAGCTCCTATCTTCTTCCAACTTGCCCTATCCGATAGGGTAACCACTAGCCACACGTGGCTATGAAAATTAAAACTTAGGGCCAGCTGAGGTGGCTCACACCTGCAATCCCAGCACTTTGGGAGGCTGAGGCGGGTGGATCATGTGAGCCCAGGAGTTTGAGACCAGCCTGTGCAACGTGGTGAAACCCTGACTCTACAAACAATAAAAAAATCAGCCAGGCATGGTGGTACATGCCTGTGGTCCCAGTTACTTGGGAAGCTGGGGTAGGAGGATTGCTTGAGCCCAGTAGGTTGTGGCTGCAATGAGCTGAGGTCACACCACTGCACTCTAGCCTGGGCAACAGAGCAAGACTCTGTCTAAAATATATATATATATATATATGTATATATATATATATATATATTCAGTTCCTCTGTCACACTAGCCACACTTGAAGTGCCCAGTTGCCACACATGGCTAGTGACTATTGTTTAGAGCCACAGCTCAAATACGGAATATTTCTATCACTACAGAAAGTTCTATTAGCACTGGACTACCAAACAGTCCCTGGACCAATTTGCTTCTCTGATTCACTTTCTGAATCCCTACACTGGGCATAATTAAAGCTGTTCTATGGCTGTGCCCAATAAACAGAAAAGCACTTGCAGCTGACTAGTGACATTCTTTTAACTATGAAAGGGATAATGATATTTGTCTTGGAGAAGCTAGCTGAAAAACTGACTCCTGAGCCGGGTGTGGCAGCTTGCAACTCAGGAGGCTGGTGGCAGGGTGATGCAGATCCCTTGAACCCAGGTGCTGGACACCAGCTGGGGTAACGGAATGAAACACTGCCTCTTAAAAAAAAAAAAAAAAAAAAAAAAAAGGCCGGGCATGGTAGCTCACAGCACTTTGGGAAGCCGAGGCGAGTGGATCACTTGAGACCGGGAGTTCAAGATGAGCCTGGCCAACATGGTGAAACCCCATCTCTACTTAAATAAATAAATAATTTAAAAAAATTAGCCAGGTGTGGTGGTGTGCTACTCTGGAGGCCGAGACACAAGAATCGCTTGAACCTGGGAGGTGGAGGTTGCGGTGAACTGAGATTGCACCACCGTGCTCCAGCCTGGGCAACAGAGTGAGACTCTGTCTTCAAAAAAAAAAAAAAAGCTGGGCGTGGTAGTGTATGCCTGTCATCCCAGCTACTAAGGAGGCTGAGGCAGGAGGATTGCTTGAGCCCAGGAGGTCAGGGCTGCAGTAACCTGTGATTGCACCGCTGCACTCCAGCCTGGGTGACAGTGAGACACTGCCTCAAAAAAAGAAAACCCAATCCCTTCCCATGGTCCCCTGCATACTCCTCCCAGCTCTGAGACTTCACTTTTGATCTCAGCAAGGTGGGAAGTACTGTCAGTGTTTTTCAGAAGCAAGCACATTCATACCTTTGTCTGGGAGTTCCTTGGAATTCTACAGCATCCATAACCTGCACTGCCTAACTCAGCACTTGGTCATACACTTTCTGCAGGTCTGGACTGTAAGTTCAACGAGACCTATATGAAGGTACCTGGCACGGGAGGCACTGCACTGAAGCTGGTGCCTCTGCAGCCATCCTGTGAGCTGGTGCCTGACACAGCCTCTCTGGCCCACAGCAGCAGCCCATGCTGCACACGCTAGGGGTCCAATAAATGTTACTTCCCAAAACAAGCCTCTTTAATGCCAAAGATGCTGAAGAAAAACTTCCAATCAGAAGACAAGTCAAAATCCAAGTATGTCAAAGAGTAATCTAGTTAATATGATCATTTCAATCATGCTATTAGTCCTTCCTACCCTCCACACCACTGCGAACACAAGTGCAAGTGCATGCACAGAGACACACGCAGGCACGCACGTGCCATGTCTTTAGACTTGAGGATAAGAAAACATTTCACAAGAAATACTAGTTTATGTTGCATTATACTTGGGCAGTCATTTCCTGTCCCATCTCCCGCCACCCTCCTTAGTTTCCCTTAAAATGGAGAGGGTCTGGTGAGTTTCTAATTTTCTTTGTGGATCAGTGTGTGAGTCTGTAAGTTCCTTTCTGTCCTTGACAAAGTCTGTCAGGAACAGCAAGTCCTCTGTGTGCTTTGAGCCCTTTGTGCTTGAGAAATCTCTTTCCATACTTGCAGCAAGCTGTGTGCCTGCCATGAGTCAACTGTGATGACAGGAATGGGATGGCCCTCCCGATGAGGAGTGGCCCTATCCTGGGGAGCAACCCCAGCTTTGCTACCCTCTCCTTCCTAAGCCCCAGGTCGACCCCCACCCTGAAGACTCTGGACAGACTTCTTCCGACCTCGGCTCAGGACCCTGCCCTCCCCACCCCTACTGACCCTCAGAATTAGGAAGAAGCAAAGTGCTCCAACTCCAGCCCCATTGGGCCAGTTCACCCACCCAGTGTCACTTGAGGCTAAGGCAATCATGCCCAGCCATTACATTTAAACTAGTTTCACAATCATAGCAAGTCAGAGGGGCTGGGCGGGGGAACTCTTTTCACCTTTTACCAGATACCCAGTAGCCCAGTACCAGACTCACTGCACTGAATATGCTCAAACAGTCCCTGCCCTGTTGCCACTAGAGCTGTGGTGTTGGAACACCCTGCTCTTGCCACTTGTTATTTCAGCTTGACCTGGGAGATTCCCTTCCCTTCCCTCCACCCCACCTGACCCCGCCCCCAAGTCTCCATCCTCATCCCCTCAGCACTCACCTGCCACATCCAGGTCCAGCTTGAAGTGGAAGGCATGTGTGTGCACCGTTCCCAGCACTCTTTCCCCCACACGGTTCCCAAAGAGGAGGCCCTCCTCTCCCCCTTTCAGGAAAGCTGTGTTGATATAACCCGTGGCATGGACCCGCCCTTCAAGTGCCCCATTTGGGTACAACACAAAGTCCCAAATGTAGTCATAGTTGCCCACAGATGACACAGACCTGACCACAAGGGCTGAGCTGGCCAAACCACCATAGAAATGATTTTGAAGGTAATTGTGGTGCCTTCGAAGGGGCAGTCCCTGGGCTTCCTCAAATACACACACAGCCCCTGGAAGCAGCTGGACTGCCCCTTTGCCCACTAATATATGGATGTCCACCATCGTGGCTTGATAGGGGCAGTCCACTCCCCGCACCAAGCCTCGGCTGTTACGGCCGAGTCCAAAGCTGCTATCCAAATAGCGAGTCAGCATCGTCTTGGGTGAATCGGCACCATAGATAGATACACACTCCTGGACACTGACTTCATAGGCTATTCGCTCACCCTGGAACCGAACATCAAAAATCCTCAGGCCGCTGAACACCCCATGGCCAAAGGTAAATGACCAGAGGGAGGATACCACCAGGTTTCCTTGCACACTGTACTGGGAACCCTGGGGCGAGAACTGAAGAGGGGGAAGAGGACCTGGAGAGTTCCGAGACCTCAGGGATGAAGCTCCATTTGGTGGAGGTAGAGGGACTCTAACCACTTCCAACCGGCCAGACTTAAACTCCCGTTCCAACTGGCCCAAGTCTGCATAGTAGTGCCCAAGGTAGAAGACCTGCTGGACAGTCCAGTGGGCAGGGTCCAGGGCCCTGTGGTCCAGTAGTAGCTCCAGCCCCACGGGGTGAAGGAAAAGACCAACCCCTGAGATGTTATGGTAGAGGGCCATCCAGGTAGCTCGGTCCCCTGAGCGCAAGCCCCGAGGGGTGGCATGCACAGCTGCCAGGGTAGAGCCATTGTAGTTGAAGGTGGACGACAGGAAGATGGGTGCCTTGGGTAGCTCCACCTCTTTCAGATGCCTCCACATCTGTGTAAACTCAGCTCTCAGCACCGGGCGACGGTGATAGGGCAGGGGCCCGCCGTGACGCTCCACAGTCACATCCCGCATGTACGAGGGGTGAGGCAGCGGCCCCACCACCAGCTCACTCACATTGGGTTGGGGTTGTCCACCAAAGAGGACGATGGCCAGTGCCTCCCGGGCAGGTGGGGGGCTCCCCCTGTCCAGGTGGGCCAGGGCTGCAGCCTTGGGGGGCAGCTGCAGCTCCACTGAGAAGATGCAGTTGTCCGAGGGCTGAGCCTGGGCTGCGTCCACCAGCCCTGGCCCCAGCCGCTGGGTCAGAAAGCGCATCACAGCTGTCAACTCCTCTCGGCTCAGGTCTGCAAACAGCTGGCTCTGGCCAGGGTGTGGCCAGGGCTGGGCCCTATGGGATACAGAGGGGCAGTGGGGAGGCTGGCTGGAACCACCTGGGCTGGTCAGCAAAACATAGGCCAGGGCAAAGATGGTAATGAGGGACAGTGCCAGGAACGCCAGGACTATCTTGAGATGCATGGTGGATGCTGAGAGCTGAAATCAGAATTCTAACAGCTGCTCCTTCCAGTTACTGACATCAAGTCGGGGTTTATATTCGCTAGGATGGATAGGAAGGGAGAAAACTCCACCCCATGGGTTGGGCAGGAAATTTCTGACCTTGATTTATGTAATTCTGTTCCAATTTTCTGTCCTGTGGTTTGGCCCAGGGCACTGCTTCCACATGCATAGCCTCTTCCTTGCCCCTGAACTCCCACTGGTAGCAGTCAGTACCAACTACTGATTTCCATCATTTAGACCAGATGAAAGGGAATCTGGGTTAACGATGCTAACCTCCAGTTTCCACCTGGAATGGGTCTCAGGAAGAGTACAAACCTCAGATGCCCAATTAAGTTCTGCAGCCTGCATGCAAGCACTAAGCTGTCCATTTTCCTACCTCCTGGCAGGAACTGCATCCCAACAGCTCCAGGATTCACTGCCATGTTCAGCAGTAAGCACTGAATTCTACTTGTTGCCTAATGCCAAGCCCTTGATTTGTAGTCAGGCCATTTCCAACCAGTGGAGTGGCTGAGGGCCTGGGCTTAGTAATCAGGTTTGTCCACCAATCCCAGTTCCCTCAGCTGTGTAACCTTAGCGGAAATACTTATCCTGAGTCTCAGTGTCCTCATCTGTAACAAATAGATACAACTATCCTATAGATTCCTGAAGATTAAATGTGATCATGCACATTAGGTACTTAACAGCCTGGCACAGGGGAGGCACTCACAAACCGCTAGCTTTTGGTAGTCATCTCTGAAACAGAACAGAGCAGCTGCTCCTCCATTGTTCAAGACCTTAAACTCTTTTTACAGAGACAACGAGGGGATCATTGGAAACCAGAAGGCTACTTGCAAGGTGGAAGATGAGGAAACTTTATTTCAGAGGGAGATAGATTCCTAGGCAGCCCTCCAAGTAATTTGAAAACCAAAACTAGGAGTCTCCTCAAGAAACTGAAGACATTATTCAGGAAGAATTAGTATAAGGTAAAGAAAATGACTGGGTAGGACGCGCCTTGAACCAGTTCATTCCTTACACATGGAACGATAGCAGCCTCTACTGGCAGTTCATGGGTATCACTCGGGAAGGAAGGAACTAGGATCTTCTGAAAGTAGGGAGAGAAGGCAGCTTAGGTCTGGGAAGAGCTAACTTTCCCATAATTCAGACTGAACACAAATGAAGCACCCAACCTTGCTCAGTAGGCAGAAGCCTCAGTCTTTCCACTATACTGGGGAAAAGATTCAGCTCAACTGGCATAAGGACACACAACAGGGTGGCTAGGTGTCCATGGAGGTGGGTGTCCAAGCGTGCACACATATGAGCATGAGTACATCCCTAGCCACCAGAGCATTGCACCAGGGTCTGCGGCTTTAGAAAGAGGTCAAAGTACCTGTATTTTTAATAATTTCTTGACATGGTAAAAGAATTTTACATTACGATCCATGGGTGATAGGGTGAGGAGGAGGGGCAGTGGAACAGTCCAACAAACGAAACGGGAAACTGAGAAACACATGGAGGGAAGGGGGAAGGGTTTTAGCTGGAAGGGATCTGGAGGGTGGGTGGGAGCACTGCCCAACTAAAATGCAATTGGTTTGTTACTGAGTACTATTCGTGGGAAGACAGCATCCTGACTCCCTCTCTACAGAATATTGGGAGTAAAAATGATGCATCCCCGGTGGAAATATTATTGGGGGTTGGAAGACAGAGACAGGAAAAATAAGTCAGAAACAGACACTAAGAGTCACTGGCAGGCTGACTGCAGGTATCAACTCTCCAGCCGTGGTAGAATAAAAGAGCTAGGGGCTGAAGGGGATTAACACAAAAGCTGTTAACAATTAAGTGATATCTCTGGAAGATTCGAGAGACAGGAGGCAACTCTTCTATAGTTTTGACTTGCCCAGCACATTTCCACATACACAAATGTGTATATGCACGTGTGTGCATGCACATACACATACACACCAATGATTGCTTTCCCCGGAAGCCCGACACTATAAATAAAGAGAAATAGTTCCCAAAAGGAAAGCCCAACATGAGCAGCAGCATCTGGACCTCACACTTGCAGAAACCTTCACCCCAACTGAAAACTGGCTGGGAAAAGGCAACCAGGAGTCAAGCTCTTGCAATAATGCCAAAAAGGGCTGAGTCAGAGAGGAACAGGCTTTCCCCAAGCCCTCTGCTTCTCATCTCTCTGTTCTCCACCAACTCACCCTGGGTACCAAGAGGCTACAGTATCAGGAGGGAGGACGGGCCCAGGACGTTTGTCTGGGTAGATGACAACTAAGACAACTGTCACCTCCTGAAAGGTATGTGACAGGGGTTGTGGAGAGGGAGGGTATGTTAGCTAATGGAGTAGGAGTCTGTGTGTGCATGTCTGTATGGGCGTATACATGCATACACATATGTGCATGTGAAAACGCCCATTATAAAAACAACTGAAGGAGCTTCGGAATTGACTGAAGGCCTAAGGTATTTCTTGTCACGATCAAGATTCAAAGTGGGATGTACACAGATGGGAAGCCCTAAGTCATCACCAGGGCAACTGTGGGAGGATCCAATGCCCCACAGAGGAAAGAAACAGTAACCTCATGTGAGGAAGAGAAGTTCGTCCCCCCGCCACCCTAGTTCCTAAAAAACACCTAGCACTTTCCTTCCGGTTCCCTCAGCTTTTAACCAACTAATTATCAAACGGAAGAAAACATAAAGCGCAAGACACAGGAGGGAGAGAGGGGGAGAATGAAAACACAGGTATTTTTGTGCCAACATCCTGCACACACAAACCTGGAGTTCTCCAGAAATTACGACAGGTTGGGTGTGGGGTATTAGGGAAGGAAATAGAAGAGTTCCTGAGGCCTGAAAAAAGAGGTAAACACATCACAGAACTAGATGAGAGTTTCATTAGACTCTAACTAAAAACAGAGAGGTGTGATTACTATTTCCAGCCAGTTTCCCCATCACGATAGTCATGTAACAAACCAAGGCAATGTCGGTCTTGAGCCAGACTCACAGAGTCCCCTGGCCCTGGCCCTGGCCTCAGTACAGAGTCTCTGCATTGCTGCTCCGGGGCCGTTTGATCTTCTCGATATTTTTCAGGATCATGTCATGTAGAGTGACCTGAGAGAAGAGGGATCAGGGGAATCACATATCTGTACAACCCTTACCTCATCAAGAAAATGAGAGACCCCTTCACAAATCCCCAAGCAATCATCTGCATACGGTAAGTCCTTAATGTCATCAATAGGTTCTTAGCAACTGCGACTTGAAGGAAATTAAAGTACAGCAGGTAAGCAAATCAAGTACAGAAGGTCCTCAAATAACCTGGTTTCAAATAACATCATTTTGTTCGATGTCATTTTGTTACAATGTTAATGAAAAAAAAACTTGGTTTTGATATACATCATTTTTAAAGTCGCAGTTTCTAAGAACCTATGGACAACATTAAGTGAAGACTTACTGTATTTTTTTTTTTTTTTTTTTTTGAGACACGGTCTTGCTCTATCGCTCAGGCTGGAGTGCAATGGCGCGATCTCGGCTGACTGCAACCTCCGCCTCCCAGGTTCATGCCATTCTCCTGCCTCAGCCACCTGAGTAGCTGGGACTACAGGCGCCTGCCACCACACCCGGCTAATTTTTTTTATTTTTAGTACAGATGGGGTTTCACCATGTTAGCCAGGATGGTCTCGATCTCCTGACCTCGTGATCCGCCCGCCTCGGCCTCCCAAAGCGCTGGGGTTACAGGCGTGAGCCACTGCACCCGGCCAACTTACTGTAATTTTAATCTCACTTGAGCCTGCATTCAGGGTGGCAGCACCACCTCTCTTATACTTCAACTGGGTATAAATGGGTATTTCCAAGGCCCCAAGTGTCTAATAACAACTAACATGTATTGTGCACTTAACATAGTAAGAATTGTACCAGGTCCTTCAATGTGTTATCTCACTTATTTTAAAAAAGCGAATGAATTTTGTGCAGTAGGTACTCTTCAGTTTTGTTTTCTTTTTTTGAGACGGAGTTTTGCTCTTGTTGCCCAGGCTGGAGTACAGTGGCACGATCTCGGCTCACTGCAACCTACACCTCTTGGGTTCAAGCGATTCTCCTGCCTCAGCCTCCCGATTAGGTGGGATTACAGGGGTCCGCCAACCATGCCCAGCTAATTTTTTGTATTTTCAGTAGAGATGGGGTTTCACCATGTTGGCCAGGCTGGTCAAAAACTCCTGACCTCATGTGATCCACCTGCCTCAGCCTCCCACAGTGCTGGCATTACAGGTGTGATCCACCACACCCGGCCTCTTCAGTCCCATTTTATTTTATTTTATTTATTTTTATTTGAGGCGGAGTTTCGCTCTTGTTGCCCAGGCTGGAGTCCAGTGGCGCAATCTCGGCTCACTGCAACCTCCGCCTCCCGGGTTCAAGCAATTCTCCCGCCTCAGCCTCCTCAGTAGCTACGATTAAAGGCATGTGCCGCCACGCCCGGCTAAATTTTTTTTTTTTTTTTTTAGTAAAGATGGGGTTTTTCCATGTTGGTAAGGCTGGTCTCGAACTCCTGACCTCAAGTGATCCACCCACCTTGGCCTCCCAAAGTGCTGGGATTACAGCCTATTTTTATTTTTTTTTTGAGATGGAGTTTCGCTCTTGTTGCCCAGGCTGGAGTGCAATGGAGCAATCTTGGCTCACCGCAACCTCCAACTCCCGGGTTCAAGTGATTCTCCTGCCTCAGCCTCCCAAGTAGCTGGGATTACAGACATGTGCCACCAGGCCCGGCTAATTTTGTATTTTTAGTAGAGACGAGCTTTCGCCATGTTGATCAGGCTGGTCTCGAACTCCTGACCTCAGGTGATCCACCCGGCTTGGCCTCCCAAAGTGGTGGGATTACAGGCATTAGCCACTGCGCCCAGCCCAGTCCCATTTTAAAGAAGAAATTGAAGTTTAAGCTTGAACAATTTGCTCGAGGTCACACAACACAGGTAGAGCCTGGTTGCAAACCTAAGTCTGTCTGACTCTGACACCTATATCTTAACCATATTGTACTGCACACCCCTCCACTCAGGTAGAAAAAAGAGAGATACCCTGCTAGATGACTTCATGGTTCTCAACACTCAGGTGATGAATAGAATTTGGTCTATTCATTTTACCTCAGACCCTCATCTCAGCCCTTCAGAGAATTTTAACAATACTCTCAACAGAACTAAGAGAAGCCACAGCAACTATGGACAAGGACTGAGATTACTCACATATTGATTCCTCAGCTCTGATATGATGAGCCGAAGGCTGATATATTCTTTCTCATCAATCTCTGTCACGGTGCGGCGATAGTCCTCCTGCAAGGAGGGTACAGGAAAAAGCTAGTCCCCAAAGCCCAATTGTTTCCAGACAGCTCCTTCCCAGTAACAGTCACTCTTCACTATCCTGCCACCTCCACCCTCAGGCCACAAACCCCTTACTTACCACATGGGGATATTTAGCTATTTTAGAAACCAATTTGGCTCTTGTAATATAATATCTGGAAAGAGAGAGAAGAGGAGGAAGATGCAGGAGACCCTTGATGGTGCCCACCACCTCATCAGCCCCCAACGCCTCGGCCAAGCCCAAGCAGCCCTACCTAGAAATCTGGTCCAGATAAGATGCAGCTTCACTCTCAACAGTTCTTAGCTCTGCAACTGTTTCCTCCTAAAACAAACAAACAACAGGTGCATCAAAAGCCACTTCCATGTCATCCACAGCAGCCCCAAAGAAAAAGGAAAAAAAGGTAACGCAGGGGAGATGAGAGTATCTCCCAAGCCACTCTTCCCAGTATGTAATTCAAGTACATTACCTGAATGGACACCCCAAAGTTGTTTCCATCTTCTATCCTGGGAATCAGGAGCTGTACCCACATTTTGACCTGGAGGTCAAAACATATATGAGGACCTTTGCCTGAAGGCTGAAGCCATGAAGTACACAATTCAGACGGCTGGAGCCAGATGCCAGGAACACAGAAGTCAAAATACCTAGTCTGGCCAGGCATGGTGGCTCATGCCGGTAATCCCAGCAATTTGGGACCCCGAAGCGGGTGGATCACCTGAGGTCAGGAGTTCGAGACCAGCCTGGCTAACCATGGCCAAAATGGTGAAACCCCGTCTCTACTAAAAATACAAAAAGTAGCTGGGTGTGTTGGCAGGTACCTGTAATCCCAGCTACTCGGGAGGCTGAGGCAGGAGAATCACTTGAACCCAGGAGGCAGAGGTTGCAGTGAGCCGAGATGGCGCCACTGCACTCCAACCTGGGTGATGGAGCGAGACCCCATCTCAAAAAAAAAACTCAAAAAAACCTAGTCTGCCAATTCCCATACCACCCGTACATCCACTGTTTTTTGCACTTCAGGTGGGGTACTTGGGGCCGGCCCATAGGTCACCAGCCTGTGCCTCACCGTGTTACATTTCTCAATCAACAGCCGGATCTCAGGTTTCACTTTCTCAATAATGTCCACCAGCTGCTGGTTGCTTTTCAGCATCCCATTGGGCATCACAAACACCTTGGTTCCTGGCAGAGATGTGAAGGTCAAATGATCAGGGAAGAGGGAAGGACACAGCATCCCCTGCCTCTCTCTCATTTTCCCTATACCTATCAGATGCTATGACCTCTGCCTTTGTCACAATCCTACCATGACACCACTATTAGAATCAACGAGAATGTATGGAAAAAAAGAACTACAGATGAGCGTCTAAAACATAACAAAAGTCTTAAATCCTCTGTTTATTGGAAAACCAGGTTTAGAGCACTCAATAACAAGCACGTTTGGAGGAGCTGGGAATGCTACCTCTGGGAAGTAAGATTAGATCTTGCCTCCTGGTCAGGAGAACACTAGATCCATCCTGCTTCTCAGGGTTGCAAGTCAGGGATGGGGTGAGGGGAGGTGAGGTAAGGGTGCCTCTTACCTTGGAAGGCTTCTTCACACTCATCCAACCTTCGCTTCTTATAAGTGGGCTAAGGATACAAAGAGGCAGGGATGAGCCTAGTTTTGACACCCACATCTCCATCACAAGATACCCTTCAAGCAAGTTTAATCCCTTCCTCAGCCTCATAGCTTATGTTATTAATTTCTGCACAATTTCCTAAGTACATACAAAGCTTTAAGAAAGGTTATTGGAGGCAAGGCGCGGTGGCTCATGCCTGTAATCCCAGCAATTTGGGGGGCCGAGGTGGACAGATCACCTGAGATCAGAAGTTTGAGACCAGCCTAGCCAACATAGTGAAACCCCATCTCTACTAAAAATACAAAAAGTTAGCCAGGCGCGGTGGTTCATGCCTGTAATCCCAGCACTTTAAGAGGCCAAGGTAGGTGGATCACAAGGTCAGGAGTTCAAGACCAGCCTGGCCAAGACAGTGAAACCTCATCTCCACTAAAAATACAAAAATTAGCTGGGCGTGGTGGCAAGCACCTATAATCCCAGCTACTTGGGAGGCTGATGCAGAGAACTGCTTGAACCCAGGAAGCAGAGGTTGTAGTGAGCCGAGATTGCACCACTGCACTCCAGCCTGGGCAACAGAGCAAGACTCCATCTCCAAAAAATAAAAATAAAAAAAATTAGCCGGGTGTGGTGGCAGGCACCTGTAATCCCATCTACTCGGAAGGCTGAGGCAGGAGAATTGCTTGAACCTGGGAGGTAGAGGTTGCAGTGAGCCGAGATTGTGCCACTGCACTCCAGCCTATGTGACAAGAGTGAAACTCCACCTCAAAAAAAAAAAAAAGGAAATAAAGAAAAGGTTCTTGGGCTGGGCGCCATGGCTCACACCTGTAATCCCAGCACTTTGGGAGGCCAAGGCACACAGATCGCTTGAGCTCAGGAGCTTGAGACCAGCCTGGGCAACATAGGGAAACCCTGTCTCCACAAAAAATACAAAAACTAGCTGAATGTGATGGCACATGTACCTGTAGTCCCAGCTACCTGGGAGGCTGAGGTAGGAGGATCACTTGAACCCAGGAGTTTGAGGTTGCAGTGAGCTGAGATTAAGCCACTGCACTCCAACCTGGGTGACAGAGTGAGACTGGGTTCCCCCTCAGAGAAAGAAAGAAAAGGTTCTTACCACAAAGCAAATTACGCTCTAGTTGGGAAGACCAATCTTTCCAGAAACACAATACATTAAGTATTATAAAGAATAGGAAAAAAGAACCAATCAAAGCAGGGAAGATAATTAAGGGAATACGTACAAATCTGCTGGTTCCACAAAGGAACACATTATTCAGTTAACAAACATGTATTCAGCAATTGCTAGGGACCAGGATCAACACTAGGTGCTGGGAATACAAAGATTAAGATAGCTCCTGCCGGCCGAGCACGATGGCTCATGGCTGTAATCCCAGCACTTTGGGAGGCTGAGGCGGGCGGATCACCTGAGGTCAGGAGTTCGAGACCAGTCTGGACAACATGGTGAAACCCTGTCTCCACTAAAAATAAAAAAATTGGCTGGGCGTGGTGGTGTGCACCTGTAATCTCAGCTACGTGGGAGGCTGAGGTGGGAGAATCACTTGAACCCGGGAGGCGGAGGTTACAGTAAGCTGAGATCGCGCCACTGCACCCAGCCTAGGCAACAGAGTGAGACTCTGTCTCAAGGAAAAAAAAAAAAAAAAAAAGATAGTTCCTGCCTTCCAGATGTACAAGTTCAACAATGAGGCAGTACTACAGACAACAATACGGTATCATCAGTGTTATAGTAGCATGTGGACACATGACTGATAAGGACTAGGTGTTAGAGATGCAAAGCAAAGATAGCAATTGCAGTTACATAGCGAGAACTGCATATCCCATAACACTACTCAAGACATGCAAACAAATATAAGCAAAGTCTTGTTCAGAGCCATGGGAAAAACCAGGTAACCTGATGAAGCTAGTTCTCTTTTTTTTTTTTTGAGACAGAGTCTCGCTCTGTCGCCCAGGCTGGAGTACAGTGGCGCAATCTCAGCTCACTGCAAGCTCCGCCTCCTGGGTTCATGCCATTCTCCTGCCTCAGCCTCCGAAGTAGCTGGGACTACAGGGGCCCACAACCACACCCAGTTAATTTTTTGTATTTTCAGTAGAGACAGGGTTTCACGGTGTTAGCCAGGATGGTCTTGATCTCCTGACCTCATGATCCGTCCACGTCGGCCTCCCAAAGTGCTGGGATTACAGGCGTGAGCCAAGGTGCCTGGCCTAAGCTAGTTCTCTTTTATTTGAAACTCACTCTAACACTGACAGTAGCATTAGCACATTCACTTCACGTCGTAAATGAAACTGAGGGTCTAAAAGGAATATACTGGAGTCCCCGTGCAGTGACTCACGCCTGTAATCCCAGCACTTTGGGACGCTGAGGCGGGTGGATTACTTGAGCTCAGGAGTTTGAGACCGGCCTGGGCAACATGGTGAAACCCCATCTCTACAAAAAATACAAAAATCAGTGGGCATGGTGGTGGACTCCTGTAGTCCCAGCTACCTGCGAGGCTGAGGAGGAAGGATCGCTTGAGTTCGGGAGGTCAAGGCTGCAGTGAGCAGCATTCCCGCCACTACACTCCAGCTTGGGCAAAAAAAGTGACACCCTTTCTCAAAAATAAATAAATAAATAAGAAATAAAAGAACTATACTAGAGTCATCATGTCTGTAACAGAGTCCTAGTTCCCAGATCCAAATCCCACTGTTCCCTCTGTACATCTTAAACTGACAAGGAAACAGAGGACAGAGGACCTACTGCTCAAGAACACAAAGATAAATATAGGACACTTACACCATCCAGTCCATCATGGCTATTGGTGAGAAGAATGGGGTCAGGGACTGGGAGATTCATGTCAGAGTGGATCTGAGTTAGGTCATGGATGTTTAAGATTGGTTCCTGAAAGACACCCACCCCAAAACATTAATCTTTTCAAGCTGAACAAAGAAGTATTTGATTTGAAGAGCAAGAAATGAAAGTGCTTTTACAGTTTAAAAAAATAAAAAGAAGAAGAATCAACAGTTTATCCCAGTTGACAGTAATACCAGGGCCAAAAAAATTGGGGAATTTGAGGAAAGAATAGGGTCTCTCACCTTCAGAAAACTATCAAGTTCTAATAACTTCTTTGGGAAAAAATTTGCCACCAAGTCTTCTGCCTAAGGAAGAGGGAAAATACAGCTGAATTAATATCTGTGGGAAGGTCTCTCTCTCTCTCTCTCTCTCTCTCTCTCTCCAGGTATCTCCTCTTTGGGAAATTCTCAACCAACAACCATTTTTCTATTTATTTCACTCACCTCACTTGTGATCCGCTCCCTGAAAGAATCAACCTAAAATTAACAAAGAGAGCAATTCAGTACCTGGGGACAGAGGTAAGAGCAGGATGGAGAATCCCAATCCAACTGTCTTTCCCTCACCTTGTAACTGTAATAAGAAGCTGAGAGGCCCCCAGACTGCAAATACTTTATTTTTTTGAGGATCCATTTTTCCATCTCAGAAGAACGCAGGGCTTTGAGGACAGCACCTGCCTGTCTCCTCTGTCCTCCCCCTTCCCTCCCTTCCTCCTGTGTCTGAAGCTGTCTGAATTTGATAAGCAGACAAAAGACAGGTAGTTAGGGAAGATGTGAGCTCACAAACGTGCCAACCCCCACCCAGACCTAGTCTATGATACTAGGCAGGCCAGCCGCCAAGGGCAGGGGCAGTGTCCAGGGACGTTGTTGGGCTGGGGGATTACCAGCTGTCACGGGCCTAAAGCCCTGAGTCCAACACGTGTCCGCGGAGGTGTCCCCGGGACTCTCCATCATCAGACGCGGTACAGAAAGCCATCCTATATTTTCCTCTCCCGCGAAGCCGACCCCGGGAGTTGGGGGCTGGGCTGAGCCGAGCGGAAGCTCAGAGCTGGTATCCCCAGGGAGACAAAGACGCCATGGGGAGTAGGAAGCCGGTCAGACTGCTGGGGGATCAAAGCGAGGGGCAAAAAGGCCGGACCGGTGCCGCTACCTTGAGCTTCACTTCCTGATCCACCTTCAGCAACGAGGCCATGGCCGGGCCGGGCCGTGTCCGATCCTCTGGACACCGGAGGCGCTGTGGACTCCAGGGAGGGGGCCGGAGGGACCTGAGAAATCTCGGCTGACCTCGGGACCCGACCGCCCTTGCTGGCTTACTCACTGCTCGCTCGCTCCCTCCCTCTGTGCCGTCCGCCCGCCCGCCGGCAGCCTGCTGCCTGCTTGCTCTCTCGCTCGCCCTCCCGGCTTTCGCCGCTCACGCCGGAAACTGCGTCACAGCCAATCGCCGAGACTCCTGCGAGGCTGTGCACGTGCGCTGCGCAGCCGCGATGAGGCATGGCTTTGGACGCTCCCAGCGGGGTTCACACTGCCGGGGTCAAGTGTCGGGTAGGGGTAAAGTAAAAAGGAGAGCTGTGGGGAATGGTGCGCTGAGAACTGAGCCTCCGAGAGACTCGGAAACGGTGCGGCCCTCTCTGTTGTCCCGGAACTCGCCTTCACCGAAGGGACCTTCTCAGCCGCTGCACTCCCGGGGACAACGCCGTCGCGCCCCAGTGACGTAGGCTCGGGGAAGTCGGGGACCCGGGTACTGGGTTCGGGGGTGTAGTCCCTGATTCCCGCTGCCTCTGCCCGTTTGCCGAGGCTCAAGTGTTTAGGCTAGAGCGAAAAAGACAAGCGCCGTTGTACCAAGCTTTCCTGGTACATTTCCCTGCCAACTGATTCTCGTAAGCTTCCAGACCTCAAAGATCAACTACCTAATTGGCAAATTGATCCCCAGAGTAGGGTAGGGCTTGTCCAAGGCGTTTCCAGTACATCCTGAGCCAGAACCCAGATCTCCTAACTTCTACGGCAGTGCTGTATCTATTTGCCTAGTGGAAGCATGAGACTATACCTCTTCATGCACCCATTCATTCGATCTCTCTCTCTCGACATTGGATATATCATTCAATAAAATGGGGCAGGGCACTGTGTCAGATTCTAGAAATATGTGAGTCACATATGTAGGTTGAAATCTTCTAGTAGCCACAATTAAAAAGTAAAACAAGTGAAAATTTTAGTCATACATTTAACCCAGTTTATACAAGTATTTCAACATGTAATCAACATTTAAAAATCGAGATCTTATGCATTCTTTTCTCATACCAAGTCTTCAAAATCCAGTGCGTATTTTACACTTAACTGCACATCTCAATAAGGCAACACCACATTTGTAGTACAGTGCTCAGTAGCCACATGTGGCTGCTGGCTTCTGTATTGAAGAGCACAGCTCTGGGAAATCAAAGGCAAACAAGATTCAAGGTCGCTGGTCCCATGGGGCATAATATTGGAAAAACACCAGAAAGTAAACTGACAAGGTAACTGCAAAATTTGATAAATGTTAGGGAAAAAGTGGATGACATAGAAAATACGAGAGATCTATTTTAGATCGAATGGCCAAGGAAGGCCTCTGAACAGGCAAGCTGTGATCTAAAGGATATAAAGAGGTTAGCATGGAAAGAGTGAGAAGAGCCTTGAGAGGTATAAGGGCAGCTCAGGCAAATGCTCTAGGGAAGGAAAGAGATTGTCTTGAAGACAAAGACTAGTGAGCTGAGGGTGAGGAGGGTTGTTAGTAAACAATCTAGATTAAGTGCAAAAGGAGGTCATCAGATTTGTATTTTGGGGTCGCTCTTGCTGTTGAACATTTATCCTAGGCTGGCCTCTCTACTAAGTGCTAGGAAAATGAGGGGAATACACAATTAAATGGAGTAAAGCACAGAAGACTGACTATGGCCTTTGGGATCAGAGACCTGGGCTTCAAATCCCACCTCAGCTCCTTACTAACTGGAATCTTGGGCAAATTATTGAAATGCTGAGTCTCGATTCCCTCATCTGTAAGATGGAATTTTAATAATTAGTAATAAATAATAGTATGTAATTTTGTAGTGTTGTGAATATTAGAAATAATATATGTAAAACAATTAGCACAGTGCTTAGACACAAAATAAATAGTAGCCACTGTCAGGTAAGTAAGTGATCTGTTAATGCTTAGCATGAAGAGGTTACTCCTTAAATTACAGTAATTATTTCCATTCCTGCTTTCAAGCTCAAAGTCCTTTTCAGCTTATAGAAGGCCACATATAACATCATGCTCTATCAGTTTTCCCCCTTTTACATGTTTTCTGTTAACACATTTCCCTGGGAACTTTTGAGATCCGATTTGAAACTTCAGGAATTATTTCCCACATTTACTCCATTCTATTTTAAGTATGCCACTATTCTTATTCCAGTCAGAATTTATAACATCAACTGGAAAAGCTAATATGTTTGTGCCTGTTAAAATATGCTTTGTTCTCAAATAATTATGTTTTGTCTCCTTCAAGTAGGTTATAAGACAGATACACATTCTCTTTATTTCCCTTCCTCCTCCCCATCCAAGTGTTTAATATAATACTCCATTCATTTGTTTATTCAGTGAACAACTGGAGAGTACCACTACACTTAACAATAACTATTCATTTCTGGGTGCTTACAAGTCACATGTGATCACTGATGACTGGTCTAATTTTAAATTCATGTCCCAAAATCTCAAATGAGTGCACAACACTGCCTGAGCTCCTACTACATGCTCCTGACAAGTTTGCTCTCCCACCCTCCCAATGACTATCATACTTTCTCATCTCCCTGAACCTCCAGTATTCCTTCTCTCCCACCTCCAACTTATGGCCTGGGCTCATTCTTTATTGAGAAAACAGAAGCAGATGAGAACTACCTCATCATCTCACCACCAAATCTGCCAATCTGCAAAATACTTTCTGCCTTTCCTCTTTCATTGAAGGAAACAAACCTGTTCCTATCTCTTCCTTTTGTGCTTTGGATTCCATCCCCTTTGACTTTCTCAATCCCATGTCTGTGCCCATGATTAGCCCCTCTTTTTCCTACATCACATCCTCTGCTGGGTCATTTCCAGACATAACCAATATCCCCTATCTTGAGAAAACTCCCCCCCGAATCCAGATTCCTCTGTAGCTGTTACTCCCTTTCTGTGCTCTCCTTCCTGGCAAGACTTCTTGAATTATTTATTGTCTCTTACTCTACTTCCTCATGCCCCATTTACTCCAATCCACTCTAATCAGACTTCTCAACCCCACTTTCTCACTGATATAATTTTTGTTAGGTTACCAATGACTACCATGTTGACACCAGTGGTCACCTCTCATCTTATTTGAATCTCTCAGTAGTACTCAATATATTAGCCACTCCCCTTCTTAAAATACACACAGCAACCTGTTCTGATCTTTCTCCAGCCTCAACAGTGATTCCCCATTTCCTTTGCTGGCTCTTCCTCCTCTGCTCCACTTCTTAATGGTGGCATGCTTCAGGAGACTTAGGTCCTTTATTCTCTGCTTACACTTTCTCCCTAAGAGGATCTATGCATGTTCGGCCAGGCGCGGTGGCTCACGCCTGTAATCCCAGCACTTTGGGAGGCCGAGGCGGGTGGATCACGAGGTCAGGAGATAGAGACCATCCTGGCTAACACGGTGAAACCCCGTCTCTACCAAAAATACAAAAAATTAGCCGGGCGTGGTGGCGGGCGCCTGTAGTCCCAGCTACTCAGGAGGCTGAGGCAGGAGAATGGCGTGAACCTGGGAGGCAGAGCTTGCAGTGAGCTGAGATCGCGCCACTGCACTCCAGCCTGGGCGACAGAGCGAGACTCCGTCTCAAAAAAAAAAAAAAAAAAAAGAGGATCTATGCATGTTCATAGCTTTAAGTATCATCTGTATTCGGCCAGACACGCACGGGGGCTAATGCCTGTAATCCCAGCACTTTGAGAGGCCAAGGCAGGCAGATCACCTGAGGTTGGGAGTTCGAGACTAGCCTGAACATGGAGAAACCCCGTCTCTACTAAAAATACAAAATTAGCTGGGCGTGGTGGTACATGCCTGTAATCCCAGCTACTCGGGAGGCTGAGGCAGGAGAATCACTTGAACTGGGGAGGTGGAGGTTGCGGTGAGCCGAGATCGCGCCATTGCACTCCAGCCTGGGCAACAAGAGCGAAACTCCATCTCAAAAAAAAAAAAAAAAAAAAAAATCTGTATGCTGATTTGAGGGCCCCAGATTCGTATCTCCCATCTGACATCTTCACTGAGTTCTAACCATCTATTTGATGTTTCTACTTGGAAACCTAATGAGCATATCAAACTTAACATGGCCAAACCAGAATTCTTGATTCTCCCACACACCTGTTATTTTCCTATTCTTCTCCATCTCAGTAATTGACATAACTGTCCACCTAGTTGTTCAAACCAAAAACCTAACAGTCAACCTTGATTCCTCTCTTTTCCTCGTCTCTCCACATTCAACCCATCAGCAGGTCCTGTCAGCTTTCCCTGTATAATGCATCCTGTATGAGTGTGCTTTCCTCCATCTCTTGTTACCCTGGCCAAAGCCACTGTCATCCTTTGCTAGGACTATTACAATAGGCTCCTATCTGGTCTCTCCATTTCCACTCTTGCCACCCCCCACCAACTGTCACATTCTGTTCTTCACTCAGCACCAAAATTTATCATTGATTGATTGACTGACTGAGACAGGGTCTTGCTATGTTGTCCAAGTTGGTCTCGAACTCCTGGCTCAAGTGATCCTCCCGCCTCAGCCTCCTGAGGAGCTGGGATTACAGGTGCACACCAGGCCAGCTCAAAATAATCTGCTAATATGTCAGCCACAGAGATGGTAGCATCTACTCAAGCTGAATATACCTAAAGAGAGAGAGAGAAAGAGAAAGAGAGAGAGAGAGATCCCAGAAACCTCAACTCTAGGGACCCACCCAAGAGAAATGCATAAATATATTCACCAAAAGACATGAACAAGAATGTTCATAGCAACACTATTCACAATAGACCAAACTGGAAACTACCCAGATGCCTCTTAACAGCAAGAGAGATATCTATATTTTAATATAGTCACACAATGGAATACTACAAAGTATTGAGAATGTATGAACTAAAACTACACAAGGTGGGTGAATCTCATGATGAGCGAAAGGAAACAAGAGTATGTCATGTATGATTCCATTTACATGAAATTCAAAAAACAGTCAAAACTCAATCTAGGGTGTTAGAATTGACAATATTGTTTGCCCTTAGGGTGGGCATCAATTAGAGGGTGGCATGGGAGAGGGAGTTGGGTACTGGTTACATTGACGTGTTCATTTTGTAAAAATTCATTGAAAATACATGTATGATTTGTGTCTTTTCCCCTATGTATTCTATCCCCCCGTAAATAGTTTCTTTTTAAGTCAGCCAGTCAAGTCTCTTCCCTACTTACCACCCTCAGTGGTTTCCAGATAACATAGGCCTTCCTGAATCCCCCAGTTGAAGCAGCTCCTCCCACCCTGCCCCCACTTACTCTCTATCACATCACCTTCTTACCTACTGTATTAGCTTTCTAGGGCTGCTGTAGCAAAGTACCACAAAGTGGATGGCTTAGAACCAAAGAAATATATTGTCTCAGAGTTCTGGATGCCAGAAATCCAAAATTAAGGTGTCAGCAGGACCATGTTCCTTCTAAGGGAGCCAGAGAAGTATCTGTTCCAGACCTCTTTCCTGGCTTTTGGTAGCCTCAGGTCTTCCTTGGCTTACAGATCACCCTGTGTCTCTTTACATCATCTTCCCTCAGACACGGTACATGTCTGTCTCTGTGTCCAGATTGCCCCTATTTATAAGGACGCAGTCATATTGGTCTAGGGCTAACATCAATGACCTCATCTGCAACGATCCTATTTCCAAAAAAGGTCACATTCCCATGTGTTAGTCCCAGATGTTAGGACTTCAACATCTTTTGGGGGACATCATTCAACCCATAATATCTGCCATTATCTGAAATTATCTTATTAACTTGGTTACATGTTTACTGTCAAATTCTCTCCTCTGGAATATAAACTATTAGAGCAGTTCACCAGTATATCCTCTCAGACCTAGAATAGGGACTGGCACATAGTAGATGCTCAATAAACATCTGTTGAATCGATGACTGAGGATATGTTGTGTATTATTCACAATCCCTCAAGCACTACATACACTGATTACATATACTTCCCAAGTGTGAGGATACACAGAGCATTCACTATGTAACAGTCATTCCCCTCCATTCCAAATGTATCAGCTCATTTATCACACTACCCTTTATGATATTTACTACTGTATACTATTAATCTCATTTTGTAAATAAGAAAACAAAGCACAGAACAGTTGAATAAATTGCATAAGGTCACATGGTTAGTGGATGGTAAAGAACCAGGTGGTCTCAACTTCCAAATCCTCAGTTGTAACACTATACCCCCTACCTCTCTAGAAGCCCGTTACTTCTCTATGCGTTTCTGAGATGTTAGGGACAGCCAAGCAGGAAGAAACGCAGGACTATGAAGCAGCCACACCAGGACTAGGTGAGAATTCTTTGGGGATGATTCCAGTCACCTCCCCTAAAGGGGCTTTCATGCTGAAAGAGCCAAGAGGAAGAAGGATTGTAAACACTATCCCTAGTCACAAAACCGGGAGAAAAATCAATCTAGTTCCACATATCACATCCAATACCAACTATAAGAAACCACATACATTTAAAAGAAAAGAAAGACACTTCTGGAGGTGGGAATAACTTTCTAAGCAGTATAAGTCATCAAGAAAAATAAGCAGATTTGACTTGAAAATTTAAAACTTCCTGAACATCTGGAAAATAATTAAAGCATTCATGAAAAATTACTAAAAATACTGAGAAAAATACTAATAATCCAATACCTAAATAATCAAAGAATGCAAACATAATTCAGAAAAAAGTAACTACTGCTTGAGCCCGGGAGGCGGAGATTCCAGTGAGCTGATATTGCACCACTGCACTCCAGCCTGGGTGACAGAGTGAGACCGTGTCTCTTTTTTTTTTTTTTTTTAAAAAAAGGCCGGGCATGGTGGCTCACACCTGTAATCCCAGCACTTTGGGAGGCCAAGGCGGGCAGATCAGGAGGTCAGGAGATTGAGACCATCCTGGCTAACATGGTGAAACCGTCTCCACTAAAAATATAAAAAATTAGCCGGGTGTAGTGGTGGGCGCCTGTAGTCCCAGCTACTCGGGAGGCTGAGACAGGAGAATGGCGTGAACCCAGGAGGCAGAGGTTGCAGTGAGCCGAGATGGCACCACTGCACTCCAGCCTGGGCAACAGAGCAAGACTCCATCTCAAAAAAAAAAAAAAAAGTAACTACAATAAGCAAATACATAGCAAAAAGTTCAGCCTTACCAGCAATCAATGATGCTAATTAAAATAACAAGGAAGTGCCATTTTTTGCTTTTGTTCCCCAAATATATGATACCCAATACTGGCCAAGGCAATATGAAAACAGGCTTCCTCATACATTACTGGAAGCAGAATATAGTTATGTGCAAGCACTTTGGAAAATGATTCCCAGTGTTAAGGAAGAGACATTAAATAGCTGACACACTCTTAATTCTGTAGTCCCAGTTATGAGTCTCTATCATAAGTAGCCAGCTCTTCATTGCAGGATTATTGTAATCACCCACAGGGGAAATAGTAGAATTTCCAGCGGTAAAAAAATACACTAAGGCAGTACATTTAGTGTAGTGTAATGTAGCCATGATAACTACAATAACTGTGTAGCAACATAGAAAAATGTTAAATTTAAAAAGCAGAAGCCTGGGCAACAAAGTGAGACCCCATCTCTTTTTTTTTTTGAGATGGCGTCTCGCTCTGTCACCGAGGCTGGAGTGCAGTGTGAGACCACATCTCTACAAAAAATTTTAAAAATTAGCTGGGCATGGTAGTGATCACCTGTGGTCCCTGCTACACTGGAGGTTGAAGCAAGAGGATTGCTTGAGCCAGGAAGTCAAATCTGCAGTGAGCCATGTTTGTTTGTTCCGCTTCACTCCAGCCTGGGTAACAGAGTAAGACACTGTCTCAAAATAAAAATAAAATAGACAATACTACATACAATTTTGGGTTAAGCAGTGGTTTCTTTTACACCAAAAGCATAAACATTGGACTTTATTGAAATGAAAAACTTTTGGCCAGGCACATTGGCTCACACCTGTAATCTCAGCACTTTGGGAGGCCACAGTGGGGGATTGCAAGGGGAGATGGGAAATGTTCTAAAACTGGATTATGGTGATAGTTGGGCAACTGTGTAAATTTACTAAAAATTATTGAACTGTACATTTAAAAAGTGTGAGTCTTATGGTATGTAAATTATACCCCATAAAGTTGTTTTTAAAAATGAAGTAAGTCCCTCTGCTCAAGACCCAGTCATCTCATCTCATTCAAAGTGAAAGCCAGAGCTTTACAATCCCTATAAGAGCCTAGGTGGTAGCTCAACACTCTTACCTCCCTCACCCCATTTTCTGTATCTCTTTTCGTTGCCCATCTTCTAGCCACACCAGCCTCTGCTAATCCCCAAACAGGTACCCTCTGTGCTCTTGCTGTTCCCTTGGCCTAGAATGCTCTTCCTTAAGATGCAGGTAAGAATTCCTTCCTCACCTTCTTCAAGCTTTTATTTGAATATCACTTTCTTTTTTTGTTGGTTTTGTGTGTGTGTGTGGGGGGGGGGGGTTTGAGATGGAGTTTCCTTCTGTCGCCCAGGCTGGAGTGCAGTGGCATGATCTCGACTCACTGCAACCTCCGCCTCCGGGGGTCAAGCGATTTTCCTACCCCAGCCTCCTGAGTAGCTGGGATTACAGGCGCACGCCACCATGCCCAGCTAATTGTATTTTTTAGTAGAGACGGGATTTAACCATTTTGGCCAGGCTGGTCTCGAACTCCTGACCTTGTGATCCGCCCGCCTCGGCCTCCCAAAGTGCTGGAATTACAAGCGTGAGCCACCATGCCCGGCCTTTTGTTGTTGCTGTTGTTGTTCTGAGATGGAGCCTTGCCCTGTCGCCCAGGCTGGAGTGCAGTGGCCCGATCTCGGCTCACTGCAACCTCCACCTCCCAGGTTCAAGCGATTCTCCTGCCTCAGCCTCCCGAGTAGCTGGGATTAAGCTGGGATTATAGGCGTGCCCCACCACGCCCGGCTAGTTTTTGTATTTTTAGTAGAGACGGGGTTTCACTGTGTTGGCCAGGCTGGTCTCGAACTCCTGACCTCACGTGATCCGCCCTCCTCGGCCTCCCCAAGTGCTGAGATTACAGGCGTGAGCCACCGCGCCCGCCGCCCCCTGAATTTAGAGAATAGCGGAGCCTCCCCATTCTCTGCGGCCTTGGCTCCTACACTTCCCGTGGTAACCTTGTTCATCCGCTGAAGCCCGCTGCTTTTCCCAGCCCGGCCTCTGGGGGCCGCTGCCGGGCCTGTGAGCCTGTGGACCAGGAGCTCCTGCTGCCGTCGTAGCGTCACGTCCGGTCTCGGGCGGAAGTTTTCCGGCGGCTACCGGGAAGTCGCTGAAGACAGAGCGATGGTAGTTCTGGAGGCCTCGCTCCGGGGCCGACCCGAGGCCACAGTGCCTCCGCGGTAGACCGGACTTGGGTGACGGGCTCCGGGCTCCCGAGGTGAAGAGCATCGGGGGCTGAGGTGGGACCTTAGAAGGGAGTCTGGGAACCCTCACGGCTCTTATTGGAGTCCCTTCCCTGACCCTGGGCTCTAAACTGCCTTTGCTCAGGCTGTCCCGGAAGCAGGTCCTCCCCGTATCATACCATTCCTAGAGGGAACGGCGCAGGTTGGGACTTCCCTCCCTTTACCATCGTCACCAAGGCATGTGGTAACCCCGGGCCGGAGGTCAAGGGCGTCGCTTCTCCCTAATGTTGCCTCTTTTCCACGGCCTCAGGGATGGAAGGGTCTAAGACGTCCAACAACAGCACCATGCAGGTGAGCTTCGTGTGCCAGCGCTGCAGCCAGCCCCTGAAACTGGACACGAGTTTCAAGATCCTGGACCGTGTCACCATCCAGGAACTCACAGGTCAGCGAGACCCTTGGAAAGAGGGTGGTCAAGAATGTGGAAGGTGGGCAGCTTTGGTGATATAATTCTTATGGTGGCTGTGTAGTCTGCCACAAACTCATCGTGTGAACCTAGGAAAGTCACTTCATCTGGCTCCCTGTTTTCTCCTTGGAAACATAAAGCATTCTGACATTGTGGACTTCTGAGAGCTTTCCGACCGGGCGCGGTGGCTCACGCCTGTAATCCCAGCATTTTGGGAGACCGAGGCGGGCAGATCACCTGAGGTCAGGAGTTCGAGACCAGCCTGGCCAACATGGCGAAACCCCTCTCTACTAAAAATACAAAAATTAGCCGGGCGTGATGGCACGTGCCTGTAGTCCCAGCTACTCGGGAGGTTGAGGCAGGAGAATCGCTTGAACCGGTGAGGTGGAGTTTGCAGTGAGCTGAGATCGCACCACTGCACTCCAGCCTGGGCAACAGAGCGAGGCTCCGTCTCAAAAAAAGAGAGCTTTCAGTAGCAAAAGAAAGATCCTTATTTTCTGCTCCTGCTGTTTCAGAGAAAAGGAATATGTATATATAATAATAAATGGTATTTTTTGAGGACTTACTATATAGTAATACCAAGTGCATTACACGTATTACTTCATTTAGTCCCTGTAACAACCCGTACGGGGTATACCGTCATTACATCATTTTTCAGATGAAGAACCGAGGCACAGAGAGGTTAAGTGACTTACCTAAGGTCCAACAGCTGGTAAATGGAGTAGAGTCTTAAAGTCTGAAGAATTTGCTGGATGTGATGGCTCACGCCTGTAATCTCAGTGCTTTGGGAGGCTGAGGTGGGAGGATCGCTTGAGCCCAGGAGTTCAAGACCAACCTGAGCAACCTAGCAGAGATCTTGTCTCTAAAAAAAAAAAAAAATTGCTGGGTGTGGTGGGTGGTGGAGGCTGAGGCAGGAGGATCACTTGAGCCCAGGAGGTCAAAGCTGCAGGAAGCTATGATCATGCCACTGCACTGCAGCTTGGGCAACAGTGCAAGACCCTGTCTCAAAAAATAAATTAATTAAAAAGGCCAGGAGTGGTGGTTCACACCTGTGATCCCAGCACTATGGGAGGCTGAGGCAGGTGGATCACTTGAGCAGGAGTTTGAGACCAGCCTGGGCAACACAGTAAGACCCTGTCTCTATAATTAAAAAAAATAAAAAACCCCAAAATCCCGCAAAGTCAGAAGAATTCAGATTAAGTCAGACAGTAAAAGAGAAGACTGAATAGGCAGCTTAAATAAGCTTATGGGCCTGGAGTCAGCCTGCTTGGGTTTAAATCCTGGCTGTCATTTACTAGCTGAACAACTTTTTGCAAGTTACTTCATTTCTCCAAGCCTTGGTTTCTGATTTTTTCTGTAAAACGTTAAACTGCCTCATAAAGAATTTATAAAGTTCAAATATGACAAACCACAGAAACACTTAGGAATTTGCTGGGCAAATAGTATTCAATAAGTATTAGCTGCTATTATTACCTGGTTTCTCTTTCTTGAGGGGAAATTAGCTCTTTTTTTTGTTTGTTTGTTTGAGACGGAGTCTCACTCTGTTGCCAGGCTGGAGTGCAGTGGCGCGATCTCGGCTCACTGCAACCTCTGCCTCCCGGGTTCAAGTGATTGTCCTGCGTCAGCCTCCTGAGTAGCTGGGACTGCAGGCACACACCGCCACGCCCAGCTAATTTTTGTATTTTTAGTAGAGACGGTTTCACTATGTTGGCCAGGATGGTCTCGATCTCTTGACCTTGTGATCTGCCCGCCTCAGCCTCCCAAAGTGCTGGGACTACAGGCGTGAGCCACCGCGCCTCTTAAACTCTTTTAATAACAATTTTTGACTTTTTATTATGGAAAATTTGAGACATATATAGTCAAGAGAATAGCATAGCCTGCCTTGTATTCATCATCCAGCTTCAATAATCAGCCATATTCTCACATTCTTATGTTGTCTACACCTCCATTCACCTCCCATCCTCTGCTCAATTATTATGTTTTTCACACCTTTTTAGAAAGGTAAATTGTCATGACTTGAAATGTATGAATCTTAGCTGTACATTTTTGACAAATGGATACACTGATGTAATCTGGATCGTTGCAATTTAGCAATGTTTCATCTTCCTAGAAAGTTTCCTTATGTTCCCTCCTTGCTATTCTGGGGGAAACAGGATGTTTGCTTTTGTGATGGAAAATTTCAGAGTATATCATGAACTCCTGTGTACCCATCACCTAGTTGCAACAATTATCAACACATATTTAATCAAGTTTTGTCTACAGCCCCATCCATTCCTTCCCACTCTGAATTGTTTTGAAGCAAATCCCAAACATAAATACTGTAAATATTTCTGTATTTTTGACAGATAAGGATTCTTAAAGATAAATGATACCGGCCGGGCGCGGTGACTCAGCCTGTAATCCCAGCACTTTGGGTAGCTGAGACGGGTGGATCACGAGGTCAGGAGATCAAGACCTGGCCAACATGGTGAAACCCTGTCTCTACTAAAATACAAAAAAATTAGCTGGGCATGGTGGTGCACGCCTGTAGTCCCAGCTACTTGGGAGACTGAAGCAGGGGAATCACTCGAACCCGGGAGGCAGAGATTGCAGTGAGCCGAGATCGTGCCACTGCACCCCAGCCTGGCGACAGAGCAAGACTCCATCTTAAAGTAATAATAATAATAATAATAATGATACCATTATGCCTTAAAAAATTGAACATTTCTTTAATCTGATTTAATGGGGGTGAGGAAGACCACAGATTCTTTTGGTGTAAATGGTACTTTAAGAAAAATTGGAGGTGAGGGTGGTGATGAGAATATTTCACATTCTTTTCCCATACTTTCAGATGCCCTCCTGCTTTAATAAGACTGTTTCTGACCCAATATTTTCCTTGCCCTTAGCTCCATTACTTACCACAGCCCAGGCGAAACCAGGAGAGACCCAGGAGGAAGAGACTAACTCAGGAGAGGTAATAGAAGTGCCCTCTCCCCTATCCTCCTCATGTAGTAAACATTCCAAATGAGAGATATGATATGAAAACAGGAATGCAGGCTTGGTTTCTGCAGGCTACTTGGCGCTTCTAGAGCTCCCGGACTTTTGGGATCTCTGGGTAATGAGACATTCTACATGATCAGGCTGCTATGCACCATTGGAGGTACAGATCTGCACCTGAGGTCACAGGGTTACTGAATTAGTCATTTTAAAATGTTGGAAAGGGCTCTTTATTTGAAGCAGAATTATAAATTATTGTAGGTTGGAGATGGGATGACCTGTGTGTCCAGGTCGTTCTAGAGCATTGATTTGCATCTGTTGTTCTAGCTAGTTGTTAATATCCACTCCTTTCCATTCTCAAAAGCATCCTGGTTAGGACAGTGAATTGTATGATTGCCCTGGACAGAAAGAATTGTCAGTGTTAGAGAACATGTCATTTTAAGCTGTGATAATATCAGGGATCCTGTGGAGCAACATCCTGTGAGATACTATTGAATACACACCTGAGATTTCTTCTCAAGTAGCAAGGGAGCTGGAGTATTTATTTACCCACAGCTGCCAGTCACTGGGGGAGTGCTGATGTCAGGTTTAGTGGAGGTCATTAATTCTGGCCAGCGCCCCCTGCAGGCAGTGAAGAGTCCAGGAGCCAGAGAAGCCTTTAAGCAAGGAGGCAAAGGGGTCTGGCATTTGAAGTCAATAGATGCTGTGAGATTTTGGTCACATATGAGTAATCTCAAAATACTGAAAACATATAAATTTTCTACTTTGTACTGTGGCAGACTTCATTGCAGTCTGATCTGGCTTTTTCCTTGTACTATGATTTAGGGCATTCTGTCCTCTGCCCCTGACTGCTAAGTGTTGAGAAATGCAAATTTAACCATACATAGAGTGTAACATAGTTAGGAAATGCTGTTCCCCACAAAAAAAAAATCAAATGGGACTTAAGGTTTGTCTGTATCGTGGGTCCTTTCTTAGTCCACATACACAAGGATTGCTTCGATAATACCCATTTTTTAAGTCTCTGTGGTTTATCAAGTCTTGTGGTTATCAAGACTAAAGCCATATAGTTCTGAGGCTGTTTGGGAGATGAACTCTACCTCTAAGCTGCCAGAGTTGTAATGCCCTCTTATTTCTTTCCCAGGAGCCATTTATTGAAACTCCTCGCCAGGATGGTGTCTCTCGCAGATTCATCCCCCCAGCCAGGTGCCTACTACTTCTCAGCCCCCATTCCTTGCCAAAGGCTAGTAGAATTTTAATTAAATCCAGGAATCGAGACCTGGAGCCAGGTGATAGAGATGCATCATCACCTAGCCTTTTGGCCCTTTCAGAAAAGATGTATTCCCTTATACCTGGCCCGTCACCTTCCAGTATGGATTTTTTCCTGTAGCTGTTCACAGAGTGGGAAAGGATAGTAGCTTTAATGATGAAGTATTGAAAAAAATTGAGGGAGTGATTGACCAATCACCAAGAGATGGGCTCTTGAGAAGTTTCAAACTAGCAAATGTTGTTAGATGTTCAGGTCCTTAGTTCTCATTGCTGCAGGTAAAGAGCTTGCTGGCAAGGGGTATAATATTTTCTAAAATGGCCTTTCCTGGTTCTCCCTTCTTTTCCACTGTAGACATATGAATTTTTTATGCTCCCTCTCCCTCCTTAGTCCACCAAGGCCAACCTTCATGCTGAGTGTCCCTGTGGAAGACCAGCATGGCCTTCCTTTGGGAGAGAGGTACCCTTGGGAGGTCAGTCGGGCTAGGAGTGGGTATGTTCCTTGAGGCCCCTCAGCTGGTGCTTGAGAGTCTCTGCCACTGGCATTGTAGTAGGTGGAGGAAGCCTCTCTGTTCCCTCATGTGGCCCGTGGGCGGGGGGCTGTCTGCAGGATGATGTCCACAGAAAGTGCCAACAGCTTCACTCTGATTGGGGAGGCATCTGATGGCGGCACCATGGAGAACCTCAGCCGAAGACTGAAGGCAAGTCGGCCCCATTCCGGTGGCAAGCAGTAGGCCTGGCTGGGAGAGTGGGTAATTGAGCAGGAAGCATGGGGGAGGCCCTACCCTGACTCTCCCACACTTCCAGGTCACTGGGGACCTTTTTGACATCATGTCGGGCCAGACAGATGTGGATCACCCACTCTGTGAGGAATGCACAGATACTCTTTTAGACCAGCTGGACACTCAGCTCAACGTCACTGAAAATGAGTGTCAGAACTACAAGTGAGTGTCTCCAGAGCCAGGGCTCAGAGCTGTTACTGCTCTGAGACTGCTTGGCCCTTACCCAAGAGCCGTACTCCACTCAGGCAAATGGAGCTCTAGTAAGTATAGTCTGCCTGTGTCTTTGGCAGACGCTGTTTGGAGATCTTAGAGCAAATGAATGAGGATGACAGTGAACAGTTACAGATGGAGCTAAAGGAGCTGGCACTAGAGGAGGAGAGGCTGATCCAGGAGCTGGAAGACGTGGAAAAGAACCGCAAGATAGTGGCAGAAAATCTCGAGAAGGTCCAGGCTGAGGCTGAGAGACTGGATCAGGAGGAAGCTCAGTGAGTGCTCACCCTGTTCTATCTTCTCACACTCGAGGCTCCAGGAGAGGAAATGGCTTCCAGCTGAATGTGTCTGAATAGTTTGTAAACTAGTCAGCTGTCAGTCAGCAGCATGCCTGCCCCAGATCCTGCATATTGCTTCCATGCCCTTTTTCTAGAGGTTTGTTGGGAGAGTTACCTATGAAGAGTCAGCATGATTAAGTGAAAAAAGTATGTTGGTTAAATAGTGCAGAAACCAGAGCTCCAGTCTTGGCTCTGTCCTGTAGGGAATGGGCTCATTTGGATGAATCAGCCACTTTCTAGCCATCCTTAGCTGAAAAGATGAGCTAATTAGCCTACATTTGTTCCCTCCAAGCTTAAACATTTCATGGGGGCCAGGTATGGTCGTTCATATCTGTAATTCCAGCACTTTGGGAGGCCAAGGCAGAAGGATCACTTAAAGCCAGGATTTAAGGCCATCTGGGGCAATATCAAGTGAGACCCCATCTCTACAAAAATGAAAATTAAAAAAAAATTAGGCTGCTGTGGTAGACCTGTAGTCCTAGCAACTACTTAGGAGGCTGAAGTGGAGGATAACTTGAGCCCAGGAGTTTGAGGTTACAGTGTGCTGTGATCACACCTCTGCACTCCAGCTTGGGCAACAGAGTTGAGACCCTGTCTCAAAAAATAAAAACATTATAGATGTCCTTGACCTGAGAGAACCCTCTCTCTAGTGGAGGACACACAGTGTCCATACTAACTGAAGTTGTGGAAATGAAGGATAGAGAAAAGTCCATTTTTTTCACACAGTAGTATAACAAGTTTCACTGGAAGTGGGGTATAGTAACTATTTAAAGGACAGTAAGTGTATAGAAATGAAGCTTTAGAAGGCCAATTATGGCCAGTTCATGGAAGAAGCCACTGTTTTTTTGTTTTTTTTTTTTTTAGAAACAGAGTCTTACTCTGTCATCCAGGCTGGAGTGCAGTGGTGCAGTCATGACTCACTGCGGCCTTGACTTCCTACACCTAAGCAATCCTCCCGCCTCAGCCTCCCAAGTAGCTGGAACTACAGGCGCGCAACACCATACCTGGCTAATTTTTGTATTTTTTATAGAGATGGAGTTTCCCCATGTTGCCCAGGCTGGTCTTGAACTCTTGAGCTCAAGTGATCCACCTGCCTCAGCCTCCCAAAGTGCTGGGTTTACAGGCATAAGCCACCATGGCCAGCTGGAAAAAGCCACTGTTTTTTGTTTTTGATTTTGGTTTTTTTTTGAGACAGAGTCTCACTCTGTTGCCTAGGCTGGAGTGCAGTGGCATGATCTCAGTTGTCTGCAACCTCCACCTCCCAGGTTCAAGCGATTCTCCTACCTCAGCCTCCCAAGTAGCTGGGACTACAGGCGTGCGCCACCACGCCTGGCTAATTTTATTTTTTTAGTAGAGACGGAATTTCACCATGTTGGCCAGGCTGGCATCTAACTCCTGACCTCAGGTGATCTGCCCACCTCAGCCTCCCAAAGTGCTGGGATTACAGGTGTGAGCCACTGCACCCGGCCCAGAAGAAGCAGAAGCCACTCTTTTTTTTTTTTTTTTTTGAGACAGAGTCTCGGCTCTGTTGCCCAGTCTGGAGTACAGTGGTGTGATAGCTCACTGCAACCTCTGCCTCCTGGGTTGAAGCAATTCTGCCACTTCAGCCTCCCAAGTAGCTGGGACTACAGGTGTGCACCACCACGCCTGGCTAATTTTTGTATTTTTAGTAGAGACAGGGTTTCACCACATTGGCCGGACTGCTCTCGAACTCCTGACCTCAAGTTATCCACCCGTCTTGGCCTCCCAAAGTGCTGGGATTACAGGTGTGAGCCACCACGCCTGGCCCCAAGAAGCCACTCCTAACCCATTCACCTCACTTCTGAAAAAGATCAGAAATAAGAGGTTTTTTGCCCTGGTTTGGGAGAATTCTTTTTTCCTCCACCTTTTTGCATATGGGCAGCTGGAATTTGAGACATTTCTGTTCCTTCCAGGCAAAACAGCTAGGACATACATGTTCCTCAGAATGGGATCTATGCCAAATATAAAAGATGCGAGAGCTAGATGTAACGATGATCACTAAAGAATCGTTCATAGTGTGGTGAGAGAGAAACTTTAGCCCCCAAGCTAACAGCCTTCAATGGCCCCCTTGGCTGCTCACAGGTATCAGAGAGAATACAGTGAATTTAAACGACAGCAGCTGGAGCTGGATGATGAGCTGAAGAGTGTTGAAAACCAGATGCGTTATGCCCAGACGCAGCTGGATAAGCTGAAGAAAACCAACGTCTTTAATGCAACCTTCCACATCTGGTAATGAGAGCTAGGGGATGAGGAGCACTGCACATATCTAGACCTTAGCTGTTGACCACTAAGCCTGGGTGCCCACTTCCCACAAAAGAGGGACTGTAGGTTATCTTCACCCAACTAGGTTTCTTTCATTCATAGTGATGGGATAGGCACAGTAGGGATTGGAATTCTAGAGCTTGGTGACATCCGCCCTTCTAAAGAAAGGAAAAGGCCTGAGCCCTTCAGCCACTTAAAAACCTGGTAAGCTGTCTGGTGCTGATTTCTTATCCCCACGGTGTTTGATGTTCCATTAATTTAATAACTGTTGAGTGTCTACTCTGGAAAAGGCACTGTGCTGAGTGCTAGGAGGGCAACAGCAAAACAGTATGCAGTCAACCTTCTAGTTGCATATAATCTGGTGGAAGAGATGGATAAATAACAAGCAGTTGTAATGCAGTGTGATGATGGTAAACCCAGGGTGCTGTGGGAACACATAAGGGCACTTGATCCAGTTTGGGGAGGCCATATGGAGAGTTTCCCCATAGGGGACTTACGTTTAAACTGAGAGGTAAAGTAGAAGTCTGCAGAGAGGGGGTTGTTCCTAGCAGAGAGAACATTATGTGCAAAGAAATGGGAAAGAGGGAGTGGTGAATTCAGAGAACAGAAAGGAGCTTATTGTGACTGAAGATTGAGTGTAAAGGGGAGAGTGGCCGGATATGAAACTGGAGAGTTACCAGTTCCTGAAGGATCTCGTAGGCCTCGTTAAGAGGTTTGGACTTCATCCAAAAGGCAGAGGAGACACTGAAGCATTTTAGCTAGGGAAGTGACGTAATTACACTTGTATTCGTGAATGATGGCTTTTCCTGCACCATGGGGAATGACTTGGGGTAAAGGGGTGGAATCGTTGGAAAGGATACTCATCAGTAGGAATCTAAAGGAAAAGAATAGTAGCATTGAATTTGGAGAAAAGTGGAAAGATCCAAGATATTTAGCAGGTAGAATCAGGAGAGGTTGGCAGTTTTGCACGGAAGGAGCTGAGGGAGCATTCAAGGATACCACCCAGGTTTCTGCTTTGGCATCTGAGCAGCAGGGAAAAAGATGATGACTCAAGTTTTGGACATGTATTTAAAGTGCCAAGTACAGCTTGCATATATGGACTTGAAGATAGATTTAAGCTAGGTTTGGGGTGAGAGTGGGAAATGTCAAACTTTTTAAGTAATCCCTGTATTTCCCCCCACCTTTCTGCCTTCCTCTGTAGGCACAGTGGACAGTTTGGCACAATCAATAACTTCAGGCTGGGTCGCCTGCCCAGTGTTCCCGTGGAATGGAATGAGATTAATGCTGCTTGGGGCCAGACTGTGTTGCTGCTCCATGCTCTGGCCAATAAGATGGGTCTGAAATTTCAGAGGTAGGAAGTGTAGCCCTTTCTTGGGGAGTGATGTGCATTGATATAATTTGTATCTCCAACCTGGTACTGCTGTCCACCATGTCAGGAGCCCTTGCTGCCCACAGACTGGGAGTTTTCTGTGGCTGAAGAGCTGTCAGCATCTGATTTTCCCCTCATCACAGGGCTCTCTCCACTGATCACACAGTCACTGAGTTGCGTGACTATAGCATAGTTCCCAGCCTACAGTCCCCAGAGCCTTAGTGTTCCTCAGGATATTTTCAGTTTTTGTTTCTTAAATTTAAACCAAAACATAACATTTGTTCATGGAAGGCCCCCAGGCAATTATATAATAAATGTAGTTTGTTCATTAAACAAAATCTTTTAAACATGGATTCAATGGGGAGGTGGGAGAGGGAGTTGAGCATAATAAAAGAAGCCCTTGGCCAGAATGAAGAGTGAAATCATTGGGTTGTAACTTCCCAATAATCACTTTGGGAGGAGTCCTGTATCCATCTCTGTTTGTATCTCTATTTTAGATACCGACTTGTTCCTTACGGAAACCATTCATATCTGGAGTCTCTGACAGACAAATCTAAGGTACTCTGTGAAGCTCCATTTTCACTGGAATACAGAGTTCTTATATCTCTTAAGAAAATGGATGGTTTGCTTTGATATTGGCATTCAATTTATTTTTTAGACCTAGATATGAAGAGCCAGTATATTGTTCAATATCTTGTCTAGTTCAGGTTTAGTTTTGGGGGTCTTGTAGACAGAAATCAGGTTTTGACAGTCTGTTGAGAAGGGATATGGGCAGGTCAGAAGAGGGTGTGTGCACTAGGCTAGGAAAAGAATCACCGTGAGATAGATGTTTACAGGTTGAGTATCACCAGAAGTGTTTTAGATTTTGGATTTTTTTTTTCAGATTTTGGGATATTGGCATATAGATACTAAGATATCTTGGGAATGGGACCCAAGTCTAAACACAAAATTCATTTATGTTTCTTCTTCTGAGACAGAGTCTTGCTCTGTTGCCCAGACTGGAGTGCAGTGGCACGATCTCGGCTCACTGCAACCTCCGCCTCCCAGGTTCAAGTGAGTCTCCTGCCTCAGCCTCTGGAGTAGCTGGGATTACAGGTGCCCACCACCAGGCCCAGCTAATTTTTGTATTTTTAGTAGAGATGGGGTTTTACCATGTTGGACCAGGCTGGTCTCGAACTCCTGACCTCAGGTGATCCACCCGCCTCAGCCTCCCAAAGTTCTAGGATTACAGGCATGAGCCACCGTGCCTGGCCTGTTTTATATATACCTGATACATGTAGTCTGAGGTAATTTCATACAATATTTTAAATAATTTTGTGCATGAAACAAAGCTTGTATACATTGAATCATCAGAAAGCAAAGGGCCGGGTGCAGTGGCTCACGCCTGTAATCCCAGCACTTTGGGAGGCCAAGGCGGGTGGATCACAAGGTCAGGAGATTGAGACCATCCTGGCTAACACAGTGAAACCCCGTCTCTACTAAAAATACAAAAAAAAAAAAAAAATCAGCTGGGCGTGGTGGCAGGTGCCTGTGGTCCCAGCTACTCGGGAGGCAGTGGCAGGAGAATGGCGTGAACCTGGGAGGCAGAGCTTACAGTAAGCCGAGATTGCGCCACTGCACTCCAGCCTGGGCGACAAAGCAAGCCTCTGTCTCAAAAAAAAAAAAAAAAAAAAAAAAAAGCAAAGGTATCAGGTATGGAATTTTCCCCTTGTGGCATCATATCAATGGTCAAAAAGTTTCAGGTTTTGTAGCATTTTTTATTATTTTTATTTATTTATTTATTTTGAGACGGAGTCTCACTCTGTCACCCAGGCTGGAGTGCAGTGGCGTGATCTCGGCTCATTGCAGGCTCTGCCTCCCAGGTTCACGCAGTTCTCCTGCCTCAGCCTCCTCTCCTCCCGAGTAGCTGGGATTACAGGCGCCCACCACAATGCCTGGCTAATTTTTTGTATTTTTGGTAGTGACGGGGTTTCACCATGTTATCCATGATGGTCTTGATCTCCTGACCTCATGATCCACCCGCCTTGGCCTCCCAAAGTGCTGGGATTACAGACGTGAGCCACTGTGCCTGGCATATTTTTATTTTTTTTTCTTTTCTTTTTGTGGGTTTTTTTTTTTTTTGAAATGGAGTTTCGCTCTTGTTGCCCAGGCTGAAGTGCAATGGCATGATCTCGGCTTACTGCAACCTCCGCCTCCCGGGTTCAAGCAATTCCCCTGCCTCAGCCTCCTGAGTATCTGGGATTACAGGCATGCACCACCACGCCCGGCTAATTAGGTATTTTTAGTAGAGACGGGGTTTCTCCATGTTGGTCAGGCTAGTCTCAAACTCCCAACCTCAGGTGATCTGCCCACCTTGGCCTCCCAAAGTGCTGGGATTACAGGCGTGAGCCACTGCTCCTGGTCTATTTATTTATTTTTCTTTTCCCATGTACTCTTCCTGGAAAGGTTTTGTAGCAATTTGGATTTTTGGATTAAGGATGCTCAACCTATGGTACATTTTCATTGATAGTGAAACAGTTCTAAGTGCATTGTTACTTGCCCAAGCTTATTGTAGTTGTTCAAATCTATGGAAGATAGAGTCCAGCTACAATACAAGTTTCCAGTGGGATACAGACAGAACATGACTTGAGAGATTGATAGGATTGGGAACAATCTCTGGAAGCCTTTCTTGGTGCCAGATCCATAGCCAGTTTTCTCTTCTTGGGCAGGAGCTGCCGTTATACTGTTCTGGGGGGTTGCGGTTTTTCTGGGACAACAAGTTTGACCATGCAATGGTGGCTTTCCTGGACTGTGTGCAGCAGTTCAAAGAAGAGGTTGAGAAAGGCGAGACACGTTTTTGTCTTCCCTACAGGTCAGTATAGCGCAATGCTGAGTGAACTTGTATAGGACCAAATTGAACAGAATTGAAGCAGCAGTAATAATGGAGGCAAAACAGTATAAATGGTGGGAAAGCAAAAAAATGGCACAGAATCACATGACATTGATGGGCAGAGACTGACCCAGTACTGCAAGCAGGACAGAATGTGACCACCTAGTCCTTGGAGTAGAAGAATGTTGCCTTAGATGGTTTAGGGGGTTTTCTTGGCATAGAGCTCAAGCCTCCTCTCCAGTTTCAAGAAGGTTTTTCCCTGAAGCCCTTGGAAATACACAGGAATGCTTCTTTTGATTTTTCTAGGATCCCATTGATGGATGGAAACTCTAGTTTTTACTTAGAGTAAGGCTGCTTCTATCACCCCAAAACAAAGCATTTCTTTTCTTCTGCCTCCTTTCTCCCCCGCCAAGTTCAGGGATGCCTAGGAAAACAGCAAGAAGTACTGTAACCCTCACTCACCCCTACTCCAGGCTTCTCTTCTCTTTGGGTGTGTGTCCTGTCCCTGTACTCTGCAATGACAATGAGGCTCTTGTGACAGTCTTCTTGATTTTTGGCTTTCAAGCAAATCCAAAATACACTATCATTCCTCACCAAGTGTTCTTTAATAGATAAAATGACGTGAATGGTCCCATGATCAAGTCCCTGCCCCGAACTTACTTAACTCAGATCTCAGTTACTAATGAGTTTTGCTCTGTCCATCTGCAGGATGGATGTGGAGAAAGGCAAGATTGAAGACACAGGAGGCAGTGGCGGCTCCTATTCCATCAAAACCCAGTTTAACTCTGAGGAGCAGTGGACAAAAGCTCTCAAGTTCATGCTGACGAATCTTAAGTGGGGTCTTGCTTGGGTGTCCTCACAATTTTATAACAAATGACTTTTTTCCTTAGGGGGAGGTTTGCCTTAAAGGCTTTTAATTTTGTTTTGTTTGCAAACATGTTTTAAATTAAATTCGGGTAATATTAAACAGTACATGTTTACAATACCAAAAAAGAAAAAATCCACAAAAGCCACTTTATTTTAAAATATCATGTGACAGATACTTTCCAGAGCTACAACATGCCATCTATAGTTGCCAGCCCTGGTCAGTTTTGATTCTTAACCCCATGGACTCCTTTCCCTTTCTTCTCTGAAAAAAACTAATTTAAATTTGCTTTTCTTTTTTTTAACTGAGTTGAATTGAGATTGATGTGTTTTCACTGGATTTTTATCTCTCTCAACTTCCTGCACTTAACAATATGAAATAGAAACTTTTGTCTTTACTGAGATGAGGATATGTTTGAGATGCACAGTTGGATAATGTGGGAAAATGACATCTAAGCTTTACCTGGTCACCATGTGATGTGATCAGATGCTTGAAATTTAACACTTTTCACTTGGTTCTTATACTGAATGCCGACTCTGCTCTGTGTTAGAGATATGAAATGGTGTTTGATACTGTTTGAGACATTATGGAGAGATTTAATTATTTGTAATAAAAGATTTGCTGCAGTCTGAAAACTGCCCAGGGGTGCACTGTTGGGTTTTTCTTTAAAATAGAGTACTTTGTATTCTGGGAGAATCAAGTTCTAATGAATGCAGGTATGTGGAAATTCTGTTGAAACTTCTTTAGAGTTAGTTTTAGTTTTAAAAAAAGACTCTAGTAAAAATAGATAGCTGTTGAGGAAGCCTTGTTTGTGTAGATCTGAATAATGGAACAGAGATGTTAAACTAATTTTAAGGGGAAATAAAGGCTACCTCCTTGATGCTTAGTCAAGGTCACCCAGATAGTCTGTATTTGAGCCCCTGATTAATACTGATTGCAATGCCTGATGTTCCTCTTAATGAAATTAAGCTAAAAGTATAAATACCTTGTTAAACAAAAATGAAACAACTAATCTGTCTCCACCTAGCTTTTTAACATTTTCAGGCTGATATGACAAAAAGGGCATGCTCGTCCACCTTAACTCTCTCTGATAAAGGAAAAATAAGCATGAAATTGGCATACAAAATACAGTTCAAAAGAGACTTGGAATTTTTGTACCCTTAGTATGAAAGTAAACAGAGGGAGGCATGAGTGCAGTGACGGATGGCTGTTTATATTTGGTGGATTCAGCCTCCCTCATGTGTTAGAGGAAGCAACAGTCTTCAGAGCTCTGGCTGCCAGGTGGGGAGGAATAGACTGCTGTCTCCCCGGAGTGTTGGCTCCCACTCCGTGAGTCAGGATTGCATAAGAGAACTCAGCAATGCTTGCCAAGGCAATACCAGTGATGCTCTGCAAATGCCCCACAACCTTCAGAAATAGAGACAGATTTCTTATTACTAAAAAATCTCAACACATTTTAGTGCACAAACACACACATTACTTGGGATGTTCTCTCAAGGCAATTGTAAATTCATTTTTCTGAAATCCAGATTCCAGTGTTTGCCAATGGCCAAATTATATTAGGATACCTTTGCCCTGATAATGTTAGCATGGAAACTTTCTGGTAGACATTTCCCTCTGCTGGAGATAAGTTTTGTGAAATATAAGAATGATATTTGGGCCTTGACATTTTCATTATTTGAGAAGATATAATTGTTGGACTTTGTTTTGTTTTGAAACAGGGTCTCACTCTGTTGCCCAGGCTGCCAGGCTGCAATGCAGTGGTGTGATTTTTGGCTCACTGCAGCCTCCACCTCCTGGGCTTAAGTGATCCTCCCACTTCAGCCTCTGGAGTAGCTGGGACTACAGGCGCAAGCCACTATGTCCAGCTACTTTTGTTTATTTTTTGTAGAAATGAGGTCTCACTGTGTTGCCCAGGCTTGTCTCCAACTCCTGGGCTCAAGCAATCCTCCTGCCTTGGCCTCCCAAAATGCTGGAGTTACAGGCGTGAGCAACCCTGCCTGGCCTTTGTTGTTGTTGTTGTTTTGTTTGTTTGTTTGAGACAGGGTTTCACTCTGTCGCCCAGGCTAGAGTACAGTGGCGCAATCATGGCTCACTGCAGCCTCCAACTCCTGGGCTCAAGTGATCCTCCCATCTCAGCCAAGTAGTCCACATAGTTGTGGGACTGCAGACATGCACCACCATGCCCGGCTAATTTTTTTTTTTTTTTTTTTTTTTTAATGAGATGGGGTCTCACTCTGTCTCCCAGGTTGGAGTACAGTGGTGAAATCTTGGCTCACTGCAACCTCTACCTCCCAGGCTCAAGGGATCCTTCTACCTTGGCCTCCTGGGTAGCTGGGACCACAGGCATGTGCCACCACACCCAGCTAATTTTTTAAAATTTTTGGTAGAGACAGGTCTTTTCCATGTTGCCCAGGCTGGTCTCCAACTCCTGAGCTCAGGCAGTCCACCCACCTCGGCCTCCTAAAGTGCTGGGATTACAGGTGTGAGCCACTGCGCCCAGCCATGACTAATTTTTAATTTTTGTAGAGACAAGGTCTTGCTGTGTTGACCAGGCTGGTCTTGAACTCCTGGGCTCAAACAGTTCTCCTGCCTTGGCCTCCCAAAATCCTGGGATTACAGGCATGAGCCACCGTGCCCAGCCTGGAGTTTAACATAATAGCAGGTTATCGTTATAAAGGGAAATGAACAAGCCGAACTTGGGCCTCCATTTCCAGTTTTATAAAAGGAAAACAAGGAAACATTTCAGCCCTATCCTAGATTTTTCCCTCTCAAATCTTGCACACCCATCCTAATCCTGGGTCTTGGCACTTCTGTAGGTTGTCCTCTGTTTTCCTTTAACTGATGGGTGAAATGCTTTCTGTTAAATGAATTCTCACCATGCTGGTCCTGCTCAGTGGTGCATACCTGGCTCCAACACTCATGGTTTTGGATGAAAGCACTTGCTGCAATGATTCCTACTGCCAACAGCATGAAGTCTTCCTTCACTGAAGTAAACTTTTCCCTGAGTGATTAAAACCACATTAATTTTAAAGCTAGAATGGAACTTGATCTTCCAAATCATAGGGTCATGGAACTTCAACTATGAATTATTTGTGTCGATCATCTTGGATTTTTTAGACATGGAAGGAAATGGTCAAGTAATAGCTCATTGACCTGCTCTCCCATTCTCCCCCAACTTAACTGGGATTAACATGAGCCTTATGTCTTGAATGGTTTATAGGCCTTTTTTAGTTCTATCTGTTTCCCTAACAATTGTAACTGTGAGGCTTTTAACCAGTCTGACTTTACAGTAATCAAACACTCTTGTCCAAGTTGCAACCTTGTGACTGTTTTTTTTTTCTTTTTTCTTTTTCTGAGACGGAGTCTCTCTCTGTTGCCCAGGCTGGAGTGCAGTGGCGCCATCTCAGCTCACTGCAAGCTCCGCCTCCTGGGTTCACGCCATTCTCCTGCCTCAGCCTCCCAAGTAGCTGGGACTACAGGTGCCCGCCACCACGCCCGGCTAATTTTTTGTATTTTTAGTGGAAACGTGGTTTCACGCTGTTAGCCAGGATGGTCTCGATCTCCTGACCTCGTGATCTGCCCGCCTCAGCCTCCTGAAGTGCTGGTATTACAGGCATGAGCCACCGCGCCGGCGACTGTTTTTTTTTCTAAATGACTGACCAAAGCAGTCCAGTAACCTTGAGTTTTATGCAGCTATAAAGGAAAAACTAGGAAAGGAAATATATTAATTAAAGTAATTTAAATTTAAAAGTAAAAGCCTTTAGGGTTTTCCTGACCAGGCTCAGTCACCTGCATCCAAACAACATATTGGAACTAATGAGAACCAGGTAGCCTGAGTAGGTTATCTGGGACTGGATGCCATGCTAGGCTAATTCCATTCCCCAAGTTCTTGTGGTCTGTCTCCCCTTCCCTGTTCCTGGAAGGAGCCTACCCTATAGGAGTTGTCTTACCCTTGCAGCTGACTGGGAGTGGAGTTCTCAATTGAAGCCCTCAACAGGCTCTCATATATGGGTTCATGCAGAAGATAGACCAGGTCGAGCAGTGTCAGGCAGGTTGCATGCAGCCTCATGGCTGGAACCAAACAGCCATTGTATCCTAGATGGAGTATGGGAATGATAGGGAGAATTTATGATCATGTCTTCTCTGATCATAACCACAGTTGTGACATAAAGCTGTTGAGGTGCTAATGTGCTTCCTGGTTGCTATGTTCTACTACAAGAAACCTGTTTAGCTGGAGATCAGTTTTAAAGGACAAAGGTAGAGGTAGAGAAACCTCCATCTGTAGTATACATACAATTAGCATGTAGTTGTCCCTCTCTTATCTTATGCCTCTCTATAAAGTCACCTCTTTGATCCTGCAATAAGAGTGCCTAGTGAGTCCAAACAGAAGCCAGTTGCTAAGACCTCTGAGCTTTCCCTGACAAGTGCCGGAGGGAACACCTGTTTCAGTCATCCAGAGACACCATCAAGCTTCCTACTGTTCCTCATTGGCAGGTTCTGCCCACTGTTCCCAAACCCCTGTGCACATTTTTTTTTTTTTTTGAGAAGGAGTCCGCTCTGTTGCTCAGGCTGGAGTGCAGTGGCATGATCTCGGCTCACTGCAACCTACACCTTCCAGGTTCAAGCAATTCTTGTGCCTCAGCCTTCCAAGTAGCTGGGATTACAGGTGCCCACCACCACACCCAGCTAATTTTTGTATTTTTAGTAGAGATGGGGTCTCACTATGTTGCCCAGGCTGGTCTTGAACTCCTGGCCTCAAGTGATCCACCTACCTCAGCCTCCCAAAGTGCTGGGATTACAGGCATGAGCCATGCCCCCCCATGCACATTTTGTATTGCCTTCTATGGAAGTCTCCAACCCATATTCCCTAACACAGTAAGATACCTAAAACCTCTAGGAGCGTCTCCACATATGCCAGGGGAGTGGGCAGATTAATTCGGAAGTTCAAGGACTTCAAAACATCAAGCTCTGATTCCAGCAGTTCTTCTTTAGTGTGTAGATAGCCTAGAGCCTGGAGGAAATTCAAGACTGTAATGTTGCTGATTATCTGAGCAAAGAAAAGAGAGGGAAAGAAGAATGTTAGGATAAAGTTCATACGTCTTGACAGAGTGCACAAAGCCCTTCATAATCCAGCCTATTCCTTCATCTTCAGTCTTGTCTCTTGGTAATTCCCCCTCACACTCTGCTTGTCATTCCAAATTGCTTACAGTTCCCAAACCCACCATGCTGTCCCTCTCCAAGCCACTACACAGGCTGTTTTCTATACCTGGATCTCCCTTCCTTTCCTCCCTAATTCCTCTCCCTCTTCTCTTAGGATCCTCCCATCTCCCACCCACCCCATTTCAAGAAGTCATTTTCTCTAAATACACTTCCTTGACTCTCCAAGGCTGATGAGGTACATTTATAGCCCTCTGTATTTACATTAATCAGAGCTTTTTTTTCCACACTATTTGTATGTGTCTTTTCCCATTACATAATAGGTTCCTTGTGAGCACAGACAATATTTGTACTGTTGTAGCCATGGCACCTGGTGCAGCATCTGGCCATAGAATAAACTCAGAAAGTATTTGTTGAATGAATGATATTTTACTGTATAGGCATTGGGTAGTGATGTGGAAACATTTTTTTCCCTTATAAATGTAATAGTTTGCTTCTACTGTTGATAGGTATGCTGGCAATTCAGGCACCTTATGTAAACTGCCCTTGAGTCCAAGGGGGGAGGAAAGGTGACCAGTATGAATGATGGCATCTGTCCCAATTATACTTTGGGAACAGAACTTCAGGCTATTTAATAACTGCCTCTGTGTGAGTGAGAGGGGGAGAAAGATCATGTGTGTGCGTGTGTGTGTGTAGAAGGTATGCTTAGGAAGCATAATTACACTCTGGAATTTCCATGAGTTGTATCACCTAACCTAGGAGTAGGTTTCTTACAGCTACCTTGTTTTTTTGTTGTTAGTTTTTTTGAGACAGAGTCGCTCTGTCGCCCAGGCTGGAGTACAATGGCACGACCTCAGCTCACTGCAACCTCCGCCTCCCAGGTTCAAGCAATTCTCCTGCCTCAGCCTCCTGAGGAGCTGGAATTACAGGTGTGCGCCACCACACCTGGCTAATTTTTGTATTTTTAGTAGAGACAGGGTTTTACCATGTTGGCAAGGCTGGTCTTGAACTCCTGATCTCAGGTGATCCACCTGCCTCGGCCTCCCAAAGTGCTGGGATTACAGGCATGAGCCACCGCGCCCGGCCGTTGTTTTTACTTTGTAATTTATTTATTTTCTTCTTGTCACTGACTTGAAGCTCATCACAGCCCCCCTTTGTATAAAAGCTGGTTTCTTCCTAACACTCAGGTGCCCATGAGCAACCCCAGCTCCTTACTTTGTTTCGGAAGGAAAGTTTGCTGGCCAGCTGAACACATGACACAAGACGGAGAGTAAACTTGTTGACAAGCTGCTGTTTCAGAGCCCTCCAATTCTGAGACTCTCTCTTATTATCTCTTGGCTGGATTGTGGCTTGCCTGCAGATGTTCTCTGCCTGTTTTACCATAAACCTGTAGGGAAGGGAGGGAGAGTAAACAATCCTCACTCACACAAACTAAAGGGAGTTTAACTTGCTGGTTAAGAAATTTACATTTGAGGCTGAGCATGGTGGCTCACACCTGTAATCCCAGCACTTTGGGAGGCCAAGGCAGGCAGATGACTTGAGCCCAGGAGTTCAAGACCACCCTGGGCAACATGGCAAAAGCCCATCTCTAAAAAAAAAAAAATAGCCAAGTGCGAAGTGTGGAGGCACATGCTTGTAGTCCCAGCTACTCAGGAAGCTGAGGTGGGAGGATCACTTGAGCCCAGGAGGTCAAGGCTGCAGTGAGCCAAGATCCCACCAGGCACTCCAGCCTGGGTGACAGAGCAAGACCCTGTCTCAAAACAACAATAACAACAAAGAAATTTATATTTGCAAGTTAGAGAGGGTGTAAAACCAGGTCTCAGGGTAAGGGGCAACTACTCATACTTTCTTAAAGATGTAGGTACATTAGCCACTCTGAGAGGTGCCGTTCAAAAGGCATTATGCCAGGGCTTTACCTTTCTAGGATTTCTACAGCCTGGTAGCTCACAGATTTCTCCAGACACCATTGTTCAGACAGGAGAAAAACAAACTCTGCCAAAACAGGAAAAAAGAGCCTAATTCACAAGATGCAACCAAAACCACTCTGTGAACTCTTGGCATTGTGTAAAAGCCGTGATGGGGCCAAGGGAAGAGGGTCAGGAGGTGAGAAAGATGAGACTAAAACAACCAAAGCTGAGCTTAGTTTCTTTTGCTGCCAATAGGCAGATCAGAGACATGTAAAGGAGGCTGACTGAGTGCCAAAGACAAGGGCTTACCAAGCCCCCTCAGTGACCCTTGAGCCTTCCTGTGGGTTTCAGCTGATAAAAGGCTTGGCCAGTTACACACAAACATACCAGCTGGTCTATGTGACCTCTACACCATGCTGGGAACCCCCAGCTTCAAGGAAGATTCTTGGATGGATAAAAACCCTAACTCCTATATTCTGTTTTCTGTGGAATGTTGGCAGGAACAGAAAGATCCCTCCTGGAGCTTTGATATTCTTTATGACACTGTTTGTTTAGTAACCACCCTCTGGAGAACTCCCATTGCTTTACAAACACAAGTCACCTTACAGCTGGACACCATCTCTCCACCACCAGTTTGCTGGGTAAATCTGTGGTGGCTGAGCCTCTCCCCAGGAGCAAGTGTGTTACTGTGAAGTGGCTTGTTTTGAAGAAACATCCCCTAAATTGGAGAACATAGCCCAATTTAGGGGGAGGGAGTCATTGGGAAGGTGGGAAGGGTGAGATACCTTGGCAAGATTTTAGCCTGCCTCTGTTTCTCTTTGAAAGAACAGCTCCAGATAGAATTATATTTATCTTGCAATATCATTAGAGGGTGGAAACAAGGGTAAATGTCAGTTCTCAACAAAGAAAGCTCCTACAGACTGAAGACCTTTTAGCATTGATCCGTAGAGAATTACACATTTAGTCAAATAATCATATGTCTTCAGAGAAAACTTAACTTTCTTAGAAAATTTAGTCAAGCTTACACAAGTAACAATCTACTCAACACACATTACACATAGATAGATGTACAAAACCTCATCGTTACAGAGGCTACAGTTTGGCTAGCAATGTCCAATGCAGGACAGAATTAGTTTAAGCAATTCAGCATAATACCCTAGAACATATAATTGTGTCTCTTATTAGTCATTTTATTTGCTGGACTTTAGGCTTTATTTCTTAGTTTTGTTCTTTGTGTATGTGTGCAGTTGTTAAGTTTTGGTTTGGTTTTGCTCTGAATTATCTGAGCATTTGTTTCTGTTTTCCATTTTAATTTGCCAAAAAAACTGAGCTTGGATTAGGTGGAATGGATGAGGGTTACACCTTTCCCTTGCTATTGGCCCCACCTCCTCGATAACAAGCATACTCAGATCTGCTATTAACTAAAAGACCCTCCCCTTTTAACCTCTCTCTTTCCCATCACTGTTGAATTTTTTTTTAAATAAATAAATAAATAAATAATAAATAGACGGGATTGTCCTATGTTGCCCAGGCTGGTCTCAAACTCCTGGGCTCAAGCAATCCTCCCATCTCAGCCTCGCTGTTGAATTACTTGAAAGCCTGGCTTACACACCCACTGCTTCCACTTCATCGTTCACTTCCTAATTTTCTATCTGTTGGCTTCTACCTTTCCTAACTTGCTGAAATGATTCTCAGAGGACAGTAAATATGTCCAAATTGTTAAATATCATGGCTTTTTGCAATCTTTAGTTCTGTTGATATCCCTAAAGCATCTGAAACTTCTGACCATTATCCTTTTCAAAGTCTCCTCTTGGCTGCCAAAAGTCCCTTGGTTCTGTTCCTATCTCCTCCTTTTATTTCCTTCACAAGTCTTCTTACTCCAATTCCCTGAACACAAAGTGTTTTCCCAAGGAACTGTCCTTGACCTGCTTTTCTTTTCTCCTTCTAGGAGCTTATCCTCTGCCACAGTTTCAACAATATCATTGTGAAGATAACTTGAAAACCTTGATCTCCATTTCTGACCTCTCTTCTAACCTACTCTTTGAATAGTCTACAAGAACACTTCTTTTAGATGTTCTGCAAACACCTTAAACTCAGCAGATCCAAAACTAAAGCTATTATACACACACACACACACACACACACACACACATATATTATATATATATATATATATATATATATATATATATATTTTTTTTTTTTTTTTGAGACAAGGTCTCACTCTGTTACCCAGGCTGGAATGCAATGGCGTGATCTTGGCTCACTGCAACCTCTGCCTCCCGGGTTCCAGCCATTCTCCTGCCTCAGCCTCCCAAGTAGCTGGGATTACAGGTACCTGCCACCATGCCTGGCTAATTTTTGTATTTTTAGTAGAGATGGGGTTTCACCATGTTGGCCAGGCTCCAAAGCCATTATTATCTTTCCCAAACAAAAGTCACTTTTCCTCCTGCTTTATTTATGTAGTGTGTCTGTGTTTTTTGTGTTGTTTTTTTTTGTTGTTGTTTTTTTTTTTTTTGGGAGACAGAGTCTTGCTCTGTGGCCTAGGCTGGAGCGCAGTGGCACAATCTTGGCTCACTGCAACCTCCGCCTCCCAGGTTCAAGCCATTCCCCTGCCTCGGCCTCCCGAGTAGCTGGGACTACAGGTGCCTGCCACCATGCCCAGCTAATTTTTGTGTTTTTAATAGAGACAGGGTTTCACTATGTTGGCCAGGCTGGTCTCGAACCCCTGACCTCGTGATCCACCCGCCTCAGCCTCTCAAAGTGTTGGGAATACAGGCGTGAGCCACCGTGCCCGGCCGTGTCTGTGTGTTTCTTTTAATGACCACTATACTTCCAGTCTTCCAGGCTCAACCGTTTAGCATAGTCACGTTTTCCTCCTTCACTTCCTAAATTTATCCACAGCAGAACCCTAGACTTTGCCTCTAGAATGTTTTTAATCCACCCTCCCTTGTTATTCCCTCTGCCCTATCACCTAGCCTACTGACATTGACTCTACCTGTCTGCCTACATCCCATCTCCCTCTGGTTTAATCCATCCTTTACCTCCTTTACATCACTGCCAAAATAATGTTTACTAAGGCAGGGTTACCATCGTATCCCTTATTTTAAAACCTTCACTCCCTTATTTAAAAACCTTCAATGTCTTCTTGGTTTCCTACCAAACCAAGGATAAACTCTTCCCCTTGGCATTCAAACTTCCACATGGAATGTCTCCAAACTACCTTTCCAGTATTAATTTCAACTATTCTTCCACATGCACTGGCCAACATGGACTACACTGTACCCACATGCACCCTAAGCACCCCATTTCCATAGCTTTACTCATGCTACCTCTTTTTGGTAGAAACACTGTCTCCTTCCTCCCCCTTCACCAACCCAATGTCCTCCTTCCTTCAAGGTCTGCCTGAAATGTCCCGATGCCTGGGCCATCCCCTGAATTCTTCCTATTACCCCATCGCTCCTCTCAACCCCCATAAACGCTTGTTTTATTTCTCTCTGACGTCTCTTATCTAACCATAGTACCTAGTCATTGCATATTTGTTCTAATATCTCCCCCAAATTGCACATGGTTTGAAGGCAAGACCTCTATCTCTATTTCATCTTTCTTTTCTCTTTTTTTTTTTTTTTTTTTTTAGACAGAGTCTCGCTCTGTCACCCGTCACTCAGGCTGGAGTGTAGTGGCGCCATCTCAGCTCACTGCAAGCTCCGCCTCCCGGGTTCATGCCATTCTCCTCCCTCAGCCTCCGGAGTAGCTGGGACTACAGGCGCCCGCCACCACACCCGGCTTTTTTTTGTATTTTTAGTAGAGACGGGGTTTCACCATGTTAGCCAGGATGGTCTCGATCTCCTGACCTCGTGATCTGCCCGCCTCAGCCTCCCAAAATGCTGGGATTACAGGCGTGAGCCACCGCGCCCAGCCTTTTTTTTTTTTTTTTTTTTTTTTTTTTTTTGAGACGGAGTTTCATTCTTGTCGTCTAGGCTGAAGTGCAATGGCACGATTTCGGCTCACTGCAACTTCCGCCTCCTGGGTTCAAACAGTTCTCCTGTCTCAACCTCCCGAGTAGCTGGGATTAGAGGTGCGCGCCACCAGTCCTGGCTAATTTTTGTACTTTTAGTAGAGACAGGATTTCACCATGTTGGTCAGGCTGGTCTCGAACTCCTGACCTCAGGTGAACCTCCCACCTCAGCCTCCCAAAGTGCTGGGATTACAGGTGTAAGCCACCATGCCTGGCCCTCTATTTCATCTTTCTAGCCAAGCGGTGCCACTCAAGTATTCCATACATGTCGAAGAAATCAAGGGGAGGGCACTGTTGTGACTTATCCATCACTATATCCCCAGCACCCCACAGAGAGGTGTTAGCAAACATTCTCTGAATGAATAAAATCAACGGAATCTCAAGGTCGGTGCCTGAAAGACACAAGCCCCAGTCTCCCAAGAACCCAGCACCCCGGCCCTGCAGCCGCACCCACGATCTGGGGCTCCCTGAAGCGGCCCAGCCGCCCCGAAGCCTCCCTCACTGCTTGCTCATTCTGCTGGGCCAAGTGAAGCAGGGCGTCTTCAATCGTCTCTGTGGCGACAACTCCAAACTGAAAGTCAACGAGGGAGGCCGATCGTGGCCTCATGGGTCCGTCCATATTCACGAGCCTCTTGGGGCACCTGGACGGGTTCACTGGATCCACATACCGACCCCCTTAGCTCCTCTCCAGTCTTCTGCCACACCCTGGATTCCTCGTCCCCTTCCAATGAGTGTGTCGTCGCCTCAAGTCTGAGGAAAACCCAATTACCACCACAGCCTCGAACCCTCCACAGCTTTTTCCCGCCCCAACGGCCACGGACTCCTCAGCCAATCAGAAAGCACGTCCGCTTCTCACCTCCCGCGTCCATCCCCTGTGCCCGGGAACCGCGGCTCTGCCCCGCAAAGGGCACGCGGACTACAACTCCCAGAGTCCACTGCAGCGGCCAAGGGCTACTGTTCCCAGCGAGGCCCGCGCGGCGGCACCGCGAAGGGAGGAGTGGCAACATGGCGTCTTCGGGAGCTGGTGACCCTCTGGATTCTAAGCGTGGAGAGGCCCCGTTCGCTCAGCGTATCGACCCGACTCGGGAGAAGCTGACACCCGAGCAACTGCATTCCATGCGGCAGGCGGAGCTTGCCCAGTGGCAGAAGGTCCTACCACGGCGGCGAACCCGGAACATCGTGACCGGCCTAGGCATCGGGGCCCTGGTGTTGGCTATTTGTATCCGTCCGTGTTGTAGACTCAAGGGGACCGCATATAGGGGCAGGGGAACAGAGTGTGCAAGAGGGCTGAACCACCCGTTTAATTTTGGGGTAAAATGGGTAGTACTTTCCTTTGTTATTCCTAAGGTACTCTTTTAATTTGATTTATTAATAATAACGGAATTGGGGTTCAGGGTTTAGAAACAGCAGCGGCGGGAAGCCGGAATCACTGATTTGGGAGAGTAACAAGAGTGGTAGAGCAAATCTAGGAAAGGGGAATGTGCATATTCTGTGTGGTTTCCTGAACCTACCTCCCCAGATGGTTACACCTTCTACTCGATTTCCCAGGAGCGTTTCCTAGATGAGCTAGAAGACGAGGCCAAAGCTGCCCGAGCCCGAGCTCTGGCAAGGGCGTCAGGGTCCTAATCTGGATGGGTATTGATCATGTCCAACCTGCTGGAGCCCCTTCACATGGTGGATGATGCCCCATGACCCTGTAGAAATTGAATCCTGCTCACAACATTGTTGGCCTTCTTACTAACCTTGGACCGTGATTGAGCCCAAGAAACCAGGGACTTACGCATTTGGCCAATGTCAAAAGAACAGAACTTTGCCCACTGCACACTTGCTGTGTACAATGACTGAGCCCTTTCTTGTAGTTTGTTTCCTTGTTTGAGAGGTGTGCATGCGACCGTGGCTTTTCCCAAAGTTTCTGACTTTGTGGTTTACCCCCTTCACCTTCCAGGGACGCAGTTGTTACGAGGTTAGACGTGGCAGCTCTGTGCAGTGTTTGAGCCTACAGTGGGATACATAGGGTCAAATTGAGAATAATAAACTGAGTCATTCTCCTGGAGTCAAGTGAGTATGGAGGCTGAGAGGCAGCATATGGCACTTCATGCTGGAAAGCTTCACAAGCAGTAGCTGCAGTGGTGGCATTGCCCCAGGGAGCTGTAAATGTTTAACTAGAATTACTTTTTCCATGAGATCTTTCCACCTGATTTAAGGGAGAGATCACTGGGCAGTTTGAGACTGAACCCACGTCTTAGGGGAAGGAAGGTCACTCTTCTGTCCTCTACCCACAAGAACATACTGTAACTCTACTGCTTTTCCCATCCCCAGAGAGAGGGAGGGAGAGAGAGGTGGATGAAGGGTGAAAGACAAGCAGTCTTCATTCTTTTAACTTTCCCTGGTACCTGCCTATACAGGTCTAGGGTGGGGTCTGGAGGGGATCCTAACTTAGTCAAGTGGATCACTGACCTTGCAGTTTCCTCATTAACTGATGGCAGGAAGCCAGAGGGCTGGGCAGCTTCCACCCCTGCCTCCCATTGTGAAAAGAAAGTCCCTTTTAAATCCTCCCCTGCCTCACCCCACAAGTCTTTGCTCCCCCAATTCCTAAGGCATGGCATATGGATTCACGGCGTTCTTGTTTCCAGCATTTTTATTGGTTGCTGCTAATGTGGTGTGAGCATATCCCCTACACTCTCCCAGCTGGGAGTGGGCCCCTCTAGAAGCATCCAGGCTTGGGTGGGATTGCTTAGTGGTTGACTCTTGGCAGGGGAGGTGCTAGAGATGAAGATGGTAGGCAGCAGAACTAACACCTCCACACAGCAAACAGTTCACATATGTTTGGCTCTTCACTATAATGGAGCTGCACTCTCCATGCCCCCCTGGCCTTCTACCCCTTCAGTGTTGGGATCTTCCTTGCTCAGTTTTGTTGATCAGAAAGCATCAGATTCTGAGAACACAAGCTCCATGGTGGGCCCTGGTGTGGGGGAGATACATGGCTTCTGTTCTGAATTCACTGGAGGGAAAAGAAAAAGTGATGAAGAAACCTCCAAGGTGGGAGGAAGGCGAAGCTGCAGCCAGGTACCATTCCCTGGGCTCTCCCTCCCTTGGGCCCGCCCTCACCATCCTGCCAACATCCCCGGCGAATGTCACCCCCTTGCTTGCCCGCTGCTCCTGGGAGCCGGTGCTGCTGCCACTCAGAGAGTTCCTTCGCATGATGCCTGGGAGCAGGATGGGGGAAGGAGAGCACTAAGTGAGGAAAGGGGAGGTGGGGAGAGGGGGTCTATTCCCCCGGGGCAGACCCCCAGGGCCTGGAGAAAAACAGTCGACAGAAAGGGGTCTCAGGGAAAAGATGGAAGCTGGGTGACTGCAGTCTCACCAGGGCCTGGGGGCTCAGAGCGCTGTAGGCTGTTGCGGCGGGAGGTGGGGAAGCTGCCCTTGGAGAGGCGGCGCTGGCGGCTGGACAGCATAGCAGCTGGGGCCACAATACCCGGTGGGGGCTGCTTCCCCAGCCGGCTGTACAAATCTTCAATTTCTTTTTTCTGTAGTGTCTGTAGTGTTTCCACCTCTGACAAGTGCCTGAGGATGCACGGAGGGCATGAAAGGGCTAGCCACACACCTTGCTCTCCCAGGTTCTCCTCTCACTCCTCCATCCTCCCGAGACTCACTTCTGCCGAAGACTCTGCAGCTCAGCCCAGAACTCCTCATCTTCCCCACTGCTTTCTGACTCCTCGCTGCTCAAACACAGGCTGCTGTAGGAGTAGTTCATCCACACTGGGCTGGGATGGCTCAGGGGTTGGGGGCTGCCCCCAACTTGGGGTTCCTTCCCATCATCTCCTTCCTCCTCAACTCCAGCCCCCAGACCCTCAGCTGCACGGTCGCTCTCAGCCAGAGCTTCCCTGGTCTCTGGCCCGCCTCCAGCACTGTCCTCTGTATCTGAGCTCTCTGAAGTGAGCTGAGGGGTTGAAGGTTTTGGAGAACCAGAGAGAGTGGGGGATGTTGGCTGCAAGGGAAGAGGCTCAGCCGGTTCCTTGGATGAAGTCACTTGGAAACGCCCAACAAGCTGCGGCTTTCCCTCTGTAGGGCGACGAGGAAGAAGGCATGAGGAAAGGAGAGCAGTGACAGGACAGACAGTGAGTAGGGATAATGGCAGGGGAAGGTCAGTGGTCAGAGGCCTTACCTTCAGAGATGGGCGCCAGCCTGGCTTCCCCTGGGAGGGGCCGAGCAGGAGGTGGTGAGGCCTAGAAAGTGGGGGGCCATGAGAAGGGAAGAGTGCAGAGTGGAGTCTCCCTAATCATCCCTCTTGGTTTTCTACTCACCTCACTCTCCACCTCAGCTGTGTGGGGTGAAGGGCTTTCCTGGCCACCAGGAGCAACGGGAGGGGGAAGGGGCAGGCTAGGGAGGGGACTAGGAGGGGCTGGAGGAGACTGGGAAAGGAGCCCAGGTGAGGGGGACAGCAGGGACTGGGCCACAGTCATCACAGCCAGTGAGAAGGCACTAGCCAGAGAAAGGAGAGGGGCTGCTGTGGTGGAGGGGAAGGAAGAAGTGGAGGGGCACGGAGGAAAGAAAGGGGAACTAAGAGTGACCTGAGAACAAGTGGGAGAGAACGTAGGTGGAGAAGTCGTGGGGAGAGAACTCCAGGGACACTGAGAGAGTGGGACCGGAAACTCGGGTGTGCTGGAGGAGAATGGAAGTGGAGAGCTGGTGGGGTGTGGAGAGGGATTTGAGGAGACCTGGGAAGAAATGGGGGAGAATGGGGAGGGGCTGGGATGACATGGGGGAGAAGTGATGGGGAAGATGGGACCTGGGGAAATGGGGGTTCCAGGGGAAAATGGGTTTCCAGGAGACAAAGGAGTTCCAGGAGAAGATGAGGAGGTGGAGAAGGCTGTCCAGCTCCTGTGCTCCAGGGAGGTGCTGCTCTGGAGCTCTTCTGGGAAGGAGGGTATGTTGAGACCACAGTCCCACATGCCCTATGCCCTTCCCAGGAGCAACCCCAGGGGTTGGGATGAGCAAGGACACAACTCAGTACATACCATTGGATGGGTCTGGGAGGGGGACGGGCAGGGCAGGTAATGGTGCTGGCTCCTCCTGAGGCAGAAAAAGGAGTCCGCAGTCACAGTGGGGAAGAGCAGTCTGAGATGGAAGGTGTCAGACCGGGGTTCCTAAGCTAGGACCCATGAACCTATAGGAGTCTGTACATGAGTTTCAAGGGATTCAGAAGCATATGTGCTGAAATGTATAGAGGTAAAAGGGCATGATGTCTGCAACTTACTCTTAAGTGGTTCCGAAAAATATATTATGTATGCACACATACAGAGGGGAGAGGAAGAGACAATGATGACGCTAAGGTGGCAAAACACTAACAAGTGGCAAATCTGGGCAAAGGGTATCCAGTGGTTCTTTATATAATTCTTGCAACTTCTCTCCACAAGTCTGAAATTATTTCAAAATAATGAGTTAAAAGAAAAGTATGTATTGAACAAGTTTTCTAGAACAAGAGTCCATGGCTTTCATCATATTCTCAAATGGGCTAAGAGCCACTGTTTTAGGCCAGGCACGGTGGCTCACACCTGTAATCCCAGCACTTTGGGAGGCCGAGGAGGGCGGATCACGAGGTCAGGAGATCGAGACCAGCCTGGCTAACACGGTGAAACCCTGTCTCTACTAAAAATACAAAAAAAATTAGCCGGGTGTGGTGGCGAGCGCCTGTAGTCCCAGCTACTCGGGAGGCTGGGACAGGAGAATGGCGTGAACCCGGGAGGCGGAGCTTGCAGTGAGCCGAGATCGTGCCACTGCACTCCAGCCTGGGCGACAGAGTGAGACTCCATCTCAAAAAAAAAAAAAAGCGCCACTGTTTTAGGGTCCCAGAGATGAAGAGGAGTTAAATCCAAGGGGACCGCTGAGGGCAGAGAGTAATAAACCCTGGAGCAGAGAGTCCATTTCCCCTGGAAGTGTCCACCAAGGGGTCTGACCTGGGGGCTTAGGGTGTCTTCAGCAGCCTCCATGGGGCCAGTGTCTCTCTTCAACAGGGTCTCCACTCGCTGGATAATCTCCCGAATCCGTCTGAGAAATCCATCTCGCTCCGAAGGCAGAATGAACTCGTTATATACCTTGCGAGGGTCAACAGGATGGGGAGGGAGAGCTTGTTATCTCACTCATCCCTCTCCCCCTGCTTCTGATCTTAAAACATCAGGCTGGGCGCGGTGGCTCACGCCTGTAATCCTAGCACTTTGGGAGGCCGAGGCGGGCGGATCACCTGAAGTCAGGAGTTTAAGACCAGCCTGGCCAACATGGTGATACCCTATCTCTACTAAAATACAAAAATTAGCTGGGCATGATGGCGGGCACCTGTAATCCCAGCTACTTGGGAGGCTAAGACGGGAGAATCACTTGAACCTGGGAAACGGTGGAGCCAAGATCACACCACCGCACTCCAGCCTGGACGACTGAGCGAGACTCCGTCTCAAAAAAATAAAAATAAAAAATCCACCCTTCACACTACTGCTCCTGCCAACCACCAACCTAAAACAAGTAAATACCTATTGTGTTCCAGGCACTGTGTGGTGTAAGGAGAAATACAGCCTAGAAGGAAAGGTGCTAACATTCATAGGATGCGTATATATACCAGCTGCTTTGCGTATATTATCACATTTAACACCACCAGTAACTTTCTGGGGCCCACATTAATATTGCTATGGTAGAATTAAGATAACCAATGCTCAAAGAGGTTAAGTTCCGTCTGCCTAAGGTCACAGGATTTAAACCCACATCTACCTAAAGCCAGAGCCTGAGTTATCTTCACTGCTGCCTCCCATGTTTTGGACACAATTTCTGCCCCATAGTGTTTATAAAGTATAACACACAGGCCCACATACACCCATCCCACACGGTTAAGTCAGAATAAGGCAATAAATGGCAAATGTCACATTCAAATCCATGAATACTTATTGAGCACCTACTATGTGCTGGCATTGTGCTGGGTACTGTGGGAATACAAGGAAGCATGAAACAAGGTCCTAGGCTTAACGAAGCCCAAAACTTAGTGGAGGAGACACATAAATACGTAATTAAACTTACTGCAAGGCAGCCCGTAATACGTAAGGCACTTACAAGTGAGATATAGATAGAAATGTTGTTCCAGGGTTGGGGGGATGGGGGTGTGGAGAGGCAGAGTTGTTTAATGGGTACAGAGTTTCAGATTTGCAAGGTAAGAAAACCCCTGGAGATCTGTTTCACAGCAATGTGAATATACTTAATATTGCTGAACTGTACACTTAAAAATGGTTACGGTGGTAAATTTTATATTTATGGTTTTTTAATCACAATTTTTTAAAATGCTATTCCAAAGACAGAATACCACCCTGGGGATAGGGGGAAGCTGGAGCAGTTTCACAGAGTAAGTCTTTGGAGCTGAACATTGACAGATGAGAAAAGCAATCTCTATTGAGGACCTACCATGTGTGGACACTTCTACATTACACTGTGTCGTATCAGAACATCTTTGCAAAACAAATACTATCATCTGCATTTTACTTACATGCAACTGAAGTTTACAGAGTTAAGAAACTTGCCTAAGTTCATTGGATTAGTAAATAACAGAGCTGAAGTTTGAACTTAGGTATTACATGAAAGCGACCCCTTCCTCTATTCCAGGCTGTTCATCAGGAAGAGAAGAGCAGTCTAGGCAGAGAGAACAGTGTAGTAGCTTTGAAGCATGAAAGGCATGGTACATTATTATTTTTTTTTTTTTTTGAGACTGAGCCTTGCTCTATCACCCAGGCTGGAGTGCAGTGGCACAATCTTGGCTCACTGCAACCTCACCTTCTGGGTTCAAGAGATTCTCCTGCATCAGCCTCTTGAGTAGCTGGGACTGCCTGGCACCATGCCCAGCTAATTTTTATATTTTTAGTAGAGACAGGGCTTCATGTTGGCCAGGCTGGTCTCGAACTCCTGACCTCAAGTGATCTACCTGCCTCAGCCTCCCAAAAGTGCTGGGATTACAAGTGTGAGCCACTGCGCCCGGCCTATTCAATCTTTCTTTCTTTCTTCTTTTTTTTTTTTTGAGACAGAGTTTCGCTCTTGTTGCCCAGGCTGGAGTGCAATGGTATGACCGTGGCTCACCGCAACCTCCACCTCCTGGGTTCAAGTGATTCTCCTGCCTCAGCCTCCCAAGTAGCTGGGATTACAGGCATGCGCCACCACGCCCAGCTAATTTTGTATTTTTTAGTAGAGACGGGGTTTCTCCATGTTGGTCAGGCTGGTCTTGAACTCCCGACCTCAGGTCATCTGCCTGCCTCGGCCTCCCAAAGTGCTGGGATTACAGGCGTGAGCCACCATGCCCGGCACAGCCTATTCTTAAAATAGTGAGGACTCAAGTGTAGCTGAATGTGCTGTGAATTTTAAAGGCTTTGGAATTTGGACCTTACTCTACAACCACAAGTAGCCACTAAATAATTTCGGGTGAATATCAAGAGATCAGATCCAAGTCTCAGGAGAATTCTGCTGCAGAGGAGTGGAGGGTGGACTGGGTAAGGAGAGAAAAGAGGGCAAAGGACTCTGGGTGCATGGGGTGGGGTCACTTTGGCTGTGCAGGATCAGAGGGGACTTGAAAGCCCAATACAGAAGGCTCTACGAGTGAGAGACCCTTAAGGAGGTGGAGGCAGAGGCAGGAAGGCACCCAGCCTTTTCAGAGGCCCATTTTGAAACCAGTGTGGCTGGATGGAAGACTCTGAAAGAGTCAAGTGGTTTGACGGAAGGTGATGAGCCTTGTGTGCCAGGTGATATTGTGTCTTTGTCCTGGACACAAGGTGAATGACATGATGGAGGAGATGCTTTAGAGAGGGCTCCTGATGCCTGGTGTTTCTCCCATTCCTTTCCCTCCTTCACCCCATGGGCTGGCATCCACCACCCCCACTCCACTGAAACTGGTCTCCCACAAAGATCTCCTAACAAAAGCCAGTGTGGTCTTGCCTGAGGATTCATCCTATGCCACCTCCTTGAAACTCTCTCCTCACTCAGTTTTGACTAACATCCTCCTACGTCTCTGGCTTTGTCTCTGTGTCCTTCGATGACCTACCCTCCCGCTTCCCACTCCAGAACTGGTGGTATGCGCTGAGACACACTCTGCAACCCTCTGTGTCTCTGGCTTTGCCGGCTCATCTCCCTTCACTCTCAACTCTGTACTGACTACTCCTCCATCCACATCTCTCCAGCCCTGCCTGACCCATATCCATGGCTATGGAGGGTCTTGTCTTGGCTGTCCCTTCTTCACTCAAGCTCATCATGACCTCCTTAAAAAAAACCTTCTTTCATTTCTAATTTCCTCTCTCCTTTGGTGGCCTACTCTCCTACTCTCCTTTGGTGGCCTACAAGTTGTCCTTGACATCCCTTCTCCCTAACTCCCAATCATATCAACTCAGCAAATATTTATTGAGCATCTACTATGTACTATGTTCTCTACTACGTCAATAGGTTACTGGATTACAGAGTAACTTATTTTCCCGAAACAACCCTCAGATTCACCCTTTCTCCTCTTCCCTCCCATAAGCCACTCTCTCCTTTGTCCACAGATGGCTTCCTGGGTCTACCTCCCAGGTATTTTCCCTTCCCCCTTCCACATCCCATGGCAGATGATTTTCATAAAGCCTACTGTCACGTTACACTGTGCCTTTTTGTTTTTTTGTTTTTGTTTTTTTTTGAGACAAAGTTCACTCTGTCTTCCAGGCTGGAGTGCAGTGGCGTGATCAAAGCTCACTGCAGCCTTGACCTCCCAGGCTCAAGTGATCCTCCCACCTCAGCCTCCCAAGTAGTTGGGATGACAGGCATGTGCCGCCACACACGGCTAATTTTTTAAATTTTTTGTAGAGATAGGGTCTCATTATATTACCAGGGTGGTCTTGAACCCCTGGGCTCAAGCAATCCTCCTACTTCATCCACCCAAAGTGCTGGGATTACAGGTGTGAGCCACTGGACCTAGCCTGCTCTGCCTCTCTATTTATTTATTTATTTATTTATTTATTTATTTATTTATTTATTTTTAGACAGAATCTCACTCTTGTCGCCCAGGCTGGAGTGCAATGGTGTGATCTCGGCTCACTGCAACCTCCGCCTCCCGGGTTCAAGCAATTCTCCTGCCTCAGCCTCCCAAGTAGCTGGGACTACAGGCATGCGCCACCACACCCAGCTAATTTTTGTATTTTTTAGTAGAGACGGGGTTTCACCATGTTGGCCAAGCTGGTCTTGAACTCCTGACCTCGGGTGATCTGCCTGCCTCGGCCTCGGCCTCCCAAAGTGCTGGGATTACAGGTGTGAGCCACCACGCCTGGCCTCTGCCTAACTCTTAACATTGTCTATTCTACAATCTGGGCCCACTCTACCTACCCGGCTTCACTCCCCACAACTCTCCTATAGGAATCTTTACTTCCAGTGATAGTGGTTTCCTCATGAAGCCCTCCCAGCCCCATATTCCAAGACACTCTCTACTTGGAATGCCTTTGCTTATGCTGTCCCTGCACAGGGACACCCTTCATGGCCTTTCCACCCTTCACAGCCTTTCTTGCCCATTTGCCAAGATCCTGGGTAAGCTCATTGCCCCTGCTGCCCAGTCCATCCTTCACCTACAGCCACAGTATTGCACATCTACCAGGCACTTATACGTAGCACTTGTGTGTACCCGGTCAATGTGAGTCTCAAATTGCTCCAGCTGAGAAGCCAAACCTCACTGGATAAACAGAAATCTCCCCCAAAACAAGGGCTGAGACATCTTCAGCGTTACTGTGCTAAGTGTCAACCAGAGATTTAAAAATGCTTGCTGTCGGATCAGTGGGTTTCAGCCCCAGCGGACATCAGGAAGGAGACTCTTGTTCCAGATCCAAACACTCTGTCCTCATCTCTCTCCCCCTCACCATGGCAGCTGCAATCTCTTCCGGGCTGTCCCCATCCAGATCAAATCGGAAGGTCACCATCTTGCTGTTATGGGTCTGTAGCTGGCACTCAACCACTCTGTCATTCTGGTCTGAGACCTTCAGATTCAAAGTCAGCAGAGGGGAGAAGGTCAAGCCCTCTTCATCATGCTGTGTCTCCACCCTACCCCAGCCAAGTGACAGCAGCCACAATGGACTTGGAGATAAGTAGACCCCACCTCTAAAGTCTGGTATTAGAAACCAGACTGGCCGCCTCTTGAGTACTAGTCATACACTGCTTCTCCCGTTTTCTGGGTGACCTCCCCCGCCTCCCCCTGACACTTCCCTCCTGGCCCTGTAGGTTACTCTCTATCTCCTGTACTCCATCCTTACACTAGTGACCCGCAGCCGGGATCGGGGTCTGCGCCGGAGATTCCTCCCTGGGGGTCTCCTCATTTGTCCCATCCCTTCTCCCACATCGCTAAGGCCTGAAGCTGCATCTGAGGCATAGCTGTTAAAGAGAAAGGAGAGAGAATGACTGTCAGAGCAGACACTGGGACCCCAGTGCCCCAGGTGTCTCACCCTGGCACCCCAACTTGTACCAGAACATACCTGTCCCCGGGGGAAAAGTCACTTCCAGGGCCAGAACGTGGAATGGATAGGGCAAAAGCCTGAAACAGGATAAGGGTTCATGAGGTCAGGGGAAGATAACTGTTGAGATCTAGGGAGATGGTGTCAAGGATGCTGGGAGGATATTAGGGAGATGGAATTAGGGAAGAGGAGGGCAAGAATGGTGGATTTCCAGGGACATGGGACTGGATCATGAGATTGGGTTTCACAAGGAGGGAGATAGGTCATAGGCTTGGAATGGCTGGGAGCCCCCCATGCGACCCCCTCTCACCGAGGGCAGGCAGAGATGGGACTCAGCCAGGCTGGATGGCACCCCCCCAGGGGGCTGAAGGGCAGGGTCTGAGGCATCCAGGAAGCCGGAGGAGCTGAGGTAGCCATCAGTCTCGCAATCCGCTGGTTGGGGAGGGAGAGGATCAAAAAAAGGGGAAATAAAAGGGAATAGTGGCAGAGGATGGGGCCTGCCTAAGCAAGGAGGGGCCTGGAGCTGTGGGAGAGTTCCTTCCTGGAGGGAGCTTCATGGCTAGAGGTGGAAGGCAGGGTAAGTGACTGCTGTGGGGGTGAACTTCTGGGTAGGGGGCAGAGGCCAAGGTGTTCTGGGACCTACGTCTCAAGATCAGGGGTGACTTACAAGTGGTAGATGAGTAGCTGGCGTGGCGGAAAAGGAAGGGCTGGTGCTGGTCTGCCTCTGGCTCCTCAGGCTCAGGGGGGAAGACACTGGGGGGACCGGGGGCCATGGGCACAGTTGCTGGTGGAGGTCCTGGCTCTGGTGGGAGTGCCTCCAATTCCCTTGCTTTACGCAGCTTCTCACGCTTTCGCTGGATGGCAGCAACCCGTTCACGTACTGCACGGGCCACTGGCTGGTAATCGGCTTCACAGACCAAGCCCAGAGCCACCTGGAATTGGGGTGGGGGATGAGGAACACAGCTTGGGACCCCCTATCAAAGATCCATCAGGACGCCTTCTTGGGAACTCCAGGATATGGGAGGAAGAAAACCAACACTTACTGATTACCCACTATGTCTGTTAACTGGCAGCTCCTTACATTATCATCACTAGATCCTCCAAACAACCTTGTGGGATAAATCTTACCATTCGATTTTTAGAGATTAATGAAGTAGCTGGTTCATAGTTATACAGTAAGTCAGTGGTTTCCAATGGGAAGAAGAGATGTTTGGCACTATCTAGAGACATTTTTAGTTGCCACAACTGGAGGGTAGGTGCTACTGAATCTAGTGAGCGGAAGCCAGGGGTTCTTCTCAACATCCTACAATGCACAGGACAGTCCCTAAAACAAACATGTCAACAGTGCCAAGGCCAAGAATCCCTTGTCAGCAATGGATCAAGATTTGATCTCAGGTCAGGTTGGGCCGTGCTATGGAGACCTGCTCTAAATTTCTAACACATTCTCAGATTCTTGACCTACCGTAGGTGGTCTCCACCCTTGCAACTGTCATGTCTCTATTAAGAATCCCATACTCGGCCAGGCACGGTGGCTCACACCTGTAATCCCAGCAATTTGGGAGGCCAAGACTAGTGGGTCACTTGAGGTCAGGAGTTCGAGACCAGCCTGGCCAACATGGTGAAACCCCGTTCCTACTAAAAATACAAAAATTAGCTGGGCGTTGTGGCTTTTGCCTGTAATCCCAGCTACACAGGAGGCGGAGGCAGGAGAATTGCTTGAACCCAGGAGGCGGAGGTTGCAATGAGCTGAGATAGCGCCACTGCACTCCAGCCTGGGTGACAGAGTGAGACTCCATTACTCCCAAAAAAAGAATCCCATACTCCCTTCAGGACTTCCTAAGCCAGCCCCCAAGCTTCTGCCCTTGCATCTTATGCCTCTCCCCTTCTACCAGCTTCCATTCATCACCTCCTCATTCCTTTTAGCCGCAAGCTTTGCTGAATGAGTAAAGGAGGTGGGGAAGGGTAACCTGATTTAAAATCTGAACCACCTCAGTTTCAATCCAGCTCTTCCACTTACTTACTTGGGGCCCTGGACAAGGTATTCAACCTCTCTGAATTTCCATTTCCTCATCAACAAGTTGAGATAAAACTGCCCCCTATGCAGGATGGGTAGCAAAGATCAAATGCATGTGAAAGTGCTTTAAGCCATGTACAGATGTAGGCTATTAATGAGCTCTTACTATGTGCCAAGCACTGCCAGGGATAGAAGAATCGATAAAACACAGTCTCTGCCCTCAGGGAGTTTATAGTCTAGTGGAGAAGAAAGATAGGAACTTATTCAGGTTTAAGACAGGACCGATAGTGGGGAGTGCTGTAACCGAGAACATGCTGAAGTGGAAAGAAGCATTTAAGTTTGACTCCAAAGGGGACGGCTTCCCGAAATCGATGGTTCTGATCATATTGGAAGAAAAAGAAAAAGAAAAATGGGGAGGGAGGAAAGAAGGAAAAGATGAATTGGCAAGAAGGGCATCCCAGGAAGAACAGATCAGCTGGAGGTAAAGCAGGGACGCTGGAGGACCCAGGGCTCCCTCTGTAAAGGAAAACTGGGTGTGCGTGCGGGTAAGTTAGGGCTGGAGAGGTAGGGAGACGCTGCAGGAGATTTTGAGAGGGGTGAGGTGCCCCGCCCCCATCGCTGCCACCCCTCCTGCGCCCCATCCCTGTTGCACTGTCCCCTCGAGTCAATGTCCTTTACACGTCCAGTGGCAGCACAGTCTGTCCTCCGCTCACCATCTCCTGTGCCACCTCCTCGGCCGCGTCCCGGCCCAGCTGGAACAGGAACTCGATGGCCTGGTTGTCCCGTGGGCGCCCCCCGCGCCGCGCGTCCTCCATGCGCAGCCAGAGCTTGAGGCCCGGCTTCTCGCCGTCGTCCTCCTCCGCTAGTTCCACGTGCACACCGCGCTCCTCGCGGAAGAAGGCGTGGGCCAGGAGGTCCTGGATGGTGAACCTGAGGGTGACGCGTGGGTGAGCCGAGCCCGCCGCGGCCCGCGGCCCTATTCTACCCACGCTCTGCCCTTTCACCCCCACCTCTCGTTCTTATCCGTGCGGATGCAGCCTTCAATGATCTCCTTCACCTCGGGTATCTTCACCTTGTGGAAGCTGTTCGGCTTTCTGCCCTGGGGAAGGGGTTGCATGACACCTCCCGTCCTCTGATCCCCAGCTCTCGGCTTGACACCACCCCCCACCCCTTACTCCACTCCCTCCTTAGGCAGCTGCGCGTGCAGTTGCAAAAGCCTGACTGCTACTGGAAGATGTGATTTCAAATCCTAATCCCCGCCCCCCCCCCAAGTATTTACAGTGTGATCTTGAACAAGTCTCCCGCTGTTTGTTCATCTGTAAATCGCAGGGTGGAACATTTGCCCCGCTCACCTCACAGGGCAGCTGGAAGGATTGGATGAGAGATGGGATGCGAAATCATTTGTGAACTCTTGGGAGCACCACACATATTATTATTCTAAATAGCGTGTACTGGTGGGGGCGCGTGTGCACTCAATATCCTTCTGTGTTCACCAAGGCGACTCTGTGTCTAGCCTGTTTTCGTGCAGGCAAAGGGCATTGACTGCGGGCTGGCCGGCGCAGGAAAAGGGGAAGTGGCCCTGGAATTGCCTTTCCCGCCAGCCCCATCCCTCTCACCGAAGTGACCTTGCGGTAGATTTGCGCGGCATTCTGGCACTCGGAGTACGGGTACTCAGAGGTGGCCATCTCCAGCATGCACATGCCGAACGCGTACACGTCCACGGCCTCATCGTACTTTTCCTCGTACATCTCGGGGGCCATGAATTCCGGGGTCCCTGTAGGGTCCACAGCAGGGATCAGATTGCTGGGCACTCTGGCCTCGTCCTTCCCACTGGGCTAGGCAGCCCCAGGCAACCCTGCGAGTGCAAGTGACCCCGGCCCACAGTGGGGTTGAGGTGGGTGCCATAGGTCTCCTCAGCTTCCCTGTCGTCTGGTAGTTTTGTGGACCTTGAAGGCCCTTGCTGAGGGGAGGGAGTCCCCAGGTTCTCTTCTGAGGTGGGGGAGGAAGGAATGGCATGGACCCTCCTGGAGAGACGCACCGATGACACTCTTGGCAAAGGAGGCGCGCTTGAGCGTGGCCAGGCCCAGGTCCCCGATTTTGACAGAGCCAGTAGGTCCCGTGATAAAGACATTGTCGCACTTGAGATCCCGGTGCAGGATGGGAGGAACCCGGGAGTGTAGGAAATGAAGTCCCCGCAGGATTTGGCGGCTCCAGCGCTGAAGGACCCGCGGCTTCATCTCCCGGAACCGCCTCAGGTACCTGGGGGAGGGCGCATAGCCAGAGTCCTGGTGGGGGGACACGTCCTCCGGGAAGGAGCCCCCCACTGGGAAGTTCCCCCCTGCCGCACCCTGCTGCCGCCTCCGCATCTTCTGCCAGCATTCTCCTAGCCTATGTCTGCCCGGCCCCAGGGAGAAACTGAGTCAGGGGGCATGGTGGATAGACATGACGTTACCAAACGGGTTGGGAAGTAAATTGATAGATAGGGCCTCGGCCAAGGTGCTGTGGGAGCGCAGGAAGGGATGACTAACTGCCCCAAGCATGAGGGAGAGCTTCGGAGAGGAAATACTTTTGTGTTGCATCTTGAATGATGAGTAGGAGCTCAAAGGTGAAAGGGGGAAGGGATGGAGACTTCCCAGGCAGACAGGACACCGTGCTCAAAGGCACAGAAAAAGCCAGTGACAAGGCAGGGTGGGAGGAGGTGCCAGGAATTTGGTGTGTCTGGAGCTTAGGCTGAAAGTGAGGCTGTATCCTAAGGACTTTGTGAACAGGTGAGCCTGTGTGGGCTTTATTCCAAGGCCATGAGAAACTTTGAAGGGGTTTTAAGGAGGGGAGTGACAGTTCAGATTTTCAACTGGGAAAGATTCTCCAGGCTGCAGGAAGATAGGATCGCTTAGAGGGTGGCAGAGTTTGGGAAGGCCCTTTAGGAGGCTGCTGCAGGGCTCCAGATCAGCGAGATGGCATTGAGGTGGTGGCATGGATGAAGCAGTGAAAGCCAGGTGGGGAGAGGTTAAGGAAAGACTTGGGGACAGACTGATGAGGGGGCAGAGTGGAGAAAGAGGAGTCTGGGGAGACACCCAAGTATTTTACTGGAGTGCTGGGTGGACATTGCCACTCACCGAGGCAGGGACAAAGGTTGGGTGAGAGGGAGATGGTGAACCTGGTTTTACACCTGGATATTAGAGAGTTTGAGGAGCCTGGGAGTTCAGGAAGCAGTGGGCACACATCCCAGCCTCCCTCTCCCCACCCACTCATGCGCAGAGCTCACGTCTTGAGCGTGCCCGAGGTCATGAGTTCGGTGACCAGCACGATGCAAACCTGGCCCCTCAGCACCGACTTCCACGAATCATAGAAGCGGACGATGTTGGGGTGCTGCAGCCCCTTGAGCATCTCCACCTCCTCTGAGAAGCGCTGCCGCTCAGCTCTAGACAGTTTCCGAGTCTGTGGGATGGGGGACGGGTGTCATGTCAGGCCCAGGACACCCACAGAAAGGAAGAGGGACACCTGGAGTGGGGTTGGGGGAAGAGGTGAGGGTTGGAGCCCACAGATGGGGTGGGGTTAATGGGATTACTTGCCCAGTGGGCTGCAGACCCTGAACTCTCCAACAGTCCCGCACGTAAGCTGATCCAAGGACACACCCAACCTGGGCCTGGGGCAGCCCCCTAGACCCCCTGCTGGACACAAGCACCTTTATGCAGCCCGGTCCCAGAGCCCTGAGCTCAATAGTGCCTTTGTGGCTGCCCAGGCCGGCCATGGGGCGGGAGGGGGCACCCGGGGGCTGGCAGTGAGCAGGCAGCAGGCGGGCAGCAGGATACTGCGGGCAGGGAATTGGGGCCGGCAAGGGGGTTGGCCCCAGAAACAGAACTGCTAGATCCAGACGGAAGGCGGGAGGGATATGGAGGGAGGTACTGAGAAGGAAAGAAAAGATCCAGGACTAGGCGCCAGGAGGCTGCCCACCCCCATAGTCGTCCCGCCCCGGCTCCTCTCCCTCCCCTCACCCCCCAATTTGGCTGCCTCTCCTGGCCTGGCCCAGAGCCTGGGGCGCGGCACTGGCAGGCGCAAGGGGCGAGCCCTGTGCCAGGGCTGGAGAGGGACCCTTCCCCTAGGCTCTGTCCCCTGATCTGAATCGGAAGCTTCAGGCCCCAAGTTGACTGGGTTCTCCTAACCCATATGTAGCATGGGAGCAATGGGAGGAAGGTCCCCCTAAAGCCCATGGGCTTAGTGCCTTTAGGTCTGGGAAGGGAGAGCACAGGTAGGCAGTGGGATGAGGAGCAGAACTGGACTCACTCGAGAGCTGGAGCTCCCTATGTCCCCCTCCTCGCAGCTGTGGAGAAGTCCAGAAGTCTGACTGCTCCAGAAGGGGTTAGGGGGCCCTATTCTGCCACAACTGCCCTAAATCTTCTGGAGTTGGAGATGACCCTTGCCCAGCTCCTGGCTTCCCGCATCCCAGCCTCCTGGTCTGCAAATAGGTGGGGGACGGGAGGAGTGAGGGGATCAAGAGGACCAGGGTCATAACTGAGGATCTCAGGACTTAGGGGAGAGGAAGGGATTGCGGGTACCCACCAGCAGGAAACTGACCTGAACTGGCTCCCCTGCCTAACTTCCCATCCTATTTTCCACCTCTCAGGGTTGAGTATGGAGACTTTAAAGTGAGAATGTTCATACCCATGGGGGAGTCACCAGACACCACCTGCCTCAATCTCTCCTTCTGCAGCCCAGAGTCAGCCAGATCATTCAGGGCAAAGACAGCAGAGGTGTCTATAGACATTTGACTGGAAAAATACATGCTTCCCTTGATGCTGTCTCCCCCACCCTCTGTCTGTCATCCTAAGACCTCCAGAGTCCCATCCCAAGGTGCCACCGAGGGGGCTCCCAGCCGCACCTGCAGCTCACACCAGGCCACCTCCACTGTGGTGTCGGTGTCTAGCCCTCGATACACCGTCTTGAAGGAGCCACGTCCAATCTCGATGTCAAACTTGAGGTATCGGCCATCGGGGGACGTTGCCACAGCCTGGGTCTCCATGTCCTCCTTTTCTTCCTGCTCCCGCCGCCGCTCTAGGGCCACAGCTTCAGGGACCCTTAGCGGCTCCCTGGACCCCGGGCCCACTGCAGAGTCCGGGAGCTCGGGACGCGCGGAGTCTTCCGCAGCCTTCACAGGGGCTCCCTCGGTCCACGTGCCCTCGGGGGGTTCTTTGGAGCTAGGCGGTGGGCTCCTCGCGGGGCCAGGACCAGCGGAGTCCGGAGGATCGGGGGGGTCCGGAGCGGGTGAGGCTGGCAGGGACCAAGAGCTCAGCAGCCCCAAGTCGACTGAGCTACGGCGGCTGAGACGAGAAGAGCGCGGCCGGGGCTCAGCCTTCCCGGAGAAGCGGCGCGCTCGGCGAGGAGGGGGCCCGAGGCGGGGCTGCCCCGCGGTGCCAAGAGGAGGCGGGGGCCGCAGGGCCAGGTCGGCCTCAGTCTGGGACATGAGGACGGTGGTCTCCGTGGCCGGGGATGCCAACATGAGGAAGAGCAGGGCGCCGAAGGGTAGAAAATCAGACGGCCGGAGAGGAGGCGGCCTGACAGACGGACTCGCTGGGTGCGCTGCGCTCCGGCTGAGCGGCTGCGGCCCCAGCCCCCAGCTCGGCCTGGCCCCGCCCCCGTCGCCGCCCCGCGGCCCGCCCTTGCCCCCCAGGGCCGCCCCTCCGAGCTGCTCCCGCGGTGCGGATCCCGCGAGCAGCCCCTCACCTTAGTCACCGCCCCGCCCAGCCGCGTCCCCTTCTTTCCCGAGCCCCCGGCCGCAGTCTCACTCTGAGGCCAGAACTGAGTGGGAGACCGCGGAGCATCCTCCCGCACTAAGAGTGAGCAAACCTGTTTGTGCGCGGAGGAGGGCAGGAGAGAACGACACCCGGACCCTAGTGGGGGATTACTTAGGGGGAGGCTACCACCCTCCTGCACACCCCAGATAAGGCAGCACCACCCCCTCCTAACTGTCCGGAGTAGCCCCAGGCCGAACGGAGAGGTCAGTGGAAAGGTCTGACGTTGTTGTCCCTCTGGTCTGCATAGGGAATGGGTGTGTACTCCCCAGGATAAGTCCCTCCCCCAAACCGAGAGCCCGGTCATCCATCCCCTCCAGGCCACCTTGGCCGCAGCCTAACCCTGGCCAGAGTGGCTGTTTTTGCTATATGGGCTCTCCTTCCTCCCCTTCTGTTTGCCAGTCTCCAATAAACCAAAGTCCACATCCGGCTTACCCCCCTCAGCTCCCCTTGGCCACAGTTACCCCACCCAGACCAGATGGGTGGAGGGAGGGGCTTCAGAGTAGTTCAGGACTTCCATGAGGGAGATGGTGAGGGAAGGGGGAGCCCTTAAGTGACTCCAATTCAGAGAGAAAGCAGTCTGTCCCCAAGCTGTGTTCCATCAGCACTCCTCCACACAGCCCACCCAGCAGATGTAAAACCACAGGCTCACTGGAGCCCACAGGGCCCTGGAGGACCTTTTCTTCTACAAAAGCCATAAGCTTTCTTTTCTCTCCCCTCTCCCAGGCTGGGATTTACTCAGGTGGCAACACTTCACAGCCCTCCCCATCCCCATTCCAGTACTGTAGTAATTTAAGAGGCAGGCAGTGGGAGTTGAGATTTTAATATCATAAATCGGTGTGGGGCCACACCTCTCACTGCCAGGCCCGTGGGCCTCCTATCTTCATATTGCCTGGAAGGCTGCCTGCAGCCAGGGCTTCCCCCATCCCCTAGGAAGGATCCAGCACCAGCCTGAGAAGGGAGGCAACAGCAGCTAAAGGGGTGGGAGGAGGAGGAGACAGAAGCATGTGCTGCAGGCGCATGTGTGTATGTACTTACATGTGTGAACACATATAAAGTGTCAGGTTTACAGACCCTGGCTCAAGGACAGTCTAGGATGGGAAAGGAGGTAGGGCGAGAAGAAGCACATATTTTCTCCCTGGTGCTTCAGCCTCACCCTATCCAAGGGACAGACATATGGGGTGTGAGAAACCCATCCCCAGGTCCCAGCCTTCAGGACTGGAGTCCTTTTGAGTCTGGTGGAGTCACAGATCCAGTCTTTGGGGGACACTGGGTCTGTCTCCTTTTGAAAGCCCTGGAAAGGTGGGAGGTAAGAAGTAAAGGGAGACAGGTCCCTGCTAGAAGAACTTGACGCCTCGGCCATCGCTGACAGTGATGATCTCGGCCTTGTGCTCCTGCTGTAGGGCCTGCAGAGCCCGCAGTAGAGTGGCTTCATCCAGCCCGTGGAACTCTGAACAGGGAGAGATAGGCAGAGACAATCAGCTCCTGAGGCCCAAGGCCTCTGAGGAGAGTGCTCTGGCTGGAAGCCGAGACCTCCCAGAGGCAGGGTATGCATAAGCCATCTATACTGCTACAGCTGCCATCCACACTTCCCAGGCACTCCTTAGGAGTAAGGGGTGGAAGAAAGCCTGAATCAGCATGAAATGAGTTTGTGCTTATTTCCCCCTTCTTGGTTCTCCTCTCAGACTCAGCCTCCCCCACACCTAGCATTTGTGTCTGATGCACGAGAATGACACCATCTGCTTCAGGGCCACAAAGGGGCCGTGAAAATCAGGCCTAGGGAGATCGGAGCCATTGTCACTAGACACTGACCCTAGAGGATCTATCCTAACACAAAGAATATAGCCAGTACCCCTGGCCAGGAGACTGTTAAACTCCAGCACTATTATCTGCCCTTTTTCTAGCTTTTAGCTGGGAGCACAGGCCAGGCGCGGTGGCTCACGCCTGTAATCCCAGAACTTTGGAAGGCTGAGGTGGGAGGGTCACTTGAGATCAGGAGTTCTAGACCACCCTGGCCAACATGGAGAAACCCTGTCTCTACTAAAATTACAAAAAATTAGCTGGGCATGGTGGTGGTCACTTGTAATCCCAGCTACTCAGGAGGCTGAGGCAGAAGAATCACTTGAACCCGGGAGGTGGAGGTTGCAGTGTCAAGATCGTGCAACTGCACTCCAGCTTGGGGGACAGAGCAAGACTTTGTCTCAAAAAAAAAACCAAAAAAATTGGGGAGCCTATGGCTAGCTGAGTATGTGGAGATATGGTAAGATACTGCAGGGAGATGTGGGAGGCAGCAGGCAAGCCCTGACAGGCTTGCTTACCTCACCCCCTGTGGGGGCTCAGCTAAGTCAGGGAGCTTGCTTTCTGAGGAAACCTACAACTTTGCCCAACCTGAGTGGTGGGCTAGGCAAGGCTACAGTGCTGAAATCATGGGGTGATGGTGGGAGTAGCAAGCAGAGACCTGCAGGGCAGCAGGGGGAACAGCCAAGAGCTATAAACTCTGCTAGGGCAGCCAGGGCCTGGCAGAAAGGGGAGACACCCTCTGTTATCCCAGCTAAGATCGAAACTTGTGGTGATCCAGAGGATCAGAATCTGGAGTCGGAGAAAAAGAACTAAGAGTGTTTACGCTATGTAAAAATCAAACACTATACAAATCCTTGCCTGGCCAGAAACCAAAGTATATAAATGGGCTGGGGGTGTTGGCCTAATCTCTTCAGCTGACACCCACAGATCTTGAGCCCTCTATAAGAATAAAGGGTGAAAGAGAGCCTGAGTCAGCAAGGAATGAGATTTCAAGCTTAATCCCCTGCCCTTGTTTCTCATTCGGCATCTATAGCAGATGCTGAATGAAGAAAGTTATTTATAATTTTTTTTATTGTTATTATTTTTATTTTCTGAGACGGAGTCTCGCTCTGTCATCCAGACTAGAGTGCAGTGGTGCGATCTTGGCTTACTGCAACCTCTGCCTTCGGGTTCAAGCGATCCTCCTGCTGCAGCCTCCCAAGTAGCTCAGATTACAAGCATGCACCACCATGCCCGGCTAATTTTTGTATTTTTAGTAGAGACGGGGTTTCACTATGTTGGCCAGGCTGGTCTGGAACTCCTGACCTCAGGTGACCCACCTGCCTCGGCCTCCCAAAGTGCTGGGATTACAGGCGTGAGCCACTGCACCCGGCCTATTGTTATTTTTTAAGATAGCATCTCGCTCTGTTGCCCAGGCTGGAGTGCAGTGGCGTGATCATAGCTCACTGCAGCCTTGACCTCCTGGGCTCAAGTGATCCTCCCACCTAAGCCTTCTGAGTAACTGAGACTACTGGTGCACAGCACCATGCCCAGCTGATTTTTAAATTTTTTGTAGAGACAGGATCTCCCTGTGTTGCCCAGGCTGGTCTCAAACTCCTGACCTCAAGCAATCCTCCCACCTTAGCCTCCCAAAGTGCTAGGATTACAGGCACGAGCCACTGTGCCCAGCTGAAAGTGAAATTCTTAACTTTTCATGGGTCATAGATGCCCTTGGAAATCTTGTAATATCTAATCTATCCCTAGAAAAATGCACATGCATCCACAAAAACAAAATTTGGGATTTTTTGCATGTGAATTCAGGTGGCTTATGGAATCCTTGGACATGGGTTAAGAACTTAGAATCGCTTGAACATAGGAGGCGGAGGTTGCAGTGAGCAGAGACTGCGCCACTGCACTCCAGCCTGGGATACAGTGACTCTGTCTCAAAAAAAAAAAAAAAAAAACAGGCGGGGCACAGTGGCTCACGCCTCTAATCCCAGCACTTTGGGAGGCCAAGGCAGGCGGATCACGAGGTTAGGAGTTTAAGAACAACCTGGCTAACATGGTGAAACCCCATCTCTACTAAAAATACAAAAAATTAGCCAGGCGTGGTGGCGCACACCTGTAATCCCAGCTACTCAGGAAGCTGAGGCAGGAGAATCGCTTCAACCTAGGAGGCGGAGGTTGCAGTGAGCCGAGATTGCAACATTGCACTCCAGCCTGGGTGACAGAGCAAGACTCCATATCGGAAAAACAAAACAAAACAAAACAAAAAATTAACTATGAGTGGGAAGGGAAAGGCATTACCCTCATCCTCTGTGTCTTCCCCATTAGTCAGTTCATACAGGGTAAAGACGGAGTTGTTCTGGCCACTCCTGGAAACCTGTGAATACAGAAAATGAGGAGTGAATTAGAACCAAGAATCTCCTGGGAGACAGTAAATTCATCAGCTCCACCCCTCTGATCCAGGAATGATACCTATTCCCAAACCAGGACTCACTGTCGCCTCTGCAGAGTGGCCTAAAAGCCATAAACCCTACAAGTGCTATATTTATATGTGTACACACTCATTTGGAACCACTAAACCACAGGTCTTCACGTGTCTGAGGAGTGACCTTGACCTCTCATTCTGGTTGTTTTCCTGTTCAAGAATGGATGGTGTGTATTTGTTATATTTAGAATGTTGATGCTTCTTACCCTCTTCTCTTCCTTGGGAATGTTTGGGACTGGTGGTTTAGGGGGAAGAGTATTCTGTCCCCACACCCACACTGATTCAGAATATCTCATTCATGTTGTGGACAGTCCCATAACAGTGCAGTGGGGGAGGGGCCCCAGGTTTTTTCCCTTCCTTTCCCCATTTATCTCCTGTGGCCAGAGGCTCCAGCCAACAATAGCACTCAGGGTTCCCAGTTCTGCATTCTCCAAATATGGCCTCACATAGCCCCCGGCCTCCTACAGGCAAAGAAAGGGAGGTTCTATGCAGCCAAAGACATTGAGTCACTTAAAGAGGTTTCCCTAGAAGGCCTACACTTCCTCTTTCTGCCCCCTCCCCATTTTGCTCAGTCTGGATCTGGGAACACCGGCTATCTGCTAGGCCCTAATATAGTTAACCTTTTCCATGGGTCACTGTTGAATACTTGGCAGAATAATGATCTCACCCACTGATAGATGAGTTTCCCCCATTCTTCTGGCCTCCGCCACATGATCAGGAAGCTGGACTTGCTCTTATCCAACCACTCGAGGTTCCCTGTAAAACAGATACTTATGAAAGCATAACCAGGCGCGCAGTGGCTTACACTTTGGGAGGCCAAGGCGGGAGGACTGCTTGAGCCCAGGAGTTCGAAACTAGCCTGGGCAACATGATGAGACCCTACAGAAAATACAAAAAAATTCTCTCTATAGAAAATACAAAAAATTAGCCAGGTGTGTGGTGACACATGCCTGAGGTCTCAACTACTCAGGAGGCTGAGATGGGAGGATCACTTGAGCCTGGGAGTCGAGGCTGCAGTGAGATAGGACTGAGCCACTGCACTCCAGCCTGGATGACAGAGTGAGACCTTATCTCCCCACCCAAAAAAAAAGTATCATGAACTAAAAAGAAACAAAGAGGCAAAAAAATACCAAGGTGGGACAGAGTGGAAGAGACTCAGCTTTCAGAAAGAAAGATTCAATATTTATTTTACTATTATTATCTACAAGGCACTCATCCTTCTTCCACTTCTCTTCAGGTTTAGGGCACAGACAGAGATTTCAATTTTGTGTACAAAGAAGAAAGGACTTGGGAATTGGGCTGCCTACTTTACAGAAGACTCTGGCCTTCAAGCCAGGAGAGAGAAAAAGTTATTAAAGGGAAAAAGACTTATCCTAATTTGCCCTCAGGAAAACCCAACTAGGAAGAAAAATAAGGAATCTGGGGAACTGAACCCACCTTTCTTCCTCAGTTCCTCTAATACAATCTGGATCGACTCCACAGGAAGCTTTCCTGGTTTAAGGTTAAGGGAACGGCATACACATGAGTTGGGTAGGATAAAAATTTTCAGAGCCAGTCCCATGTTGAGAAACACCTGCCCCTTCCTCTCCCACACACATATGTGTGCAATTTCCCAACATGATATGAATTGGCATTTCCTGGATATTCAAAGGAGGAAGGTAAAGAGAAACTCTTCCAATTAAAAGGAGCTTTATGTGATTGTGCCACTGCATTCCAGCCTGAGCAAGAGAGGAAGACCCTGTCTCCAAAAAAAAAAAAAAAAAAGAAAGAAAGAAGCTTTAGAAAATGAAAGGTACTGTCATTCCTCACCCTCTGTCTGTTGCCTTCCTTCAGCCTTTCTCCACAGATATTTTAGGGATGAATCAGGCAGCAAAAACAAATGACCCTTACTTCCTGGCAGGAGGGGGGCAGAGAAAATAATTAAAGGTAGTTACCCAAGTCTGGGCCTCACACAGAAAAGGATGGAAGATACAAATAGTCAAAAGGGTTTAGGTTAAAAAACTTGGAACTTGGCTTCAGGGCAGAAATTCTAAGACCTTAATGACATCCGAGCAGTCATCACTGCCAAGAACAAGAGGGTATGGTACTGCATTTGCCAGGGGAAAATGTCAGCTACACATTTTCACTCTTTAAGTCCAGTTTGGGTGGGAATCTGCCTACCATGGGTAAAAGGGGGCTGGCGCGGGGGGGCGTCTGGGCATGTGTGAAAGCGCAGAAGTGCATGTGTATGGGCTGTGGAAGAGCCTGAGGGAGGATACGCTGTAGCTTGACGTTGTTGAAGAGCGGGCTCTCCTGAGCTTCCATCACCGTCATGCTGGACTGTTTGTGCAGGCGGCAGAAGGACAGGACCAGCGAGCACCAGGCGGCCAGCTGCTTCTGCCGAGTGTCCACATTCGGTTGTAACCTGCCGGGTGAAGGGAGTGGGGCGCAGAATTAGAGGGCGGGAGGCAGCACTTGCCCGGGACGCATTTCAGGAAGAAAGTAAGGGACTGAGGGTGTTGGCCGACGGGTCTTTTCTCCCCCTCCCCATATGAAGCATCAGGGCTGAGCCCAGGGTCCGGGGGAGGGGAGGGAGGCACAGCGGTGCTTCTTGGGGTCTGAGCCTCACGTAAAGAAGGGTGGGAAGCGATACTGCCACGGCCACTCGAAACTCATCGCCATCGTAGTAGCCCAGGAAACCCGGAAGCTACCGGCTAAGGACTTCCGGCCTTCGCTTCCGCACGTCCGGGCAGAAGGCAATGCAGAAAGGTTCCGGAAGCCTTTCTGGAAAGAGAGAGACCGGCAGGAGGAGTCCTCGTCATGACCCAGTCCCTCGCTGTTATCCTAAAAAGCCCTATCTTTTGGAGCAGGAAGAGTCCTGGGAAGTCTTCTGGTTCAACCCCAGAGAAAGGTCATGTCTTCCCCAAAGCGGCGAATTTTTGTTGCTGAAGTAGAACGGCAAATAAAGCCCAGATCTCCAGATCCCAGCCTACCTTTGTTTCCTCTATACTAGGCTTCTTTTAATATTAACATTTCTGTGAATTGCCATTTAATTTGATCAACTCACAATTACCCAAGCTCAATTCCAATGTCCTTTGTTTTATTTTTAATTTTTTATTTATTTATCTGTTTATTTATTTTTGAGAAAGGTCTCCCTTTGTTGCCCAGGCTGGAATACAGTGGCACAATCACAGCTCACTGCAGCCTCTACCTCCTGAGATCTGGCGACCGTCCGGCTTCAGCCTCCTGAGTAGCTGGGACTACAGGTGCACACCACCGCACCCAGTTATTAAATACATTTTGTTGTTGTTTTGGTACAGATGGGCGTCTCACCAAACTCCTGGGCTCAAGTGATCCTCCTGCCTCGACCTCCCAAAGTGCTGGGACTACAGGAGTGAGTTAACGCTCCCAGCAACCCGGCTAATATTTTCTAGAGATGGGCACTCACTATGTTGGCCCAGGTTGGTCTCAAACTCCTGGGCTCAAGCGATCTCCAGACCTCAGCCTCCCAAAGGGATAACAGGTGACCAACCCGGCCCTCCAATTTCCTTTGACTTCACCATTCCTCAGGCTCCTGCAGCACCCATGGGAGCACACTTTGTAGCTTGAATCACTAGAGACAGCCCTACTTCCATGATTCAGAGCTGCAGGCTTTGACCACAACCACCCATCTCTCACCTCTGCCATGACCTCGCCTTTCTTGTCTCAAGACCTAGGACCCCTTTTGGTTTTATCAGACTCCTTACCCAGCCTAAACTACTCAATTCTGTCCCCTTACCTACCTACCTACCTACAGGTCAGTTCCCAAACCAATGATCGTTGCTCCATTTCCCCCACCTCTTTTTTTCACTCCTGGGCTCTGGAGTATTGCTGGAAGAAAAATAACCAGAACATGTTTGCCAAGCCCTAGATTCCCTGACTAGCCTCACTACCGGGCTCTAAGGGCAGCTCTGTGATCCTTTGTCTTTTATTGACTCCGTCACCCTCAAGATAACTATTCAAACTTTTCCACATTCATCAAGGCACTCCACCTGTCCCCATGTCTCTGCTCTCTGCAGAACGCCTTTCATTCCTGCTTTATGAGATTGAGGCCATGCATGTGAACCCTTTAAGTTTTCCCTCTGTCTGTCTCTATACTTGATTCATCGCTCAAAAATTTCTCTCCACTTTTACTCCTTCTTTTTTTTTTTTTTTTTTTTTTTTTGAGACGGAGTCTTGCACTGTTGCCGGGTTGGAGTGCAGTGGCTTGATCTCAGCTCACTGCAACCTCTGCCTCCCTGGTTCAAGCGATTCTCCTGCCTCAGCCTCCCTAGAAGCTGGGATTACAGGCATGAGCTACCACACCCAGCTAATTTTTGTATTTTTAGTAGAGACGGGGTTTCACCATGTTGGTCAGGCTGGTCTCAAACTCCTGACCTCAAGTGATCCGCCCACCTCGGCCTCCCAAAGTGCTGGGATTACCAACCGCATCCAGCCTACTCCTTCCTTTTGGACTCAGAAGAAGTGTTGCACCCTTTGGCATATGTTCTTGCCTCCCCTTTTCAACTTCCTCCAGGACTTCTCTATCATCTTCCCTCTCGCCCTTGCCCTTAGCTCCTCTCCCATATACTATAAATATGCACAGGTCTTCCTTAATTAAAAATATGTAAACCCTTGGCCAGGCTTGGTGGCTCATGCCTGTAATCTCAGCACTTTGGGAGGCCGAGGCAGGTGGATCACGTGAAGTCAGGAGTTGTTCAAGATCAGCCTGGCCAGCATGGTGAAACCCCGTCTCTACTAAAAAATACAAAAAAATAGCCGGGCGTGGTGGTGGGCACCTGTAATCCCAGCTACTTGGGAGGCAGAGGCAGGAGAATCGCTTGAACCCGGGAGGCGGAGGTTGCGGTGACGCGAGATCGCGCCATTGCACTCCAGCCTGGGCGACAAGAGCAAAACTCCATCTCAAAAAATAATCATAATAATTATATATATATATTTTTTAGACGGAGTTTCGCTCTTGTCACCAAGGCTGGAGTGCAATGGCGCGATCTCGGCTCACCGTAACCACTGCTTCCCAGGTTCAAGCAATTCTGCCTCAGCCTCCCAAGTAGCTGGGACTACAGGCATGCGTCACCACACCTGGCTAATTTTTGTATTTTTACTAGAGATGGAGTTTCACCATCTTGGCCAGGCTGGTATCGAATTCCTGACCTCGTGATCCACCCGCCTCGGCCTCCCAAAGTGCTGGGATTACAGGCGTGAGCCACTGCACCTGGCCCAATAATAATGATATTTACATCCCTTGGTATCATAGCAAGACTCCATCTATACAAAAAATTTTAAAAATTAGCCAGGCATGGTGACACATGCCTGTAGTCCCTACACTTTGGGAGGCTGAGACAGGAGGATTATTTGACCCCAGGAGTTTGAGGCTGCAGTGTGGTATGATCGCACCACTGCACTCCAGCCTGGATGACAGAGCAAGACCCTTTCTCTTAAAGAAAAAAAAAAAGTACAGGCTGGGCGTGGTGGCTCACACTTGTAATCCCAGCACTTTGGGAAGCTGAGGCGGGCGGATCACTTGAGATCAGGAGTTGGAGAGCAGCCTGGGCAACATGGTGAAACCCTGTCTTTACTAAAAATACAAAAATTAGCTGGATGTGTTGGTGCACATGCCTGTAATCCCAGCTATACAGGAGGCTGAGGCACAAGAATTGCTTAAACCCAAAAGGTAGAAGTTGCAGTGCCTAGATCACACCACTGCACTCCAGCCTGGGAGACAGAACGAGACTCTGTATCAAATAAATAAATAAATAAATAAGTACAAACCTTGACCTTGTCATCATCTGATCTCAATTTTCTGTCTGATTTCCAACCTTTCCCTCACCCAAATCCTTCACGCGCACAGTTCCTGTGACCTTAGTTTCTGGGTAAAAGAAAAAAAAAGAAAAGGCCAGCTGCAGTGGCTCACGCCTGTAATCTCAGCACTGTGGGAGGCCGAGGTGGGCGGATCACTTGAGGTCAGGAGTTCAAGACCAGCCTGGCCAACATGGTGAAACCTCGTCTCTACAAAAAATACAAAAAATTAGCCAGGCATGGTGGTGCACGCCTGTAATCCCAGCTACTCGGGAGGCTCAGGCTGGAGAATTGCTGGAACACAGGAGGCTGAGGTTGCAGGGAGCTTAATCGCGCCACTGCACTCCAGCCTGGGTGACAGAGCGAGACTCCGTCTCAAAAAAAAAGAAATTAAAAAAAAATAAGTAAAAACACTGTGCACTGTACTTAGTCCACAGAATGACCAACAAATATTTGTTAAATGGATGAATGAATGAACCATTCAGTTGATAATACCTTCTCAAAGCTCACTATTTCCGTTGACTTTATGGCACTCCTTTTTTTTGAGATTGAGTTTTGCTCTCATTGCCCAGGCTGGAGTGCAATGGCAAGATCTCAGCTCACTGCAACCTCCGCCTCCTGGGTTCAAGCAATTCTCCTGCCTCAACCTCCCGAGTAGCTGGGATTACAGGCATGTGCCATCACACCCAGCTAATTTTATATTTTTAGTAGAGACGGGGTTTCTCCATGTTGGTCAGGCTGGTCTCAAACTCCCAATCTCAGGTGATCCGCCTGCCTTGGCCACCCAAAGTGCTGGGATTACAGGCGTGAGCCACCGGCCCAGCCTTTTTTTTTTTTTTTTTTTTTTTTTTTTGAGGTGGAGTCTCGCTCTTTCGCCCAGGCTGGAGTGCAGTGGTGTGATCTTGGCTCACTGTAACCTCTGCCTCCCGGGTTCAAGCAATTCTCCCTGTCACAGCCTCTTGAGTAACTGAGATTACAGGCACCGCACCACGCCTGGCTAATTTTTGTATTTTTTAGTAGAGACAGGGTATCACCATGTTGGCCAGGCTGGTCTCGAACTCCTGACCTCAGGTGATCCGCCTGCCTCGGCCTCCCAAAGTGCTGGGATTACAGACGTGAGCCACCATGGCTGGCCTTTGACACTCCTTTATTCTTGTTCTGCTATTACATCTCTGATCTTCCCTCTGTCCCTCTTATTTGTTTATTTATTTTTGAGATGGAGACTTGCTCTGTCGCCCAGGCTGGAGTGCAGTGGCATGATCTTGGCTCACTGCAACCTCCACCTCCCGGATTCAAGCGATTCTCCTGCCTCAGCCTCTCCATTAGCTCTCCAGACTACAGGCGCCCGCCACCACGCCCGGCTAATTTTTTGAATTTTTAGTAGAGATGGGGTTTCACTGTGTTAGCCAGGATGGTCTCAATCTCCTGACCTCGTGATCCGCCTGCCTTGACCTCTTAAAGTGCTGAGATTACAGGCGTGACCCCACCACGCCCAGCCTATTTATTTGTTTTTTTGAGACAGGGTCTTACTCTGTTGCCCAGGCTGGAGAGTGCAGTGGTGTGATCTTGGTTCACTGTAGCCCGACCTCCCAGGCTCAAGCGATCTTCCCATCTCAGCCTTTTGAGTAGCTGGGACTACAGGCATGCACCACCACACCCGGCTAACTTTTAAAATTTTTGTAGAGATGGGTTTTTGCCATGTTACCCAGGCTGGTCTCGAACTCCTAAACTCAATCAATCCTCCTGCCTCAGCCTCCTAGTGCTGGGATTATAGGCATAAACCACTGCACCCAGCCCTTTTCTCATTCTTTAAGTGTGATGTTTCCTAAGAGTGTAACTCAGCCTTCTTCTTTTCTTTTCTTTTTCTTTTTTTTTTTTTTGAGACCAAGTCTCGCTCTGTTGCCCAGGCTGGAGTGCAGTGGCATGATCTTGGCTCACTGCAACCTCTGCCTCCCAGGTTCAAGCAATTCTCCTGCCTCAGCCTCTCTAGAAACTGGGATTATAGGCGCACACCAACATGCCTGGCTAATTTTTGTATTTGTGGTAGAGACAGGGTTTCATCATGTTGGCCAGGCTGGTCTTGAACTCCTGACCTCAGGTAATCTGCGCACGCCTTGGCTTCCCAAAGTGCTGAGATTACAGGCACGAGCCACTGCTCCCGGCCAGCCTTCCTCTTTTCAATGAACCATTCTGTCTTAGAGTTCTCATCTATCTAATGGCGTTACGGCGCACTTCCGTGCAGGAGACTCCCACACCTATATTTCCAGACCCAACCTCTTTCCACTCCCATCCCCCCATTTCTAACTCTCTGTGGAACATAACAGCTTGTTCCACTGTTACCTTATAATTGTACATTCTTTTCTTCAGGACAGTTCTTCCTCCTCAATGGCTCTTTTCTATTATTACTGCCATAATTGTCCTAGTAACTCAAGTCCAAAGCCTGAGTCACCCCTAACCTCTCCTCTCCCTCAGCCCTGGCCTCTCCCTCCTGTTTTATCCAAGTCCTGCTAATTTCCTCCCTAGGGGAGAGAGTAGAAAGGGAGGTGAATTAGGAAATTATTGCAATAATCTAGGCTTGAGAAAATGAGGACATGGAGCAAAGGAGTGTTGAATGGGGAAGTGGACAATATGCCCTAAAGATATTTTGAGTTTTCACCTGAAATAAAGGTTTGCTTTATTTCCATGAATGCATCTGTTTTCCCTAAAGATATATCTACTCCCTTCATGGCATGTATTTGCCTTCATGCATTTCATGAATATACATCAAGGGTCTGTTGGTATTTTTTTTATTTTTTTTAGAGACAGGGTTGCCAGTGGTGGAGTGCAGTGGCCCAATCATACCTCACCATAACCTTGAATCCCTGATCCTCCCCACTCAGCCTCCCAAGTAGCTGGAACTACAGACATGTGCCACTACATCCAGCTGAGTTCTTATTTGTTTGTTTGTTTGTTTGTTTGTTTTTGAGACAGAGTCTCACTCTGTTGCCCAGGCTGGAGTGCAGTGGCACGATCTTGGCTCATTGCAACCTCCGCCTCCCAGGTTCAAGTGATTCTCCTGCCTCAGCCTCCTGAGTAGCTGTGACTACAGGTGCATGCCACCATACCCAGCTTTTTTTTTTTTTTTTAGACGGGGTCTCACTCTGTCGCCAGGTTGGAGTGCAGTGGCGCAACTGCAACCTCTGCCTCCTGGGTTCAAGCGATTCTCCTGCCTCAGTCTCCTGAGTAGCTGGGACTACAGGCGCGTGCCACCACACCCGGCTAATTTTTTGTATTTTTAGTACAGATGGGGTTTCACTGTGTTAGCCAGGATGGTCTCAATCCCCTTACCTCGTGGATCCACCCACCTTGGCCTCCCAAAGTAGTGCTGGGATTACAGGCGTGAGCCACTGTGCCAGCTTTTTTTTTTTTTTTTTTTTTTTTTGAGACAGAGTTTCGCTCTGTTGCCCAGGCTGGAGTGTAATGTTGCGTTCTCAGCTCACTGCAGCCTCTGCCTCCCAGGTTCAAGCGATTCTCCTGCCTTAGCCTCCGGAGTAGCTGAGATTACAGGCATGCACCACAACGCCCAGCTAGTTTTTGTATTTTTAGTAGAGATAGGGTTTCACTATGTTGGCCAGGCTGTTCTCGAACCCCTGAGCTTAGGTGATCTGCCCATCTCAGCCTCCCGAAGTACTGGGACTACAGGCGTGAGCCACCGCATCTGGCCTAATTTTGTATTTTCAGTAGAGATGGAGTTTCGGGCTGGGCGCAGTGGCACACGCCTGTAATCCCAGCATTTTGAGAGGCCGAGGCAGGTGGATCACCTAAGCTCAGGAGTTCGAGACCAGCCTGGTCAACTCAACATGGTGAAATCTCCCGTCTCTACTCCAAATATAACAGTTAGCTGGGCATGGTGGCACATGCCTGTAGTGCTAGCTACTTGGGAGGCTGAGTCACAGGAATCGCTTGAACCAGGGAGGCAGAGGTTGCAGTGAGCCAAAATTGCACCACTGTACTTTGGCCTGAGCGACAGAGCAATGCTGTGTCTCAAAAAAAAAAAAAAAAAAAGAGATGGTGTTTCGCCATGTTGGTCTCAAATTCCTGACCTCAAGTGATCCACCCACCTCAACCTTCCAAAGTGCTGGGATTACAGGCATGAGCCACCTCGCCCTGCCTGTGTTTTTTTTTTTTTTTTGTAGAGACATGGTCTCACTATGCTACCCTGACTAGTCTTGAACTCCTGGCCTCAGGTGATCCTCCCACCTCAGTCTCCCAAAGCGCTGGGATTACAGGTATGAGCCACCACATCTGGCCTCTTCCTCCCGTTTTTAATCCTATCCTCTACTTTATAATTATTTTCCATTACCCCATTCAACACTCCTTTGCCCCATGTCCTCATTTTCTCAGGTCTGGATTATTGCAATAATTTCCTAATTCACCTCCCTTTCTACTCTCTCCCCTAGAAGAACGTACTCCAGCTATGGCCTAGTCATCTACCAACTCTGCAGTCACCCTCCTGTGATCACACCCCTTGTGATCTTCTCAGCCAGATGTGATCCCTTTTTCCCTCACACTCAGATAACATTTGGTTTGTATCCCTAGCATGATTCTCATTACACTTTTGTTTTGGTTTGTTAATTTGTACACGTCAACTTTCTCACTAGATGAAAGCCACTGAGGGCAGAAAACCAGACTCTATCTAACCTATCTTTCCAACATAATACACCACACAGTGTCTTTTTTGTTTTGTTTTGTTTTGTTTTTGAGATGGAGTCTCACTCTGTCACCCAGGCTGGAGTGCAGTGGCGTGATCTTGGCTCACCACAACGTCTGCCACCCAGGTTCAAGCAATTCTCCTGCCTCAGCCTCCCGAGTAGCTGGGATTACAGGCGCCTGTCACTGCAACTGGCTAAGTTTTGTATTTTTAGTAGAGATGGGGTTTCACTGTCTTGGTCAGGCTGGTCTTGAACTCCTGATCTTGTGATCTACCCGCCTCAGCCTCTCAAAGTGCTGGGATTACACTCCCAAAGTGCTGGGAGTGCGTGAGCCACTGTGCCCGGCACACACAGTGTTTTATACCAGCAGGTCCTTGATGTATATTAATAAAATGCATGAAGGCAAATACATGCTACAAAGGGAGTAGATATACCTTTAGGGAAGACAGATGCATTCATGGAAATTAAGGAAACCTGTATTTCAGGTGAAAACTCAAAATATATATACTTTTTTTTGAGACAGAATCTCGCTCTGTCACCCAGGCTGGAGTGCAATGGAGCGATCTTTGGCCCACTGCAACCTCTGCCTCCCAGGTTCAAGCAATTCTCCTATCTCAGCCTCCTAAGTAGTGGGACTACAAACACACACCCCAACGCCTGGCTAATTTTTGTATTTTTAATAGAGACGGGTTTCACCATATTGGTTAGGCTGGTCTCGAATTCCTGACTTCAGGTGATCCACCAGCCTTGGCATCCCAAAGTGCTGGGATTACAGGTGTCAGCCACCGCGCCCGGTCAGAAAACTCAAAATATTTTTAGGGAACATATGTGTGCCTAGAAAAACAGATGCACCCTGAGAGATGTGTGTCTCAGAGAATGAATAGGCATGTTCCAGGAATCATACAAGCATATATGGAAAAGGCAGGATACCCCAAGAAATGGACATGCATGTACTCAAGAAGGCAGATATTTCAACAAGAAGGAAAGTCCCTAAAGAGGCTCGGGGTGCCACAAGGAGTAAACAGATGTATCCATGGAGAATAAAGTTGTTTTGGAGATATTTTTGGAGACCTGGCAGTTGTGTCTGATGGAGAGTTGAAGGTGTAGGTTACCTGGTAAGAAATGGGCCTCACTATCCAGGGAACATATAGGTGTGTTCATATACAGCAATGGTGACTTGTAGAGAGGGGCTGGGTATGATCCTAGAAAGTAGGAAGGTATCTGAAGAGAGTGTTGTTTGTCTCAGGAAGCTGATAGCGGGGTCCAGCTAAGAACTAGTGGTTGTGCAGGCACAGCAGGCTCATGCTTGTAATCCCAGCACTTTGGGAGACTGACTGGGGAGGAGCACTTGAGGCCAGGAGTTCAAGACTAGCCTGGGCAACACGGTGAGACCCCATCTGTATAAAAAAACTTAAAAAAAAAATTAGGCCGGGTGTGGTGGCTCGTGCCTGTAATCCCAGCACTTTGGGAGGCCGAGGTGGGTGGATCATGAGGTCAGGAGATCGAGATCATCCTGGATAACACAGTGAAACCCTGTCTCTACCAAAAATACAAAAAATTAGCCGGGCGTGGTGGCGAGCACCTGTAGTCCCAACTACTCTGGAGGCTGAGGCAGGAGAATGGCATGAACCAGGAGGCAGAGTTTGCAGTTAGCCGAGAGCATGCCACTGCCCTCCAGCCTGGGTGACGGAGCAAGACTCCATCTCAAAAAAAAAAAAAAAAAAAAAAAATTAGCTGGGCATGGTGGCTCACGCCTGTGGTCCCAGCTACTTGGAAGTCTGAGATGGGAGGATCCTTGAGCCCAGGAGGTCGAGGCTGCAGTGAGCCATGTTTGTGCCACTGAACTCCAGCCTGGGTGACAGAATGAGACCTTGTTTCAACAAACAAACAAACAAACAAACAAACAAGGAACTAGTGATTGCTGTAGAGATGGCAGTTTTCTGACCCCAGGGTCCAGTGCTCCTCAGCCTTGAGCTTCTTCCAGATCAGATACGTCTTCTGGTTGCTGGCTTTAGTGGACACCAGGGGGCAGTGTGTTGCTAGGCTGCAGGCCACACCCAGTCCAGGACAATGTAGGATGAGGGCAAGGGACATGGAGAGGGGTGGTGAACCTAGTAAAGGAAGCCCCCACTGCTTTCTCCCTCAATTGTGAGGGCCTTAGGAATGGATTCCTGTTGCTCAGTCAGGGTTCCTCTTCCCAGGCCCTGTGAGTAAACTGAAGCATGAAGAAGAGGAATAGTCAGGGCTCCTGGGCAGCCTCCTGCTCCTCTTGCAGGAGTCACAAGCAGAGATTCCTCCCTTGCCCCTTCCCCCACACCTCCCCAGTTGCAGGCCCCCAGCTGCTGTCCAGACCGGAAGGGAGTCTCTTCCTGCTTGTTTCCTGGAGCCGAGTTTGGATATAGGCAGGAAAGGCCCGCCTGGGAGGAAAGAATATAGGGGTGTGACCTTCATGGAGGCAGGGAGCAGGGGGGCAGGTGAAATGAACAGAACAATGGGCCATCCAGATTTTTCCAGTTCTACTACCCAGGGCTGAGGGCCTGTGGCAGTGGCAGGGAAGGACACAGGTTCCACTGAAATGGGGAGAAGGACATTGTACAAAAAAAAAGTTTTATTTTGAAGATTACAGAACTTGTGCCATGACCCCACCTGGCTTCCATTCCCAGCAATCCAGGGATCTGTGGTGGGGATGAGAGTGAGAAAAGGGAGTAGGAGGGGAGGAGGGAGGCCTGGTGGGGGTGGGGAAGTGGAGTAACATGGTTGTTGAGAAGCTCGTGGCCCCCTAGGCCTGGGCCTCACTGTCTTTACTCCTCCATACTACAAGAGTGATGAGGAAGGGGATGAGGCAGATGGGGGCTATGATCATGGCCAGGAGTACATCCTCTGGGGGGTCAGAGAAGGTGGGCTGCACCAGGGAGCAGTTGGCAAAGTGGATCTGGTGAGTCTCAAAGATGATCCTCTCTGCCAAGGGATTGGGGAAGCCCAGGTCAAACAACTCTGCAAAGTGCTCCAGGCAATCTCGCAGGGTGCTATAAGGCCTAGGGGCAGAAGAGGACTTGAGTGAGAGAGGGGGTGGACCCAGGGAGAAGAGTGCCCCACTCTCACTCAGGGTCTACCTGCAATGAGCAGGTCCACCCCCTGGCCTGAGCCACCCTCCATCACTGCCCCTACCTGCTAATCATGGCCCAGTCGCACCAATCCTTTTCGATAGGATCCATTTGATCCTTATAATGATTCCAGCAAAATTGGACAGCTGTCTCATAGTTCTTCACCGTCCCCCCTGTAGGTACAGATGCTACACAATGACCACACCCCTACCCCTCCCTACAAACCCTCCTGCCCAGGTGCTTGCAAGGTGAACTGCCTGTCTTCAAACGTGGGAACCCTTCAGAAAGTTTCCCTAGCAAAACATTCTGGCTGAGGACAGAGTCCCAGCTCAGGAATCCTATAATGACTTCCATGTGCTAAGCACTTTCCATCCCAGCCTGATAAGAACTTCCACGTACACCTTTTCCTGGGGTCTTCTCGCCCACTTGTGAGGTGGGCAGCTCAGAGCCGTGCAGGGGCTTTGTAGGAGGACAGGGAGAAAGACCACGAGGAACCCCAAGAAAGAACAGAGGGGAGTGTAGTGGGGCATCAGCTGGGGTTGGGCAGGCCTCGTGGGAAAGGAACCCTCCCCACTGAACTTGCTCTCGTCCTTACCCTCGGCCACCCTTCCACACCCTGGGTACCCACCTTCTGACCCTGGTGTGCCTGTGGTGGGAAGAGGCTGAGCCAGGGCCTCGTGGGGATTCAGGACAGCTGTGGGAAGAAACGGGAGAGGAGGGTAACATAGCGGGGACCCCGGCAGTGGAGCCTGCGAGGGGGGTTGGGGGACTGAGACCCTCCGAAAATAGGCTACCTTGGAAGAAAAGGAGGAATAATCTAGCCCCCACGGACGCCTCAGTGCCGGGGAGGGAGGGGCTGGCACCAGCTCCTTGTCACTCACACCCAGGCCCAAAGCCCCCTCATCTCTGGCCAGCTTCCGTCCTCCTAAGCCCTCTTCGAGGGGCCGGGGCCAGCACCCCAGCTTTCCCTGGGTGGGAAGCAGCTCATGCTGCGCCCGCCCCGAGGTGGGGTCAGGGACCGTCCGAGGGCCAGTGCTGCTAGGTACGTCGGTCCTAACCCGCACCCCAGGGCCCGTTCCGGCCTCGGCCATCCAGCCCCTCTCCCCTCTCCCCTCTCCCCTCCGGGGCCTCTCGCGCCTCCCGCCCGGGCCTCGGGGCGCCGCGCTCACCGCCCAGCAGGAGGAGGAGGCGGAGCGCTGCCGGCCGCCCGACTCGGGTCCTAGGGAGACGCGGGCCGCCGGCGCGCTCCACCCGGAGCGAGGCCATCGTGCAGCAAGGAGGCGAGGAGCGGCGGCGGCGCTGAGCCGGGCCCGGGTGTGGGGGCGCCTATATCCCCAGCCCAAGCTGCAGGAAGCCGCGCCGCTTCCTCGGAGGGGCTGGGACGGCGGCGGCCACGTGGGGGGCGGGGGCGACGCTCGGGGCCCGCGGCTGGAGGGGGAGTCGCTGCCTCACCCGCGCCTGGCGCCCGCGGCTCCCTCCGCCTCGCCGGCGTTGGCCCACCCTCTCGTAGCTCACCCCGCGAGGCTGGACAGCTCCCGGAACCCCGGAACCGGGATCTATTTCGGGGGCTCGGCTGCGTGGCGCCCAGGACTCTCCAGGGTCTCCCAGGATCGCTCCCCGAATTCGAGTCGCCCCCTCTCTCTTTCGGGTCTGGAGGGGTCGGCAAGCTGCTCTCCCAGACGTGGAGAAGAGGGAGGGGGCTGGGAGCTCCAGCGGCCTCTCGACGCCGCTGCTTCTAAGGGGCTGTCCTGGGTTGTGGGGGAAGGGGCGCCTGGAGCTGAGCCATGCAGCTCAGGGTTCCTTATCCTATCCCTAGGAATACCAGCTGATGTCAGTCCGCCAGCCAAAACCAGGGAGGAGAAGCGGGAGCCAGCCCTCTGGAGTCGGGAGAAGGTCTGGGGAGTGGGGTAGAGGGGAAAGCAAAGTCCAAATACCTTCCCTTCAGACACCTCCTGGGGCCTAGACCCCACAAACCTGTTGTGGGGAGGGCAAAATACGATGACTACGTTCCCAGGAAGAAGGTGCCACAGCTCTTCAGGACCACGGTTGGGAGAAAGAATGGAGGGGTTTTAGAACCTTCAGTGTGCGACTTCATGTGCCAGGTGAGTGTAACACCATTTTACAGACCGAGAAGCTAAAGCTCAGGGCCAACAGCCCGGGATTTGAATTCAGAAGCTCTGGGTTCTAATTCTGTCTTCTTACTCCCCAGCTATAGAGCCTTGAATGACACGTTTACCTTCAGGACTTCTCATGTGAAATAGGGACATTCCCCTCCTCACTGTATGATGGCAGCTGTGAAAGGGCACTGCACTCGCTAAATGCTAGTTTCCTTTCCTCTTTTCCTAAGTGACTTATCTAAGGTCACACTGTTAAGGAAGCAGCAAGGCTGAGTCTGGGCCTCCGGGGGTCCTGACTTCAGCCACACCACAGCTGCTTCTTGTGTCCTGGGCCAGAGGTTCATTAGTCTGAAGCAGCTGAGGAGCCCAGGAGCTGGTTTGGCCATGACGTTCAAGTCCCAGACACAGCTGTCAGCACCAAACTTTCCTAAATTACTCCCAGACACTGACCCTTGGACTCAGCTGCTGCTGTTGTCCCAGTTTACTGATTCCTGCCCACCACAAATTATCTGTCCTGATCTCTCCTGAAGTCTTCATCTCAGGATCTCAAGCTCTTGGATCATGGGCACGGATAACCTGTTGTCCTCCTCTATGGTCAAGAGGCTGCTTTTGCAAAGAATCCAGTGGGAGAGAGTCAATGGCCTGCTTGACGTGAACTCCAAAGTCCTCCTGGTAAGGATCATTTCTACAATGATGCAGAAAAGAGCCATGCAGTCTCTGAGACATTTCAGGCTGGGACCAAATCTAGTCCTTCCTGCCTGCCTAGGATTGCTCCTTTCAAGAAGGAAGCATGGGAGATTTCTGAGTGATAAGATGGGAGGAAGGAGCAAGGAGGTGCAGAAAGCAAAACAAGCCATTTTCACTGGGTTGGGGCCAGAAGCACATGAGCCCACTATGGGTTAGGACTGGGGTTGGGGTCAAGATTAAAGGGGACAAAAGCAAATGTTAGATTTAAAATAGAGCCTGGGCAACATAGTGAAACCCTGTCTCTACAAAAAAAAAACTATAAAAAAATTTTTAAAAAATTAGCCTGGCATAGTGGTGTGCACCTGTAGTCCCAGCTACTCGGGAGGCTGAGGCAGGAGGATCACTTGAGCCCCAGAGGTTGAGGCTGCAGAGAGCTGTGATTGTGCCCTATCTCAAAAAAAAAAAAAAAGGACAATATGGCATAATGATAATGGATAATCATAACGGATGAAAGAAAAAAACTGATGAGGATTCTGAAGGTAGGTTCTGCCTCTGTCTTACTGCAAGTAACTTGAGCAGGTTATTTCACATCTCTGGAGCTCAAGATTTTCATATGTAAAATGGCCTTAAGATCAAAAAAGAAAATATAGGTAACTTGGTAGGAAGTTCCTATTTTATTTTTATCTTACTTTACTTTTTAGGAACAGGGGCTCACTCTGTTGCCCACATTGGAGTGCGGTGGAAGAATCATGGCATGCTGCAGTCTTGAGCTTCTAGGCTCAAGAGATCCTCCTGGTTCAGTCTCCCAAGTAGCTAGGACAGCAGGCATATTTTTTGTAGATATGGGGGTCTTGCTTTTTTGCCGAGGCTGGTCTCGAACTCCTGGCTTCAAGCAATCTTCCTGCATCAGTCTCTTAAAGTGTTGGGATTCCAGGCATGAACCACTGCACCTGGCCCTTGGGAAGTTTTATTTTTAGCCTAGGGTTGGGGTTAAGTTTGCATCATGATGTTGAGACCTCCAAAGGAGAACTTATTGTAGTCATTCCTGAGCTCAGGTGTCCAAACTGTCTAATTGGAGAATCTGGGAATTTTCTCTCGTTTTGATTTTCCTCTTCCACTTTTCCATGCCAGTTGGATGTTTGAATGTTTTTATCGACCTCTGAGAGCATCCGGGTAACTGAGGGTTTACTTTGGGGGTCTTTGGAGATGAATAGGGACAGGAGACCTCACCTTTCTTTTCCATGTAGCCATAGGAGATAGTCCCACGATCTGATGATCTGTAGCAATGGGTAGAGGAAGGGCCGTATTAGGAACAGAAGCTAGTTTCGTCATGGGAAGTCCCCTGTTTTCCACTCCTGAGGGCCCTCACATTCCCTTTCTAAGCCCCTTTCTGCTTTTGCTATTAAAAAATACAGTTTTTAAATTGCAAGTAATATGTAAGTATATACTTGTTGCAAAATATTTAACCCAGAAAACTTTGTATCCCCACTCATATCTCATTTCCCACATATTCTGGATTTTTTTAAAGGAAAGCATAAATGGGATTTGATACTCCTATTATTCAGTGACTTTTTTTTTTCTTGAGATGGAGTCTTGCTCTGTTGCCCAGGCTGGAGTGCAGTGGCGCCATCTTGGCTCACTGCAACCTCCGCTTCCCAGGTTCAGGTGATTCTACTGCCTCAGCCTCCTGAGCAGCTGGGATTACATGTGTACGCCGCCACATCCAGCTAATTTTTGTATTTTAGTAGAGACAGGGTTTCACCAGGTTGGCCAGGCTTGTCTTGAACTCCTGACCTCAAGGGATCCACCTGCCTTGGCCTCCCAAAATGCTGGGATTACAGGTGTGAGCCACTGTGCCTGGCCTCAGTGTCTTTTAAAAAATGTGATACTATTGCTGGGTATGCAGCTCATGCCTGTAATCCCAGTTACTCGGGAGCCTGAAGCAGGAACTTGAGCCCAGGAATTGGAGACTAACCTGGGTGATATAGCGAGACTCTGTCTAAAATAATAATAATGATAATAAAGAAGCCAGGCACAGTGCCTCACACCTGTAAACCCAACACTTTGGAAGACCAAGGCAGGAGGATCACTTGAAGTCAGGAGTTCAAGACCAGCCTGGGCAACATGGCAAGACCCTGTCTCTACAAAAAATAAAAATAAATTAGCCAGGCTTGGTGGCACATGCCTGTAGTCCCAGCTCCACAGCAGGCTGAGACAGGAGGATCCCTTGAGCCCAGAATTTTAAGGCTGCAGTGAGCCATGATCATGCCACTGCATTCCAGCATGGGCTACAGAGTGAGACCTTGTCTCCAAATAGAAAAAGAAGAAAGAAAGGAAGGGAAGGGGAAGGGGAAGGGGAAAAAGGAAGGAAAGGAGGGAACACTTAGTAACATGTCTTGGATATCTTTCCATGATACTACATATGTATGTATGCCTCTTTCTTTTTAACTGTACGTAGTATTGCCTTTAGTCTTTTTTTTCCTTATGTCCAGTGAAATCTAGGGGGTTTTCTTTGTTTGTTTTTTATTTATTTATTTTTGAGACAGAGTCTTGCTCTGTTGCCCAGGCTGGAGTGCAGTGGTGTGATCTTAGCTCACTGCAACCTCCGCCTCCCAGGTTCAAGCAATTCTCCTGCCTTAGCCTCCCAGTAGCTGGGATTACAGATGCCCCCTACAAGGCCCAGCTAATTTTTGTATTTTTACTAGAGACAGGGTTTCACCATGTTGGCCAGGCTTGTCTCAAACTCCAGACCTTAAGTGATCTGCCCACCTTGGCCTCCCAAAATTCTGGAATTACAGGTGTGAGCCACCGGGCCTGGCCTGGAAATCTAGTTTGTTTGTTTTTTTGGTTGTTTGTTTGTTTTTGAGATGGAGTTTCGCTCTTGTTGCCCAAGCTGGAGTGCAATGGTGCTATCTCGACTCACTGCAACCTCCGTCTCCTGGGTTCAAGCGATTCTCCTGCCTCAGCCTCCCGAGTAGCTGGGACTACAGGCGCCCACCACCACGCCCAGCTAATTTTTGTATTTTTAGTAGAGACAGGGTTTCACCATGTTGGTCAGGCTGGTCTCGAACTCCTGACCTCAGGTGATCCACCTGCCTCGGCCTCCAAAGTGCTGGGATTACAGGCGTGAGCTACCGCCCCCGGCCATACATCTAGTTTTTACATTTCTTACACATTTCCTTATTCCTCTGCCCCCACCCCGCACCACCTAGGGCTTGGAAAGAGAGGGATCTGGTTCTTGTCCAGCTGAACATTGTCCTGAGACTTCTGGCCCCAGTGTAGGTTAATTCCTCATGAGCAGGGATCCTACTACCATCCTACTGCCACTTCCTTTCTTGTTACAGGCCAAGGGTCATCCTGCCTGGAGCAGGGCAAGAGGTGACTTGACCCTTAGGAAGAGTGGCATCTCTAATCTTCAACTTCCACCACCACCACACACACAAATGCAGAGCCACCCAGGAGGAAGTAAAAAGTGCTAGGGCCTTCTACACCTTGAAATTATATGTGGAGCATCCTGCAATAAGCATCTCTGTGATGCACAGTCATTCACACCTGCTGGTCTCTCCCCCAGCTGTCTGCAAAATGAAGAGCAGAGCACAAGAGAACATGTGAGAAAGAGGCAGGGTCGGGGAAGCCAGAAGTCCTGGCTGGCAGGGGCTGATCCTTCCTAACTAGAGAGAGGAGACACACTTCTTGAGAGGGCAGGGAGATAGCAGGGAGAACTAGAGGAGCTATAGCCAGGGAGCCAGCTAAGGGAGGGAAGACAAAGGAGTGGAGACACAACTACTCCATCTCTCCCCAGCCTCCTCATCTCCAGAATGATGGCACACCTGGGAGGGGCCTGACTACCTTTCAGGGGGAAAAATGGTCACTGGGCCTGGTGCGGTGGCTCATGCCTGTCATCCCAGCACTTTGGGAGGCCAAGGTGGGTGGATAACCTGAGGTCAGGAGTTCGAGACCAGCCAGAACAACATGGTGAAACCCCATCTCTACTAAAAATACAAAAATTTGCTGGGCGTGGTGGTGCCTGCCTGTAATCCAGCTACTTAGGAGGCTGAGGCAGGAAAATCGCTTGAACCCGAAAGGCAGAGGTTGCAGTGTGCCGAGATTAAGCCACTGAACTCCAGCCTGGGCAACAAGAGTGAAACTCTGTCTGAAGGAAAAAAAAAAAAAGCCATTGGAGAAGACGGGGTCCTTCCAGAGAAGCTGATCAAGTCATATTACTCATCAACTGCTGGGGACCTAACAGTCACTACCATGTATTGAACACTTACTATGGGCTGCATAATGTGCCTACTGACGCATGTGCTGAAAGCTTTGCATGTATGTCTTAAAGCCACACCACTATAACATCAGAATTATCTTCTCCATGTGTGAAATGGGGAAACAGGAGGAGAAAGTTTACAATCCCAGAGCTAGTAATTGGCAGAGCCAGGATTTAAACCCAGGATATCTTGATGCTAAAGTTCATGTCTTAACCATTATGATTTATCACCTCCTCTCACTGCAGATCAGAATACCAATTTCTTACTGGGTCTGGAAAGGAGGAGAGAAGGATAGAGAGTTTCTTCTAGGACCAAATTGATTCCTCCACAAATAGGAAGATCCCCAGACTGTGTGCACACACCCTCCTCCTCCTTCCTTCTCCAACCCTGGCTGGACCATGACATCACATGGTGGAGGCTGTTTTTTAAAAAGAACTCAGGCCAGATTTACAAGAATGATGCTCAGGCAGCGTGACTGTCAAGGACCGTGGCCAAGTGACCCATAGCACACACCCAGCAGTGCTGAGAACATAGCTAGTCCCTTAGCACCTGGGGCTGACTCATGGTTGCTGTAGGACCCAATGCCAGATGCCAGGATTGCTTTCTCCCTCCATTCATTAGGACTGTCCCATGAAACCCTCCCCAGGAACCCTTCTACCCCATCCCGGCATGCCAGGAGCCTGGATACTGCATAACACAGGGTACTCATATTTGTTTACCAAGCCTTGAAGATGACAGGCAATATGCTGATATGCTCAATGCATCATACAAATTGTTTTATTTAAAACTGAACTATTAAATTAAGTATCATAGCAACTCACTTTACAGACAAGGAAACTGAAGCTCAAAGGTTAAGTAAGGGCCAGGCATGGTGGCTCACTCCTGTAATCCCAGCAGTTTGGGAGGCTGAGGTGGGAGGAGGATTGCTTAAGCCCGCGAGTTTGAGACCAGCCTAGGCAATATAGGGAGACCCCATCTCTACAAAAAATTATCTGGGCCTGGTGATGTGTGCCTGTAGTCCCAGCTACTTGAGAGGCTGAGGTGGGAGGATTGCTTGAGCCCAGAAGTTGAGGCTGCAGTGAGCCATGATCATGCCATTGTACTCCAGCCTGGGCAGCAAAGCAAAACCCTGTATTGAAAACAAACAAACAGGCTGGGCACGGTGGCTCACACCTGTAATCCCAACACTTTGGGAGGCCGAGGCAGGTGGATCACCTGAGGTCAGGAGTTAGAGACCAGCCTGGCCAACATGGTGAAACCCGCCTCTACTGAAAATACAAAAATTAGCAGGGCATTGTGGCACATGCCAAGGTGGGCAGATCACCTGAGGTCAGGAGTTCGAGACCAGCCTGGCCAACATGGTGAAACCCCATCTCTACTAAAAATACAAAAATTAGCTGGGCGTGGTGGTGGGCGCCTGTAGTCCCAGCTACTCAGGAGGCTGAGGCAGGAGAATCGCTTGAACCTGGGAGGTGGAGGTTGCAGTAAGCCAAGATAGTGCCACTGCACTCCAGCCTGGGCGACAGACAAAAAAAAAAAAAAAAAGAAGTTGGAGCAGTGTGAAGAAGAGGTGAGAACAACCCCCGGACTGATCAAAGCCCACATGCCACTGCATCCCGCGTCCAGCGCCTACATCCTGCCACCGTCGCTGCCACCACCATGCCCAAGAGAAAGGCTAAAGGGGATGCTAAAGGAGACAAAGCCAAGGTGAAGGACGAACCATAGAGAAGATCCACAAGGTTGTCTGCTAAACCTGCTCCTCCAAAGCCACAGCCCAAGCCTAAAAAGGCCCCTGCAAAGAAGGGAGAGAAGATACCCAAAGGGAAAAAGGGAAAAGCTGATGCTGGCAAGGAGGGGAATAACCCTGCAGAAAATGGAGATGCCAAAACAGACCAGGCACAGAAAGCTGAAGGTGCTGGAGTTGCCAAGTGAAGTGTGTGCATTTTTGATAACTGTGTACTTCTGGTGACTGTACAATTTCAAATACTATTTTTTATCAAGTTTTATAAAAATGCAGAATTTTGTTTTACTTTTTTTTTAAGCTATGTTGTTAACACACAGAACACTTCATTGTTGTTTTTTGGGGAAGGGGCATATGTCACTAGTAGAATGTCTCCAAAGCTGGATTGATGTGGGGAAAACACATTTCCCTTCCAGTTTTGAAAGATTTCCTCTTGGCTCCCAGGAGGAGGGATTCCCTGACTTTGACACACATGGCCACCTTGGCACAAAAGCCTTGTGGTATGGAAAAACAAATTCGTTTTTATGTCCTCTTCTCCCTTTCCATCCTTCAGCATAGACTTAACTCCCTTAAGCCCAGACATCTGTTGGGACCTGACCTCTAGTCATTGGTTACCAGTGTGTCAGGCAATCTGGATTTTCCAGTGATGCCGCTGAGATGGCACCTGTCAAAAGAGTAGTGGTTCCATTTCTAGATTGTGGATATTCAGATAAATTCTGCCATTTTCATTTCACTTCATGAAAGTCAGGTTCAGCCTGTGAAAAGTTGTTAAACAACATGCTAAATGTGAAATGTCAACCCTCACTCTAAACTTTCCCTGTTCAGAGCATCAGATGAAGACTTCAGTGGCTTTCTGATTTTTGGTAGTCCATTGAAGAAGGGAGTTTGAAAGTTGTTGTATACTGTTAACGATTGTCTGCCCATGTCCTGCCTGAAATGCCATGATTGTTTATGGAACGTATCTTTAATAAAGCTGGATACAGCTTGAAAAAAAAAGAAGTCAACTTGCTACAGAGAATTGAATAGGAAAGAATGAGGAAGATTGGCTAGAAGGGCAACCTGACAGGGCCCCTCAGGGCACACAGGTCTTTCCCCACTCAGTACTGTCCCTCTCCTGATTATGCTTACTTTGTCTATAGACAGTACCTTTTCACATTCTTTCCTGCAAGACACATTAACACATTAGATGGACAATGAAAAAAAAATACATTATTTTCTAGATGATAAGCAAGGATCCAACATATGTTAAGCAAACATGACACTAGTAACATATGGGTGTTTAACACATGGGTGTGATGTCTGTAATGTGAGCATAAGTAATGTTACAAAAGGCAATATTTTCCTCATCTGTAAAATGGGGGTGATAATAATATCTGTAAGTTACAAGGTATAAAGCACTTAAAGCACAACTTGGCCCATAGTTAATACTACATTATTCTTACTACTGCCTTAGTGCTTAAGAGCACACACTTTGGAGTCAAGTAAACCTGGGTTTGCATCCCAGCTCCATCGCTTATTTGGCTGTATCAGACTTTGTGCGACTGGGCATGGTGGCTCACACCTGTAATCCCAGCACTTTGGGAGGCTGAGCCAGGCGGATTACCTGAGGTGAGGAGTTCAAGACCAGCCTGGCCAATGTGGTAAAACCCTGTCTCTACTAAAAATACAAAAAATTAGCCAGGTGCAGTGGCACACACCTGTAATCCCAGCTACTTGGGAGGCTGAGGCAGAATTGCTTGAACCTGGGAGACGGAGGTTGCGGTGAGCCAAGATTGCACCACTACACTCCAGCTTGGGCGACACAGCAAGACTTCGTCTAAAAAAAAAAAAAAGACTGTGTAAGTTACTTAACTCCTCTGAGCTTGTCATCTTATCTGCAAAATGGGATCACTAGCGTGTATCTCGCTGAGCGGTACAGATGAACTATGTAAAGCATTTGGCCCAATGCCTGGCACTGCTAAGCATGCAATAAATGGAAGTTACTATCATAATGTGTAACACATATAATTATGACAATTATATTTCCAAGATATTCTGGGATCTTTACAGTTTCATAATTTTGCTCTTTTTACTATACAACACTCCTTTTATTGAAACAAATACAGATTTTGGAGTCAGACAGACCTAGTCTGGATTTGAATTCCAGCTCTCCTTCTTACCAGCCTGGGGCCATGGAGAATGTTGTCCATTTCCCTGAGCCTCAGTGTTCTTCTCTGTAAAATGTGGATGATACCTGACTCCCAGGCATTTTGCCAGGATTACATGGGATTCCTACACAGTGCAATGTCTAGTGATAATATAAATACTAAAAGCAACTTGTTAAATGTATAAATAAATGTGATTTATTTTTGCTCCTTTACATACAGTATCATGGATATAATTTGTAGATGTGTGTACTGTGAATACAATGGCCACTTCTCTTGCTCCCAAAGTGTCTCTGTAGCCTGGTGTTTCATCCTAGCCACAGAAGGGTTCAAAAGGCCACAGCATCAGCAGTGTGGGACCCTGCTGATAGGGAAGAGAGAAGGGGAAGTCACAGAAACAGGGGACTCCCTTTTCCTGTCTGGCTAGGATTTGTTTTTCTTCCACACAGGCTGTATGTTCCCTGTTGATATGGGGGTCTGTCAAGTGTCCAGCTTTGATTGGCGTCTCCAGTACAGAGGAAGTAAGGAGCCCCTTAACTTTCAGGAGCTGTTTTCCTCTGGACTTGCAGACTAGAGTCCCAAACACGTTCTCTTTCTGGCACCACTGGTGAGAGCAGAAAGCAATGGAGAAAATCCAGAATCATGATGTCAGAGCTAGACGACCTCAGAGAAGGGAGGCAGTATAGTGGAGTGGTTCAGAGCATTGATTGGGTGGGTCAGAATAACTCAGCCCAAATCCTGGCCATACCACTTACCAGCTGGATGACCTGGGGCAGGTTATAGAATCTCTCTAAACCCTAGTTTCCTCAGCTGTAAAGTGGGGATAAGAATATTCCTGATTCAGCCGGGTGAAGTGGCTCATACCTGTAATCCCAGCACTTTGGGAGGCCGAGGCGGGCAGATCACGAGGTCAGGAGGTCGAGACCATCCTGGCTAACACGGTGAAACCCCGTCTCTACTAAAAATACAAAAAATTTAGCCAGGCATGGTGGCAGGCGCCTGTAGTCCCAGCTACTCAGGAGGTTGGGGCAGGAGAATGGCATGAACCCGGGAGGCGGAGCTTGCAGTGAGCCAAGATGTCACCATTGCACTCAAGCCTGGGCGACAGAGCGAGACTCTGCCTCAAAAAAAAAAAAAGAATATTCCTGATTCATATGAAATCAGATATAAAGCTCTCAGGACAGTGTCATGTACATAGTTAGTACTCAGTATTTGAAAGCTGTTACCATTTTCTCTTGTTCTGCCATTTCATTTTCACAGTTGAGGACCCTAATGGCCAAAAAGGAAGCACAGCTCGTTAACTGTCCACCCGATCAGAGCTACTTCCCAGGCAGGGCTGTAGCTTAGGGATCAAGACCCTGCATTAACTGTGCTGAGAGCAAGAACCAGCAGCACCACCCTAGCTGTGGGGTTGGAGGCTTGAGGGTATGTGCAAATCAAGGCATGACTTCCACCCAAATGAGTGCCCAAAAGAGAAAGTCCCTTCCTGCTGGAATTATTTATTTTGTAATTAACAAAGACTGGAAGCCCTTTCTGATATTTTGGTTTGGAGACTCAGAGTTTAAACTTATAACAGCCATGGACAAGGGTTTATTGCGGGCCTGTTCTTACTTGCTGAATTGAATTCATTATTATGATCCCTAAGCAACTAGGGGTCAGGAGCTAAGTATGTAAGACAGACAGCTAGGATTTTGCGATCAGAGGACAAAGTGTCCGGAGTGGAGAGGCTTCAAAAATTGAGCCCTGTTTCCAGGCTCTGTAATGTCCAGATCTCAACTGCTTTGGAGCTGCCTTCACCTCTAAGTGTTCAGGGAGGGGTCTGGCACTTCAACGGGCCCCACCAAGTCCTGGGCAGCAGCCCCAGTTTCTGGTGACCTTCGTGCAGCTTTTGGGTTGTGCTTTGCTTTGTTTTCTTGTTTGTTTTTTCATGGCAGGGTGGCCTTTCCCTGCTTCTGGGTTGGAACTGGGGGAGGGAGGATGGTTTGCTCCCATCTCCACAGCTGTGTTTACAGTTCCCTGTCAGGGACTGTCTGTGGCCCAGCCTTTCCTCAGTCTGCTGTGTCCCCTCTGAAAATTGCTGTTTGATATCTCTGTGGGCATTACAAGGGAGGGGCGCAACAGGCCAATGGGTCACTGTCCGAAGGGGGCTCAGGTTGGAAGGCAGGAATACTAGTGCAGAGAGCTCTGTTTGGATTCTGAGGAGCATCATCTCCTTCCCTTTCTACCAGTGGCCTGAGGACCAGCAGGGGACGAAAGTACACTTAGAACTCGCCCGTCCCAGAAGGACTAGAACACGTGACATGTCATTTCTAATCATGGGCTTGAACACAATCTTGCTTTGTGATGGGGATATGAGTGTACAGAGCAGAGCGGTCTTCCCTAAGGCTTCGCTGGGGCCAGTGGTCAAAGATACAGCATGTTAAAGCCAAGAAGATTATGCTAAAATATAAGGAAATTAAAAAGGATTTAAGAAAACGGTCAAGTAAATAATGCTCTTCTTCCCCAGGGAGCAAGTTGAGCTGGTATTAATCAGTATACTAGGGTTGCTGGACTCTGGGCCAAGCCCAGGAGAGTAGCTGCCAAGGCAAATCAGGCATCAGGTTTCAAAAATTAAACACATAATTTTATTTTTCTGCAATAGGGAACTTTCAGAAAAAGAACCAGCCCTATTAGGCTACTTAGCACACTTTGTCCAGTTTCTTTCAGCCCCAGAGGCCTCCAATTTAAAGCAAGATGAGCAACTGGAAGCCAGGAGTGACACAGTTATTCCCTTCTCCCATTAACTGCCTGGGGGTGGGGCCGGGAGGAGTGGGGCAGGGGTGATTGTACTGTTTTTCAAAGGTCCAGTTGCTGACCACTTGCCAGCAGTTTTTCTACGAATTTACAGGACAAAGACCTGAAGGGTTGCAAAAGAAAAAGAATTGTAGAAGAAGAGCTAGCTAAAGTTTGGCTGATAATGTCTCAGGAAATGTCAGCTAAGAAAGGGTCTGGTCTCAGGAAAAACTCTCTCATCACAATAAGGAGGAAGCAACTGGCAAACAAATTTTCCTCCAAGAACCTCACGCTTATTGGTGGTGTGGAAAGTTGTTTTTATTATTATTGTTAGTATTATTGAGACAGGTTCTCATTCCATTGCCCAAGCTGGAGTGCAGTGATGCAATTATGGTTCACTGCAGTATTGACTTCCCAGACTCAGGCGATTTTCCCACCTCAGTCTCCTGAGTAGTTGGGACTACCGGCCCACACCACCATGCCTGGCTAATTTTTTTGTGTTTTTTGTAGAGACGGGGTTTCATCGTGTTGCCCAGGCTGGTCTCAAATTCCTGAACTCAAGCAATCTGCCTGCCTCATTCTCCCAAAGTGCTGGGATTACAGGTGTGAGCCACTGAGCCTGGCTGAAAGTTATTTTTGTAATCCTTCCATGAATGAGGGTTACTAAGCCCTGTGTGTAGTCCTATCATGGTGGAGGTGAAAGAGATATACAGTGTAGTAGTGAGTGTAAAGTGATACTGAAGTTGAAGGGCTGGGAAATCCAGGAGGGCTAGAAGGTTTAATGAAGAGAGGGAACTTAGGTTAGGCTGTAGATCAGATTCTGATCTACAGCTTTGGCATAAATCCCTTCAACTTCCTTTCCACCTGAAAATATTTCTGTAACCATACTTTGTTATGTCAAAATGTCTTTGTATCTACTCTCTTGTTATTTGGCATCTTCTCCTAAGGCAGTGTTGTCCACTTCTGTGGCTTCAGTTACCATCAATATGTTGATGGTTTCCAAATCTCTCACTAGTCTCTCTCCTGACATTCAGATCTTCTGGACAGCTCTCCCTAGCTAAAGCCACAGTCTTTCTCCCAACAATTATTAATGTTGTGCAGTGGCTCTCAAACTTCACTACACATTGTAATCACCTGGATGCTTTAAAAACTCTTGAAGCTCAGGCCATACCCTAGATCAATTAATCAGACTTTTGGGTGTGGGAGGTGGGCATCAGTAGTTTTAAAACTCCTTGGCTGGGCACGGTAGCTCACGCCTATAATCCCAGCACTTTGGGAGGCCAAGGCGGGCGGATCACCTGAGGTCGGGAGTTCAAGACCAGCCTGACCAACATGGAGAAACCTTGTCTCTACTAAAAATACAAAATTAGCCAGGCATGGTGGCGCATGCCTGTAATCCCAGCTACTCGGGAAGGCTGAGGCAGGAGAATCGCTTCAGCCTGGGAGACAGAGGTTGCGTGCGGTAAGCTGAGATCGCGCCATTGCACTCCAGCCTGGGCAACAAGAGTGAAACTCCATCTCAAAAACAAAGTTCCCCAAGCTCCCCAAGTGTGAGCCAAGTTTGAGAACCACTTATCTTGAAGGCAGCGGGAACAGAAAGGAATGCCAGTATAAAGGAATATTTTCCTTGATTTGGTAGTTAAATGGATAGGGGCAAGGGAAAAACAGCAAAGTTTTTATATAAGGAAAAGAACACTAAATCTGGTTGGAATCCAGCGACCTGAGTTTAAGACCTGACAGAATTATTCATCTGTGTAAGGCAAGTCTTCTAACTCCTTTAGGCCAGAATAACCTGATGTGTAAACTGAAGTTGCCCTACGTACTTCATACAGTTGTTATGAAGATTACTTGAAAAAATGAACATTATAAGCTTTTCTAATTATACACTTTGAGACAAAATCAAAATCAAGATGTTATTATTTTGCATTTTAATTTGTAATTTTAAAAATTTATATTTTGAAATAATTTCAGATTTAATAGAGTTGCAAATATGGTAGAGTTCCTATATGTCCATCAAACTTCCTCAATTACAATGATTAAAACCAGGAATAAGATTGATAAAATACTATTAATTAATCTAGAGATTTTATTCTAATTTCATCAAATTATCCCACTGGTGTTCTTTTTCTGGACCAGGATTCAAGCCAGGATCACACATTACATTTAGTTGTCATATCTCCTCAGTCTCCCAATCTGAGATGGTTTCTCACCCCTTGTCTTTCATGATCTTGACACTTGAAGATACTGGCCAGTTATTTTGTAGATTGTCTCTCATTTTGGATTTGTCTGATGTTTCCTCATAATTAAATTCAGCTTATGCAGGCTGGGCATTGTGGCTCATGCCTGTAATCCCAGCACTGGGAGGCAGAGGTGGGGGGATCACCTGAGTCAGCAGTTCGAGACCAGCCTGGACAACATGGTGAAACCCCATCTCTACTAAAATTACAAAATTTGCCGGGTATAGTAGTGCATGCCTGTAAACCCAGCTACTTGGGAGGCTGAGGCAGGAGAATCGCTTGAACCCAGGAGGCAGAGATTGCAGTGAGCCGAGATTGCACCATTGCACTCCAGCCTAGGCAACAAGAGTGAAACTGTCTCAAAACAAACAAACAAACAACACGCACAAAAAATCAGCTTATGCGTGTTCGTCAAGAATACCACAGAAGTGATTTTGTGCGCTTCTCATTGCATCATGTTCAGAGGGACCTGGTAAGAATACCTCTCAGCTGGGGGCAATGGCTCATGCCTGTAATCCCAACACTTTGGGAAATCAAGGTGGGAGGATGGCTTGAACCCTGGAGTTCAAGACCAGCCTAGGCAACACAGCAAGACCCTGTCTCCTTAAAAAGAAGAGGGAGGCCGGGCGTGGTGGCTCATGCCGGTAATCTCAGCACTTTGGGAGGCCGAGGTAGGCAGATCACTTGAGGTCAGGAGTTTGACAGCAGCCTGGCCAATACGGTGAAACCCCATCTCTACTAAAAATACAAAAATTAGCCGGGCGTGGTGGCACGAACCTGTATTCCTGGCTACTTGGGAGGCTGAGGCGGGAGAATTGCTTGAGCCCGGGAGGGAGAGGTTGCAGTGAGCCGAGATCGCGCCACGGCACTCCAGCCTGTGTAAGTAACAAAGCGAGACTCCGTCCAGCCTCGCCCCCCGGCAAAAAAAGAAGAAGAAAACAATACCTCTTATCACTAGTGATGCTAACTTTGATCACTTAGTTAAGGTGGTGTCTGACAGATTCTTATCTGTAAAGTTGCTATTTTTTTCCCTTTGTAACTAGCAGGTGTCTTGTGGGGATTTATTTCGATACAAGGCTATAATTTTGATTCTAAGTGACTAGAAAACTATGAACAGAAATAGGGAGATCAGACATAAATAAAGGGCTTAGAACCCATAGACCGGTGTCTGGAGAACTGGTAGGGGTGAAGCATCGGTATGAAGGTGATCTGGGTTGGCTTCAAACGCTGAAGTGAGATGTGGCTTGTCACCAGCGCGTGGGGATGGCAAATCCGCTGAATAGGGTCTTCAGGAAGATATTAGTGGCTCTGCGAAGGTTTCCCCAGAGCCCTTCCCCTCCCCTGCCAGCGCCGCTTTGGAAGCCGTCTGGGAGGCTGCACCCGCCAGGACTCCTGAGTGCGGGGTTTTGGCGGCAAATGACAGTAGTGCGTCCGCGCGGCACGGGTAAGTCAATGCGCACGCGCCGACAGGAGGCGCGGGGCGGGGCACGGCGCAGGGGTGGGGCCGCGGCGCGCATGCGTCCTAGCAGCGGGACCCGCGGCTCGGGATGGAGGGTGAGTGAGTAAACAAGCCTGGGCCGGGCGGTGGGGCCGGGCCTCCTCCCCTCGCCGCCCTGGGCCTGAGGGAGGGAGAGGCGGAGGGATCAGGAAATTGGAAGGAATCCGAGGGACACACTGCCTGCCTGGCCGGGGGTAGCAGGCGCCCCTCCTCATTCCGAGGGTGGGGGAATGGGGGCGACGGGGCGAGAGAGACCCAGGCGAGGACAGCGTCTGGGGCTGCGAGGGCTGTGTGCCCGGGAGGAGGAGCGGCGGGGGCGGGCTCGGGGACGGGGAATCCCGTTGGATGGCGGTGTGGGCCGGTGGGCGGGAGCCCCAGCGCCCAAAGGGCGCGGGAGGGCGGTGGCACCTGCGGGGGCCTTTAGCGAGGTGGACTCTGGGGACCTGGAGCTGTGCTTGGGGAGGGCTAGAGACCGGGGCTGATCTTGCGATGGCTTTCGGGGATGTTGAGGAGGGGTAGCAGTAAAAACAAGGCCGGGACTAGGGTGAGGTGAGTAAGGCTCCCAAGGCACAAAGTGTAAAGGAGCACTGACTCAGGGTCGCGCAAGTGCAGTGAGCGCCTCCTCACGTGCGTCCTGGGTGCCTCGGTCGCCTCACCCCAGGCCTGGCCCTGAGCAAGAATCTCCTTCACTCCAGACTTTTGGTCTCACGCCAATGATCGCTCACCCCCACCATTCAACCGAGGATCAAATGATATAAATAAAAGTGCCTTGAAGCACAGACAAGGTGTTGTATTTGGGACATGCCTGTTAGGAAATGTGGGACAAACTTTTATTTCAATAAAAAGTGACTACTGAGGAATTGTTTCTTGAGCAGGGAAGGGAAGGGATACCTGAAGGATGTTAGTGCCCCCCGTGGAATGTGAAGGAATATGGAGGGTGAAATACAGGGTTGTATGTGATGTAGCCCAGGCCGATAGGAACCTGACGCTTGGCAGGGGAGGATGAAAGCAAAGGAGCTCAGGTACACTAACAATTAGGTGGGTGCAAGGATGGCAATGAAAACGCGAGTCTCCTCCACGTTTGCTGCCATACTGCCGCTGAATAAAAAAATTCCCACACCCCATGTTTTTTAAATTTAGGAAACTGATATTGAAGGAGGTTTCCAGCCTGAGAAGGTGCTAACCCTATTAGAGGTTTCTGTGAAAGCTTGTCTATTTTAAGTCTTGGAATCCCCAGATATGCCACTGATAAAAGAGATTACTTACATAGGAGAGAGTGTGTGTTAGGAGATAAGTACTTTAGACTGGGCTCGGTGGCTCATATCTGAAATCCCAGCATTCGGGAGGCCCAGGCAGGAGAATAGCTTGAGCCCAGGAGTTTGGGACCAGCTCAGGCAACAATAGCGAGACCTCATCTCTACAAAAAAAAAATAGCCAGATGTGGTGGCCTTCTCCTATAGTCCCAGCTGCTTGGGAGGCTGAAGCAGGAGTATTGCTTGAGACTGGGAGGTCAAGGTTGCAATGAGCTCTGATCCTGCCACTGCACTCCAGTCTGGGTGACAGCACCTGAGACCCTGTCTCAAGAAAAAAAAAAAAAGCCTGGCACGGTGGCTCATGCCTGTAATCCCAACACTTTGGGAGGCTGAGGTGGACCGTTCACTCGAGCCCAGGAGTTTGAGACCAGCCTGGGCAACATGGGACAACTCCATCTCTACTAAAAATACAAAAATTAATCAGGTGTGGTGGCACACGCCTGTAGTCCCAGCTACTCGGGAGGGCTGAGGCATTAGAATCGCTTGAACCGGGAGGTGGAGGTTGCAGTGAGCCGAGATTGCACCACTGCACATCAACCTGGGCAACAGAGTGAGATTCTGTCAAAAAAAAAAAAAAAAAAAGGAGGCCTGGCACAGTGGCTCAGGCCTGTAATCCCAGCACTTTGGGAGGCCAAGGCAGGCGGATCACTTGAGGTCAAGAGTCCGAGAGCTGCCTGGGCAACATGGCGAAACTCCTTCTCTACAAAAATACAAGAATTAGCTGGGCGTGGTGGTGGGTGCCTGTAATCCCAGCTATTCAGGGGGTTGAGGCACGAGAATCGCTTGAACCTGGGAGGTGGAAGTTGCAGTGAGCCGACATGCACCACTGCATTGCAGCATGGGTGACAGAGCAAGACTCCATCTCAAAAAAGAAAAAAAAAAGGGAGAGAGAAGTACTTAAAAACGCACATACATAATAGGAGAAAGGACTATCTATAAAACTGTAATAATGCTATCATTGTCAAGGTTTATGCTTATTGTTGTGTGTCACAAACATAATGAATCAACTCCAAAGGCAGGGATATATGTTTTATTCATTGATGTACCCCAAACACCTAAAATGGTAACACATAGTAGATACTACTATTAAGTATAATAGTAGGTGCTCAACATATATTTGTGGAATAAATAGTGGGGAAATTTCTGGCACTGGGAGTCAGGTGATCCGGATGCTAGTATTGTCAGTAACTGGCAGAGTACTTGTATGCTAATCGTGGAACTTGATGCTAAGGCCCAGCTTAAAATTCCTTAAAGTGTAAATGACTTCTTCATTATGATGGTTACATTAGTGCCCTTTGAAACAGCACTAGAGGCTGGGCTGATGGCTTACACCTATAAGCCCAGCACTTTGGGAGGCTGAGGCTGTTGGATCACCTGAGGTCGGGGAGTTCAAAACCAGCCTGGCCAATATGGTGAAACCCCATCTCTACTAAAAATACAAAAAATTAGCCAGACGTGGTGGCGGACACCTATAATTCTAGCTCTTGGGAGACAGAGGTGGGAGAATCGCTTGAACTTGGGAGTGGGAAGTTGCAGTGAGCTGAGATTGCACCACTGCACTCCAGCCTGGGCACGAAAGAGTGAGACTCTGTCTTGGGAAAAAAAAAAAAAAGAGAGACAGCACTGGAATAAGGAGGCTGGAACTAAAAATGAAATTTTACTCCCAAGAAGACATTTGGGAGAAGGGAAAGTTAAGAAAAATGTGGTCGGGCTTGTTTCTTATATATTTGCCTTTGGATGATACCTTCAAACAACCAATTTAAGTCTGGACACTGTGGCTCATGCCTGTAATCCCAGTATTTTGGGAGGCCGAGGTGGGCGAATCACTTGAGTTCAGAAGTGTGAGACCAGCCTGGGCAACATGGCAAAACTCTGTCTCTACAAAAACATTACAAAAATTAGCCAGGCCTGGTGGTGTGGGCCTGTAGTCCCAACTACTCAGGAGGCTGAGTAGGGAGGATTGCTTGAGCCCAGGAGGCAGAGGTTGCAGTGAGCCGAGATCAAGCCACTGCATTCCAGCCTGGGCAACAGAGCAAGACCCTGTCTCAAAACAAAATAAGAAACCGATTCAAAATATTAATTTTGTCTATTTTTAATTCCTAGGGTCTGAAACCTGGCTTCATTACTCTGTAGGCAACAGTTCCTTCCCTTTGATTTGCTGTTTATATGAAACATGTAACAATTCATGTCATTAAGTATATCTTTTTCTGGTCTTAGATTAAGTTTAAAAAGTTTCACTTTGGGCCCCCCACGTTGTGGCTCACAGCTGTAATCCCAGCACTTTGGGAGCAGGCCGAGGGATTGATCACTTGAAGCCAGGAGTTTGGGACCAGCCTGTCCAACACGGTGAAACCCCGTTTCTACAATTAGCTGGGCGTGGGCATCCCACACCTGTCATCCCAGCTACTTGGGAGGCTGAGGAACGAGAATCCCTTGAACCTGGAAGGCGGAGGTTGCAGTGAGCTGAGATGGCACCACTGTACTCTAGCCTGGGCGACAAAGGGAGACCCTGTCTCAAAAACAGTTTCCACTTTGTTCACTATTTCTATTTTGTTCACTAGTAGCGTCCCAGAAAAGATTTGAGGTAGCAACACTAAAAACACACTAATTCCATTTCTACATAGAATAAACTAAAGAGAAAAGAGAAAACAATTTGTGGAGAAAAGTGAAGATAATTAGATAGGTTGGGATTGAGGGGAAGGGTTAAAGGTTAAAAAAAGAAAAATTGTGCTTCTCCATTCTGGAAAGTCCCCAGCTTTTTCTTTGTTTTGTTTTATGTCCAAACTGTGTACATATTGGATTCTTTCCTACTCCTTAGTCTATCAGTCAATCATCAGTTGAGACTTGAGTACACTACACCCTAAAGTCATGAGTTACTTAATGGGTAGTTGGAATTCAGTACCTTTAGTGTGTTTTATTCTCTAACTCACCTACCCGAATAATTTGATTCAAAATAGACTAAAAAGTCTTATTTTTATTGGATGATATGAGCAGGCACTAAATACAGTACAGTATTAAACTTTGGGCTGACACAGTACAGAACCAGTCAAGATAGGGCTCTAGCCTGTTAGGAGATTGCTTTTACTCTTCCAAGTCAGCGTTCTCACTGGGCACGGTGGCTCATGTCTGTAATCTCAACCCTTTGGGAGGCTGAGGAAGGGGGATTACTTCAAGTCAGGAGTTCAAGGCCAGCCTGGGAAACATAGCAAGATCTTGTAGGCTGGGCGTAGTGGCTCACGCCTGTAATCCCAGCACTTTGGGAGGCCGAAGCGGGTGGATCACAAGGTCAAGAGATCGAGATCATCCTGGCCAACATGGTGAAACCTGTCTCTACTGAAATGCAAAAATTAGCTGGGCGTGGTGGCTTGCACCTGTAGTCCCAGCTACGCGGGAGGCTGAGGCAGGAGAATCGCTTGAACCCGGGAGGCGGAGGTTGCAGTGAGCTGAGATTGCACCACTGCACTCCAGCCTGGCAACAGAGCAAGACTCCGTTTCAAAAAAAAAAAAAAAGATCTTGTCTCCACTGAAAATATAAAAAATTAGCCAGGCATGGTGGCATGTGCCCGTAGTCCCAGCTACTAGGGAGGCTGGGGCCAAAGGATCCCTTGAGCCTGGGAGGTCGAAGTGCAGTGAGCTATGATCATGCCTGGTCGGCAGAGTGGGACCCTTTCTCAAAAAACAAAATAAAATGAAATAAAATTAAACCAGAGTTATAAATCCTGTGAGCCAGCATTTTCCTTTGGGTCTCATAAAAACTAATCCTGTTTATGGTGAAACCCTGTCTCTACTGAAAACACAAAAAATTAGCTGGGCATGGTGGTGGGCACCTGTGATCCCAGGTACTCGGGAGGCTGAGGCAGGAGAATGGCGTGAACCTGGGGGATGGAGCTTGCAGTGAGCCAAGATCGCGCCACTGCACTCCAGCCTGGGCGACAGCGCGAGACTCTGTCTCAAAAAAAAAAAAACTAATCCTGTTTAGATTTTTGTTACCATTACCTCCAGTGCATACGATCTAATTTTTTTTTTGAGACAGAATTTCACTCTTGTTGCTCAGACTGGAGTGCAATGGCACGATCTCAGCTCATTGCAACCTCTGCCTCCTGGGTTCAAGCGATTCTCCTGCTTCAGCCTCCCGAGTAGCTGGGATTACAGGCATCCACCACCATGCCCGGCTAATTTTGTATTTTTAGTAGAGACGGGGTTTCTGCATGTTAGGCTGGTCTCGAACCCCTGTCCTCAGGTGATCCACTCGCCTTGGCCTCCCAAAGTGCTGGGATTACAGGTGTGAGCTACTGCACCCAGCTGATCTGATTCTCTTAATTAAGCAACACTAGGAAATACTAATGTTATAATTTTATTTTAAATTAGAATTCAGAGTCACAGGTTCCTGTTAGGAAGGTTCTTTCTGTGTGTAGTGCCCAGAAGCTCAAACTAATGACAGATGAAAATACCTCAGAGAAGTTGGAGGGTATAAATTAGAGATGTGCTTTATAGATCCTAACTGAGAGATCAGGCTGTGTACCTAGTCACAGAATTGATTTTAATTGAAATGTTGATGAAATTGGTGATCACCAGAATGACCCAAAGGTGTGTTACTAGAGCTCTTTGCAGGGATAGGTTCACCCCTATCATTCAGGTTTCAATTACACTATGAATCAAAAAAGGAATAGGATGAAATATTTAAAAATATAGGCCAGGGGCCAGGCGTGGTAGCTCACGCCTGTAATCCCAGCACTTTGGGAGGCCGAGGCAGGTGGATCACGAGGTCAGGAGATGGAGACCATCCTGGCCAACATGGTGAAACCCCGCCTCTACTAAAAATACAGAAATTAACCCGGCTTGGTGGCGAGCATAGTCCCAGCTACTCAGGGGGGGTGGAGGCAAGAGAATCGCTTGAACCCAGGAGGTGGAGATTGCAGTGAGCTGAGATAGCACCACTGCACTCCAGCCTGGGTGACAGAGTGAGACTCCTTCTCAAAAAAAAAAAAAAAAAAAAAATCTAGGCCAGGCCCGGTGGCTTACGCCTGTAATCCCAGCACTTTGGGAGGCCAAGGTGGGTGAATTACCTGAGGTTAGGAGTTCCAGACCAGCCTGGCCAAGATGGTGAAACCCTGTCTCTACTAAAAATACAAAAATTAGCTGGGGCAGAGGTTGCAGTGAGCTGTTATTGCACCAACGCACTCCAGCCTGGCAACAGAGTGAGACTCCATCTCAAAAAAAAATAAAAAAAATAGACTGGGCACGGTGGCTCACGTCTGTAATCCCAGCAGAGCGAGATTCCGTCTCAAAAAATAATAATAAATACAAATAATAAATACAAATAAATAAAATTAAAAAATAAAAATCTGTAGTGCCATCTGCCTCCAAAGGCTTACTTAGCCTTGCTGGTTAATAAAATTATTATTCAAGAGAAACTATCAAAGACACTGAATTTGCCCCTAAGACAAAGAAGCTGTTTCTGCAAAGGGACACCTTATGTAGATGAAAAAATTTAATAGTTTGGAACTTTTGTATTCTGATCTCAGTCTCTCTAAGTTTAAGAACTTGTTCCTTAAATTTTTTTTTTTTTTTTTTTTTTGAGACAGAGTCTTGCTCTGTCGCCCAGGCTGGAGTTCAGTGGCACCGTCTCGGCTCACTGCAAGCTCCGCCTCCTGGGTTCACGCCATTCTCCTGCCTCAGCCTCCTGAGTAGCTGGGACTACAGGTGCCCGCCACCATGCCCAGCTAATTTTTTGTATTTTTAGTAGAGACGGGGTTTCACTGTGTTACCCAGGATGGTCTTGATCTCCTGACCTCGTGATCCGCCTGTCTCGGCCTCCCAAAGTGCTGTGATTGCAGGCGTGAGCCACCGCACCCAGCCGTTCCTTAAATTTTTTATTGCCATACAATTTCAGTAATGTTTTCCCATTTCCACCTAGTGACAGACTACATTCTAGTTTTAGCCTTTGCAGCAAATTGAGATCCAGTTTTCTGGGGAAAGATTGCTACATTTTTATAGCTTTCTTTTCCTGTAGAGATGTGACAGTAAATAAAGTGGTTCGTATTTCCAATGATTAATCTTTTTAAAAAATAAACTCTATTTTTTAGAATAGTTTGTTTTTTAAGAAAGAAAAAAAAGAAAGAATAGTTTGTTTGTTTTTGGTTTGTTTGAAACAGGGTCTCACTCTGTCACCCAGGCTGGAGTGCAATGGCGCAGTCACAGCTTGCTCCTGCAGCCTTGATCGTGCAGGCTCCATCTGTCTTCTCACCTCAGCCTCCCTGGTAGCTGGGACTAGAAGCACACGCCACCATGCCCAACTAATTTTTGTATTTCTTTTGTAGAGATGGGATCTCACCATGTTGTCCAGGCTGGTCTCGAACAACTGGGCCCAAGAGATCCACCTGCCTCAGCCTCCAAAAGTGTTGGAATTTCAGGCATGAGCCATCACGCCTGCCCTAGAATAGTTTTAGATTTATTTTAAAAATTGTAGGCTGGGCGCGGTGGCTCACGCCTGTAATCCCAGCACTTTGGGAGGCCAAGGCGGGTGGATCACCTGAGGTCAGGAGTTCAAGACGAGCCTAGGCAACATGGTGAAACTCTGTCTCTACTAAAAATACAAAAATTAGCTCGGCGCGGTGGCATGTGCCTGTAATCCCAGCTACTTAAGAGGCTGAGGCAGGAGAATCGCTTGAGCCCAGAAGGTGGAGGTTGCAGTGAGCCGAGATTGCATCATTACACTCCAGCCTGGGCGACAGAGCGAGACTCTGTCTCAAAAAAAAAAAAAAATTGTAAAGCTAGTACAGGGAGTTCCTGTTCTGCAACTGGCCAGCAGAACATCTTAAGTGGAATCATATGCAGTTATTTGCGTCTTATTTTTTTCACTTAGTATGGTGGTTTCATTTTATTATTACTATTATTATTAATGAGGCAGAGTCTCGCTCTGTTCCCCAGGCTGGAGTGCAGTGGCGCATTCTCAGATCACTGCAATCTCTACCTCCCTGCAATCTCTGCCCTGCTAGGTTCAAGCGATTCTCCTGCCTCAGCCTCCAAGCAGCTGAGACTACAAGTGCACACCACCATGCCCAGCTAATTTTTGTATTTTTGTAGAGATGAGGTTTCACCATGTTGGCCAGGCTGGTCTCGAACTCCTGATCTCAAGTGATCTGCCTGCCTCAGCCTCCCAAAGTGCTGGGATTACAGGCGTGAGCCACTGCACTCAACCAGCATAGTCTTTTAATGGTCTTGAGATGTGGTGTGAATGTATAGAAACTATTCATGGCTTTTTGTTGCTGAATAGTATTCCATTGTGTGTGTATATATCTATACACACTACATTTTGTATCCATTAGCCAATCCATTGATATGTGTGTTGTTTTCACTTTTGGCTATTATAAATAAATATGAACATTTGGGTACAGATCTTTGTGGAGACATAGGTTTTCAATTCTCTTGGATAAATAATTAGAAATTGTATGCCAGGTTCTGTGGTAAGTATATATTCAGCTTTATTTTTGAAAAACTGGCAAACTGCCTTCCACAGTGGCTATATCACTTTGCATTCCTACCAGCAGTGTATGAGGATTCCAGTTGCTTCACGTCCTCACCAACAAGTTGTATTATCAGTCTTTTTTCATTTTAGCCATGGTAGTGGTGTTTAATAGTATCTCATTGTATTTTTCATCTGCATTTCCCTAATGACTAATGATATGGAGCAACCTTTTGTGTGCTCATTTGCCATTCCTGTATCTTTTCTGGTGACATAGCTGTTCAAATTTCTGCTCTTTTTTTTTTTGAGACGGAGTCTCGCTGTCTCCCAGGTTGGAGTGCAGTGGCACGATTTTGGCCCACTGCAACCTCTGCCTCCTGGGTTTAAGCAATTCTCCTGCCTCAGCTTCCTGAGTAGCTGAGATTGCAGGCAGACGCCACCACGCCTGGCTAATTTTGTATTTTTAGTAGAGATGGGGTTTCACAATGTTGGTCAGGCTGGTCTCGAACTCCTGACCTTGTGATCCACCCGCCTTGACCTCCCAAAGTGCTGGGATTACAGGCATGAGCCACCACATCCAGCCTTCTGCTCACTTTTTATTGGTGATTTGTCTTATTATTGAGCTATAGGACTTGCTTATATAAATATTTTTTAATTTCTTGATCAAAACAGCATATGTTTTGGAGTTTATCTTCAATGTGTAGATGAACATAATGAAAGGCTGTTAAGTACTAGCTAAGTACCTAACTGGAATATAAGTGCTGTTTTGCATGTGTAAGTAACTAAATAATAGATCTGGTAGAAATATAAAGTATTTTTTTGTGTGCCACTCCCTTTGCCCAACACCAATGAATCCATCTCTCCAAATCTGCCTGTTCTAGTGAATGCTAAGTTTTTTATTTGTTCCCTTTTTTTTTTTTAACTTTGATATGATAATTGTTGGTTAGGGTCCAGCTGTGGTGAAAACTCATCTTATGGCTGAGTTTCAGGTGTGTGCCAACATGGCCTGCTAAATTTTGTATTTTTAGTAGAGTCAGGGTTTCACCATGTTGGCCAGGCTGGTCTCGAGCTCCTGGCCTCAAGTGATCCACCCGCCTCAGCCTCCCAAAGTGTTGGGATGACAGGCATGAGCCACCACAGCCAGCCAGACACGACAGCATCTGTAGATTATGTTCTATTCCATTACTTAATACTTCTTTTTTCTTTTCTTTCCCTCCCTGCCTTTCTGTTTCCTTCCCTCCCTCCCGCCCTCCTTCCTTTCTTCCTTTCTTTTCTTTTCTTTCCTCTTCTTTTTTTGAGACCGAGTCTCACTCTGTCACCCAGGCTGGAGTGCAGTGGCGCGATCTCAGCTCACTGCAACCTCTGCCTCCCAGGTTCAAGCGATTCTCCTGCCTCAGCCTCCGAAGTAGCTGGGATTACAGGCACCCACCACCACACCCGGCTAATTTTTGTGTTTTTAGTAGAGATGTGTTTCACTATGTTGGCCAGGCTGGTTTCGAACTCCTGACCTCAGGTGATCCGCCCACCTTGGCCTCCCAAAGTACTGGGATTACAGGTGTGAGCCACTGCGCCCAGCCCTTCCTTCCTTCTTTCTTTCTTTCTTTACTTTTTTTTTTTTTTTTGACAAGGCCTCACTCTGTCACCCAGGCTGGAGTACAGAGGCACAATCATGGCTCACTGCAGCCTCTACCTCCCCATGCTTAGGTGATTCTCCCAACTCAGCCTCCTGAGTAGCTGGGACTGACTGCAGGCACAGGCTACCATGCCCGGGTAATTTTTGTAATTTTTTTGTAGAGACTGGGTTTTGGCATGTTGTCCCAGCTGGTAATCTTCATTTTCAAATACGTGGAGAAACCTAAGCTTACTATTTCAAAAAGGAAAATAGGAAAAAAGGAAAATGAATGCCAAAAAGGAACGGAAGAGGGATTGCAATTTAAAACCATTATTTTGGCCAGGCGCGGTGGCTCATGCCTGTAATCCCAGCACTTTGGCAGGCTGAGGCAGGCAGATCACTTGAGGCCAGGAGTTTCAGACCAGGCTGGTCAACATGGTGAAACCTTGTCTCTACTAAAAATACAAAAATTGGCCGGGCATGGTGGTGTAATGTCAGCAACTCAGGAGGCTGAGGCACAAGGATCGCTTGAACTTGGGAGGTGGAGGCTGCAGTGAGCCAAGATCGTGCCACTACACTCCAGCTTGGGTGACAGAGCGAGACTCCGTCTCAAAAAAAAAAAAAAATCCATGTGCATGAGATATAATCATGAGCTTATTGTGGTATATGTGTGGTAATGGGTTAAATTTTGTTGTTTTCTTGTCCGTGCTGATGATTTTTTTTTTTTTTTTTTTTTTGAGATGGAGTCTCGCTCTGTCACCAGGCAGCAATGCAGTGATGCTGTCTCGGCTCACTGCAACCTCCACCTCCTGTGTTCAATCGATTCTTCTGCCTCAGCCTCCCAAGTAACTGGGAATACAGGCACCCGCCACCATGCCTAGCTAATTTTTTGTATTTTTAGTAGAGACAAGGTTTCACTATGCTGGCCAGGCTGGTCTCAATCTCTTGACCGCGTGATCTGCCTGCCTCAGCCTTCCAAAGTGCTGAGATTACAGACGTCAGCCACCCTGCCCGGCCTTTTTTTTTTTTTTTTTTTGAGATGGAGTCTCGCTCTGTCGCCCAGGCTGGAGTGCAGTGGTGCGATCTCGGCTCACCGCAAGCTCCACCTCCCGGGTTCACGGCTGTCTCCTGCCTCAGCCTCCCGAGTAGCTGAGACCACAGGCGCCTGCCACCATGCCAGGCTAATTTTTTGTATTTTTAGAAGAGACGGGGTTTCACCATGTTAGCCAGGATGGTCTCGATCTCCTGACCTCGTGATCCGCCCACCTCGGCCACCCAAAGTGCTGGCTGGGATTACAGGCGTGAGCCACCGCGCCCAGACCTTTTTTTTTTTTTTTTTGAGACAGAGTTTTGCTCTTGTTGCCCAGGCTGGAGTGCAATGGCGCAATCTCGGCTCGTCGCAACTTCTGCCTCCCAGGTTCAAGCAATTCTCCTGCCTCAGCCTCCAGAGTAGCTGGGATTATAGGCATGCGCCACCACGCCCGGCTAATTTTGTATTTTTAGTAGAGACGGGGTTTCTCCATGTTGGTCAGGCTGGTCTCAAACTCCCACCCTCAGGTGATCTGCCCGCCTCGGCCTTTCAGAGTGCTGGGATTACAACCGTGAGCCAGCGCACCTGGCTTTTTCTTTTTTTTTTTTTTTTTTGTAGAGATGGTGTCTCACTTTGTTGCCCAGGCTGGTCTCAGAGTCCCAAAGTGTTGAAATTATAGGCATGAGCCATTGCACGTGACAGAGTCTCACTCTGTTGCCCAGGCTGGAGCGCAGTGGTGCAATCTCAGTAGCTCACTCTAGCCTTGATCTCCTAGGCTCAAGTGATCCTCCTACCTCAGCTTCTTGAGTAGTTGGAACTACAGGCATGCACCACCATGCCCGGATGATGTTTTTGATTTTGTTTTGTTTTGTTTGGTTTTGAGACAGAGTCTCGCTATCGCCCAGGCTGGAGTGCAGTGGCACGATCTCGGCTCACTGCAGGCTCCGCCCCCTGGGGTTCACGCCATTCTCCTGGCTCAGCCTCCCAAGTAGCTGGGACTACAGGCGCCCGCCACCTCGCCAGGCTAATTTTTTGTATTTTTAGTAGAGACGGGGTTTCACTGTTTTAGCCAGGATAGTCTCGATCTCCTGACCTCATCATCTGCCCGCCTCGGCCTCCCAAAGTGCTGGGATTACAGGCGTGAGCCACCGCGCCCGGCCGATGTTTTTGATTTTTAATAGAGATGAGGTCTTACCATGTTACCCAGGCTTGTATCAAACTCCTGAGCTCAGGCTATCCTCTCAGCTTGGCCTCCCAAAGTGCTGGGATTACAGATGTAAGCCACTGCACCCAGCCTCTTTTCCTTTAAAAAATAACAAAAACAACAGCAAAAGAAAATTTTGAAAAATAGAGATAGGATCTGACTGTGTTGGCCAAGCTAATCTCAAACTCCTGGCCTCTTAGCAACCCTCCTGCCTTGACTTCCCAAAGTGTTGGAATTACAGGCATGAGCCACTGCACATTGCCTGATCATTTATTTTTCTTTTCTTTTCCTTTTTTTTTTTTGGTTTTGTTTTGTTTTTGTTTTTGAGACAGGGGCTTGCTCAGTTTCTCAGGCTGGATGCAGTGGTACAATCATGGCTCACTGTGGCCTCAATCTCCTGGGCTTAAGTGATCCTCTCACCTCAGCGAAAAAAATAAATGTGTAGGAAATTTTAAAAAATAGGGTGTGAAACTTTAGTTTCTGTTTCAAATTTTGGCTCTTCATAGCTCCTTGTAATGTTTTGTTTTGTTTTGTTTTGTTTTGAGGCAGAGTCTCACTCTTGTTGCCCAGGCCGCAGTACAATGGCGTGATCTCAGCTCACTGCAACCTCTGCCTCCCGGGTTCACATGATTCTCCTGCCTCAGCCTCCCGAGTAGCTGGGATTACAGGTGCCTGCCACCACACCTGGCTAATTTTTTTTTTTTTTGTATTTTTTAGTGGAAACGGGGTTTCACCATGTTGACCAGGCTGGTCTTGAATTCCTGACCTCAGCCTCCCAAAGTGCTGGTATCACAGGCGTGAGCCACTGCACCTGGCTAGCTCCTTGTAATGTTTTTAAACATTTTTAATGTTAGGTGGAATAAATAGAGCTAGTTATCTAAGAAACCCAAGTAGTTATTATAGAGTAAAAGCATCATCTTGTGGATTTTATTGAATTTTTACATGTATTTAGTGTTTGTACTTTCTCTAAAATAATTGGCAGGCCTGTTAGCTGAGCCTAGAAATTGGTTCAGAAAAGCATTATGGGCAGGTGCAATGGCTCACACCTGCACCTGTAATCCCAGTACTTTGGGAGGCCGAGGCAGGCAGATCACTTGAGGTCAGGTGATCCCCAGTAGAGATGGTGAAATCCCATCTCTACTACAAATACAAAAAAATTTGGCCGGCTATGGTGGTGCGCGCCTATAGTCCCAGCTACTTGGGAGGCTGAGGCAGGAGAATGGCTTGAACCCAGGAGGCGGAGGTTGCAGTGAGCCAAGATTGTGCCACTGCACTCCAGCTTGGGCAACAGAGTGAGACTCTGTCTTTAAAAAAAAAAAGCATTATGAAAAAATAGAATTTAATAAAGTAAAGGGCCTCTTCCCAAATGGCATCAAGTATTATAGGGACCTGTCTTAGACATACAAAAATAGTAGGAGAAACCTTGAAGTCTTTCTGATTCTGGGGGAAAATCCTACTGAGGGTGTCAGGGTCTAACTTGCTGCACTAACTTAATAGAACCACTGTCTGTTCTCTTTTGAAAAGCTGGACACCTGTTCTGCTGTTGTGTCCTGCCATTCTCCTGAAGAACAGAGGCACACTGTAAAACCCAACACTTCCCCTTGCATTCTATAAGGTAGGTAAAGTATATTAGAATACATACTTCTTGGCCGGGCGCGGTGGCTCACGCCTGTAATCCCAGCACTTTGGGAGGCCAAGGCGGGCGGATCACGAGGTCAGGAGATCGAGACCATCCTGGCTAACACGGTGAAACCCCGTCTCTACTAAAAATACAAAAAATTAGCCGGGCGTGGTAGCGGGCGCCTGTAGTCCCAGCTACTCGGGAGGCTGAGGCAGGAGAATGGCGTGAACCCGGGAGGCGGAGCTTGCAGTGAGCCGAGATCGCGCCACTGCACTCCAGCCTGGGCGACAGAGCGAGACTCCGTCTCAAAAAAAAAAAAAAAAAAAAAAAAAAAGAATACATACTTCTTTAAAACGTTGAACCTTAATTCAAATACCAAAAAGGGGGATTTGCATTGCTATCTATTTCCATATGTCTTGCTGCTGACTTGGAGATGAGATTATACTGCTGTCATATCCTACTTTTATTACTAGGCATGTGGTAAATTTAGACCATTTGGCAGTATGGTTTTGTAGCATGGGTGGATCTTTCCATGAAACCCTTGGATGCAAACTTGGTTCTTGCTGACCACTTCTCTTACTCAAAGTAAAGAGAAGACTTCCATATCTTGAAGTAATCCAAGTTCCTAGTACCTGTGGGAGAACTTCTTGAGTGCTAAATTAAAAACAAGATACCACAGGAGGACAGAGGCTAAGCTTTTTGATAATTGGACCACAAATTGCTGATGTGAAATTTTGTTGTTGTTGTTTTTTTTTGTTTTGTTTTTGTCTTTTGTTTTTGTTTTGAGACGGAGTCTTGCTCTGTCGCCCAGGCTGGAGTGCAGTGATGTGATCTCGGTTCACTGCAACTTCCACCTCCCGGTTTCAAGCCATTCTCCTGCCTCAGCCACCTGAGTAGCTGGGATTATAGGCGTGTGCCACCACATCCAGCTAATTTTTGTATTTTTAGTAGAGACGGGGTTTCAGCATCTTGGCCAGGCTGGTCTTGAACTCCTGACCTCGTGATCCACCCACCTTGGCCTCCCAAAGTGCTGGGATTACAGGCATGAATCACCATGCCCGGACTTTTTTTTTTTTCTTTTTTGAGATGGAGTCTCACTGTGTCACCCAGGCTGGAGTGCAGTGGTGCGATCTCGGCTTACTGCAACTTCCACCTCCCAGGTTCAAGAAATTCTCGTGTCTCAGCTTCCCACATAACTGGGATTACAGGCACAAGCCACCATGCCCGACTAATTTTTTTTTTTTTTTGTATTTTTAGTAGAGACGGGGTTTCACTATGTTGGCCAGGCTAGTCTTGAACTACTGACCTCAGAAGATCCACCCACCTTGGCCTCCCAAAGTGCTGGGATTACAGGCGTGAGCCACCGTGCCTGGACTTCTTGTTGTTTTTTGTTTTTTTGTTTTGTTTTGTTTTTTGAGACAAGGTCTCACTCTGTCACTCAGGCTGAAGTGCAGTGGCGTGGTCACGGCTCAATGCAGCCTTGACCTCCTGGGCTCAAGCAGTCCTCCCACATCAGCCTCCTGAGTAGCTGGGACTACAGGCACTGGCCAACACATCTGGCTAACTTTTGTATTTTCTGTAGAGATGGGGTTTCACCATGTTGCCCAAGGTTGTCTCAAATCACTGGGCTCAAGTAGTGCTCTCACCTCGGCTTCCTAAAGTGTTGGTTTTACAGGTGTGAGCCCCTGCCTCTTTTTTTTAAATTGAAACTTTCTGTTGAACTCACACATTTGGGTTCTTTAAATGTGTGTTTTTATGAGTAAATTTAATGGGAATGAAAGCATAATTGATCTTTTTTTTTTTTTTGTATTTGAGGAATGCTTTATTTCCAGGCAATAAAATGCTATTTCTCATCTCTGTCTCTCTTAGATTACAGCAAGATGGAAATACCAAATCCCCCTACCTCCAAATGTATCACTTACTGGAAAAGAAAAGTGAAATCTGAATACATGCGACTTCGACAACTTAAACGGCTTCAGGCAAATATGGGTGCAAAGGTAAAAAATAATTCCCAAGTGAAAGTTTATATATTTCAATATACTGACCCAGTGTAAAGGGGTTGGAATTTTTTTTTTTTTTTGAGACAGAGTCTCACTCTGTCACCCAGGTTGGAGTGCAGTGGCGTAATCTCAGCTTACTGCAAGCTCCACCTCGCAGGTTCACGCCATTCTCCTGCCTCAGCCTCCCGATTAGCTGGGACTACAGGCGCCTGCCACCACGCCCGGCTAATTTTCTTGTATTTTTAGTAGAGATGGGGTTTCACCATGTTAGCCAGGATGGTCTCGATCTCCTGACCTCGTGATCCGCCCGCCTCAGCCTCCCAAAGTGCTGGGATTACAGGTGTGAGCCACCGCGCCTGGCCCAGGGGTTGGAATTTCTTTTTAACTTTTGTTTTGAAATCGTAACAGGGCCAGGTGCGGTGGCTCACACCTGTAATCCCAGCACTTTGGGAGGCTAAGGCAGGTGGATCACCTGAGGTCAGGAGTTCGAGACCAGCCTGTCCTACCTGGTGAAACCTCGTCTCTACTAAAAATACAAAAATTAGCCGGGCGTGGTGTCATATGCCTGTAATCCCGGCTACTTGGGAGGCTGAGGCAGGAGAATTGCTTGAACCCAGGAGATAGAGGTTGCAGTGAGCCGAGATGGCACCACTGCACTCCAGCCTGGGTGACAGAGCAAGACTCCATCTCAAAAAAAAAAAAAAAGGCCAGGCACGGTGGCTCATGCCTGTAATTCCAGCACTTTGGGAGGCTGAGGCAGGCAGATCACTTGAGGCCAGGAGTTTCAAACCAGCCTGGCCAACATAGTGAAACCCTGTCTCTACCAAAAATACAAAAATTAGCCAGGTGTGGTGGTCTGTGCCTGTAATCCCAGCTACTTGGGAGGCCGAGGTAGGAGAATCGCTTGAACCCGGGAGGCGGAGGTTGTGGTGAGCTGAGATCGCGCTACTACACTCCAGCCTGGGTGACAACAGAGCAAGACTCCATCTCAAAAAAATAAATTATTAATTAATTAATAAAATAACAATATATCTTAATCTTTTCCATGGCTTTGCTAGGCTTTGTATGTGGCAAATTTTGCAAAGGTTCAAGAAAAAACCCAGATCCTCAATGAAGAATGGAAGAAGCTTCGTGTCCAACCTGTTCAGTCAATGAAGCCTGTGAGTGGACACCCTTTTCTCAAAAAGGTACTTTTGGGAGTTTAAGCTCAGTCTTCCTCTCTTCCTTGGGCTTAAAGCTTTTTCCTATATTTGTGACTTTTTAGAAAGTGAATAAGTAAGACAAGGTATGGTGGCTCACACAAGTATTCCCAGCTATTTGGGAGGCTGAGGTGGGAAAATCGCTTGAGGTGAGGAGTTTGAGACCAGCCTGGGCAACATAGACTGTGTCTCTAAAAAATTTTTTAAAAAAGTAGCCAGACATGGTGGTGTAGTCCTAGCTACTTGTGAGGCTGAGGTGGAAGGATTTCTTGAGCCCAGAAGTTCAAGGCTGAAATAAACTATGATTTCACCACAACACTCCAGTCTGGGTTGACAGACAAGACCTTATGTCCAAAAAAGAAAAAGGAAAGAAAGGAAATAAATAAATAAGGTTAAGGTTAATAGATACAGCTATTTTAGTCAACTTTGAATAATTAAGATAGTAAATCTGCAGCTTCAAGAATAATTACGGGGGCTGGACGCAGTGGCTCACACCTGTAATCTCAGCACTTCGGGAGGCTGAGGCAGATGGATCACTTGAGGCCAGGAGTTTGAGACCAGCCTGGCCAACATAGCGAAACACTGTCTCTACTAAAAATACAAAAGTTAGCTGCGTGTGATGGTGCACACCTATAATCCCAGCTACTTGGGAGGCTGAGGCCTGAGAACCTCTTGAACCTAGGAGGCAGAAGTTGCAGTGAGCCAAGATCACACCACTGCACTCCAGCCTGGGTGAAAGAGTGAGACTGTGTCTCAAAAAAAATAATAAATAATAAATAAATAAAAGAATTTTCTAGTTAAGAAACTTTGGCTGGACGCGGTGGCTCACACCTGTAATCCCAGCACTTTGGGAGGCCGAGGTGGGTGGATCACCTGAGGTCAAGAGTTTGAGACCAGGCTGGCCAACATGGTGAAACCCCATCTCTACTAATAGTACAAAAAAATTAGCCAGGCATGGTGGCACACTTCTGTAATCCCAGCTACTAGGGAGGCTGAGGCAGGAGAATTGCTTGAACCCGGGAGGTGGAGGTTGCAGTGATCTGAGATGGCACCATTGTACTTCAGCCTGGGCAACAAGAGCAAAACACCATCTCCAAAAAAAAAGAAACTTTATGAAAATAAATTATCATTATTATTATTTAGAGACAAGATCTCACTATGTCACCCAGACTGGAGTGCAGTGTCATGATCATAGCTTACTGTAACCTCCAACACCTGGGAAATAGATAATATTTTTAAAATATAAAAAGTAAATATTATCTAGGCATGGTAGTGTATGCCTATAATCCCAGCTACTCGGGAGGCTGAGGTGGGAGAATCACTTGAACCCAAGAGTTCAAGGCTGCAGTGAGCTATGATCTCCAGCCTGGGCGACAGCGAGACTCCGTCTCAAAAAAAAAAAAAAAAAAGAGACTGTCTCTTAAAAAAAAAAAAAAAAAGCAGAAGCTGGGTGCAGTGGCTCATGCCTGTAATCCCAGCACTTTTAGAGGCTGTGACAGGTGGATCACCTGAGGTCAGGAGTTCAAGACCAGCCTGGCCAACATGGTGAAACCCTGTCTCTACTAAAAATACAAAAATTGGCCGAGCGTGGTGGCGTGCACCTATAATCCCAGCTACTCAGGAGGCTGAGGCAGGAGAATTGCTTGAACCTGGGAGGCGGAGGTTGCAATGAGCCAAGATCGTGCAACTGCACTCCAGCCTGGGCGACAGAGTGAGACCCTGTCTCAAAACAAAAAACGAAAAGCAGATAGTGTATTGAGAGCAAATATCTTTCCTGAAGCAGAATGTTACTATAATTTCTATACCACTTTGCTTCTCCATGTACTATCCCTATCACCTATGCAGCTAAGTTGATGTCCACTGTCTTAAAGTTTAGGTCTTCAGAAAACTTCCTCATCTTTTAGGACTTTCAGAGGCTCTTTACTGTTGTGTATAACCCAGGTAGACCAACAGTTTGAGCTGAGGTAAACATCAGCTGAGTATGGGAAGTACTGTGCTGAACTCTATAGAGGACACAAAGGTGAATAAGAGTCCCTTCTTTTGGCTGGGCATAGTGGCTCACACATGTAATCCCAGCACTTTGGGAGGCTAAGGCAGGATGATTGCTTGAGTCCAGGAGTTGGAGACCAGCGTGGGCAATATAGCGAGACCCTGTCTCTACAAAAAAAAAAAAGAAAAATTAGCTGTTTAACTGGATGTAGTAGCACATGCCTGTAATCCCAGCTTCTCGGGAGGCTGAGGTTGGAGGATGGCTTTAGCCTGGGAGGCAGAGGCTGCAGTGAGCTGTGATTGCACAACTGCACTCAGCCTGGGCAACAGAGTGAGATCCTGTCTCAAAAAAAAAAAAAGAGTTTCTACTTTCCACAAGTTTGCAGTCTAGGGATTCCTTTTAGGAGATGATGTTACAAAACTCTGAATTTATTAAGTTGTTTTTAAAATTTTGTTTTTGTTTTTTTTGAGACGGAGTATCGCTATGTCGCCAGGCTGGAGTGCAGTGGCGTGATCTTGGCTCACTGCAACCTCCACCTCCCAGGTTCAAGCAATTCTCCTGCCTCAGCCTCCCGAGTAGCTGGGACTACAGGCATGTGCCACCACGCCCAGCTAATTTTTGTATTTTTAGTAGGGACTGGGTTTCACCATGTTGGCCAGGATAGTCTTGATCTCCTGACTTCATGATCCACCCGCCTCGGTCTCCCAAAGTGCTGGGATTACAGGCGTGAGCCACCATGCCTGGTCAAATTTTTTATAATTTTAAATGCCATCTGAATTTTAAAAATTTAATTTATTAGCTTGTAAGAACTAGAGGCTACTAAGATCATTTTTTTTCTCTTTTTTTTCTTTTTTTTCTTGAGACAGAGTCTCGCTCTGTCACCCAGGCTGGAGTGCAGTGGCTCACTCAACCTCTGCCTCCCAGGTTCAAGTGATTCTCATACCTCAGTCTCCCAAGTAGCTGGGATTACATGTGTGTACCACCATGCTCAGCTAATTTTTGTATTATGTTTTTGTAGAGATGGGGTTTCACCATGTTGGCCTGGCTGGTCTCCAACTGACTTCAAGTGATCTGCCTGTCTTGGCCTCCCAAAGTGCTGGGATTACTGGCATGAGCCACTATGCCCAGCCAATTTTGGAAGGAAATTACATTTCTTTCTTGGGTTATATGCCCGTCTTTCCCTCTCCATGTCATTGCTTATATTTCAGTGTACCATAGAGAGCATTTTCCCGGGATTTGCAAGCCAACATATGTTAATGAGGTCACTGAACACAGTTGCATTGGTTCCCATCATGTATTCCTGGTCCCCTCTCCAACAGAACTTTATGGTATGTATTGAAAGCACTGTGGTGGTTATTTAAACTGTATGATTGTGTTATGTTGATATGCCAGAGCTCCTCTTAGGGTAAAGATTGTCCAGTAATTAACACAGCTAGGACATGCAGGGCAGAACAAGGTTGTAATTTACTTACTCTAAACAATATATATTGCAAGTTGTTCTAACTTGTCAGATTTTATGCTCTCTGATGTGTGCTTTGGAATTGATGCTGGTTCTTTTTTAAATGAATAATATTGGGCAAGATTTCAATTTTCTCTTAGTACCTTGGCCCAATATTATGTACAGTTAAATGCAGTCTAAATCAGACTCTTGAGGCTTGAGCAGGTTGTCTGCTCCCTGTTGATGGAGTAATCCTTTCTGAATTCTCTAAATGCAAGATGCTACAAAAACAACTGAGACAACAGACGTGCACACAGTCCTTTCATCTGGGCCTTTGTGCTGACTCCTACTAGGATTATTTGTGGTTTTGATAATCATTCCTCTCTAAATACTGCCATTGCTTATCATCTGCCTGGTGACAGATAGCCGTACTACTGGTTGGAATGAGGTCGAGGTTTATAGAAGGGAATCATCTCTTAGAATAAAACTTCAGAATAATTTTACTTGCTACTTGGGGATTTTAGAATGACTATATTCTCTGCTGAGCACCCCACTCCCCCAAAATTATTTACTATTGTTTATTGCCAGAAAATATCCATAGCCTAGGCTGCAGTTGACTTTAGGTTCCCATTGAGTGTGACTGGCATGAGTTGTAATCATAATTTTTTTTTATTATTGGAGAATCTTAGTCCATCTTATAGAATACCCATGTCTTATGATTGCCCAGTTTATTTTGTAGTTAAATTACAGATCATAATCTTAGAAGCCTTCATTTTTATTTATCCATCTGTCTCTCTACTTATGAAACTTTTTTTTTTTTTGAGACGGAGTCTCACTGTGTCGCCAGGCTGGAGTACAGTGGCGCGATCTCAGCTTACTGCAACCTCTGCCTCCCAGGTTCAAGCGATTCTCCTCCCTCAGCCTCCCTAGTAGCTGGGACTACAGGCATGCGCCACCACGCCCAGCTAATTTTTTGTATTTTAGTAGAGATGGGGTTTCACCATGTTGGCCAGGATGGTCTCGATCTCCTGACCTCATGATCCGCCTGCCTCGGCCTCCCAAAGTGCTGGGATTGCAGGCGTGAGCCACCACACTTGGCCCCATTTGAGGTTTTTTTGGCCAAACAAAATGGCCAGTGTTTAAAATGCAGGAAACTCTGGGACAAAGGCATTTTCAGGAGACTCAAGCAACAAACAAAGCTCAGCAAAGATTCCACTAAATAGGAAAGAGCAGATGCATGATGGCTTCATGGAATAAATCACATCTGGTTTGGTTTCAGGTAGAAGATGAGACGGTTTTGTGCAATATTCCCTACATGGGAGATGAAGTGAAAGAAGAAGATGAGACTTTTATTGAGGAGCTGATCAATAACTATGATGGGAAAGTCCATGGTGAAGAAGGTAGTGGTACTGAACTCCTTGGAGAAAATTTTGTTAGAATCAGGCCTCTTCTTTGGTACCTCATCATCTTGCCATCTTGCTTTTATCTTCTGCCCCATGGGGTACACACTGCAGAATATTTCAATGTCATCACATGGCTGGGAGTTAATTTTTTTTTTTTTTTTTTTTTGAGACGGAGTTTTGCCTTAGTTGCCCAGGCTGGAGTGCAGTGGTGTAATCTAGGCTCACTGCAATCTCTGCCTCCTGGGTTCAAGTGATTCTTCTGCCTCAGCCTCCCAAGTAGCTGGGACTACAGGTGTCTGCCACCATGCCCAGCTAATTCTTGTATTTTTAGTAGAGATGGGGTTTCACCATGTTGGTCAGGCTGGTCTCGAATTCCTGACCTCAGGTGATCCACCTATCTCGGCCTCCTAAAGTGCTGGGATTATAGGCGTGAGCCACCATGCCTAGCCCAATTTTTTTTTTTATTTTTTTTTTAGAGACAGGGACTCACTCAGTCACCCAGGCTGGAATGCAGTGGCATGATCATAGCTTATTGTAGCCTCAGCCTCCTGGGCTTAAGTGATTTTCCTGCTTTAGCCTCCTGGGGGGCTGGGACTACAGGTGCACTCCACCACACCTGGCTTTTTTTTTTTTTTTTTTTTTTGAGACAGAGTCTCGCTGTGTCACCCAGGCTGGAGCGCAGTGGCACAATCTCGGCTCACTGTAAGCTCCGCCTCCCGGGTTCATGCCATTCTCCTGCCTCAGCCTCCCGAGGTAGCTGGGACTACAGGCGCCTACCACACCCGGCTACTTTTTTGTATTTTTAGTAGGGATGGGGTTTCACCGTGTGAGCCAGGATGGTCTCGATCTCCTGACCTTGTGATCCTCCCACCTCAGCCTCCCAAAGTGCTGGGATTACAGGCGTGAGCCACCGTGCCCGGCCCTGGCTTATTTTTAAAATTTTTTGTAGAGATGGAGTCTCACCACGTTGCCCAGGCTGGTCTTAAACTCCTGGCCTCAAGCAATCCTCCCACGTTGGCCTCCCAAAGCTCTGGGATTACAAGAGTGAGCCAACATGCCTGGCCCAAAATACCCTAGTTATTTCTTTTTTTCTTTCTTTCTTTTTTTTTTTTATTACCCTAGTTATTTCTGATTCAAGCAGCAGAAACAGAAATAAAAATTATTTAAAGTATCCTAGTTAAATTTTAAAAGGAGTTGGGACATAAAAGGATTATGTAGTAATCAGTGGCTGGAGAGAAAGTTTATTGTACAAATAAGTTTAATCTTAGGGCTTAGGAGTTTTCCATAAGGACATCCAAGACCATTTTGTTCTTTATTTCTCTTTCTCTGAGAATGGCAATGAGGCTCTCTGTCATACTTCTTTGATCCAGGCATCCCCTGAATCTCCCAGAAGTTGGTTTTAATAATCTGAATTTCCTAAAAGCCAATTGTTTGGATTTAGTCATAATTCTAGAAAAGTCTGTCCGTGTGTAAGAAATGGAAAGAGGAGAGGCTCTCCATCACTTCATAAACCAACAGCCCCACCTGCTCTTTTGACAATTGTGGGCACTGTTGTGATGCTGTTGAACTACATTATTTGTCCACAGTGCCTCCTAGTGTTCAAAGACCTCCTAAATTGTAGTACATCTCCATAAAGTACAATTTTAGGAAAAATTGCTGTCTTTTGATTTAGAGACGTCATTACTGACCCATCAGCAGCAAAGCCAAGAGAATTTTCATTTTATTATTTTTCTCTGCCCTACTTGGAGATTGTTTGAACACTTTCATGAGATTTTGAACCAGAAATTCAGAGTTGACTTGTGACTGAGGAAGTGAAGTTCTTCAGTAAGAATAAAGCCTATGGCTGGGCACGGTGGGTCACACCTGTAATCCCAGCATTTTGGTAGGCCGAGGCGGGCGGATCACCTGAGGTCTGGAGTTCACGACCAGCCTGACATGGAGAAACCCAGTCTCTACTAAAATACAAAATTAGCCAGGGTGGTGGCACATGCGTAATCTCAGCTACTCGGGAGGCTGAGGCAGGAGAATCACTTGAACCTGGGAGGTGGAGGTTGCGGTGAGCCAAGATCGCGCCATTGCACTCCAGCCTGGGCAATAAGGCGAAACTCCGTCTAAAAAAAATAATAAAAATAAATAAAGCCTATAGCTGTATTCCTACTCTAGCCAGCTGCCCACTGCATGTGTAGGAGCCAATCAAATGATTGTAATTTCCTGATCTCCCATGTAAAAATGTACACATGTGACATATCTGGGCCTCTGGAGTGAGTACAAGAAAACCTGCCTAGGAGGACTAATGGAATGTGAAGTGACCACTGCTCATCTTTCGAATCCTCATGTTTCAGAGATGATCCCTGGATCCGTTCTGATTAGTGATGCTGTTTTTCTGGAGTTGGTCGATGCCCTGAATCAGTACTCAGATGAGGAGGAGGAAGGGCACAATGACACCTCAGATGGAAAGCAGGATGACAGCAAAGAAGATCTGCCAGTAACAAGAAAGAGAAAGCGACATGCTATTGAAGGTACGTAGCACTGGCTCCCTTATTCCTTTTTTAAAGTGACAGGGATAGGGAAGAAGGAAGAACTGGAAAGATTTGTTGCCTATTAAAGGCTGTTGGTGCTTCTTGTTGGTTCACTTAAAAGGAGAACATGATCATTAAGTGATAGCTTCAGATAGCTGTGACTTGGGTGAAGAAGAAAGTAGAAGAACTGATAGAATAATCATTGCTATTCATTTCTAATTATATGTCTCATGTGAAATTGGGATCATGCCAATTTATATATATGTATATATCAAATTTTATATCCCTTTTTATTTAATCTTATGAGTACTTTTCCATGTCACTAATGTTTAATTTAAAATTTAATAGTTTAATTATACTATATGTCCAGGGACATAGTGTATTCTCTTTTATTGTATCATAATTATAGTATCAGTGTAGTTCTTCAGCATCCACTTCATGATAGGATTCTTCTATGTTCAGGCCTCTCTATGAACACTCTTTTCACCTCCAAATTCTTATTTTTATTTTTAAAATCTATTATTTATTATTTTTTTGAGACACAGTCTTGCTCTGTTACCCAAGGTGGAGTGCAGTGGCACAATCTCGGCTCACTGCAACCTCCACCTCCCTGGTTCAAGTGATTCTTGTGTGTCAGCCTTCTAAGTAGCTGGGACTATAGGCATGCACCACCATGCCCAGCTAAGTTTTGTATTTTTAGTAGAGTTGGGGTTTTACCATGTTGGCCAGGCTGGTCTCAAACTCCTGGCCTCAAGTGATCCGCTCCCCTCGGCCTCTCAAAGTACTGACTGGGATTACAGGCGTGAGCCACCTCACATCCAGATTCTAATTGGGACTGTGGATTTTGTTGTTAATATGTAGACTACTCTAACTTCCTTATTTACTGGTAGCATATATCAGATAAGTCCAGATAGCACTGATGTTTATATATCTCCAAACAATCAGTGGTTAGGTTAACAAAGCAGCTGTAATCAAAATGCTATGACAAAAGGAAAAAAGATCACACAGATTTGTTTACGTGTTCTGATAATCGCACTCAGGAGCTTTTTATCATTTCCAATTCAGGCAACAAAAAGAGTTCCAAGAAACAGTTCCCAAATGACATGATCTTCAGTGCAATTGCCTCAATGTTCCCTGAGAATGGTGTCCCAGATGACATGAAGGAGAGGTAGGGAAAGCTGTCCCACTTAGGCCATATACAGAGTGCTCGGACAAAACCTTTATTCCCTCCTAATTTTTGGTTAGTAAAAAGCTTTGTTTATGGTAAGGGCATTATGATTTGCCCGCAATTTGATTATTTCTTGCTTACTCAATTACCTCTAAATGCCCCCCTTACTATATTAAGGGTCATCGTATACTGGCTTTTGAGTGAGTCTGGGCAGAGAACATTTACTCTGCCATTTTTCTGGAGAGTTAACTCCAGCACCATCTTAACAAATCCTTCCCTCCCCTTACTTTCCAACATTTGCCCAACCCAGCATAATTACAATGGTGGACCCACTCTAGTTATCTACCATTCTCTTATCAACCAGACCTATAAAAAACACCCATCCTCCCTTGGCAGACCGTAGGTGAGCTACTGTCAGTACCCAATCTGTATTTCCTCAGTGGAGGCAGTTCCTCGGAGGAACTCTTATCTCTCTTTTCTTAAATAGGTATCGAGAACTAACAGAGATGTCAGACCCCAATGCACTTCCCCCTCAGTGCACACCCAACATCGATGGCCCCAATGCCAAGTCTGTGCAGCGGGAGCAATCTCTGCACTCCTTCCACACACTTTTTTGCCGGCGCTGCTTTAAATACGACTGCTTCCTTCACCGTGAGTGGGGCTACTCTGTTTGAAATGCTCTCCTCTCTTCCATCCCCAGCCACCATTTCCTTCTCTTTGTTCTGGTTTCTCGTATAGAGTTCCTGGCTTCTGTTCTAACGTTTTACAAAGGGCCAGTTCTATTTTCCCTTGCTCAATTATAGTGCAACATGCTTTGCATGATAGGGACAGACTAACTAGCAACTTATCTGTCCCTCAGTACCTCTTAGCTTTGAAAGCATTGTGTTGATGTCAGAAATGACTGAATTTTGTGCACCCTGATGGTAGCCGTTTATATCGAATTCTAACTCCTACAATAGCTCTCTAATTCACTTTTGTTTCTCCCCATCTTGTCAAGTGGATAGACCACTGGCAACAAGACAGTTTTTGTTTTCCAGCTTTTCATGCCACCCCTAATGTATATAAACGCAAGAATAAAGAAATCAAGATTGAACCAGAACCATGTGGCACAGACTGCTTCCTTTTGCTGGTATGTTCTTAAGCTGTTCTGGCATTATTAACTTCATTCTGGGAACACAAGCCACGTGAGCCAGTACACAGCACTCTGGGGGTCATATAGCACAAATAAAACATGGCTTTTGCTCTTAAGGAGCTCCCCAGTTACTGTGGGACCGCTCTTAAGGAACTCCCCAGACATGGTAGCACTATAAAGTTAGTCTGATGGAGTGCAGATTCGAAGATCATTAAAGGCTTGCCTGCTCTAAATATCATCTGCTTAGATTTCAGAGCCTAAAACTGTATTGTTAGAATTGGAGCAAAGTGTATGCTGGGGGGGTGGGTACACACTCTAGTTTCTTTGCTATCTTGTTATAAATGCATATAACTATGAGACGAATAGCACGTGATGATGCTGATGTCTTGTTGTGATCAACCAGATGGACCGTTCCCTGATGGACAGACCTTAAGAAGCAGCATAAATGGTCTGGCATACCTGTGGGGAAGCCATATATTGAGAGCTAGAAGGAAATAGATCAACTGGACTTGCCAAAGACACAGTTGGGCTTTTTACACAATAGGATGAGCCTAGGCGATGAATAAAATACCTTGATAAAATTTCTGCCACCTATTAAAATTATATTATACAACCAGCCAAGTGCTTTTGGAACCATCTTTAGTGGGATAATAGATGGAAAGATGGTAGAGAATGCTGTTGGGCACACATGTGGAAAATGGGCCGTACTGTAAAAGCAAAAGAATAGACGTTATTGGGTTTATTTTTTCCTAATGTGTATTGACTCCTTCCTATGTGCCAAGTATCATAGTAGACCCTTAACATACCTTGTCTTATTTTCATCCTATAACAGTGTCATGAGGTAGAGGAAACTGGATTACAAAAGTTATATATTTTGCCTAAAGTTTGTTGATAAGTCAGCGGTATGGCAGCGATGAAATTCAAGTCAGGGTCTAACTCCACAGATCATGCTTTTAAAATTACTCCATGTTTTTCAGCCAGGCGTCGTAGTGCACACCTATAATCCCAGCACTTTGGGAGGCTGAGGGAGGTGGATCACCTGAGGTCAGGAGTTTGAGACCAGCCTGGTCAACATGGAAAAACCCTGTCTCTACTGAAAATACAAAATTAACCAGGTGTGGTGGCGCACGCCTGTAATCCCAGCTACTCAGGAGGCTGAGACAGGAGAATTGCTTGAACCCAGGAGGTGGAGGCTGCAGTGAGCCGAGATCACGCCACTGTACTCCAGCCTGGGTGAGATAGTGAGACTCCATCTCAAAAAAAAAATAATAATAAAATGAAATTACTTCATCCTTAAAAAAATATATATGCCATGTTATGTCAACATACCAGCATTTATATAAGTCAAAAGGTCATTGCCCTTCTCACAGGAGTCACCTTGATACCCTGTACATGTATTACGAAGATGCTGCCAATGCCTGAAATGTATGCATGTTTAACTTACAGAGATAATGTATGCACAATTTTTCTTTTATTGCGTTTTAGGTTTGAGTGCATATTAAATATAATGCTGGACTATTTTCCCCCAACTGTTTACTAAGAACATTTTCAATCATGCAGAGTTGAAAGATACCTTCTTCCTGGATTTGATAACATTTTTTTCTGTATCTCCTTTCTCCATAAATTTGCGTATGTATATCTTTTGCTGAACCATTTGACAATAAGTTGCAGACATTGTGATGCTCATTTGGTAAATGTTTCAGCATAAAGACATTCTCTTACATAACCACATTATTACACCTAGGACAATTAATAAAAATTGTATAGTATCCTCTATTACCCATTCTATTAATATATTCAATTTTTTTTTCAGCTGTACCAAGAATAGGTATTTTTGTGTTGTGTTTTGTTTTGTTTTGTTTCCAAACCAGGATCATCCAGTCAGACATCATATTTGGTTATTATGTCTTTTTTTTTTTTTTTTTGAGACAGAGTTTCACTCTTGTTGCCCAGGCTGGAGTGCAATGGTGCAATCTCAGCTCACCACAATCTCCACCTCCCGGGTTCAAACGATTCTCCTGCCTCAGCCTCCCAAGTAGCTGGGATTACAGGCATGCGCCACCACGCCCAGCTAATTTTTGTGTTTTTAGTAGAGACAGGGTTTCTCTGTGTTGGTCAGGCTGGTCTTGAACTCCCAACCTCAGGTGATCAGACTGCCTGGCCTCCCAAAGTACTGGGATTACAGGTGTAATAAGGCGCCCGGCCTTGTTATGTCTTTTTACTCGTTTTTAATCTCAAATAATTCTATCACTTTTAAAATCTTTTTAAAAGTTCCAGGCTGGTTGTCTTGTAGGATGACCCACATCCTGGATTCATCTGTTGTTTTTTCACAGTGTCATTTCTGTGTTCTTCTGTCTCCTCTTTCTTATAACCTAGAAATTAGGTCTGGAAACTTGATTTTATTTATGTTAAAATGTTTGGCCATTATATTAAAATGGTGGCTCACGCCTGTAATCCCAGCAATTTGGGGGGCTGAAGCATGTGGATAGCTTGAGCCTAGGAGTTCGAGACCAGCCTGGGCAACATGGCAAAACCCCATGTCTATAAAAAATACAAAAATTAGCTGGACTGGACTTGGGAGGCTGAGGTGGGAGGATCAGTTGAGCCTAGAAGGTCAAGGCTGCAGTGAGCTGAGATCATGCTACTGTACTCACCTGGGTGACAGGGCAAGACCTCGTCTCAAAAAAATATATATATATATAAATACATATAATCTATTATATATTATATTATATATAAATACATATAATCTATAATATATATTATATATAAATACATATAATCTATGATATATATTATATATAAATACATATAATCTATAATATATAATATATAAATACATATAATCTATTATATATAATATATAAATACATATAATCTATAATATATAAATACATGTAATATATAGTATATAAATACATATATAATATATAAATTATATTTACATAAATTATATATATTTTATATTTATATAAATTATATATAAATATATTTATATAAATTTCATATATTTATATATTATATAAATATATATTTTATATTTATATAAATTATATAATTATATAATATATTTCCATATTATATATTATATATATAATATATAAAAATTATATGTAAATATATATAAATGTTTAAAATAGTATAATTGATACTGTATACTTCATACACAGCATAGGCACATAATATCAGGTTCAGTTAATTTTGAAACTTCTCTTTTGGAATTTCCTTTAGGCCTTACTGTATATTATTCCAAATTCCAGATACCCTTAATGATAGTTAACCTTTATTTTTTTTTCATTTTTATTACTCAAAAAAACTTCATTTTTAAATTGAGCTTTCTGACTCTGCTTGTGCCTTCAACACTTTCACAACAATTTTCTGCTGCTTGCTAAGGAAAGCACACTTGCTCCTGCACCAATACATTCAGCACACACGGATCCACCATAGGCCCTGCTGACATGCTTTTTTGTTTTGGACAATCTCATAGGAACTTTAGGTCTCATAGCACAAACCCCCCGAAGTCTGCTGGGCACACGCCACATGCAGATTTCAGTGCTTTCCCAACCCTCTTGGTATAAAGGTAATCAATTCTATTACCAGGGGCTCAGGACAGCCTAGTTTTGTTAAAAGCTATATTGTAGGAAAGCCTACATGTATGTCAAATGCTGGACCATTCTGAGTGCCTCTAGACAATGTCACTGGAAGATAAACCTTTATTTTGTAGAAATAGATTTAGTTTTCAGAAACAGCTAGGAAGTCTTTGAAAACCAAGTCTGATGAGAAAATATTGATGATCTAGGTGAGTGATAATTATTTCATTTTTTAAAAAAGGGGGTGATAGCTGTAAAATAATGAAACAATATTCTTCTGAGTTTCATACACAGATTTGGGAGGAAGTTTCAAAATTAAGTAGTAAGATTGTACAGATTAAGCATTACACATTTTATTAAGGAAACAGAGAAAGTGTGGTAGACTGGAAAGAATAGTGGCCTAGGGAGACAAGGAGCCCTGATTCCTATACCCCTCTGGAACTATTAGCTGCATACTCTCAAGCTAGTTTCTTCCCCTCTCTGAATCTCATTTCTTCATCCATAGGAGAATGTGTTCTCAAATTCCAAACAAGTAACACGCAAGTTAATTTTAGATACAACTCACTGGAAAATTGAAGACACAGATGCATAGATTATATCTTTTTTAAGATTATAGGACATTAGCTGGGCATGGTGACATGTGCGTGTGGTCCTAGCTACTTGGGAGGCTGAGGCAAGGGAATCACTTGAGCCCAGGAATTCGAGGCTGCAGTGAGCAGGCCTCTGCACTCCATCCTGGGCAAGAGAGAGAGACCCTGTCTCAAAAAAACAAACAAACAAAAAAACATTATAGGACAACTCTTTTGTGAAAAAGTACGTAAGTTTTGTTAAGCAGCTCTCATTGTTATATGATCATACTTATTATATGGTACAGAGAAAAAGAAAAGACACTATTATTGTAGACAGATGTTGTAAAGATGAAAGTTTGTGATGATGAGATCAATATGGTGATGGGCCTGTTCCTATTTCCTGTCTGTAATGTGTCCACTGCAGGAAGGAGCAAAGGAGTATGCCATGCTCCACAACCCCCGCTCCAAGTGCTCTGGTCGTCGCCGGAGAAGGCACCACATAGTCAGTGCTTCCTGCTCCAATGCCTCAGCCTCTGCTGTGGCTGAGACTAAAGAAGGAGACAGTGACAGGGACACAGGCAATGACTGGGCCTCCAGTTCTTCAGGTACGATGAACAGAAAATGAAGACTTTTTCTTTCCATGCAAGGACTCTGGTAAACCCAGGATCACTGCCTGACACTTAACTTTACTACCTCTTAAAAATTATAAATTCTTTCTACAAGTTTTGTAAACAGTAAAGATGGGGAATATTTTCTTTTTTTTTTTTTTTTTTTTTGAAACAGTCTCTCGCTTTTTTGCCCAGGCTGGAGTGCAGTGGTGCTATCTTGGCTCACTGCAACCTCCACCTCCCAGGTTCAAGCGATTCTCCTGCCTCAGCCTCCCAAGTAGCTGGGATTACAGGTGCCTGCCACCACGCCCGGCTAATTTTTATATTTTTAGTAGAGACGGGGTTTCGCCATGTTGGCCAGGCTGGTCTTGAACTTCTGACCTCAGGTGATCCGCCTGCCTCGGCGTCCTAAAGTGCTGGGATTACAGGCGTGAGCCACCCTGCCTGGCTAATTTTTGTATTTTTAGTAGAGACAGGGTTTCGCCATGTTGCCCAGGCTGGTCTTGAACTCCTGAGCTCAAGCAATCCACCCACCTCGGCCTCCCAAAATGCAGGGATTACAGGCGTGAGCCACCATGCCTGGCCTAAAGATAGGGAATATTTTCATTCCTAACTGTTCTACCTTTTAAAGTAGAATGAAGTACTTCTGAGTTTGTGACAAACTACTGATGACAACTGCATTCTACCTTCTTCTGATTCTGTTATTTCTTCCCTTCTCAGAGGCTAACTCTCGCTGTCAGACTCCCACAAAACAGAAGGCTAGTCCAGCCCCACCTCAACTCTGCGTAGTGGAAGCACCCTCGGAGCCTGTGGAATGGACTGGGGCTGAAGAATCTCTTTTTCGAGTCTTCCATGGCACCTACTTCAACAACTTCTGTTCAATAGCCAGGCTTCTGGGGACCAAGACGTGCAAGCAGGTACCATCTGGAAGCAGCAGAACAAATGGGCCCCTCCTTTCACGCATTGCTCTGTCCAGCCCTTTGCCATCTTACCAGGCTGTGTGTCTGGGTCTGGAGAGAAGTTGTCTTAAGTTCAGTCCCTGATGAGCCTGTGCTTCTGTGAGTTTCCCAAACATGGCCCTTCTGCAAGTGCCAGGCCTAATGATGTTTGGGGACCCGCCTCCTCCTTGCTGAATGCTCATTTCTGTCTGGACTCTATTTAATGCTTCTGGGTCCTACACTCTTTCGCTTCTTTTTTTTGGCTCTGGCCTCCTTTCTAAATGTGTACCCCTTTCCCAGAAGGGACTCCCAGGTCTTTCTGTGGCTCTTGTTAATGAGCACACTGCTGCTGCTGCTGCAGCTGCTGCAGCTGCTGCTCCCTCCACCACTCCGCCAGCCTCTTCAGTCATTTTATTCTCCACATTTTCTATCACTAGATTATCTTTATTTTGTCTTTGAGACAGGGTTTCACTGTGTCGCCCAGGCTGGAGTGCAGTGGCATGATCATAGCTCACTGCAACCTCCGCCTCCTGGGCTCAAGCAGTCCTCTCCCCTCAGCCAAGCAAGTAGCAAGGGACTACAGGTGCAGGCCAGTATGCCCAGCTAATTTTTTTTTTTTTTTGAGACAGAATCTCGCTCTGTTGCCCAGGCTGGAGTGGTGCAGTGGCATAATCTTGGTTCACTGCAACCTCCGCCTCCCAAGTTCAAGTGATTCTTCTGCCTCATCCTCCCAAGCAACTGGGATTACAGGTGCCCACCACCACACCCAGCTAATTTTTTTTGTTTTGTTTTTTTGAGATGGAGTCTCGGTCTGTTGCCCAGGCTGGAGTGCAGTGGCATGATCTCAGCTCACTGCAGCCTCCGCCTCCCAGGTTCAAGTGATTCTTCTGCCACAGCCTCCCAAGTAGCTGGGATTACAGGTGTGCACCACCACGCCCGGCTAATTTTGTATTTGTAATAGAGACGGGGTTTCACCATGTTGGCCAGGCTGGTCTCAAACTCCTGACCTCAGGTGATCCACCCGCCTCGGCCTCCCAAAGTGCTGGGATTACAGGCATGAGCCAATGTGCCTGGCCATTTTTGTATTTTTTTTTAGTAGAGATGGGGTTTCACCATGTTGGCCAGGCTGGTCTCAAACTCCTGACCTCAAGTGATTGGCCCAGGAAAAGACAGGAAAAGACCACAGTGAGAAGACAGACTGAAGAACAGGGACAAGGAGGCAGCTGTCAGGGCCAGCATGTCCAACAGGAAAGGAACCCCAATGCTTTGGCTTCCTACCTTCTGGAGGAGACTCTGTGGCCTCTTCTTCATGCTTCCTGTACTGAGAACAATTAATAGAACCATGGACTGGGCAAGGTGGCTCACACCTAGAATTCCAGTGCTTTGGGAAGCCATGGTGGGAGGATCGCTTGAAGCCAGGATTTCAGGACCAGTGTGGGCAACAAAGTGAGACCCCATTTCTACAAAAAAAAAAAAAAAAAAAAAGCCACGTACCTGTAGTCCTAGTACTCAGGAGGCTGAGGTGGGAAGATGGCTTGAGCCCAGGAGTTCTATACTACATTGAGCTATGATGGCACCACTGCACTCCAGCCTGGCCAAGAGTATGAGACCCTCTCTCTTAAAAAAAAAAAAAAAAAACAAACAAAAACAGAACCATGAGCTGAAGTGCCCTTTGCTTTCATTTTGGAGCTCATACCTATTTCCCTGATCACAGGTTCTCAACGTAACCATCTATGGATTTGTATGCAAGAATGTTCTTGTCTGTATTTTCCTGAGAATAGTTACAGTTTTCAAAGATCCCCCACAAAGGGCCAATAGCCCCAACAAAGAAAAGGAAAAACTAAAAACCAGTGCTTTAAGAGAAAAAACACATCCTATTGAAATGGCTGAGGCTCCGGTATCTTTATACTGACAGAGGGAGCTAATATTTAGCCCACTGAAACCATTCCTGTCCTGTCCTGTCCTGCCTTACACTCAGTTACACAAGGCACAGCGTTGCCCTTCCTAAAAAGAAGAAGATACTGTTGGTCACAGTCAGCCCACTCTTCTACCCGTGGCTTGGTAGAAAGAGTAGTAGGTGACAGCTTCTGACCAGGGGCGGTATTACTGTGCTCAGTATTTCTCCTTTCCTGAGTCAGGATAAATAATTAGGAATGAACTTCAGAGCCAGTAACCCAATGTTCCAGTGGCACTCTGTCTCTCCCTGACTGATGAGAGGCTTGGTCAGCTGCCTGAGTTTCTCAGAACCCTCCCAAGGCCAGCACCCAGCTGGGCCACTTACCTGACCCCCTTGCTCGAGGAGTGACAGGCCCGTTGGATTTCTCTTCCAGGTCTTTCAGTTTGCAGTCAAAGAATCACTTATCCTGAAGCTGCCAACAGATGAGCTCATGAACCCCTCACAGAAGAAGAAAAGAAAGCACAGGCAAGAAGGGTTGGACAAAGTGTTTTGTTTTACAGCCAGGCTGTTCCCTGTGCTCTGACCTCCCCTTGGAGTTCCCATCTGCCTCCCTCTTTAGCAACCGCACAGGCTGTGTGAGCCCATCAGCTTGGCATCACATGACTGAGAGCCAGCCTCCTGAGTGCTCCCTGAGGGTCTGTGCCTTAGATCAGCCCTCTTCTTGTCCCCCAGTGCTGTGGACCATAACTGTCTGTTTTTCTATTTAAGCTTCTGGCCAATAGGACATGAGCTGGCCTCATGGCTCCACCCTGAAGCCATTTCTCCTTGTTGGTTTTGTTACCACCTTACCCATTTCTCAACTCTGATCAGAGTTTATTTATTTGTTTGGTTTGTGTTGTTTTTCTGAGTTACATGATAGCCTTTACTTAGGTTGGAAGTTTTTAAAAAAATTCTGCACCCTGGCCCTGTTCCCTAGTGACTATCACCTATCAGAGGAAGGAGCTGACACCACTTCTAGATACAGAAGGAAATCCCTGTGGCTCCTCCCTTTCAGTTCTTTCAGAGAAGATTCCTGAAAGGCCTTCCCACCTCCCCATCTTGAAACTCCCCCATATCTCCACCTCCACAAAGACAAAGGGAGAGATTTGGAGAGAAACAATAGCTTTATAATAGACCAATAGGCTTGGGCTTTCTTTTATTTCTGTGTTGTGTTCTTTTATGTTATTTGCTTGTTTGGGAGGGGTTGTGTTTAAGTTTAACTCTTGTAGCACAGGCCAGCTGGATTTAGGATGGACTCTAGCTTCTGTGTACCAAAGTCGTCCTGTTGAGGGGTTTGGGAAGATACTCCCCAGTCATCAAACACAGTCCCTCAGAGCAAGTCACGTTGTCATTTACCTGCATTTGCAGAGCTCCCTAGGGCCGTGACTGAGACCTGTCCTTCCTGTCTTTTTCAGATTGTGGGCTGCACACTGCAGGAAGATTCAGCTGAAGAAAGGTAAGTTCTACCAGGGCATTCTTCAGCAGTTCAGCTGGAGGCCTCACTCTGTGGTCATCACCCTACCCCACCTCCAGCTGCACTTGTTGACCCTGTGCCACTTCCGCAGATTGCAGAATTCTCTGCAGCAACTGAGAACAGCTGAGCCTCTCACTGCAACTGAGAAGACCTCTTAGGAGGTAACATTAAGGGCCTTGTGGTCTGTGATTTTTCTTTTTTTTGAGATGGAGCCTCGCTCTGTCACCCAGGCTGGAGTGCAGTGGCACAATCTTGGCTCACTGCAACCTCCGCCTCCCGGGTTCAAGCAATTCTCCTGCCTCAGCTTCCCAAGTAGCTGGGATTACAGGCATGTACCACCATGCCTGGCTAATTTTTGTATTTTTAGTAGAGACGGGGTTTCACCATGTTGGCCAGGCTGGTCTCGAACTCCTGACCTCAAATGATCCACCTGCCTCGGCCTCGCAAAGTGCTGGGATTACAGGCGTGAGCCACTGTGCCTGGCCAGTATGTGACTTTTCTAGTGTGCCATTTGCTAGGTTCCAGACCTCATTTAATGTTTAGAATAGCTTCCCTGTTGTCCCAGACCATCTCCACACCCTCCCCACAAAGCAGATCACCCCACTGCAGCTTATGAACAACGGTCATCCCTGTCTTCTCACTTCAGGTGCTAAATGTGTGTCCAAGGAGATTGTTAGGACCAGCCTCCTCTGAATCAGGGCAGCTGGACACTTGGGAGGGAAGACAGCTGGAGAGTATGGTCACAGCAGCATCCTCCTCTGTTTTCTTTCCTAGATAACTCTTCCACACAAGTGTACAACTACCAACCCTGCGACCACCCAGACCGCCCCTGTGACAGCACCTGCCCCTGCATCATGACTCAGAATTTCTGTGAGAAGTTCTGCCAGTGCAACCCAGACTGTAAGTGTGCTACGTTTTCTGTATAGTCTACCAAAACAGTTGGCTCCAGTGTGCCCTAGGCTTGCCCCATTCCTGTGCCCTTTACTGCTTATGGCCTTCTGATATCCCCTTTGCTGTGTTTTAGGGATTCTACAAATGAAATAAGTGCATGAGATCTGGGAGAGTCGTTTCTGGAAAACGTTTAGGTTCATGATTCTAAAAGCAGCAATTACACAGAAATCAGATACTTTCCCAACTTTGTCTTCTAGGGGAGAATTAAGAAATGTGGGGGGCAGCAGGCGCAGTCACTCACGCCTGTAATCCCAGCACTTTGGGTAGGCGGATCACTTGAGGTCAGGAGTTCAAGACCAGCGTGGCCAACTTGGCGAAACCTCATCTCTACTAAAAATAAAAAAATTAGGCCAGGTGTGGTGGCTCACGCCTATAATCCCAGCACTTGGAAGGCCAAGTCGGGCAGATCACTTAAGGTCAGGACTCAAGACCAGCCTGGCCAACATGGTGAACCCCGTCTCTACTAAGAATACAAAAATTAGCCAGACATGGTGGTACATGCTTGTAGTCCCAGCTACTTGGGAGGCTGAGGCACAAGAACTGCTTGAACCCAGAGGGCAGAGGCTGCCAGTGAGCCAAGATTGTGCCACTGCACTCCAGCCTGGGCAACAGAGCAAGACTCTGTCTCAAAAAGAAAAGAAATGTGGGACTCTTTTTTTTTTTTTTAAGTTACAGCCCCAGTTTCCCTTTTCTGAATACTGTTTTAAAAAATTTTTTATTCAGATATTTTTTGTTTGTGATTCTGTGTATGTCTATTTTCATTTCATAGCTGGAGTTTTAATATCAGGTAGAAGACAGGGGCCTGGATGTCAGCAGAGACATCCGGGTACTTATCTTTTACTTCTTATCCCACCATGCCCTTCCCAACTCAAAGCTGAGCAGTTTGATGGCAGTCCCCACAGCTTGCAGAACTTGGTGCCCAGGCGGTTTTGCTGGAGGAAATACCTCCTAACCCATAGCAGATAGTGATCTTAGCCGCAGCAGAGAAGTGGTTGCGCTGGGTTGGGCAGTGGGTGGAGAAGGATGGCATAGAACGGATGCATTCTGTTCTCAAAATGATACTTGTTTTGATGGTGACAATTTACCAGTGAAACACACTGATTTCATATTCTCTGGGGTACTCTCCACCTCAGTGGGAGGGAGAGGATTGTTGGGGAATCTCTAGGGGACACTTCTTATTAGTATACCTGCTTTTTTTTTCATTTTTTAAATTTTTTTGAGACAGGATCTCAGCTCTGTTGCTCAGGCTGGAGAGAAGTGGCACAATTATGGCTCACTGCAGCCTCAACCTCCCTGGCTCAAGCCATTCATCCCCCTACATCCATCAAGCCTGGGACTACAGGCAGGTGTCACCACACATGGCTATTTTTTTTTTTAATTTTTTTGTGGAGACAGGATCTCCCTATGTTGCCCAGCCTGGTTTTGAACTCCTGGGCTCAGGTGATTCTCCTGCCTTGGCCTCCCAAAGTGCTAGGATTACAGGCATGAGCCACCATGCTTGACCACACCTGCTTTTTTGACTCGAAGGCATGAATGTTGGGAAGCACTCAGTTTTCTATGGACAAAACTTGTGTATTTGATTATTGGGAAGGGAGCTTCCTCTTATTTTGCCAAACATCCTTGAACACAAAAAATTTACTTCTTTGCTGTCCCTTGAGTCAACCACAAGCCCCAGTATTAGCTTATTTCCCTTCTAAGACTTACCTGTCTTCCCTTCCCAGGTCAGAATCGTTTCCCTGGCTGTCGCTGTAAGACCCAGTGCAATACCAAGCAATGTCCTTGCTATCTGGCAGTGCGAGAATGTGACCCTGACCTGTGTCTCACCTGTGGGGCCTCAGAGCACTGGGACTGCAAGGTGGTTTCCTGTAAAAACTGCAGCATCCAGCGTGGACTTAAGAAGGTGAGGCCTTTCCTCAGGACCCCACACCACATAAAATGGAGGGGGAAGGAAGGAACGGTCCCAAGCATTCTCTTTCCACTGGTTCTTTTGAGGCTTTATATGTGAAAGTGCTTGATAAATCCTAAAAGACACATATTTACTGAATTAATAAAGGCTTCAGTCCCAGTAGGGCTTAGAAAAATGGTTCCTGGCCAGGTGTGGTGGCTCATGCCTGTAATCCCAGCAGTTTGGGAGGCCGAGGCCAGCGGATCATGAGGTCAAGAGTTCGAGACCAGCCTGGGCAACATGGTGAAACCCTGTCTCTACTAAAAATATAAAAATTAGCCAGGCATGGTGGTGCATGCCTGTAATCCCAGCTACTCAGAAGGCTGAGGTAGGAGAATCGCTTGAACCTGGGAGGTGGAGGTTGCAGCAAGCCGAGATCGCACCACTGCACTCCAGCCTGGGACAGAGTGAGATTCCATCTCCAAAAAGAGAAAGAAAAGTGGTTCCTTGAACTGGCCAGACAAAAAGGAGCTGCGAGGTGTATGCACCTTTGGTGATGTCTATGTTTACCTCACACATTGCAGTGAATTCCTATAGACTAAGGCCCAGGAGGGCTCCATGGATAAAGGAAGAGATATCCTATTTCCGTTCGTCACCACCTCCCATTTTCTTTTCTCTCCCAAGCAGAAAAGAATGGGTTAGACCTTTTTCTGCTTTCAGATCCTCTTAACAGTTGCTGGTTCTTTCCACCCCACCCCCACCACACATGTGCACATCCAGCACACACCCCCTACTCATGCACACCCTGTAGTCTGAGACTTGGCCCCCTCTTCCCCAGCACCTGCTGCTGGCCCCCTCTGATGTGGCCGGATGGGGCACCTTCATAAAGGAGTCTGTGCAGAAGAACGAATTCATTTCTGAATACTGTGGTGAGGTGAGTGCTATAGTTTTGGCCCACATTCTTACTCGGGGGAGACTGATGAGAAACTCTGATTTTCTGTGGGCCAGGCTTCTTTGAATTAATCTCTAAATAACTCAGCTGTGTTCTCACGTGGCCTCTTGGGGAGATCCCACAGAACCGTTTGCAGTACTGAAACCACTGTTCAACTCTTTGGCAACTCCAGACACAAGAGATGAGGGGGGCTCTTTTCAGCCTTAAAACTGGTTGGCCTGGGTGGGAATTGGAACAGCATAACTTGAACTTGCTCTCTTGTGATTCTCATCATGATGCTCAGTAAGCACCCATGTGAGATACCACCCAGCCCTTTCTGGGGGCAGGGTACCATGCCCTGAGCAGGCAGCCTGATACTCCTATTTGTTATTTGTCTATCTCTCTAGCTCATCTCTCAGGATGAGGCTGATCGACGCGGAAAGGTCTATGACAAATACATGTCCAGCTTCCTCTTCAACCTCAATAATGGTATGAAGTCACTTTGTCTCATCCCAAGGTGGTCTTTTTTTTTTTTCTTTTTTTGAGACGGAGTCTTGCTCTGTTGCCCAGGCTAGGGTGCAATGGTGCGATCTTGGCTCACTGTAGCCTCTACCCTCTGCCTCCCGGGTTCAAGTGATTCTCCTGCCTCAGCCTCCCGAGTAGCTGGGACTACAAGCACCTGCCACCATGCCCGGCTAATATTTTTGTATTTTTAGTAGAGACTGGGTTTCACCATGTTGGCCAGGCTGGTATCGAACTCCTGGCCTCAAGTGATCCACCCGCCTCGGCCTCCCAAAGTGCTAGGATTACAGGAGTAAGCCACCGCACTTGGCCCCAAGGTGATCTTTCTACCAGATTGCCCTTGCTGTAGTCCAAGTTTAGATCAGCTCCGAATCTTCCAGCAGATGCATAGAGCAAGGGGGCAGGATCACACTTGGGGATCCCACAGGCCACAGTGCCCTTGCTTTGGAAGAACCTCCATTTCTGGGTTCTGTTTGTAATAGGAGTGCTGAGCGTCTTTACCTGAGAAATCTCCCTGCCCAGTAGATGAGAAGATCCATAATTCAAAGAGGGACCCAAAGGGAGTGCTCCCACACAAGGCTGAATTCTGAGGCTGCATGCTTTCCTCTGCTCCTGTTAGCACACTGGGCTTCAACATTCCCATCAGACTAAAGTGTTTCTGTTACCATTTAACTGATTTTAAATTCAAGCTGAGAAGCTGTGGAATTGCCTGCTGTGCTTATGGTTTTCCTTGATTTACTTTATACAGATTTTGTAGTGGATGCTACTCGGAAAGGAAACAAAATTCGATTTGCAAATCATTCAGTGAATCCCAACTGTTATGCCAAAGGTGAGTCCCAGTAACCTGGGAGGTGGGGTGGGGGATGGATGCCTCTTTACTGTGATTTCCATTCGTTGTTGAACATTTTCCTTAGCTGAGCTATTTTTTGTCCAAAGATAATCATGATTAATATCTGGTATCATTTTAGGCCCCTCTCAATCTTAGTTTTCTAATCTGCTTTTTTCAGCGAATACATTATAAACACTTTCCCACAAACATGATTTAACCAGCCTGAGCAACATAGTGAGACCCATCTCACAAAATAATAATAGGCTGGGTGTGGTGGCTTACGCCTGTAATCCCAGCACTTTGGGAGGCTGAGGCAGGTGGATCACTTGAGGCCAGGAGTTCAAGACCAGCCTAGCAAACATGGTGAAACCCCATCTCTACTAAAAATACAAAAATCAGCTGGGGGGCGTGGTGGTGTGCACCTGTAGTCCCAGCTACTCAGGTGGCTGAGGCACAAGAATCGCTTGAACCCTGGAGGCAGAGGTTGCAATGAGCCAAGATCATGCCACTGCACTCCAGCCTGGGCAACAGAGCAAGACTCTGTCTCAAAAAACAAAACAAAACAAAACAAAAAACCCCACTTATAATAATAATAAAGATAATTTTTCTGCCATAATAACAGATCTAAAAGCATAGAGGCAACTACCATATTGACTACTTTCTAATTCCATTTGATTCATGTTTTCACTGGGAATTTGGAGAAAATCAACCCAGAAGCCTACTGGTTATTGACTTGGAGTTGGGTAGGAACCTAGCCTCGGGTTTATCCTGCTTGCAGTGGTCATGGTGAATGGAGACCATCGGATTGGGATCTTTGCCAAGAGGGCAATTCAAGCTGGCGAAGAGCTCTTCTTTGATTACAGGTGAGGTGCCAGTAATGGTCCTTGGGATGTGGCCCAGGAATTGGAAAGAGTGGCTGTTGGAATAGATTTGGGGGCTCAGGGAGGGTAATGGAGATGGAGGAGAGAGTCTCCCGGTGAATAAGGCTGTGTCCCTTGTTCTGATATCTGGTGCCTTGCCTCAGAAGTGGGACCATTGTAAACAGCCCTTAAGGAGTGGGAGGGGAAGTGAAACGGGAGGGGACTCCGCCTTTTCAATCACAAAAGTCATGAGAGTAACCTGGTTCCTCTTCCCTGCTCTGGGACAGGTACAGCCAAGCTGATGCTCTCAAGTACGTGGGGATCGAGAGGGAGACCGACGTCCTTTAGCCCTCCCAGGCCCCACGGCAGCACTTATGGTAGCGGCACTGTCTTGGCTTTCGTGCTCACACCACTGCTGCTCGAGTCTCCTGCACTGTGTCTCCCACACTGAGAAACCCCCCAACCCACTCCCTCTGTAGTGAGGCCTCTGCCATGTCCAGAGGGCACAAAACTGTCTCAATGAGAGGGGAGACAGAGGCAGCTAGGGCTTGGTCTCCCAGGACAGAGAGTTACAGAAATGGGAGACTGTTTCTCTGGCCTCAGAAGAAGCGAGCACAGGCTGGGGTGGATGACTTATGCGTGATTTCGTGTCGGCTCCCCAGGCTGTGGCCTCAGGAATCAACTTAGGCAGTTCCCAACAAGCGCTAGCCTGTAATTGTAGCTTTCCACATCAAGAGTCCTTATGTTATTGGGATGCAGGCAAACCTCTGTGGTCCTAAGACCTGGAGAGGACAGGCTAAGTGAAGTGTGGTCCCTGGAGCCTACAAGTGGTCTGGGTTAGAGGCGAGCCTGGCAGGCAGCACAGACTGAACTCAGAGGTAGACAGGTCACCTTACTACCTCCTCCCTCGTGGCAGGGCTCAAACTGAAAGAGTGTGGGTTCTAAGTACAGGCATTCAAGGCTGGGGGAAGGAAAGCTACGCCATCCTTCCTTAGCCAGAGAGGGAGAACCAGCCAGATGATAGTAGTTAAACTGCTAAGCTTGGGCCCAGGAGGCTTTGAGAAAGCCTTCTCTGTGTACTCTGGAGATAGATGGAGAAGTGTTTTCAGATTCCTGGGAACAGACACCAGTGCTCCAGCTCCTCCAAAGTTCTGGCTTAGCAGCTGCAGGCAAGCATTATGCTGCTATTGAAGAAGCATTAGGGGTATGCCTGGCAGGTGTGAGCATCCTGGCTCGCTGGATTTGTGGGTGTTTTCAGGCCTTCCATTCCCCATAGAGGCAAGGCCCAATGGCCAGTGTTGCTTATCGCTTCAGGGTAGGTGGGCACAGGCTTGGACTAGAGAGGAGAAAGATTGGTGTAATCTGCTTTCCTGTCTGTAGTGCCTGCTGTTTGGAAAGGGTGAGTTAGAATATGTTCCAAGGTTGGTGAGGGGCTAAATTGCACGCGTTTAGGCTGGCACCCCGTGTGCAGGGCACACTGGCAGAGGGTATCTGAAGTGGGAGAAGAAGCAGGTAGACCACCTGTCCCAGGCTGTGGTGCCACCCTCTCTGGCATTCATGCAGAGCAAAGCACTTTAACCATTTCTTTTAAAAGGTCTATAGATTGGGGTAGAGTTTGGCCTAAGGTCTCTAGGGTCCCTGCCTAAATCCCACTCCTGAGGGAGGGGGAAGAAGAGAGGGTGGGAGATTCTCCTCCAGTCCTGTCTCATCTCCTGGGAGAGGCAGACGAGTGAGTTTCACACAGAAGAATTTCATGTGAATGGGGCCAGCAAGAGCTGCCCTGTGTCCATGGTGGGTGTGCCGGGCTGGCTGGGAACAAGGAGCAGTATGTTGAGTAGAAAGGGTGTGGGCGGGTATAGATTGGCCTGGGAGTGTTACAGTAGGGAGCAGGCTTCTCCCTTCTTTCTGGGACTCAGAGCCCCGCTTCTTCCCACTCCACTTGTTGTCCCATGAAGGAAGAAGTGGGGTTCCTCCTGACCCAGCTGCCTCTTACGGTTTGGTATGGGACATGCACACACACTCACATGCTCTCACTCACCACACTGGAGGGCACACACGTACCCCGCACCCAGCAACTCCTGACAGAAAGCTCCTCCCACCCAAATGGGCCAGGCCCCAGCATGATCCTGAAATCTGCATCCGCCGTGGTTTGTATTCATTGTGCATATCAGGGATACCCTCAAGCTGGACTGTGGGTTCCAAATTACTCATAGAGGAGAAAACCAGAGAAAGATGAAGAGGAGGAGTTAGGTCTATTTGAAATGCCAGGGGCTCGCTGTGAGGAATAGGTGAAAAAAAACTTTTCACCAGCCTTTGAGAGACTAGACTGACCCCACCCTTCCTTCAGTGAGCAGAATCACTGTGGTCAGTCTCCTGTCCCAGCTTCAGTTCATGAATACTCCTGTTCCTCCAGTTTCCCATCCTTTGTCCCTGCTGTCCCCCACTTTTAAAGATGGGTCTCAACCCCTCCCCACCACGTCATGATGGATGGGGCAAGGTGGTGGGGACTAGGGGAGCCTGGTATACATGCGGCTTCATTGCCAATAAATTTCATGCACTTTAAAGTCCTGTGGCTTGTGACCTCTTAATAAAGTGTTAGAATCCATTTTGGCAAGTTGTGTACTGTGTGCTTTGGGGCTGGAAGGATCCAGGGATGGGGTCCAGGAGCAGGTTGGGCCGAAGCATCAGCATTCTGATCCCCACTTACCCACTGAGATCTGGGAAAGGGGGAGATGGGGGTTCTGGCAAGAGCCAGTCAGTCAAGTCCCTGGAAGGTGATGCAAGGATTCTGAGAGCTCCTTCTAGAAATTCCTGAGCCCTCAGATTAGTTCCCTTAAAATCATCCCACTTATCCCCTAACCACGACGCCAGCTACCACACACAGACTGGGGCTCTGCCACTCTGCTTTATTGGAACGGCTCCGCGTCTGAGAGCACAGCAGGCTCAACCCTGCTTCAGAGTGGAGGCCGGACCAGGCTGGTGGGTGACCAGCAGGACTCACGACACTTCCAACACAGGAAAGGCAAACTACAGACTGTGGGCACAGCACAGCACAGGACAGCACAGCCAATTGAGCTTTTCTTTTATATATAAACAAATAATTTAAAAATTCGAATAATATATAGAGTTTCTCTAGAGAGACACTTTGCAACAAAAAATATATATAAAGAATATGACCTCCTGGGTAAATGAAGCAGCATCTCTGAGCGGAGGAAAGAGGGTTCCTCATGCACTGGAGGGGGCGAAGCCTTTGGGCAGGCACAAAGGCCATTGCATATCTTGGAAAAGGTTGGAGGAGTAGAGGGCTGGCTAGTCAGGGTATCTGCATTATTTTCTCTACGTTGCAGGTTTTTTATGGCTTTGGCTAAAGCAAGTGAAGCAGCGGAGGTACTAAGGTGCTAAACTGAGGCCTCTTGGTCTCTGTGTACAAAACAAAAGGAGGGGGGCAGGGGACAGCCATCAAGCCCTCTTGAGCCTCCAGCTGAGTGGAAGCAAATGGAAGATCTTCAGGGCAGGGGGGAGGCTGGGGGATAGGGTTTAGCAGCCTCCTCCCCCCATACCCTCTGCAGCCCTGCACTCCCACACATCTGTCCCTGCTGATAGTGTCTATTGGAAGGGAGGCAGTTAATCTCCCCTACACTCTGTTGTTAATCCCTGACAGCAGCTGGAACAGAGATGGCAGAAAGGACCTATGTCAACCCCATGAGGCTTCTCCTTTGGGGCAGATAAACAGCCAGGAGCCTGGGGAAACAGGGATGAGAAGGGCATTGGTTTAGGCAGTGAGGCTCGGCCACTCCCTTGGGTCCCATCTGTAGCTCTGCCCACCAAACTTGATGGGGGGGGGATGGGGGAATATCCTCTGGATGAGCAGAGCCAGCTAAGAGGAGCCAAATGTCCCTGATAGGATGGGGGAGAGGCAGGACTGGGGGAATGTCAGGAGCTGGAATTGGTCCCAGAAGCCCTTCTGACTCATTCAGACCTGGACTCCTCCAGGATCTGGGGTAGGTTCTGATCCCGGGGGCCAGGGGCTGGGGCTGGAGTTGGGGCTGGGGCTGGGGCTGAGGCTGGAGCTTGGTTGGGAGCTGCTGTAGGGGTGGGGACCTGGGCAGGGCCTGAAGTGGGTAGGGGAGGTTTGCTGCCAGGATGGTACTCGTGGGCAGCCTTGGGCTCATTGGTATGGTAGGAGCCCTTATAGCGATGATTTTGCAGATAGAAGAGCACCAACATTCCCACCAGCCCCAGCAGCAGAAAGGCCACCAAAACTGAAAAGAAGAAAAGGGACAATTCAGATCTTTGGGATCTCACCTGTATACACACACACACACACACACACACACACACACACGCACTCTTTGAGATTTCACCTGTATACATACACACACTTTGGGATTTCACCTGCACACACACACACACACACACACACACACACACACATTTACTTTTGGCCAAAAGCATAATGTATGACCCTCAGTTAGCTGTTCGACCACACTAAACTCATCTCAAGTGTCTGGCAGGTTTGAATTCCTGGCTTACCCCCTGCCACCTTCTGTTTCTAATATTCTCTTTCCACATCCCTGGTAGTTACCCCAATTTCTTATCTCTCTAGGTGTTACTGTATCCCCATTTTCCCATCCCTTAGCTATAGTCTCATTTTAATATTTTATTTAAAAATCTGTAGCATCCTCAAACATCTAAAAATCTCTGCCCAGTTATATGTCACCTTCAGCATAGCCTGTCTCATCCTCAAACATCTAAAAATCTCTGCCCAGTTATATGGCACCTTCAGCATAGCCTGTCTCATCATCCTTTGTGCCATTGTGCATCTAGTGCCTTTGCCATCCTGCAGCCTTGGGGATCAGGGGCAGGGAAAGGATGCTGACAGTCAGAGGGTAGTCTTGGGAGGTCAGCTTAGTGATCAGTGCTACTCACAGCCTAAAAGTATGGCAACCCATCCTTCATCATGGTAGTAGGGGAAGTCTGGAGAGGAGAAAGCACCAGTTAGGAGATGCCTCCTCCATGTTAAGAATCATTCCCTTCCGTGTCATCCCTCCCTTCTGTCCTCTGTGTCCTGGGAATGTACCTGGGGGCAGATACCAGGGATCAAGCTCAGGTGGCACCTCTGAAACAAGACGTGGCATAGCTCCGCAATTAGATTCGGACAGTTCTCCCTGAACTCGAAGGGCCTCAGCTAGCTCAGCAGTCATGGGTCGAGGGGTTCGGAAGTGGGTCTTGAGGGGAGCCACGTTGTTGAATCGAACACCAGACAGGCAGCCTGAGAAACCTGGGGTGTTGTAGCGCTGGATCTCCGGGTCAATGACTCCTGTCTCTGAGAGAGAGGCAGGCCCAGAAAGAGGGACTTGGACCCAAAGGCCCTGCCACTCTCACTGTCCACAGGTTTCCCACTCATCCTTCCCACTGCCCTCAGCCATTCCCAGGGCCTTCACTTTCCTTGAGGATCCAGGAACATATGCCACAGCTCCTTGCCTAAAACGCGTCCGCACCCGCAGCTTACCCATCACACGCCCTAAATACAAGGCCTTGGGTGAGTCCAACTGGCTGTCCACCAACAGCGAGAACTTCTGCTCTGTCAGTGGGAAGTAGTCCACCTGAGGTGGGGAGGGGGAGGGGGAGGGCGATGAGGGAGCGGGGACCAGAAGCAGATGCCTGTGGGCTGGACTGGAACTGTGTGGACCCTGGGAATATACTTGGGGGCAGATACTGGAGATCTCTCATTCTGTCCAAACTGGCGGTGCCAGCTGGGTGAGTCCTAGCTCAATCTGAAGTGGGCAACCCCTGGGCCTAGATGTAGGATTTGGTATATATATTTTTATTATTATTATTTTATTTTATTTATTAAATATTTTTCTTTGTGAAGATGAGGTCTTGCTATGTTGCTCAGGTTGGTCTCAAACTCCTGGCCTCAAGCAGTCCTCCCACTTCAGCCTCCCAAAGTGTTGGGATTACAGGTGTGAGCCGCTGCACCTGGCCTATATATTTTTTAAAACCCTGGTTTTAAGCCCCATCTTTGCAGCTTACCAGCGGTTTGACTTTGGGTAAACCACTTTATTTTTTTGAGATGGAGTCTCACTCTGTCGCCTAGGCCTGGAGTGCAGTGGCACGATCTCAGCTCACTGCAACCTCCACCTCCCAGGTTCAAGCAATTTTCCTGCCTCACCCTCCTGAGTAGCTGAAACCGCTTTACTTTCTGAGGCTCTTTACTGATTTGTAAAACACTTAAATAAGAATGCCTATTGTCTGGCTGGGCGCGGTGGCTCACGCTTATAATCCCAGCACTTTGGGAGGCTGAGGTAGGCGGATCATCTGAGGTCGGGTGTTCGAGACCAGCCTGACCAACATGGAGAACTCCTGTCTCTACTAAAAATACAAAATTAGCTGGGCGTTGTGGCGCATGCCTGTAATCTCAGCTGCTCGGGAGGCTGAGGCAGAAGAATTGCTTGAACCCGGGAGGCAGAGGTTGCAGTGAGCTGAGATCACACCATTGCACTCCAGCCTGGGCAACAAGAGCAAAATTCCATCTCAAAAAAAAAAAAAAAATGCCTATTGTCCCCTTGGAGCTATTGTGAGGGTTACATGAGGTGACACACGTGAAAATCCTCTATACATTCAAATGTGATCTACAAATATTAAGTATTTGATGTTTTCCTGGATGCCACAACGGAGACCATGAGGTTATGATCTGAACTGGCTCACCTCCCTCTATGCATACCTGGATGAAGAGGTTCCGGTAAACACGGGTGATATTGATGCTATGGGGCTGGCCATCGGTCACTGGTCGAGTGGTTAGCTGGTACACGTAGGGACTGGTGCCCAGCTGATATCGCAGCTGAAGGGTCCCTGTGGGGTGGGGAGAAGAAATTTGGGGTCTCAGGCCCCATGACTCCTATCTTCTAACAGCACGTGGGTCCTTGTATTTGTGAATCAATAGGAGAATTAGGGGCACCGGGGTGAAGCTGGAGTGGGGTGAGAGAGCCCGGGAGAGCTTACCATCATCCTTGATGAGCACAGCCATGTAGTCACGAACAAAGGAACTGACGTAGAGCAGGACAGCAGGGGCGGAGCTGGTGCTGAAGCTGAAGGAGACCTCCTCTCCCGTAACGTTGTAGACAGGCCCACGGTAACCGGGCACAGGCCGACCAGGCCGGGGGTAGTCGGGCAGGCGGTACCCGGGGCCATGGTAGCCAGGCACATAGCCCGGAGTATCATAGCCCGGGATGTAGCCAGGCTCATAGCCTGGCACTGGCCGGCTCAGCATGTGGGAGAACTCCCTGGCTGCAGAGCGCAGCGCTGACTGTAGGTTATAGCGCATCCAGGTGCCCGGCTCAAAGAAACCACCAATATCTGCAGGTAGAAGCAGGGAGGTTAGGGCCCCCACACTGCTCACTCCCCAATTCAGAGGTTTTATGTCATCCATACACACATCCTGAGACTTACTTCAGTTTCTGCCACCCTCACAACCCTCCATTTACTTTTAGGTCCCCTTGAGCCCCTCTGTCACAGAACAGAATCTTACAGCCATGGGAAACTGGAGATCATCTGATCCAACCCCTGCATTTTACAAATGGGGAAACAGGCTCAGAGATGAGTAGTGACTTGCTTAAAGACACGCAGTAAGGCCAGGCACAGTGGCTCACACCTGTAATCCCAGCACTTTGGGAGGCCAAGGCAGGCAGATCATCTTGAGGTCAGGAGTTCGAGAACAGCCTGGCCAACATGGCAAAACCCCATCTCTACTAAAAATACAAAACTTAGCTAGGTGTGGTAGTGCATGCCTGTAATCCCAGCTACTATAGGAAAGCCAAGGCAGGAGAATTGCTTGAGCCCAGGGGGCAGAGGTTGCAGTGAGCCAAGATCATGCCACTGCACTCCAGCCTGGGTGATGGGGATATCCTGACCCCATGTAGTATATGTGCCACTACTCACACTTCCAAACCACCACCAGAAATCTGTTGGTCCCTAAGTCTTGTATCTCCCTAGTCCCCCACACTCCTCCCACCAGTAACCCACCTGCTCATATATCCTCCCTATAGGCCAGCCTTAGGGAGGATGCAGTCTTGGCATGTGTGTAGGATCTTGCTATGGGGAATGTCAAGGCTCACCTTAACCAAGAACTGGGTCATTGACATGTTTTAGGAATGCAGCAATCATCAAATACATTGACAAGGGAGTTCGCCTGTGTTACCATGGTGATGGTGGGAAGATGGAGAAGCGATTTGCTTTTTTTTTTTTTGTAGACACAGTCCTTGCTGTGCCCCCCAGGCTGGAGTGCAGTGGCACGATCATAGCTCACTGCAGCCTTGACCTCCTAGGTGCAAGTGATCCTCCCACCTCAGCCTCCCGAGTAGCTAGGCCTAAGTGTGCACCACCATGCCCAGCTAATTAAAAAATTTTGCCAGGCGCTGTGGCTCACGTCTGTAATCCCAGCACTTTGGGAGGCCAAGGTGGGTGGATCACCTGCGGTCAGAAGTTCGTGACCAGCCTGGCAAGCGTGGTGAAACCCCATCTCTACTAAAAATACAAAAATTAGCCGGGTGTGGTGGCACACACTTGTAATCCCAGCTACTTGGAAGGCTGAGGCAGGAGAATCGCTTCAGCCCGGGAGGTGGAGGTTGCAGTGAGCCGAGATCGAGTCATTACACTCCAGCCTGGGCAACAAGAGTGAAACTCAGTCTCAAAAAAAAAAAAGAAAAAAGAAATTATTTTGGCCAGACGCGGTGGCTCACGCCTGTAATCCCAGCACTTTGGGAGTCTGAGGCAGGCAGATCACAAGGTCAAGAGTTCGAGACCAGCCTGGCCAATGTGGTGAAACCCCATCTCCACTAAAAATACAAAAATTAGCCAGGCATGGTGGTGCACATCTGTAGTCCTAGCTACTCGGGAGGCTGAGGCAAAAGAATCGCTTGAACCAGGCGGAGGTTGCAGTGAGCCGAGATCGTGCCACTGTACTCTAGCCTGGGTGACAGAGCGAGATTCCATCTCATAAAAAAAAAAAGAATTTTTTTTGTAGAGACAGGGTCTTGCCATGTTGCCCAGGCTGGTCTCGAACTCCTAGCCTCAAGCAATCCTCCCACCTTGGGCTCCCAAAGCATACTTGGTGATTTTGAGATATTTTTGCACCAGCTATCTGTACCATCCCTTCCTTGTCCATGCCTTTGGAGTCACCCATGATCTTCAACTGCCTAACTCCCCAAACTCAGAGCTCAGGAATCCAGGGACAACTCTAATTTTCCATGATATGGGCTTTACATGCTATTTCCTTCCCTGCCCTCCCTACATCCCATTACACCCTATGGCTCCCTGTTGCCCCATAACCAGCAGCACTTACCGTGGTTGCAGTATGGCCCATCAAAAGCCGTGAGGTCACAGTCACACGTGTAGTAGCTATAGCGCTCCACGCAGCGGCCTCCATGGAAACAGGGGAGCCGAGGGTGGGCACAGTGGCCTGTGCAGTTGGGTGAGGTACCCTCAGAGGCATTGGCACGGCCCTCCAGGTTCAGAGTCACTCCGTTCAGACGCATGGCCCTCAAGCAACCCACAAAGGGGCGTCTCTTAAGCTCTGCAGATCCTGGGAAGGGTAGGCAACAGGTCAAGAAATGGAGGCAGGGCCAGGCGCGGTGGCTCACGCCTGTAATCCCAGCACTTTGGGAGGCCGAGGCGGGCGAATCACGAGCTCAGGAGATCGAGACCATCCTGGCTAACATGATGAAACCCCGTCTCTACTAAAAAATACAAAAAAAATTAGCTGGGCACGGTGGCGGGCGCCTGTAGTCCCAGCTACTCGGGAGGCTGAGGCAGGAGAACTGCTTGAACCCAGGAGGCGGAGCTTGCAGTGGGCCGAGATCGTGCCACTGCACTCCAGCCTGGGTGACAGAGCGAGACTCCGTCTCAAAAAAAAAAAAAAAAGAAAAGAAATGGAGGCAGAGCCAGAGACAGGATGAAGTATTGTAGTTGGAAAGGGAGCCAAGAGGGCTGGAAGAATAGAATAGGATACAAAGGCCTGGAGGGACAAGTGAGACACTGGCTTGCTCTGAAGCAGAGGGGACTGGCACCTAAGACAGGAGGCTCCTGGAAACAAGGCGAGTGGCCTTGGAGGATGGGGAGGTAAAGGAGGCTTCAGACTTGCCTCTGGGTTGCTGCTTACCCACATAGAGGGGCTGGTCATACTCCATCCAGATGTAGGTCTGCAGTGGCATAGGCCGCAGAACCCAGGGCCGGTGATCCACTCGGAGCCGGGCCTGCTTCACGTTGATTTCAGCCCGGACCAGGTGCCACTCGTCATCATTGAACTCAAAGTCGTCTGAGTGTACTGTGAGGTTCTCATCCCCATTCCCCACATCAAAGGCGAAGACCACATCCCGGGATGCTGGACAGTGTGATGCAGGGTAGGGGAGAAAAGGACTCAGACCTACAAGACCCTTCATAGATCCTTGCCCAATATAACCTCTTTCCCTCACCTCTTTGGAGCTTCTTGAATATCCCTCCAATTTGTCTGTAGCTTGCATTGAAACTTACCAGCTGCTTAAAAACCTCATACCCTTTGTCTCTCCCCACATCACAGATCCCTGAAGCCAGCTTCCCAGCCTCACTTCCCAGGCTAGAAGCATGGCTAATCAGCGGTGAGAGGGACTCGAAGGTCCAGCTTCCTTATGGCACAAGGAAGGGGCTTAAGGCCAAGAGAGGCCAAGTGAATGCCTAGGGTCACCCAGCCAGCCGTCAAGACCGAGTGAGGGCTAGAACATAGGGTATCTCAACCCTTCCCATGCTGCCTGTCAAAAGGGCATCTGCCCTTGGCTCCAACCCCAGCCTACCCCTGTCTCCCCAGACAGCACTTTCATCTACCCCGAGGCCCTCCCACAGTCTGCCTGCTCACTGTTGAGTTCCACCCGCACATAAGGTCGGCGCCACTGGCAGTAAGGGCCCCCCATATTCTCTAGGAAGACCCCCGAGGGAGCAGAGGTCCTGAAGTAGAAGGAGACATCCAGGCTGTGGTTGGCACGGATTGGGGGGAAGCGTAGTGCAGCCCCGGTGTGGAAGGAAATGGTGTTCCAGGAATTTCCTAGAAAAGCAGATGGAGGAAGGTCTTGTCAGGGAGATTGGAGGGTGGAGGAGGAAGAGAACCTGGGGTTGGGGGCAGGGAAGGTTGGGCAAAGGGGGAGGGTTTGAGGTGACGGAGGGGAGACTAAGGAGTGGAATGAAAGAGGAGCCAGGTGCAGAGGGGTAATGAGATCGCATCACAGCAGGAGCTGGGGGTCGGGCACCCCAGCTAGAGACCACCAGTGACATGCGGCCTAGATTTTGGAAACTGGAGAGTCAGCTCTGGGAGGGCACACAAAAGGGGACTGCCACTCACGATCGCCATAGCAGCGCAGAGGCCTCAGGAAGAACTGGGCCTCAGAAGTGGAGCGGTTCGTATCCCCTATCACTACCTGAGTGACAGGCAGATGGTCCACAAAGGTCAGCAGTCCCTTGTCAGTTCTCCTGTGGGGGCAGGATGTCATGGCTCAGCCCCAGCCACTCAGCTCCTCCCACTCCCGGAGTCCTAAAAACCCTGTCCCTTTGCCCCCTCACCACTGGGGCTGGTCAGCGTCACAGTTGCAGTACAAGGCAGGGTCCACACAGCTCCGGTCCAGACCACAGGCACAGCGCTGGATCCCAGGCTGGGAGCCTCCCCAGTAGAAGTGCTGCTCCTCATTTCGGCCAATCCAAAAGCTGTAGGGGTAGCCTCCTGGGGAAGAGGTGCAGGCAGCTTCCAGGCCCTGTCCCTCCATTAGCCTCTGGGCTCCTCTCGCCCTTCCAGCGAGTTCAGACCCCTCCTTGAATCTTCCAACCCAAGGCCCCAGCTGGCTCTCTGGCTTCCTTCTCCCAGGCCCCCATTGGTGTCTCCTCCAGTTCCGCCACCTCCCTGACCCCAGCCCTAACCTGCAGTGTTGAGCAGCCGGGAATTGTAGCAGGAGAACTCGATCCACTGTTCACAATGCTGGGAAGCATTGGCAAGGGCACTGACTTCCTCCCAGGATGCATTCCAGTACTGGATAGCCCCCAGGAATGGCCGCTCCATGCTGGAACCTGTCACTCGAGTTGTCCACAGCCTGTCATGCCGCACAACTGTCCACGCTCGGTTCTCTGGCAGACAAGAGGGGACAGAGCTTTGGCTGGAGTTGGGCATTCTCTACCCATCTCCCTGCCCACCTCCACCACCGCTGCTGCAACTCAGAGCCACTGAACGTGGCCAGCAGCTCCATTCCACCTCTGCCCTGGGCACTCTGCATTGTAGGCTGGAAATAAGATAGCTGGAATGGGTAAGGAAGCTGGGATATACTTTTTTTTTTTTTTTTTTTGAGATGAAGTCTCGCTCTGTTGCCCAGGCTGGAGTCCAATGGCGCTATCTCAGCTCACTGCAACCTCCACCTCCCAGGTTCAAGTGATTCTCCTGCCTCAACCTCCCGAGTAGCTTCCCAAAGTGCTGGGATTACAGGTGTGAGCCACCACGCCTGGCTTGGGATTTACTTTTAAGGCTAGGTTACAAATTCCTCAGTATGCCCTTCCCCTCTGTCCTCCTTTACCCTCACTTGTTTAGTCTAACTGGCCCCCACCCACCACTCTATCCTTCCTGGTTCTCCCCTCACCCCCTCACCACCCAACAGAGACACTTACCTCGGATATCACAGTACACTACAAATGGCTTCAGGGGGCCACTGCCATCAGGATCAATGGTGAAGTTTCCAGAAGTTTTCCCACTGAGCCGATAAGCCTCACAGGATTCCTTATACAAAGCTGGCAGATAATAGGTTGAGACAAAGGCAGTTAGAGAGTTAGAGGGCTGGCCAGGTGCGGCGGCTCGGGCCTGTAATCCCAGCACTTTGGGAGGCCGGGGTGGTGCATCACCCGAGGTCAGGAGTTCGAGACCAGCCTGGCCAACATGGTGAAACCCCATCTCTAATAAAAATATAAAAATTAGCTAGGCGTGGTGGTGTGCACCTGTAGTCCCAGCTACTTAGGAGGCTGAGGCAGGAGAATCGCTTGAACCCAGGAGGCAGAGGTTGCAGCGAGCCCAGATGGCACCACTGCACTCTAGCCTGGGCAACAGAGCAAGACTCTGTCTCAAAAAAACCAAAAACAAAAAGCGAGAGGGCTGGAAGGGCCATCCTCGCCATCTCTAGCAGCCTGATGATCCCCAGCAACCTTCTATTGACCTCCCTTGTCCCTGACTCCCCCCATACCACATCTGGCTTACGTGTGTGGCAGGTCTCTCCCTTGTAGCCCGTCAGTTCGCAGTAGCAAATGAAGTCATCCCAAGACTGGTAGCAGCGTCCATCATGCTCACACATGTTAGGGCTGCACCTAGGGAAGGGGTCAGGACCAAGGGAAGGAGCCTTACTGGGAGCTGGAGAGTGGGGTCTGATCCCTGCAAGCTTCACTCCCAGCTCCTTGAAGCCCCAGAACCCGGTGAGACACACCCCGCCTAGCCAGCCGGGTATAAGCGCAGATGCAGGGGCACTAGGCAGTCCTCAGGGCTCAAGTACTACTATTCCCCCTTCCTGAAAACATCAAAACATGCCTTATTCTACCCCTATCATCCCCCTAGCACAAAAAACCCCTCTAGGACCAAAAGCAAATGTGTCATTTCCATCCTGAGCATGTATCACCTTAAGGGAAGAAATAGGAGGTAAGAGATCAAAGAAGAATCATCCCCAAGCAGGGGACTAAGGAGCAGAGACAAGGAGAAGGGAGATTATTGAAAGAGGCCATTCCTACTGGGAGACCAGGGAAGAGGGCTTTGGAGGGGTCATCTCTTGTTAGGGGCTTCTGGGTACCTATCAGTGATGCCACATGTATCAAAGAGGACCTCAGCATAGAATCCAAGCCGCCGGCCCTCCACCAGAGTCAGGTTGACCAGTTGACCATCCACCTTGAGCAGCTCCATGCAGCCATGGAATGCCGTCTGGTTGGAGTGGCAGTCCCATCGACTGGCTGGCTTGGGACAACCTGGAGCAACCACCCCTGTGAGATCCTCCCCAGGGGAGACCCCAAAGACCCTCCCCCAGGGACATGCTGAGGGGGAGCCAGACATAAAGGAAGAAAGGGGACTACAACCAAAGTGTAGATGGCAATGACCTTCCACTCCCTGAGGCCCCAGAGGGGAAGAGGGCTTGATCCCTCCAAAATTCTCCATGTGGCCCCATCTGGGTGGACTTAGATGGAGCCTTCCCACCCAGAAACAGAGGTCTGGTCAGGTTGGCCCCCACTTACCCCCAAAGAAATATGAGGTCCCTGTCCGGATCAGCAACGGGTATGAGACCCTGACCTCTGCCCCTTCCACATCATCAATGCTGATAACTGCATGGTTTTCCTGTGCCACAAAATTCACCTCGTGCCAAAAGCCGTCATTCAGTCGGTACCCTGGACAAGAATGGATGATGGTGTGGGTGGAGGGAAGCAGCAACTAGGGTAGAAGAATGTTCTGAGTGGGGAAGCAGCAGCCCCACTGTGTCCCAGTAGCAGCCTGTGTGCCCCCGTGATTACACTTCTCACACCCAGTGGAGACCTCTCTGAATGTCTCTTCATTATCCATGACCCAGCAACTGCCACAGAGTCTGCACAGTTATAAACGAGTAACCAAATCTCCAGGGGCCTTCTGGAACTGGAGAATACCAGGACTCCCAGGCTTCCCCCTTCTCCAAGAATACTTAGTCCCTCAGATTCGCCTCCTCACTGCCTCTAGCCACTCCCACCTTTTCCCAGTACCCTGGGGCCTCCTGCCCTGCCCCCTTCACTCCTCTCCCCTCTCCAGAATGTAAAGGCCTCAGTCCAGGCCTACAACTTTCCTGGGATCCTCTACACTTCTCTTCTCTTCTTGTGCCTCCCCCGAAACGCCCTCACCAGCAGCGAACTGAAGCTTCTTTCGGCCGCTCTGCGCGATGGACACGTTGACCTGCCCTTCGCTGAGCGTCAGCTCCACGTGGCCCAGCCCGTCCCCCAGACGGGAGAAAAGGAGAAGCCCGGTGAGGTCCCAGGTGCGGAAGCGAAATGAGACTGCCAGGCGGCCACGGCGTGGGAAACCGGGCACTTGAACGAAGTTGTGAGGGCCTCCGAAGTTGATAGGGTGCGGTACCGGGTCCAGGCAACGAAAAGCCACCTTACCCTAGGGGCAAAAGTGAAGACGCATCAACACCCGTGAGCCGCCTCTGCCTCAGCTGGGAATTCAGTTTTCACACCGGTCTAAGACCCTGGTCACCGCCCTCCTTCGGTGTTGGCGGGGGTGAGATCTCCAACCATGACGTGACCTCTTCCCCTCCAAGCTCGTCCATCTGTGGAGGGGGCCCCAACCCAGTCGGCCCTCGGAACTCTGCTCGCTTGCTCTCGCTGATCTCCACCGTCTGCGATTCGACCGCTTCTCTCCTTCCAGTATCGAGAGGCAATTTTGGACCACAGACCTGGCTCCTGCCAGCTTCCCAACAGAGCTCCAGAGTCGGAGAGGGTTGAGGGGGGCATATCAGAGAAGCCATCGGTTCAAGTCCCTACTCAGCCACCGTGCAGCTGCACGACCCCTGGACAAGCCACTCCCTGTGTCTGCGCCTTACTTTCTTCATCTATGAACTAAGAAGGTGATTGGACCCGACCACTGCTTCTTAACTAGGGGCCTGCGTGGCTCATGCACCTCAGGTGAGACCCGCTCCCCTCCCAACTTGAGCATCTGGCTGGGGACAGAGGGATTCTCCGCTTTTATCTGATGTTCAATATCTCTTCCCGCTCCACCTCTTTGCTTTCCACGACGCTTTGATATCCTGTCCTCCCAGACCCCCCTGCCCACTGGCCTCGAAGGTGATCCGGGAATGGCGCCGCACGGCCAGGTCTGCGATGTTGACGCGGTTGAAGATTACGTTTTCTATGCAGCCGCGGAAGTTATGCCGATAGGCCAGGTTCTTCCGCGCGGCGCCCACCAGACCTCCGATGAACATCTGCGGGAGGCGTGGGGAATGAGGCCTCTTGGGCACAGGAGGGCGCCTGCCTTTCTCGCGCGTCCCCGCCGTATGCTTTCCCAAATGCCAGATGGGGTTTTGTAAAAGACTTAAAACACACATTTCCCCAGTGTCGGTACTAAAGCTCGCTAGGCCTTTCAAGGCTTGAGTTCAAGCTCTGACTCCAACACAAATCGGCTGCACGCCCTTGGGCAAGTCAATTAGCCTGCCTGGGATTCTTATCTGCAGATGGGGTCAGGGTCTTTAACAACTCCACAAAGTTGTGGGAGGATCCAAGGGAACAATTTTCCTACCTTGCCTAGTCCCCAAAATCTGAATTTCCAAACCCCATCTCATTAGTTCTGAAATAGTGCCTGGGAGTCTGCATGCTAACAGCAACAACACCCACAAAAAAAAAAAAAAAAAAAAAAAACAGGCCTTTTTCTGGTGAGTGGCAAGTTTGCCAAGGGCTGCTAGGATATTCAGGAATTGGAATGCGAGGTCTTTGAAAAAAAAAATTTTTTTAAATAGAGGTAGGATGTCACTATGTTGCCCAGGTGAGTCTTGAACACCTGGCCTCAAGCAATCCTCCCACCTCAGCCTCCCAAAGTGCTGGGATTACAGGCATGAGCCACCACCCACAGCCTGAATGCCAGGTCTTTCCTCTGAGAGACAGAGGAAAAGAGAAAGGGAGAGACCGACCTGCACTCACTCATCCAGCATCTACCCTACCACGAAATAGCACCTCCCTAGTCTCTCACCTCAGTGTCCAGGTTCAGCCTCTCGAAGTCTCCATTGAGAATAAAGCGCTGCACATAGCCGTCCAGGGTGAAATTTACATCGCGGCCAAATCGGTCCACCCGCACATAGTGCCAGTGCTGGTCATTGAGGACTCCGCCTGCGCTCACGGTGGTGTGACCTGGTCTTGGCTGGATAGGGCTGCTGCCTGAGGGTGGGGCAGGACAGAGTGAAACCTCAAGCCAGGAGAACTCCATGGAGTCCAAGCTCCTAGGCAGAGCAGCAGCGTGTAACAAAGCCCAGGGCAATCAGGGAGAGTGGGCGAATAGATCAACAGCCATTGGCGAGTGTGTGACAGGGTAAGCCATTTAGCCTGGCTTCCTGTCTGTAAAACTGGGAACACATGAGCTGCTTCTATTTCATGTGCGGGTGTTATGAAAAGCTAATGAGATACAATGTGTGTGCGTCTGTGTGTGTGTGTTTACAAGGAGGGAACTGAGGCTCGGAAGTGCCCCATCCGAGGTCACATCTCTGTGTAGTGGTAGAGCTGAGACTGGAATCCAGTTCTCACTCAACTCCAGTGTTTTGCTAGCACCAAATGCTACAAGAAAGGGGCAGTTTGGTCCAGGCCTTAGAGAAGTGGAAGACCAGGCTGAGCGCGGATGCGCGGAGGAGGTGCCACGAGGAGGGCGGTGAGAGAGCTTCAGGGGTTGGCTCCGCATCGCACATGGTCGCCGAGCTCACCCAGGCTCATGTGCAGCAGCAGGTGTGCCCCCTCCAGCTCGAGCGTCACGTAGTCGCCCTGGGCGCCCTCGGCGTGCAGCAGAAGACCGTCCTTCTCCTCGGTCTTGAAGCTGAAGGCGAACACGTCCCACAGGCTTCGGCTGACCCCTCGCGGGAAGCGGTAGGAGATGGCATCGTCGCCGTCGAAATAGAGTATGTCGGCCTCTGCGCAAAGGACCGTAGGTGGGCCGGGAACTGGGGAGGCTGTCTCCCAGGCCCCCTCCGCGCTCTCTGCACACTTACTGTATGGGCAGCCATAGAGGCCGAGCCTCAGGCCGATCTTGCCGCGTGGGTTCCAGGCCAGGGGCACGATGCGGATGTAGCGCGCAGTGAAGTGGAAGTGCAGGTCATGGCGCACCACCGCCGACTCGTTCACGTTACCAAAGAAGGTCTGCGGGGGTGGAGGAGAGTAGTAACCACGTCCTGCCCTCTGCTTCTTTTTTTTATTTTATTTTTTGAGACAGAGTCTCGCTCTGTCGCCCAGGCTGGAGTGCGGTGGTACGATCTCGGCTCACCGCAACCTCTGCCTCCCGGGTTCAAACAATTCTCTTCCTCAGCCTCCCAAGTAGCTGGGATTACAGGCGCCCGCCACTACGCCCGGCTGATTTTTTTGTATTTTTCATAGAGACGGGGTTTCACCATGTTGGCCAGGCTGGTCATGAACTCCTGACCTCGTGATCCACCTGCCTCGGCCTCCCAAAGTGCTGGGATTACAGGCGTGAGCCACTGCGCCCGGCCCCCCTCTGCTTCTTTCTCCATAGCCTCCCAGCCCACAACTTTCACACCCAGCCAATCTCGACTTCTGGAAAGTAAACACTCCTTGGTCTTCCCTGCTTGGCGGCTTTGCCCGCACAGTTTCCATAAAGTGCCCTGTCCCACAATCCTATTATTTCCTCAGACCTGAAATCAAATGTCACCTCCTTAGGAAGCTCTCCCAGGTTTTACCCTAAAGTGTGTTAAACCCTGTGAACCGAGTGTTTCGCGCACGTCCTAAGCTGACAGTCCCTCTGGACAGAGTCCCTGGAGTGGAGTCACTGCTCCTTGTCCGAGCCCTCACCACCACCCCCTCCATTTTCCCAGAGGCTGGTGCCCGGCCCAGAGCCTGGAGCAGAGGAAGCTCCCCAAGTGTTACCGCCTTGGCGCCCAGAGTACCGAGTTGTGCCCTCGCTGGTAGAACGGTGTCCAGCTGTCCACTCGGTCGCCGTAGAGTAGCATGTAACGTGTGACCCAGTCCCAAGAATTAAAGGAGCCCTGTGTGGCCACGGCCCGGATCCGGTGCTTCTTCATTAAGTCTATCTGGAGCCAGGGATTCGGATCCCCAATCCGTGGTGACCACCCGCTTATGCCTATAGAAAGGACAGGAGCTTTAACCGGCTATCCCTCTCCCCGAAGTCCTCCGGAGGCCCCCACCCTTCCGCGGTGCGCTGCCAGTTGGCAGCTGATGTTCCGCGGAGCTCACCGTGCAGCCTGGCGAATCTCGGCGCAGTAAGGAGACTGTAGTAGGAGGAGGCGCCCAGGGAGCGTGCATACAGGGGACCCACCAGCTCCTCGTCGCAGCCGTCTAGGGTAGGGAAACCGACTGTTAGTCAGCGCTGGCCCCTCCCAGACCCTTCCAAAGGCCGGCCCACTTAGCGACCGAAGCTTCCCCTTCCGTGCCCCCAACCCCCGCCCCCAGAGGCACACCCAGCCCTACCTTAAAGCCATCTATTCAATCCTGGCTGCAGCAACAGCTGCATGCTCAGAGGAGGCTACCTTCTCCTTCTAGGCAAACCCCTAGGCTACACCTATAGGCCCAAGGCCAGACCCTCCCTAGCTAGCCCAATACCTGCCCTGGTTTAGTACTTTCCCAAACTCAATCCTAAACCTCAGCATCTTCCACAACCTAAGTCAACCCAAGACACCAATCCAGCTCCAACCCTAGCCTCAATCCAACTCGGCCCCCAAAACCTGCACCATCCCCAAATACAGGCCTTGCACCCAACCTCAGCCAGTGCTAGCACCATCACCAGCTCCATGTCCAGCCTTAGCATCAGTCAGGGGCACCAGCTCCTGCTTGGATCCCTGCCACAAAACCCAGCCCCAGCCACAAACCCCAGCCCTAGCCACAAACCCCACCCCTTGGCCAGCTCCAAAGTCCAGCCTTAAGCCCTGGCAAAACCTTAATCCTAGTATCGGTCACCAGTATACACTTATCCCCCAGCCCTAGCCTCAAACCCAGGCACCAGCTCCTGCTTGGATCCCAACCCCAAATCCCTGCCCGCTGACTTCATCCTCTTCCCAGAGCCCAGCCCCAGCCCCGGGCGCGCGCGGCAGCCTCAGAGCTGCAATGCGGAGCGCGGGGGAGAGGCAGGAAAAGATGAGAGCCAGCGGGCGCGCGCCGGCCGGGAAGGACCCGCGACCACCCAGCCGCAATGCGGTTCGGGGCCGCCCTGCAGGCTCTGGACTCCTGGGCCCAACCCCACCTGCCTCCAAGCCCAACACTCACAGTAGCCCCAGCCCTCGGCTCCTGAGACCGCGGCGAGCAGGATGCAGAAGAGCCGGAGATGCATCATGCAGGGCTGACGGTCCCGGCAGCCGCCTCCCTGTGAACGGCTCCGGCTAGGGCTCGAGTTCTGGCTTGGGCTCCAAGCTCTCCTCCTGGGGTTTGCAGCAGACCGCTCTCTCCTCCTTACCCACCCTTCCCTCCCTCTCTCCTTTCGCCCCCAAGCGCTCTGTCTCTCCTCTCTCTTTTCTCTCTCTCTCTCTCTGGTTCCTGGTCCTCCGCTCTTCTCTCTCTATCCTCTCCTTTCCACCCTCTTTCCTCTCACCTCCCCCCTTCCCCAGCCTCTGTCTCCTGGCACGCGCCGGTTTCCCGGACCCCGCGCAAGCGCGTGCCTCAGCCCTGCTGCGAAAGGGCGGGGGTAGAGAGCCTCTCGCCACCGGGAAAACCCCAAGTAACCCGAGGCTGCCCGGGACTAGGGCCACAGGAGTGAGGACAGGGAACCTAGGGCCAGAAGCATCCTGAAAATTTCAAGAAAAGGGAGGTGGTTTGGGGGAGGGGTGCCTGGAAATGGAATGAAGGGTAAGTAAAAGAATCTTAACATTTTCGGAAGGCAAATTATGCTCTAGGAGTGGTGCTGGGCACTGTGAATTTAGCATTTTTGCCCTACTCCACTTTGCAGATGAAAAACCTCAGGCTCAGAGAGGTCAAGAAACTTAGTCAATATCACACAGCAAATGATTATATTCCGAAGCCCGTTCTTTCTTCACTGACAAAGACAGTAAATTATTTTTTCTTTCTTTCGTTCATTCTTTTTTCTTTCTTTCCTTCCTTTTTTTCTTTCTTTCTTTCTTTCTTTCCTCTTTCCTTCCTTTCTTCTTCTTTTTTTTTTTTTCGTAAAATCCAGATCCTGCACAAGAGAGTGAAGTCTTTTGGAGGAGGTGGAATGGGAAAGTGACCCCGTAGACCCTAATCCCCACCTCCCTCTCGGCCCCTCTCCCCGCCTCTTCCTTCCTGTCCCGCTAGTAGTTTAACTTCTACCCCCTGTGGCTATACCTCAGAAACCTGTGTAGCCAGAGATGGGGACGGAGGCCACAGAGCAGGTGGGAGTGGGGGCAGGGAGGGGGAGAAGGGTTACAGAGAGGGAGGAGACAGGGAAGGAATGGGATTCCCCACCTGGCAATGGGCCTCTGCCATCCTATGGCTTATTCAGGATTCTTGGCGCTGTCTCAGACTAGGGGTCCTCCAGATAAATGGGCTGGTGGTGTGAGGCTGGGGTTGTGGGACAGGGACTAGGGCTGAGGGGAAAGGCGGGTTGAACCTAGAGGTCCAGGGTCCCACCTGGGCCCTGAAAACCTGAGTCCCAACCCTGGAGACCCCCTTGGCATGAGTGGTTCAGTGTGCTGGTATTGGAGGTACAGGGAAGGTGGGTATGGAAGGGAAAGAAGAGAAACAGAAACCCACTCCAGACGGAGGTTGGAGTCCAGGGCTCAGGTCTGAGGCAAAGCCTGCATATGGGCATCCTTCCAGGAGAGGGCGCTGCAAAGGGAACTGAAGCTGTAGGATTTATTAATAATACAAACTTTGGGCTGGGCGTGGTAGCTCAGGCCTGTAATCCCAGTACTTTGGGAGGCCAAGGTGGGCGGATCACCTGAGGTCAGGAGTTCGAGACCATCCTGGCCAACATGGTGAAACCCCATCTCTACTAAAAATACAAAAATTAGCTGGGCGTGGTGGTGGGCGCCTGTAGTCCCAGCTACTTGGGAGGCTGAGGCAGGAGAATCTCTTGAACCCGGAGGCGGAGGTTGCAGTGAGCCGAGATCGTGCCACTGCACTCCAGCCTGGGCGACAGAGCAAGACTCTGTCTCCAATAATAATAATAATAAATAATAATAATAATACAAACTTTGTATTATGGCCTTTGGAGAACACAGGTTCTCCCCATCCATTATTTTCCATATTGCCATCTTCACAGCAAACCTTGAGAGGTGGGCTGGTCAGGATTTATAATCTCAACATTACAGGTTAGGTAACTGAGGTCTAGAAAGAGCAAGTGGCTTGCTCAAGGTCACCCAGGAAGCTGGAAGCAGAGGTAGGAGGGGTGCAAGGGAAGCCAAGGCCTGCTGAAGGTGTGCTAGGAAGAGTCTGGAGAAGAGCTTATGTCTCCCCGTGTACTGTTACATCTGGCCACACAGGAGCTCTCAGCTTGGAAGGCAAGTGTGGGCGGGGGAGTTGTGTGGTCAGATGTGTCTCATAAGATCCCGCCTCTCATTTGACCCTCCCAGGTTTCCTGGGGCCATTACTCTGGGGATGAAGAGGACGCATACTCGGCTGAGCCACTGCCGGAGCTTTGCTACAAGGCCGATGTCCAGGCCTTCAGCCGGGCCTTCCAACCCAGTGTCTCCCTGACCGTGGCTGCGCTGGGTCTGGCCGGCAATGGCCTGGTCCTGGCCACCCACCTGGCAGCCCGACGCGCAGCGCGCTCGCCCACCTCTGCCCACCTGCTCCAGCTGGCCCTGGCCGACCTCTTGCTGGCCCTGACTCTGCCCTTCGCGGCAGCAGGGGCTCTTCAGGGCTGGAGTCTGGGAAGTGCCACCTGCCGCACCATCTCTGGCCTCTACTCGGCCTCCTTCCACGCCGGCTTCCTCTTCCTGGCCTGTATCAGCGCCGACCGCTACGTGGCCATCGCGCGAGCGCTCCCAGCCGGGCCGCGGCCCTCCACTCCCGGCCGCGCACACTTGGTCTCCGTCATCGTGTGGCTGCTGTCACTGCTCCTGGCGCTGCCTGCGCTGCTCTTCAGCCAGGATGGGCAGCGGGAAGGCCAACGACGCTGTCGCCTCATCTTCCCCGAGGGCCTCACGCAGACGGTGAAGGGGGCGAGCGCCGTGGCGCAGGTGGCCCTGGGCTTCGCGCTGCCGCTGGGCGTCATGGTAGCCTGCTACGCGCTTCTGGGCCGCACGCTGCTGGCCGCCAGGGGGCCCGAGCGCCGGCGTGCGCTGCGCGTCGTGGTGGCTCTGGTGGCGGCCTTCGTGGTGCTGCAGCTGCCCTACAGCCTCGCCCTGCTGCTGGATACTGCCGATCTACTGGCTGCGCGCGAGCGGAGCTGCCCTGCCAGCAAACGCAAGGATGTCGCACTGCTGGTGACCAGCGGCTTGGCCCTCGCCCGCTGTGGCCTCAATCCCGTTCTCTACGCCTTCCTGGGCCTGCGCTTCCGCCAGGACCTGCGGAGGCTGCTACGGGGTGGGAGCTGCCCCTCAGGGCCTCAACCCCGCCGCGGCTGCCCCCGCCGGCCCCGCCTTTCTTCCTGCTCAGCTCCCACGGAGACCCACAGTCTCTCCTGGGACAACTAGGGCTGCGAATCTAGAGGAGGGGGCAGGCTGAGGGTCGTGGGAAAGGGGAGTAGGTGGGGGAACACTGAGAAAGAGGCAGGGACCTAAAGGGACTACCTCTGTGCCTTGCCACATTAAATTGATAACATGGAAATGAGATGCAACCCAACAACTGTTACTATTTTTGAGTCACCGACTTGGAAGTGATTTGTGGCGGGGCAGAACCGGTGGGTTAACACCCCGCCCCCGCCCCACCCCCCGCCCTGCCCCGCGCTTGGCTCTCTGAGTGGAAGACGCTGAGGGCCTGGGTGGGGGTGGGGGGCTGCTGAGTCTGCTAAAGCTCTAGCCACTGACACCCCCTCCACCGTCACCTGGCCTCAGCCAACAGAGGTGAGGTGGGAAAGCTGCCAGGCAAGGAGGGGCGGTGGTTCCTCTTGCAATACTGTAAGGAAGAGCTTTCTAACAACCAGAGCGCTCTCCAGTAATGGCTGCCTTAGCAAATACTGAGTTCCCGCTATTGGAATGTTCAGACTGTCGGGGACGCTGTGGGCCTTTGCGTGGTGTGGGGGGAGGGGGAGGGGCAGGGGATTCCCGTTTTTGGTGGGCGTTTGGATTTCATAACCACTTTACAATCCCTTCCTAGTGTCTGTGATGGAAAGAAAAAATGAAAAAATGAATTGTAAAATTTGAGTTGAAGTTTTTCCACCTTGAAGAAAAACCTAGGAGGGATTGCAATCTGCAAATTTCCAGAGTAGTTATCACGGGTGTGGTGGGGGTGAGGGATATTTGCTGTTCTCCATCTTCTCTGGGGACTGGGTCAGAGGAAATGCACTGAGCTGGCCGGAAAGAGAGAGGTTGGATATGGGAAAAAACTTCTCTGCAGGCAAGGGCCTGGGATCCAGACCTGGAAGATGGTTGTGGTATCTCCATTCCTAGGTAATCTCTCAGTACAGGCCACTCTCATGTGGAGAGAGGCCACGGCCGAGATGGCCTCCTAGACACGCTCGCATTGATTCCTGGTCTTTGTTTTACACAATCACAACGGGCAGGATGGTGTTCACGTGCGACAGTTCTCGCGGTTTAATATCGGTCAGCAAAGCTGTCCCCACCGCTCCAGCCTGGAGTCTAGGGTCGAGAAGGGCGGGGCGTGGCGAGGAGGTCTCAAGGGAGGTGCTGGCCTGACGGCCCCGCCCGTCCCGCCCTTCCCCGCCCCTCCCCGCCCAGCCCAGCCCTGCCCAGGCTAGCAGTCCTCAGAGCCTCCCGCAGCAGCGGCGAAAAGGGGTCCCCCACGGCCTCTAGGGGCCAGGATCCAGGGAAGGCCCGGAGACGGCGCCGATCCTCAAAGGGTCCCACACGCCAGCCACTGGGGACCGACCTGGAACCCTCCATCCAAGATCTCTGGAATCGCCGCTGAGTCAGCAACGCGCGCGCGCGCCCGCGGAGGCCGCGGCCCCGCCCCGGCCGCCTAGCGCCTGAGTTAACCCCTTCCTATACAGAGCCGCAGGATATTAGCCCTAAGAGGCCTCCACTGTATTCGGAGACCACAGAATTCCTTAGAATCCAAGTCAGTCTCCCCAGCTGAGTTCGGTGAGCTGTGAGCTCTATATTCGATTTTATTTCCGGCCTAGGTCTGCACCTTCCCAGAGTGCCTGCCTCAACTCCTTCACCTCGAAAAGGAGGTGAGGCCGAGTGCAGTGGCTCATACCTGTAATCCCAGCACTTTGGGAAGCCAAGCTGGGAGGATCGCTTGAGCCCAGGAGTTAAAGACCAGCCTGGGCAACATAGTGAGACTCCATTTCTACAAAAAATAAATTTAAAAAATTAGCCAGGCATGGTGGTGTACGCCTGTAGTCCCAGCTCCTGGAGAGGCTGAGGTGGGAGGATCCCTTGAGCCGAGGAGTTCGAGGCTGTAGTAAGCTATAATGGCTCCACCGCACCCCAGCCTGGGCAAGACAGCGAGACCCTGTCTGGAAGAAAAAAAAAAAAGGGTGGGGGAGAGCTGAATCAGACCGAGAAACTGGAGAAACTGGACTCCTTCTCCCCAGACGTGGAGGGCCACCTCCAGAGCTGTGTCCTCGCAGGTCTGGACATCCTCTTAGTAGCCAAGGCGTTTCCCTTTCTCAGGGACCCTGAGACGAGACAGGGGTTCAGAGAGCGGCAGTTGGGTTTTCCTCTGTCCTGTGCCAAAACTCCTCAACAGGGTTTTTAATTGGTTGGTGAGCCAAGAGTTAAAACAAGAGCCTGAAGGCGGGCTTCCGTGACGTCACTAGCACCCCGCGTCCGACCTCAGAGACTGGGGCGTGGCTAACATAGCCTCGTCCCCTCCCTCCCTGTTTCCCCGCCCCTCCCCGCTGTCACCAAGCCAGGGGCACATGATGCAACCCAACGCGGTTTCAGCCGTCTGATTGGTAGCCGCGCCCGGCGCCAGGCACAGGGATTGGACAGAGGAGACTGTGACGAAACCTGGACCCTGCCTAGTAAAGAAGGGAGGAGAGAAAGAAGAGAGAGGGGGGGCCCCCCGGGAGGGAGGGGGCCGGGGGGGCGGGGTCCCAGCTCTGTGCTCGCGCCCCCAGCGCGCCAGTCCCGGGGCTGCAGGGAGCGCAGCGCGCGCGGCCCGGGCCCCGGCCACCGGACGCCCTACCGGACACGACCCTCCCTGGAGCTTGGACAACTGCCCACCTCGGACGCTGCACCGGACACTGCCCCCCACAGGGCTGGACACTCCAACGGACACTACTTCCCAGCTCCGGACATTGCTCCCTCCTCTCCCGGGGCCCTGGACGCTTTTCCCCCTCCCCCCTCCGGGGGCCCAGACACTGAGCCCCCCTCAGCGTCTGGCTAGCGTCCCCTTGCACCCCAGCCCAGGACACTGCCTCCTCCCTGTCCTCTTCTCCCTTCTGCTCCTCCCACCTCATCTTTCCCCTGCTCGGGTCGGAGCCCCGCCAGTTCCTCCGACCCCCTACTGCTCGGCCGCGGCTGCCCGCGCCCCCATCCGCAGCTCCTCGCCCGGATGCCTCTCCCCGGGGGACTATGGTGGCTTCTCTGCTGCCGTCGAGGCTTCACTCTTCTGCACCGGGACTACGGGGACGGCGAGCTTAGCGGGGACGGGGACGAGGACGAGGACGAGGAAACCTTTGAGCTGCGGACCCCGAGTCCAGCGGGCGGCGGGAGGGTAAGTCCCGGGGGTTCGGAGCCTCGTCTCAATCACTCTCGCTGTAACCGGCCGTCACGCTGATCCGCTCCAGCCTCCAGCCACACGCTGCGCGCTTGGCGAACTAGGGATGAGGGAGAGTTTTTTGCCTGGGGGCCAAAGCCCCCGGGAGCTCTCGGAGCAGCAGCCCTACTCGGGATGTGCCTGTGGGCCTCCCGCTGCAGGCTGGGCGCTATCCACCTGCTGGGGGCCCTGAGGCAGGGGAGGCGTCACGCGTGGCCCGACCTGGCCCTGCCTCTCCCTTCCCCGCTGGGCCCGCGTCCCATCCCGTCTCCTTCCGCCTCCGCCAGCGCCGAGGAATGTGGCGAGGCCGGCTGGGCGGCTCGAACGCCTGGGTCCCCCTCCGCTCCCAGTTCGCAAGTGCGGAGGCCAGATGCGAGAGCTCCCGCTGCGGAGACCTGGACGAGGGGGAGAAGTCATCCCAGGATTGGGGTCTGTGGCGGGGACCCCAAGGAGAGGGAGGTGGGAGCTCTTTGAGGACCCCTCCTCATTACCCTGCCACTCAGGACAGAACTCTCGGCTTTCCCGGGTGAGGCTCCTGGGAAACCCCTGAGGGGATGGATGGTGAGGGACACTGGGCTGCTGCCTGGTTTTGTCGAATCTCCCCGTGGGGAAACGGAGGCACGATTGGTGTGGGAGACCTCCATCCCTTGACGTCTCCTCCCCCATCCCTCCTGCACACTGGCGGCCAGACTCCCGTGTGCTGTGGCCCGGGTCAGGCTCCCATCCCCCGCGCAGGGGTCCCCAGCAGGCCCAGTGGCTCGGTGCCCGGGTGGGGCGGGCTGCGCCGCCGGGGCCGGCGCCAGCACCTGGCGGAGGCGGAGGGTGGATAAATATAGAGGAGGGGGGAGGGAGGGAAGCAGGGCACTGCGATTAGGGGAGTTAGCCTAAGAGGGTGGTCAGTACCTGCCACATGTGGTGTGGCTGACAGCCCCACTCAGACCTTCCAGAAAATAGGTGGAGGTTCACGTAGGAAGGGTGCAGGACCCAGGCGTCCCCAAGCTTCCAGCTTGGGCAGGGTCGGCTTTACCAGGCCATTGCCTCCCTCATGCTCCACCTCAACTCCCCCCTTCCCTGAGCCTGGGGACAGGTGTCCCTGGCCCCCTCCCCCACCTCCCCCTCTTGGCTCTAGCAGTCTGGGAGCAATATGAGGATGGCACGGTTCCCGCCTGACTGGCCTCCGGGTTGGGTTTGTGGCCTCTCTCAGACCCCAGTCTACAGTTGAAGTTCCAGGACAGGGGGAAGGGAGGAGGAGGGGGAGGGGGAGGGCAAAACCCTGAACTACACCTGCCTCCAGAGGGTGTGCCATTCCTCAGTCTGGCCCGCCCTTCCTAAGCCCCAGCAAAGGGGCAGGGTCTCTGCTCACCATTGAGTCTCAGGAGTGTCTATGGGAGAATGTAAGACGCTTTTGGAGAAAGCCCTATACTGAAAGGGTCCCTCTGCCCTTCATTCACCTCTGTGCCTACCACCTGTCCTGCCTTGGCCAGGGAGGCAGTGTGGAAGAAGGGAAAATGAGGAGGAGAGGGTGCCTTGGAGCCTGGCAGAACGAGCTCACCTCTCCTGTTTCAAAGATGGGGAAACTAAGGCCCGGAGACGGGAAGAGACTTGCCCAAGGTTCCACAGTGAGTTAGTGGTGGGGCGGGAATTGGAACCCAGGTCTCCTGACTCTCTGCCCAGTGCTCTTTCCACCCTACCCTACCCCTGATTGTATTTTCAAAGGGTAACTGAGAGGAGCCTTGGCTCCTTAGCTCCTGCTGTTCTGAAGAGCTTGTCCTGTTAAGACTGGCGGGAGGGGCGAGCCCAGGGGCTCCAGCGTGCTCCACCCTAGTCACGACCCCACTCTGTGACTCCTCCTTCCTCAATCCCCTGAGCAGCCCTGTCCTGAGGGCAGAAGGCACGAACCTTGCGCAGGAAGGGCTCTGACCCTGAGGGCTTCCCCGCCTGTCTCCCCAGGGTCCCCTGGAAGTGACGCTGACTCAGCCAGTGAGGAGCGGGCCTGTCTCCAACAGGTGAGCTACGCCCCTACGTCCCATAGTCTGGCGACCCCAGCATGTTCCCGGGACCCCCATCCTCTCTGTCTCCCCTAGCGGTTGTGCAATAAGGGAGAGGCCCTATGCCGGACGCTGTGGTTTGGCTGGGGTCCCGGGGGGCGGTCCGGCTGGGGGCGCGGGGAGAAAGAGGGGGGTCGGGGCTATTTCTGGTTCGAGGTCAGAATGGCCCAGCGGTTCCCACAGCCTGGGGGAGGGGTGCCCAGCTTGGGAGCAGACACCCGTGCGGTCTGGGGAGCCCCTACAGAGGAGCCCCCTAGAGGCAGAGTGGAGACCCAACCTTCCCTCCCCTCTGGCCCAGGCTGCAGAGCTGGGAGGAGACTTGGAGCCTCATCCCGGAGAAAGGGCTGCCGGAGGACGACCCGGACATCGTTGTGAAAGGTAGAGACCCCCCTCAGTGCACTCTGGAGGCCCCCAATCCCAACCCCCTAGGGATTAATGTCTCTACTGATGTCCCTTCCCTCCCTCTCCGGCCCCCAGGTTGGCTGTACCGGGAGCCCCGCGGAGGAGGGGCGCGGCCCTGGCTGCCCCCGCGCCGAGCCTGGTTTGTGCTCACGCGGGACTCCCTGGATCAGTTCAGCAGCAGCGGGAAAGGGGCGCGGCGTCTCGGGAGCCTCGTGCTCACCAGCCTGTGCTCGGTGACCGGCCCAGAGCGCAGGCGTAAGGAGACAGGTGAGACCTCCTGGGGACTCTCCTACCTTCCTAGGCAGGGGCCCCGGCAGACCCTAATGGCCCTCCCTGGCCTCTCTTTTCCCCAGGTCTGTGGTCAGTGACTGTGTCTGGTCGGAAACACAGTGTCCGCCTCTGCTCCCCACGCCAGGCAGAGGCTGAGCGCTGGGGGGTGGCATTGCGGGAAGTGATCGCCTCCAAGGCACCCCTGGAGACCCCCACCCAGCTACTGCTCAGGGACATACAGGTACACACCAGGGAGAGCCAGGAGAGTGGTGGACCCCAAAGCTTTCTGGGGTTGTGAGGAACTCCCTTCCCCATCAAGGTGACCCTCTCCCTGGCCCCCTAGGAAAGTTGCGGGGACCCAGAGGCCGTTGCCCTCATTTACCTGAGGAACCCGATTCTGAGACACACTAGTGGAGCCTTGTATGCCCCACTCCTGCCCCTGCCCTATGGAGTCAGCGCCCCAGGTGAGTGGTCCCATGGCCCAAGTCCCCTGGATGGGATGGGGTGGTTCAGAGGTAAGAATCTGAATCCCTTAACTGGCAGGGATCTAAGCATCCTTCATGGACCTGCCAGCTCCTCACTTTTCGAAGGATGAAGGTGAAACTGGAAGCTGGCCAGGGTGGAGGAGAGGAAGCCAGCACACACAAAAGGGCCCCCTTTGGCCACCTTCTCTATGGGTCTCATTCTGACTACTGATGTTCCTTCAGGAGTTTGTACACTCCCCTATTTTTTCATTATCCTCTTGAGACTATGCCATATTACCTTTACAAGTGGTAGAAAAGCTACCACTTTTGTAGAATGTGCTGGCCTCATCCAACTGTACTTCTCCCTAAACGGTGTAGTGACTGGCCCAGGTCCTAAAGTTAGAGGATTAAAGGGTGCTGGGAGAGGAACCCCGGTTTTCTGACTCCTAGTCCAGCCTGTTTTCTGACCTATGGTGGTGAGCCTCAGTATGGAGTTACAGAATCTGGGGTGTGAATCTACAGCCCTTCCCGGCCGTCCGTCTCCCTAAGTCCAAATGCAGGCTTAGTGGGATTGGGAAGGGGATTCCTGGGAGGCAGAGGTTGAGAGTCTGGCTCCGTGGGACCACTGCTTTCCCTTCACTCTTCCTGTCGTTCGTACCCTCCCCTCCCTGCCACCCCATCCCCTTATATTCCCTCTGACCTTCCCCTGGTTCATGCCTTCCTCCCAGGGCGCAGCTCTGTGTCCCCTCTCCAAACCGTCCCTCCGCCCCCACCCTCCCACAGGTCCGGGCTATGCACCCCTGCGCGAGGAGGCGGTGCGGCTGTTCTTGGCGCTGCAGGCGCTGGAGGGGGCGCGGCGCCCCGGGCCCTTGATGCAGGGTGTGCTCCAAACCTGCCGGGACTTGCCCGCGCTCCGGGATGAACTCTTCCTGCAGCTGGCTAAGCAGACCTCGGGCCCTGCAGGTCCCCCCGGGCTCCCGGCTACCCAAGACCCTGCGGCCCTGCGGTACTGGCAACTCCTCACCTGCATGAGCTGCACCTTCCGACCTGGGGGAGCTGTGCGGGGGCACCTCCTGGGGCACTTGGAGAGGTGAGAGGGGCGAGGTGGGGGTTACGGCCTAGGCGAGGAGCTACCGGGCTGGGAGAGAATGAAAGGTCTTTTGCAAAAGACTTGGTAGGTAAAGAACCGAGTAATACATACAGTGCCTTTGTGGGAGATACAAGATCCTATCGCAGTTGTGAGCGGATGAATTACAATAAAACGCCCCCCTTGGGCTGAGGAGTTATGAAAAGGCTGCTTTTCCTCCAGCTGATGCAGGCCAGCGCCAGGGCTTAGGAAAATGTAGTAAAGTGGCTGGATTTCGATTTCAGGCCGAAGGAAGATCACGAAGACTTTTGGAAGTGGTGGAGGCAGTTGGGAGAAAGCTGCCAGGGGACTTGAAAAGTAATTCAGCTCTATGCAAAGCACTGGGGAGAGATTTAGAAGAGCCTTCAAAGAACTTGAGTTGGGGCGGGGAGGAAATCGGCTAGATAAAATAAACTATAAGAGAAGCAGGCAAGAGGGAGGGGGAGAAGAAAGCCCTTGGAGTATTGATCCCTGGGTTCCTCCTAACCCAGGACCGAGCAGGCACTCCCGGACTCGGAACTGGCGGAATATGCGCGCTTCATCCGGAAAGCGCTGGGCCGGACGCGCGGCAGAGAGCTGGTGCCCTCGCTGGCGGAGATTTCCGCGTTGAGCCAACGGCAGGAGCTGCTGTGTACCGTGCACTGTCCGGGGGCTGGTGCCTGTGCTGTGGCCATCGACTCCCACACCACGGCGGGGGAGGTGAGGCCAGAGAAAGGCCCCATGACCTCCAACCCACCCTGCCAGCTTCTCACGCCTGTCTCTCCCTCTTCCTGGACCCTAGGTTTGCCCCGAGTCTAGATTATTTTGGTAAGGGAGGGAGTGGTGGTGACAGGACTAAGAGACCCCTTCCAATTGAATCAACCCCTCCCAGAATCCTGGCAAGACCTCTGAGTGGTCTCCCCTCACCCTCCTCTTCTAGGTGGCTCGAGAGCTGGTGGGGCGGCTGGGCTTGGCCCGGAGCCGCAACGCATTCGCGCTGTACGAGCAGCGAGGGGCCCAGGAGCGAGCCCTGGCTGGGGGGACCCTCGTGGCCGACGTGCTCACCAGGTTTGAGAAGTAAATGTCCAGCCCCAGCCCTGCTCTCTATTAGCCCATCCACTTCTCAGCTGAGGTCAGTCTCTAAGCGGACATTATCCAGCGCTTGCCCCTGGCCCTGCGCTGTGGTGTTCGCTGGTTTACAGACGGACCTGCCCGCCGCAGGTTTGCAGTCCGACTGCAGCATCACCTCCGCTGTCGGCTCCGCCCAGGCCCCGCCCCAAACACATGGCCCCGCCCCCACCCCAAGCTGCCCTCGCCGTAGGGGTCCGGCTTCTCCCTAGCGCTTCGTCCGCTCCTCTTCTGCAGCTTGGCCGCGGAGGAAGCTGGGTTGGAGGACTCGCCCGACTCCGGGTGGAGACTATGTCTGCGTCTTCACGGACCTCTGCACCCTGAGGGGCTGTCCCCAGACGGTCACGAACTGCCTTTCCTCTTTGAGCAGGTGAGGCTCTCCGGCGTTCACGCCTCCAAACAGACCCCCAAGCCTGAACCCCTGGTTTTCTAGGCCGTCTCATTTCATCACTATGGCAGCCCCGCGGGAGGCTTGACTGGAACCTAGACCTGCTCAGATTCCGCGAGGCGTTTTCGCGACGGTTCCGCCGCCGCTCGTACACTGACGCCGGGTGCCTCCCCTGCAGGCTCACGCTCTGCTGCTGCGGGGCCGGCCGCCCCCACCCGACGACACGCTGCGCGCCCTGGCGGCGCTGCGCCTGCAGAGCCTGCAGCGGGACTTCTCTCCGCGGGTGCCCCTGCCCCGCCTGGACCGCCTGCTCCCGCCCCCGGCCCCGCCGCGCGAAGACCCGCCCCGCCCGACCCCCAGGCCGCCCCCTTCCGCTGCCCTGCTGGCCGGGGCGCTCTGGAGCCCGGGCCTGGCCAAGAGGCGGGCGGAGCGGGCCCGGCGCGGCGGGGCCGGCCGCACTGCGGGAAGCATTGCCCGCGAGGGAGGAGGCGGCGCCGGCACGGCAGCTGCCGTGCTGGGCGGCTGGAAGCGGCTACGGGGCATGGGCCGAGCTGAGGCCATGGCCGCCTACCTGGCCCTGGCGGCGCAGTGTCCGGGGTTCGGCGCTGCTCGGTATGACGTTCTGGAGCTGAGCACGGTGAGGGGGAGAAGGGAGAAGGGGACTCTGGCGGCCCAAGCCCCACACCTTTGCCCCAGAGCCACAGGTCCCACGGAGTGTCACGTAATTCCCCACATCCAGAACAGCTACCCATCTCAAACCCCAGGAGTCACCAGCCCTTGGGCCCTCACATCCCTGGAGCCTCAGCCCCCTCCACACACGTGCTGTGAATCATAGGGGGATCAGGATACTCCTGCTCACAGACACCCATCTCCCCCTACCAAAAATAACGCTGGGCTCCTCCTTCCACCCTGACTCTGCCTCTCTGTCTGCAGGAGCCTGGTCGGGGTGCTCCACAGAAGCTGTGCCTGGGCTTGGGAGCCAAGGCCATGTCCCTCTCCCGGCCAGGGGAGACGGAGCCCATCCACAGTGTCAGCTATGGCCATGTGGCCGCCTGCCAGCTAATGGGCCCCCACACCCTGGCCTTGAGGGTGGGAGAGAGCCAGCTCCTCCTGCAGAGCCCCCAGGTGAGTGAGAAGAGGAGTTGTGGGAGGAGGAGAGAAGGGAAGCGATGTCAGGAAGCATTTACAGAACACCAAACCTGGGCCAGGTAGAGCTCTAAGCACTGGGGATCCAGCAGTGATCACAGACAAGCTGAAGGAGCTTACACTAGAGTGGAGTCAGACAATAAACAAGGAATCCCAGGCTATGAAGACAGTGAGAAATGCTACAAAGGAAAGAGTGATGTGACAGGAAGCCAGGGAAGGGTTCTCAAAAAGGGTGCCATTTAAGCTAGCCAGGGAAGACCTGGGAGAACAGCATTCCAGGTAGAAAGAATTGCAAGGTGGCCGGGTGCAGTGGCTCATGCCTGTAATCCCAGCACTTTGGGAGGCCGAGGCGGGCAGATCACGAGGTCAGGAGATCGAGACCATCCTGACCAACATGGCGAAACCCCATCTCTACTAAAAATACAAATTAGCTGGGGCTGGTGGCGCACACCTATAGTCCCAGCTACTCGGGAAGCTGAGGTAGGAGAATTGCTTGAACCCGGCAGGCGGAGGTTGCAGTGAGCCGAGGCACTTCAGCCTGGCAACAGAGCAAGACTCCGTCTCAACAACAACAACAACAACAACAACAAAAAAAAATGTTAGAAGAGCAGAAAGAACCAAGTATAACTGGCACATAGAAATGAAGGAGAGAAGCCGGCCGCGGTGGCTCACGCCTGTAATCCCAGCACTTTGGGAGGCCGAGATGGGCGGATCATGAGGTCAGGAGATCGAGACCATCTTGGCTAACACGGTGAAACCCTGTTTCTACTAAAAATACAAAAAATTAGCCGGGCGTGTTGGCGGGCGCCTGTAGTCCCAGCTACTCAGGAGGCTGAGGCAGGAGAATGGTGTGAACCCAGGAGGCGGAGCTTGCAGTGAGCTGAGATCGCGCCACTGCACTCCAACCTGGGGGACACAGCGAGACTCCGTCTCAAAAAACAAAAAAGAAATGAAGGAGAGAGTGGTGATAAGGAAGGAAAGGTTGCAGGGCCAGAGCACGTAGGACCCTGGTGGGGAAGCTGGAGCCCTAGAGCCTGGAGAAAGGATGAGAAAAAGAAGAGAACCTGGCAGCCCCTGTTGCACACTGACCTCTGCCCTCTCTTAGGTGGAAGAGATCATGCAGCTGGTGAATGCCTACTTGGCCAACCCCTCCCCCGAGAGGCCCTGCAGCAGCTCTTCTCCTCCATGCCAAGACCTGCCAGACACCTCCCCTCCCAGCCAGCGCCCGGGCCTGGACGAGCCCCAGGGACAGTCTGGCTGCTTGGGGCAGCTGCAGGACTGAGCCTGCCAAGAGGTCACGACTTCCCTCCTGCCTGCAGCCTGGGCCAGGACTGCTCTGAGATTTGAGGGAAACATGGACCCTTTTGGCCCTGCAGGGACAGGGCACATCCCACACCCAAGGGCTACAATGGGTGTGGGTAATTTTCTAGTTTGTTTCTTAATTTATTTGTAGAAGAGAAGCAAAAAAAAAAAAAAAGTTTCTTATTTACACAAACCCTTCCTGTGGGAGTGTTATTCAGTGGGACAAGTTGGAACCCCATAACGCAGAGCCCCGCCTCTGGGGATGCCCACACCCTGGGCTTTTACCAGGCTCTGGGGGAAGTCTGGACACCACAGCGCTTCACCCTCCCCCTCCTTGACCTTCCAGACTTAACCTCCTCCTGGCCAGTGTGCTGCCACAGGTTTGTGGGTGGAGCAGGCAAACAGGCCTCATTGGAAGCTGGCAGTTACTCACCCTCCCTTCTCCACTGAGTGGCATACAGATGGCCTCCTGGAATCCCTGAGGCTGGAGGGCAGTGAGTCATCAGATCTGGCACTGCCCATTTCTTACTCGTTGTCCACCTCTGGGCCCATCATTGGTGTGCCTAATGCTTTGGGCCTAGAATGGAGAGAAGCTTGGGGCAGATAACAAACCCACGAATTTCTCTGGCACAGAAAAGTAACTCAGGATGTGCTCAGCCCTACTCTTGAATTCTGTTTCTACTTATCAGGTTGGGTTGAACTGGATTGAGTTCCTGGAACTCTCATGGCCCTGGGCACTGGGAATCTGGAACCTTGGCTCTCCTGGCCTGCTCAGAATGTAGTGTGCCCTCCTTCAGTAGACCCCACCTCCTCTGCCCTGAGTGGAAGAGGTTGGGGCAACATTGACCCTCACTGGGGCAAAGCTTAGGCGCTGAGGAGACAGCAAACCTCAGTAAAGCTCTGTAATCTTGAGACAAGGGCTGACTCTAGTAATACTAAACAGCCTAGTTCAAGGTGAGGGATGCCAATGGAAACAGTGAACACACTAAGATTTGGACTAAGTGATAAGACGTTGGAGGAGGTGAAGGCCACCCTACTGTCAGATGCCTAGAAACTGGACCCCTTCACCACCCCCCCGTATTCACAGATCAAGCCCTGGCTATACTGACAACCAAGCTTTATTACTTTATTAGAGCTGAACAAGCATATTAAAAGTTAGGGCATGGAAGGGAGGAAGCAGGACCAGCTCACGGGCTGGAGATGAACCAAGAAGGGTTGTCCATGAGGTGAAGCTGGGTCAGAGGGAGCAGGCATGGTCGAGGCTGTGGTTACCATCTAGAAGGAGAAGGAGTAGTGGGGAGGGAAATCACTGCTCCTGGGTGCCCCAGGAAATGTAGTCTGGCTGGGTGGCCGCATGGTACTCATCAATGAGCTCCTGAACAACCTCCCTAGACCTGTCCATCTCATCAAAGTTGTCCTTGAACATGTCCTCCTTACGGAACTGCTCGAGGAAGGCATCCCGCTTCCGCAGCTTGTCAAACTGCTGGCAGGAACTTTCAAAGAGCTGAAAGAGATGAAAATCTCCAAAATGCGAGCCAGGGGGTTAGGAGTGAACTTGGGGAAGATGATGAAGGTGGCCAGTGGAACAGACTCTTCTAAGAAGAATAGAAACCTAGACTCACCGAGGAGATGCTGGTGTGGTTGGCCATCATGAGCCCGCTGACCCGGTGGGCCGAGGGCAGGTAGGGAGACTTCCTCGACAGGGCCACCTGGATGCTGGCGGGGCCCCACGGGATGAAGTTGGCCAACTTCCGTTCCCGGATCCTCTGCAGGCTCTTGTGGACCTGGGGTGGGCATAGGAGCAGTGGAGGTGGCCTCTCCTCTACCCCTGCAGGTCCAGGGCGCGGGATGAAGGGGCCTCCCCTACCTGGGTGGGGTCCACCTCTCCCTGGATGATGTTGAGGATGGCGATGTAGCAGTGGTTGGTCTGGCGGTCTCGGCCTGTGGACACCATCACGTTCTTGGGCTGCAGCAGCCGCCTCATGACATCCAGGACCGTGGTCTTCCTCACGCTGGCCACCTGATGGGACAGTGAGACAGGGACCCGGCCAGCGCTCAGGGCACAGTCCCTTTGGCTTCTCTTTGGCAGAAGCCAAAGGCAGAGGGAGGGTGGAGAGAAAGTCAGCAAGAAAGTCGCCCGCTCTGTGCCAGTCCCTGAGCGCAGTGCCTTGGGGCCTGCAAAGGGCAGCTCCTGGGGCAGTGGGGAAGAGAGAAAGGCTGGGGCAGGGCCTGCTGGGCCCAGGGCCAGCCTGGCCTGGGACACTGAAGGCTGCTCTTACTGACTGGTCTGTAGTGAGCGGGGTGTAGCCGGTCATGAGGAAGTGGAGCCGTGGGGTGGGAATGAGCGAGGCGATGAGGCCGATGAGGTCATTGTTCATGTAGCCGGGGTAGCGCAGGGTGGTGGTGCTGGCCGACATGATGGTGGACACCTGGGGACAGGCGTGCCATGTCATGGGGCTCGGCCTGGGTGGGACCTTCCTTCCCCAGATGACCCTCCAGCAAGGAGGGCTTCCAGTCCAAAGGAGTCCGGGAGTGGGGGCCCACCAGCTGGTTGATCTGGGAGAAGGACGGGTTCTGGATGTGCAGGCGGTCTGTGGCAATCCGGTTCAGGGCTGTGTTGTCCAGCACCACCTGGGGGGACAGAAGAGCATCACAGCATCTTGAGGATAAAATGGGCATAGAAATAAGATATTGGCTTAGCCCCTGCTGAACTCCAAAGCCAGGAAGTAGGTTTGTTAGTTTAAAAAAAAAAAGTACTGAGGCCGGGCGCGGTGGCTCATGTCTGTAATCCCAGCACTTTGGGAGGCCGAGACGGGCGGATCACAAGGTCAGGAGATCGAGACCATCTTGGCTAACACGGTGAAACCCCGTCTCTACTAAAAATACAAAAAATTAGCCAGGCATGTTGGCGGGCGCCTGTAGTCCCAGCTAATTCGGAGGCTGAGGCAGGAGAATGGCATGAACCCGGGAGGCGGAGTTTGCAGTTAGCCAAGATCATGCCACTGCACTCCAGCCTGGGGGACAGAGCAAGACTCCGTCTCAAAAATAAAATAAAATAATAAAATAAAATAAATAAAATAAAATAAAAGTACTGCTGGGCATGGTGGCTCAGGCCTGTAATCCCAAGGCCAAGGTGGGAGGACCACTCGAGGCCAGGAGTTGGACACCAGCCTGAGCAACACAGCAAGATGCCATCTCTGTAAAAAATATAAATAAAAAAGTATAAATATATATAATATATATATATATATATAAATATAAATAAAAAATAAAAAGAAAGAAAAGTACTGTTTCTGGGGCACCATGAGATACTCTCGGACTACGCAGGGCAGTAAACAAACACGTGAGTACCCACATGTGCCATACACTGTGCCTGGCTCTGGGAAGACCACAGAGAGGAACAGGCACCGTCTTTCCCTTCATTAGGCCTATAGTCTCGTGGAGGGAGGCACACTAAATATAAAACAGAAAATTATAGTTAACTCCCTAAAATACACATATAGGAATCTGATCTTGACTGAGTAGTCAGGAAGGGTTTTGCTAAGAAAGTTATCCTTGAGCTAAGAATACAAGCATGAGTGGGCATTAAGTAGGCAAAGGTGGGATACGTGGTGGTGTGGGGAAGGTATATTCACTTTGTTGAGAGTTTTGCTGCCTAAAAGGATTCTAAGAAACTTAGAAGTCAGGACCTTATTTCCTAATTTGGCCCACAGGTATGGCTTTGTTGGTCTTCTGTCTGTGTGTATAGGGGCTGAGGAAAGGTGGGGTGAATGAGACTCACTGGCCTGAGGAGACAGACCAAAGTCCTCTACCCTTTTTTTTTTTTTTTTAAACACAAGGTCTTGTTCCGTTGCCCAAGCTGGAGTGCAGTGGTGTGATCATGGCTCACTGCAGCCTCGACTTCCTGAGCTCAAGCAATCCCCCCACCTCAGCCTCCCATGTAGCTAGTACTACAGGCACATGCCACCATGCCCGGCTAATTTTTTTTTATGTTATTTTTTGAGGCAGAGTCTCGCTCTGTCACCCAGGCTGGAGTGCAATGGTGTGATCTTGACTCACCGCAACCTTTGCCTCCCGGGTTCAAGTGATTCTCCTGCCTCAGCCTCCAAGTAGCTGGGACTACAGGCACATGCTACCAGGACTGGCTAATTTTTTTTTTTTTTTGAGACAGAGTCTCGCTCTGTCACCCAGGCTGGAGTGCAATGCTGCAATCTCAGCTCCTTGCAACCTCCACCTCCCAGGTTCAAGCAACTCTCCTGCCTCAGCCTCCCGAGTAGCTGGGACTACAGGCATGCGCCACCACGCCTGGCTAATTTTGTTTTTTTAGTAGAGATGGGGTTTCTTCATGTTGGTCAGGCTGGTCTCGAACTCCCAACCATAGGTGATCCGCCCGTCTCAGCCTCCCAAAGTGCTGGGATTACAGGTGTGAACCACCGCACCCAGCTCTAATTTTTGTATTTTCTGTGGAGATAGGGTTTCACATGTTGCCCAGGCTAGTATTGAACTCCTGAGCTCAAGCAATCCATCTGCCTAGGCCTCCCAAAGTGCTAGAACTACAGGCATGAGCCACCACACCCAGCCCCTCAACTCTTTCTTTGCTCACCACACAATCTGCGTTCTGCGTCAGCCTCTTGAGTGTCAGGAGTGAATTGTAGGGCTGAACCACTACGTCGCTCATCTCGTCCTGGTAGGGAAACACTGAATAAGTCTGCACTAGCTTCTTGGGGTACCTGAGAGAAAAGAGGATGGTGGCATAGTGAACCGGAAGGACCCCTCCATCACTGCCCATATGTGCCATTTTGTACAAAAGGGGTGAGGGCAGAACTGAGTCTTCAGAGCCAAAAAGGATAAGCCTGAAAGCTTCAAACTCTGTAGATCCCCTCCCCTCCACAGGTAAACCCCCACCCCCCAAAATAGCTTCCAACATGGTCCTTGGGTGGGTCTGTCCCTATGACTCAAAAGGGGTAGTGGCAGACTTTCTAGCTCAAGAGAAAAAAGCAATGACATTACTCAGGGAACCAGGGTTAATGCCCTCTCCCCAAACACAGGCTTGCCTGTCATTCAGTCGCTCCAGGAGGTAGGAGCCCAGGCCAGAACCCGTACCCCCAGCGATGGAGTGACACAGCACGAAGCCCTGTGTGTATACAGGAATAAACAGACTCAGTTTCTCCTGCCACACTCTCACAACACAATTCTGATACCAGATGGGTGGGGTCTTACCACACACATCAGGTAAGCAGTCAATTCTACAGTAGATGCCAGCTGGGTATCCACTAATTCACTTCAATTCTGGACTACCTACAGACTGTCCCTGACTTAGGATGGTTTAATTTAAGATGTTTTGGCTTTATGATGGGTTTATCAGGACATAATCCCATCTTAAATCAAGAAGCATCTGAATTACAATGGTTCAATTTACAATTTTTCAACTTCATGATGGGCTTATTGGGTTATAACCTGATGCATTTCTACTTACGGTATTTTCAATTTTTTTTTTTTTTGAGACGGAGTCTTGCTCTGTCACCCAAGCTGTAGTGCAATGGCCCGATCTTGGCTCACTGCAACCTCTACCTCCTAGGTTCGAGCCATTCTCCTGCCTCAGCCTCTCAAGTAGCTGGGACTACGGGCATGTACCACCACGCCTGGCTAATTTTTTTATTTTTCGTAGATACGGGGTTTCACCATGTTGGCCAGGCTGGTCTTGAACTCCTGACCTCAAGTGATCTGCCCGCCTCGGCCTGCCAAAGTGTTGGGATTACAAGCATGAGCTACCGCACCTGTCCTCAAATTTGTTTTGGTTTTAGAGACAGGATCTCACTCAGTCCCCCAGACTGCAGTGCAGTGGTGTGATCATAGCTCACTGCAGCCTTGAATTCCTGGGCTCAAGGCATCTTCCTATCTCAGCCTCCAAGTAGCTTGGACTATAGGCATGTACCACCATGCCTGGATAATGTTTGTATATTTTGCAGAGATGGGGTTTCACCATGTTGCCCAGGCTGGTTTTGAACTCCTGGGCTCGGATGATCCACCTGCTTCGGCCTCCCAAAGTGCTGGGATTACAGGCATGAGCCACTGTGCCTAGTCAATATTTTCAATTTGTGATGTGTTTACATCCTGATAAACCCATTGTAAGTTGAGGAGTATCTGTACCTGAAGATAGCATCAGATCCCACAGAGTGAAGGCTCAGTCCCACAAGACTCTCCCACTTCCAATGCCAACACAAGCTTCAGGTTGTTTTATCTGTGCCTCTGACCAACCAGCTATAAATCGAGGTTCTCAGGACTGCTCCTTGGGTTCAATTAATTTGTTAGAGTAGCTCACAGAACTCAAGGAGACACTTACTTACGTTCATCCATTTGTTATAAAGGATATTTTAAAGGATACAAATAAACAGCCAGATGAAGAGATACCGAGGGGAAGCTCTAGAAGGGTCCGGCGCATAGGAGTTGCTGCCCTGTGGCGTTGGGTTTGCACCCTCCTGGCCTGTGGATGTGTTCTTGTTCACCTTCCTGGAAGCCCCCAAACTCAGTCCTTTTGGATTTTTATGGAGGCTTCATTACACAGGCATGACCGATTAAATCATTGGCAATTGGTGCTCTACTCAATCTTCATCCCCTCTCCCTTCCCCAGAGGTGAGGGGTGGGCCTGTAAATTCCAACCCTCAGAGCACCAGGTTTGTTCCCCTGGCAACCAGCCCCCCATCCAGTGGCTATCTGGGACTTTCCAAAAATCGCCTCTTTAACATAAGCTCAGGTTTGGTTGAAAGGCACTTGTTCCTCCTTAGTACAGTGGTTAGTAAAATTAACTAATTAAAATAAAATGAAAGATTAAACTAAAAGAAACGGGCTTGTTATAAATAACAAAAGACTGTCTTTCACCTTTATCACTCTGGAGCTGTTCTGGAGCTGTTTCAGAAACCAAGGACAAAAGGTCAAATATTTTAACAAAACATACTATTATTGCTCTAGTCCCTTAGGAAATTACATGGGTTATAAGAGCTGTAAGCCAGGAACATATCGCACCCAGCATGGGGAGAGATGGAGAGGCAGTCTCCAAGGATCTGGGGGAGAGACTTCGGCTTGGTTCATTCTCCATTCCCAAAACGCCAATGTCTCAAAGCTTCCTCTTATGCATCCAGGCTGAGGCTCCTTGGGAAGGTTTGGAGCTGGAGAAGCAGCTGAATGACTCATGCCTAAGGGGCCGGTGCCATTCAGATTTATGACTTCCTTGAGAACAAAGATTATATCTTATTCACCTCAATATCCCACATCTGATGCTCCATAAACGGGTTTTGAATTGAATTGCTCCCCTCATATTACCTATCCAGGCCACCTCCTGACCTGTCCCCAGCACTCTTCGGCCTCCCTGCCCATTCCTTCCCCCACTCCATAACTTCACCTCCAAACTGTCACTTCCATCTGCTTCTCGGTCTATGATGTCAAAGATGTCTTCATGAATTTTCTCACCCTGTATAGAGATATGGAAAGGGAGGGTCAGGCCAAAGGTTCCAGAGAGCATCTTTTCTCAGCACAGCACCAAGAATTCTGTCTACCCTGGAATATTGTTGCCACCCTGAAGCAGAGCCTAGGCTGTAGCCCTCAACCCAGAAGTGCTACTATTGCAAATGATTTGCACAAAATTTGCATAAACCTCTCCCTGGCTGTCCCTCTTGTTCGGGACATCCTTTTGTCTCTTATTTTCTGTCAGTCAGGTCAAATTCCTAGTAGCTTGAGCCTGCCTTGCCTCTGGATGGGAATATCAAAGGTCTCTGGAATGGTCGCTAGGACACCTGGGAGAATCCGCTGGCCCAGTTGTTGCCAGCTCCTCCTCCATGTTCCGACAGGTAGATGTTCTCTGGGTTGTAGAGCTTGGCATAGGGGGAGTTGAGGATGGAGTGGATCACCCGGGGTTCCAAGTCCAGCAGCACGGCCCGGGGGATGTAGTGCTCATCGTCTGCCTGTCAAGGGGAGTCCAGGAGGGGGCCCAATCAGCTAGGGCGGCCCAAGTCCGAAGTCCTCCCAACTCTGGCTCCCTCCGGCCCTCCCTCCTCAAGCCAGCCGCCTGGCCCTACTGCCCAGCGGGGTTCCCAGTACCAGGCCACTCCCTTCCCTTCCGCCCCCTTGGGCCACTGCCGCCCCCGGCCAAGTCGCTGGGGGCACCTGGTAGAAAAAGACGTCCTTGCGGTCAGTGCCCTCGGTGGCGAATTCCTCCACGATGCCCTCGGGGCTGATACCATGCTCGGCGCACAGCTGTTTCCAGAACTCGAACCCAACTGGGGGAGGGGGGAGATGCCCGGGTCTGCTGGAGCCTTAAGGCCTGAGGAGCCCAGTTTTAGTCTCAGAGGCTGACACGATCAGAGGGTGGACCCAAGATGCCTGGGTTTGGTAGCTGCCCCAGCCCCGGGCTGGAGGCGCAGCTCTCGGTCTGGGTTATCCAGAGCAGCAGGGCAGGGGGTTCATGGAAGGGAAAGGGGGACTGGTGGAAGCCAGGCACTTGGGTGGGACCCGAAGGGGCAGAACCAGAGACCGGCGGGGCCGGCGCTCGCTTGCTCACTCTGGTTGCCGCACTGGCCCAGCTGCAGGGTGATGATCTCCCGGGGCATCGCTCTTCAGACGTGGGCGCGCCAGCCCCGGCCTGGCGAGAGTCACGGCTGAGACGAATGCCCGGCAGCCAGGAGCGCAGGACGTGGGGAGCGCGCGCTCTCTTCGCCTCTTGACGCGGATGCTCGGTCTGCGCGTGTGCAGCGCAGGCCTCTCCTCGGCCGGTGGGCCGGGGAGCCCAACCTGGGCATCATTTTCTCCCTCAGCAGTCGCAGCTGGAATTCCGCACAGGCGCAGAGTCAGGCCACGCCCGCTCCTGCCCACCGCTCCGCGCCTGCGCAGTGAGACTCGTTGGGGGTGGCAGGGTCGGAACCTGGATGTGTTGGGGAGGAGAGGAACGGGGGAGGGGAGGAAAGGGGAGAAGCGGCCAGGTGGATGTGCTTGTCCACGTGTAAGGAGTCATCTACCTATATTGGTAGGTGAGGACACTGTCAGCTTTGCTAGATCAAAGGGCTAGAAGCCAACTTTTCTTCGTTTAAATTTCTGTTTTTTAATGGTGTTACAATACATACACATGTATGTTACCTTTTTATTTTTTAGAAGGGTCTCGCTCTGTCGCCCAGGCTGGAGTGCAGTGGCGCGATCATAGCTCACTGTAGCCTTGAACTTCTGGCTTAAGTGATCCTCCCACTTCAGTCTCCCGAGTAGCTGGGACTACAGGCGTGTGCTACCACGCCCAGCTAATTTTTAAATTTTTAAAATGTATTTTTATAGAGATGGGGATCTCACCGTGTTGCCCAAGATGGTCTTAAACTACTGGCCTCAATCAATCCTCCTGCCTTGGCCTCCCAAAATGCTGGGATTACAGGCATGAGCCACCACTCCTGGCCTAAATTTACCATTGTAACCATTTGTAAGTACTGCATACAGTTCTGTGGCACCAAGTACACTCACATTGTTCTGTAACCACCACCACCATTCTTTTCTAGAACTTTCTTATCTTCCCAAACTGAAACTCTATCGCGATTAAACAGTAACTTCCCCTTGACTACTCTAGGCACCTGATATGAGTGGAATTATACAGTATTTGTCTTTTTGGGTCTGGCTTCTTTCACTTAACATAATATCTTCAAGATCCTTCCATTTCGTAGCATGTGTCAGAATTTCCTTCCTTTTTACAACTGAATAATATTCCATTGTATAGATGTACCACATTTTGCATAACCATTCATCCCTCCATGGACATTTGGGTTGCTTCCACCTTTTGGCTATTGTGAATGTTGCTGCTTTGAATGTGAGTGTACAAATATCTGTTCGAGTCCCTGCTTTCAATTATTTTGGATATACACCCAGAGGTAGAATTGCTGGATCATATGGTAATTGTGTTTAATGTTCTGAGGAATCGCCATACGATTTTCCATGGTAGCTGCACCATTTTAAATTCCCACCAGCAATGCACAAGGGTTCAGTTAAATAAATTTTATAGGAGGCCATTGATTTGCACTGAGCTCCTGTGCTTGGCTCAACAGACCAAACCAAAATGGAGTCACTCACGCTAAAGTTCTATGTCACTAAGCAACACTAAGTTGTTTATCAAACCTTCAGAGGAATCAGGAGAGGGAAGGAAGAGCCAAAACCCCAAACAAGCCAGTGTGAGCCGGCATGATACGGAAGTCCTTTTACAAGAAAAGTAACTTTGAAAGGACCCATCTGCTTTTTTTCCTTCTGTTTCTATTTTTCTCTACCCTTTTTTGTCCATAAAAACTAACCTGTGCTTGACTCATCTGAACACTCATTCTATTTATTTTATGGAATGAAACGTAGCCTGATCTAGAATCACAAACACTGTAAATGCCACTTAAGATTTTTTTTTTTTTTTGAGACTAAGTCTCACTCTGTTGCCCAGGTTGGAGTGCAGTGGCATGATCTCGGCTCACTACAACCTCTGCCTCTCTCAGGTTCAAGCGATTCTCCTGGCTCAGCCTCCCTAGTAGCTGAGATTACAGGTGTGCACCACCACACCCGGCTAATTTTTTTGTATTTTCAGTAGAGACAGGGGTTTTGTCATGTTGCCCGGACTGGTCTCGAACCCCTGAGCTCAGGTAATCCACCTGCCTCAGCCTCCCAAAGTGCTGGGTTACAGGCATGAGCCACCATGCTCAGCCAAGTAGCCAAGTTACAATCTTTTTTTTTTTTTTTTTTTAGATGGAGTTTCGCTCTCGTTGCCCAGGCTGGAGTGCAATGGCTCGATCTCAACTCACCGCAAGCTCCACCTCCCGGGTTCAAGCGATTCTCCTGCCTCAGCCTCCCAAGTAGCTAGGATTACAGGCATGCACCATCACGCCCAGCTAATTTTGTATTTTTAGTAGAGACGGGGTTTCTCCATGTTGGTCGACCTCATGTGATCCACCTGCCTTGGCCTCCCAAAGTGCTGTGGGATTACAGGCGTGAGCCACCACGCCCAGCCTTTTTTTTTTTTTTTTTTTTTTGAGACGTAGTCGCACTCTGTAGCCCAGGCTGGAGTGCAATGGCTTGATCTCAGCTCAGTGCAACCTCTGCCTCCCAGGTTCAAGCAATTCTCCTGCTTCAGCTTCCCAAGTACCTGGGATTATAGGCACGCTCCACCATACCCTGCTAATTTTTGTATTTTTAGTAGAGACGGGGTTTCATCATGTTGGCCAGGCTGGTCTCAAACTCCTGACCTTGTGATCCCTTCCAAATGTTGGGATTACAGGCGTAAGCCACCGCACCCAGCCTCTGAGACTTTTTATGCAGCCTTGGAATCCTGGGCTCAAGCGATCCTTCCACCTCAGCCTCCTGAGTAACTGGGACCACAGGCACATGCCACCATGCCAGCTAATTTTTTTTTTGAGACAGAGTCTCTTTCTGTTGCCCAGGCTGGAGTGCACTGGCATGATTTTGGCTCACTGCAACCTCCACTTCCCGGGTTCAAGTGATTCTCTTGCCTTGGCCTCTTGAGTAGCTGGGATTACAGGCATGAGCCACCACGCCCGGCTAACTTTTGTATTTTTAGTAGAGACAGGGTTTCACCATGTTGGCCCGGCTGGTCTTGAACTCCTGACCTCAGGTGATCCACGCGCCTCGGCCTCCCAAAGTGCTGGGATTACAGGTGTGAGCCACCATGCCCGACCTTTACAGTGACTTTTCTACATTCCACCAGGCTGGCTGTTCCCTCAGGAATAATCTCCTGTGTGTCTGAATCATATATACCCAACTGTGACTAGAATGGTGAACTGTGAGTCCTGCATCAACCCAAACATGCTCTTCCACTCTGCATACTGCCCCTAAATTAGTCACTCTCAGAATCCATTTTAGTAAATGTTCCTCAGGAAGCTGATGATACTGATCTATGAAATGGAACAATTCCTCCACACTCTACTGTCTGGTTTCGATAATTACTTGGTTCCTTCACATTGACTACCTTCTTGGTAACCACAGGTCTCAGAGGTACTTTCTGTTGTCCCTGCATAATTTCCTCCTTTGTGGGTGACTCCGAGGCTAGTGGCCTGAGCTCAGCCAGACCCACATCTGTGCTTGGTCCAGCCTCAATTCCTAACCCAGCACCCTCTTTTACTTTCATTTTAGCCATTATAGATAACAATAATCAGGGGGCTGAATATTTCACATTTTTCTTATTAGTTTGCATTTCCTTATGCATTCAATGAACCAATTCCTGGGAGTTGGATCCATCTCTAAATTCCACTAGTAAGTTTTACCTTTAGTAACTGATCTCAACAGAGTTGTGGCTTCACACCATGGTGACCACGTGGTCACCCAGGAATTGACGACCTCTTCCTCCACCCTTTTATCCTTTTTCTTCCCAAACCACATGTTTATGTGAGTCAGGGCCATTCCTGCAAATCCCACTTCACTGACACCAATTGTTTAGAGAAAACTGTAACCATTTCCTCTACTCTCACACCACAGCAATCATCCACACAGATTTCTGTGACCATACACATGGGGCTTTTGTTCCCCACCCAGCAGTGGACACCAGCTGGGTGTCCTTTAATTCAGTTCTAACACCATCTACCCAGAGACAGTGTCAGACCTCATAGGTTGAGGGCTTAGTCCCCAAGACTGCCTCCCTGCCCCGCACCAGTCCCAAGTCTGGGCCTCCAGAACTTCTGACCAGCAGGCTTTAAGTTGGGGTTCTCATGACCCCCTCTTTGGGTCCAATTGATTTGTGGGAGCAGCTCACAGAACTCGGGGAAACACTGACAATTACTGGTTTATTAGAAACCATATTGCAGGCCTAGTGTGGTGGCTCATGCCTATAATCCAAGCACTTTGGGAGGCCAAGGCAAGTGCATCGCTTGAGGTCAGGACTTCGAGACCAGCCTGGCCAACATGGTGAAACCGTCTCTACTAAAAAAAAAAAAATTAGCCAGGTGTGGTTGGTGGGTGTCTGTAATCCCAGCTACAAGGGAGGCTAAGGCAATGAGAATCGCTTGAACCCTAGAGGTGGAGGTTGCAGTGGGCCGAGATGGCGCCACTGCACTCCAGCCTGGGTGAAAGAGCAAGATTCCATTTGAAAAAAAAAAAAAAAAAGCCAGCATATCGCAAAGGATACAGATGAAGAGACACGGAGGGTAAGGTATGAGGGCAGGGGTGTGGAGCTTCCATGCCCTCTCTGGGTGCTCCACCCTCCAGGAACCTCCAGGTGTTCAGGCATCTGGAAGCTCACTGAACCCTGTCCTCTTGGGTTTTCATGGAAGCTTTATGGGAGGGTCTTAAGGCCCACAGTCAGAAAGGCCCAGGAAGGTTAGAGTGAAAGGAGTGCAGGAGAAGGTCAGATACTGCCCCTGAGGGCTAACACACTCAATATTATAACAAAAGACTAACAAGGACTATGAGAGTCATGAGCCAGGAGCTGTGGACGAAAACCAATATGTATCATAACACCATACCATCTTTAAAAAAAAAAATAGAGATGGGAGTCTCGCTGTGTTGCCCAGGCTCATCTCGGACTCCTGGGCTTCCTGGGCACAGTGGAACAGCCTGTAATCCCAGCACTTTGGGAGGCCGAGGCGGGAGAATCGTTTGAGGCCAGGAGTTTGAGACCAGCCTGGGCAGTATAGTGAGACCTCATCTCTGCAAAAAAAATTGTTTTAATTAGCCAAGTGTGGTGGTGGTGCCTTTAGCCCCACCCAGCTCCTTGGGAGGCGGAGGTTGCAGTGAGCAGAGATCCCGCTGCCACTGCACTCCAGCCTGGGCAAGAGCAAGATGCCTTGTCTCAAGAAAACAAAAACAAAAACAAAAACTCCCGGGCTCAAGCGGTCCTCCCTCCTCCGCCGCCCAAAGTGCTGGGGTTACAGGCGTGAGTCCCTGCGCCCGGTCCATACCATCTTTTCCTTTATGTTTTGCACGTTTTATACTTTGTTAGAGAAAACATCCCCTATCCCAGTGTCATACAGCTATCTTTCCGTTTTCTTCCCAAAGCTCTGTAATAGCGTTGCTTGTTCCCTGTAGGTCTCTAGTTCATCTGGAATTTATTTGGAGGCCTGCCGTCAGATAGGATCTACTTTATCTTTTCCGTATGGATGGCCAATTGTCTCCAAACCAATTACTGAAGAGGCGGTGCAGCCTCCCCCACCCCCTGGGGCGTTCCAAGTCTTCGCTGGGAAGACCTTTCCGTCGGTCTGTCAGTCTGTCCCTGCCTGGCGGGCTTTCTCTGGGAACCGCTGCAGACGCGCTGGCGAAAGCACCACCGCCAAGAGTCATGCTCAGACGAGAGATTTTGTTTTCTTCTCTCTCTCTCTCTTTTTTTTTAAAGAACTCGGCCGCTTTCCAGTCCCCAGAATCCTCTGGGCTTCTTGAGAAGTCTCTGGCTCGCCCCACGCCCGCCCTCTACCCGGCCTCGGCTCAGTTTCCCTCCCCGCACCCCGCAGAGCCTCTCAGCTTCCTCCAGCTCTGGTCGGGAGGATCTCCAGCGTCCCCCAAGAGGACCCAGTAGTCTCGCCCTTTCAGGGAAGGGTTCTTTTCTCCCTCTGAAGTTGAAGGGTAGGGTGGGAGCTCCTTCGTTAGCCTTGAGGCTCCCTTCCCCCAACAGAACCGCTCCTTAGGGGCTGGCTGTTTTCAGAGGCTTTGCCAGGACTGTCTCCCAGTCGGCCCAGGTGAAGCGCATGGCTTCAAGAGATGAGAATAAACTGACCCCCGGCCACGTGAGTCTGGTAGGGCTTTTACATAGTAAGCTAATGCCGGGCGCGGTGGCGCCATCTTGTAGTCCCAGGTACTTGGGAGGCCCAGGCGAGAGGATTGGTTGAGCAGAAGAGTTTGAGCCCAGACTGGGCAACATAGCGAGACCCCCATCTCTAAAAATAATAATAATAATTAGCCGGGTATGGGGGCTCACGCCTGTAATCCCAGCACTTTGGGAGGCCGAGGCGGGCGGATCACTTGAGGTCGGGAGTTCGAGACCAGCCTGGCTAACATGGTGAAACCCCCGTCTCTACTAAAAAGACAAAAATGAGCCGGGTGGTGGCACATGCCTGTAGTTACAGCTGCTTGGGAGGCTGAGTCAGGAGAATCGCTTGAACCTGGGAGGCAGAGGTTGTAGTGAGCCGAGATCTCGTCACCGCACTCCAGCCTGAGCGACAGAGTAAGACTCCGTCTCAAAAAAATAAAATAGGCCGGGTGCGGTGGCTCACGCCTGTTATCCCAGCACTTTGGGAGGCCGAGGTGGATGGATCACCTGAGGTCAGGAGTTCGAGACCAGCCTGGCCAATGTGATGAAACCCTATCTCTACTAAAAATACAAAAATTAGCTGGACATGTGATGGTGGCCTGTAATCCCAGCTACTTGGGAGGATGAGACAGGAGAATCGCTTGAACCCGGGAGGCAAAGGTTGCAGTGAGCCAAGACCGTGCCATTGCAGTCCAGCCTGGGCAACAAGAGCGAAACTCCGTCTCAAAAAATAAATTAATTAAATTAAATAAAGCAATAATAACAATGATAATTAGTTCATAAACACTCGGGAAACCGGGGAATTAAGTTTCTCCTTTTCTTGTGATTCGTAACAGTGCCTTACTCAAACATATAGTCTCCCAGAAGTTGAAGGATGAGTTGAAGTCTCCCAAAAGTTGGAAAACTTTCTTCAAATCCCAGGTTGTAGGCAAGCAGGTTAGAAAACGTGAATTTGGCCGGGTGCGGTGGCTCATGCACTTCGGGAGGCCGAGGCACGTGGATCACCTGAGGTTGGGAGTTCGAGACCAGCCTGACCAACTGGAGAAACCCTGTCTCTACTAAAAACACAAAAAATTAGCTGGTCGGCCAGGCGCGGTGGCTCACGCCTGTAATCCCAGCACTTTGGGAGGCCGAGGCGGGCGGATCACGAGGTCAGGAGATCGAGACCATCCTGGCTAACACAGTGAAACCCTGTCTCTACTAAAAATACAAAAAATTAGCCGGGCGAGGTGGCAGGCGCCTGTAGTCCAAGCTAATTCGGAGGCTGAGGCAGGAGAATGGCGTGAACCCCGGGGGGCGGAGCCTGCAATGAGCCGAGATTGCGCCACTGCACTCCAGCCTGGGCGACAGCGAGACTCCGTCTCAAAAAAAAAAAAAAAAAAATTAGCTGGGCATGGTGGCACATGCCTGTAATCCCAGCTACTCGGGAGGCTGAGGAAGGAGAATCACTTGAACCTGGGAGGTGGAGGTTGCGGTGAGCTGAGATCGTGCCATTGCACTCTAGCTTGGGCAACAAGAGTGAAACTCCATCTCAAATTAAAAAAAAAAAAAGAAAACATGACTCTGAGTTGGAGGAGTTGCACGGCACACTTCCTCTCAGAAGCCATCTCTAACACACAGGAGGCTCCTCTCTTTCTGGTCTTGTAGAAATGGGTTGGAAATTGAAATGCACTCGCAGAACTGACCGTAGCTCTCCCAGTCATTAGCAGGGTATGCCTTCCAATCAATATGGGTTAAATGAGATGATGCATGAGCACCTAGCACAGTGACTGACTCATAGTAAGCACTTAACAAATATTAGCCACTGTTATTATCACTAGATGCAATCGGAACTGAAGTATATAGCTTGGCTGCTGCTGCAGATGAAAGATTTTTTTTTTTTGAGACAAGGTCTTGCTCTGTCACCCAGGCTGGAGTGCACTGGCACAATCATGGCTCACTGCAGCCTTGACCTCCTGGGTCCTGGGCTCAATTGATCCTCCCACCTCAACCTCCTGAGAAGCTGGGACTACAGACACATACCACCATATTGGCTAATTTTTGTTTATTTCTTTGTTTTTGAGACAGAGTATCACTCTGTCACCCAGGCGGGAGTGCAGTGGCACGATCTCGGCTCACTGCAACACCCCCGTCTCAAGTTCAAGCAATTTTCCCACCTCAGCCTCTCAAGTAGCTGGGATTACAGATGCCAGCCACCATGCCCGGCTAATTTTGTATTTTTAGTATAGACGAAGTTTCATCATGTTGGCCAGGCTGGTCTTGAACTCCTGACCTCAGGTGATCCTCCTGCCTTGGCCTCCCAAAGTGCTGGGATTACAACCATGAGCCACCTCACCTGGCGTTTTTTTTTTTTGTTTTTTTTTTGTAGAGACGGGAGTTGCCCAGGCTGGTCTTGAACACCCAAGTGCTTATGATCCCACAGATTCAGTTTAAGATCGAACTTTCATGAGGTTCAGCAGAAAGCCCAGGGTCATGGTCCTTCTCATAGGTTTCACATCCAGGGCCTCAAGGTCATGTACCCATGGCTTGATTGTTGAATGTTGACTTTAATTGGCTTGGCTGCAAGTTCTCTGGTCCTGGTTGTGATAATGCAGTGGGATGTGCTGTTCCTTAGTCTGAGGCCTTGGTTGGCCTCTGATAATAAACGTAGCATTTGTAAACTAACAAGTTTGTTAAATGTCCAGAGCCTTTCTTGGACATCCCAGGTGGAATAAAACATGTTTTGGGATGCACTTTCATTCTGACCTTTCCTGAATGCCTAGCCTGCAGTATGTCAGGAGCACAGGTATCTTGTCAAGGTGAGGAAGTAGAAGTGTGAGGTGGCGGAATGAGGCTGTGGCAGGGACTGGGAAGAAGAGCAGCTAATTAGAGCTTCTTCCAGTCATGAGACTGGAATCTTATGACCCTGGGAAGTTTAACTTTCGAAATAAAGAAAAGGGGGCCAGGCGCAATGGCTCACGTCTGTAATCCCAGCACTTTGGGAGGCCGAGGCGGGCAGATTGCCTGAGGTTAGGAGTTCAAGACCAGTCTGGCCAACATGGTGAAACCCCATCTCTACTAAAAATACAACAACAACAAAAAAAAATTAGCCAGACATGGTGGCGTGCGCCTGTAATCCCAGCTACTCAGGAGGCTGAGGCAGGGGAATTGCTTGAACCAGGGAGGTGGAGGTTGCAGTGAGCCGAGATTGTGCCACTGCACTCCAGCCTGGGCACAGAGCAAGACTCCGTCTCAAAAACAAAACAAAATAAAACAAAAAAGAAAAGGAAAAATTAAAACAATGATGGCAAAGAGCCGACGCTCTTTATGTGAAGGGAGTTGTACTAAATTCATATTTTAGTTGTGAAATAGAACAAAATGGGATGTTTCTGTAGTTGTTTTTGTTTTTTTTTTTTCGGAGAGGGAGTCTTGCTCTGTCGCCCAGGCTAGAGTGCAGTGGCGCGATCTCGGCTCACTGCAAGCTCCGCCTCCCGGGTTCACACTATTCTCCTGCCTCAGCCTCCTGAGTAGCTGGGACTACAGCCGCTGCCACCGCGCCTGGCTAATTTTTTGTGTTTTTAGTAGAGACGGGGTTTCACCGTGTTAGCCAGGATGGTCTCGATCTCCTGACCTTGTGATCCGCCCGTCTTGGCCTCCCAAAGTGCTGGGATTACAGGCTTGAGCCACCGCGCCCAGCCCTGTTTCTGTATTGTTTTCTCAAGGAACAGGAAAAAGAAAATAAGCCTAAAAGTAATCCTGTTTGTAGATCATTTGATTATTCTTTTTTTATTATGCATCTATACTAGGCTGGAACACTGGAATTTTTTTCTTGATAGTTTTTTTTTTTTTTTTTGAGATGGAGCCTTGCTCTATCGCCCAAGCTGGAGTGCAGTGGCGCGATGTCGGCTCACTGCAAACTCCACTCCTTCAGTTCACGCCATTCTCCTGCCTCAGCCTCCCAAGTAGCTGGAACTACAGGCGCCCACCACCACGCCCAGCTAATTTTTTGTATTTTTAGTAGAGATGGGGTTTCACCGTGTTAGCCAGGATGGTCTCGGTCTCCTAACCTTGTGATCCGCCCACCTCAGCCTCCCAAAGTGCTGGGATTACCGGTGTGAGCCACCGCGCCCGGCCCCTTTTCTTTATAGATTTATTTGCCATATATATATTTTTTTCTTTCCAACTCTTATTCTAGGTTCAGTGGGTACACCTGCAAGTTTGCACACTGTTTTGTTTTGTTTTGTTTTGTTTTGAGACGGAGTTTCACTCTTGTTGCCCAGGCTGGAGTGCAACGGCACGATCGGTTCACTGCAACCTCCGCCTCCCAGGTTCAAGCGATTCTCCTGCCTCAGCCTCCCCAGTAGCTGAGACTACAGGCATGAGCCACAACGCCCGGTTAATTTTGTATTTCTAGTAGAGACACGGTTTCTCCATGTTGGCCAGGCTGGTCTCAAACTCCTGACCTCAGGTAATCCACCTGCCTCGGCCTCCCAAAGTGTTGGGATTACAGGTGTGAGCCACCACGCCCGGCCTTGCACACTATTTTAAGCTCAGAAAATAGAGATAGCAAACCAAAGTCATATGGTTTTGTGAAGGCAATAGACATACCAAAAAGTTAGCACCGAGTGTAGAATACAGAACTCCTCGTCTTCATCTTCCTCTTCCACCTTTTTCTGGGCAACTTTAGCAGGACCCTTTGCGCCATCAGACTTTCCTTTCGACTTATAGACAGCAACATCCTTCTCATACTTTTCCTTCAGCTTTGCCGCCTGAGTGATGTAAGGCTGCTTTTCACTGTCATTTAAGTTCTTCCACATCTCACCCAGCTTTTTTGCCACGTCTCCAATAGGGATGCCGGGGTTTGTGGATTTGCTCTTGGGGCAGAATTCTGAACAGAACAGGAAGAATCCAGACGGTGGCCTTTTGGGGGCATTAGGATCCTTCTTCTTGCCTCCTTTAGCTGGTCCATAATCCTTAATTTCCTGATCATAGTGCACTTTATCCGCCTTTGCCAGTTCATTGAATTTAGATTTCTCTTTCTTGGACATTGTCTTCCACCTCTCAGAGCACTTTTTGGAAAATTCTGCAAAATTGATGGGGACTTTTGGGTTTTTCTTCTTATGTTCTTCTCTGCACGTCTGCACAAAGAAGGCATAAGCAGACATCTTGCCCTTTGGTTTCTTGGGGTCACCTTTAGCCATCCTGACTGTATTGTTCACTAGTCTTGTTCTTCAAATATTATAGCCAATCATGCCACACTTGCCTGTGATCTCTCCAACATAAAACCACATTCACACCTCAGTGGCCACCAAATCATTCAGCACCACTTCCTTAACTGTGAGCGGTTTGAAGCTACCAGTTTGAGCACTAGTGACTTATTTTTTTCCCCCAGGCTTTGGATAGCTCTAGGGATCTCAACAGGGGTGGAGGAACCAGCTCAACTTTGGCATAGTACCAAAATGTGGCCAGTTGAGGTTTCACATAAGTCACAGCAGCATTGTTCACTAGCGCCAGAGTCACCTCTGTGAGGTTACGGACAAATTAGGCCGTGGTTCTAGGATGGAAAGTCCGTCACCCCAAACAGGCAGCTGAACATCCAAAAGATTGGTTTTATAGACAGAAAAGGACTGAGGAAAGCAGAAACAGAGAACAAAAAGTGGATTGGTTGTTTCAAAGCGATTTCCTTACAGGATTGAAACAGAGGGGGCCTCATTATCATGGCAACAGGTAAACTGAGCTCTTTAGATTGGGTGCTGTGAATCTCGTGGTGTGGTTTTTTAAAATTTATTTAATTTAATTTTTTTTTTTTTTGAGACAGAGTCTCGCTCTACCACCCAGGTTGGAGTGCTATGGCATGATCTTGCCTCACTGCAAACTCCGCCTCCCAGGTTCAAGCGATTCTCCTGCCTCAGTCTCTCGAGTAGCTGGGATTACCAGCGCGCACCACCATGCCCAGGTAATTTTTGTATTTTTAGTAGAAACCAGGTTTCACCATGTTGGCCAGGCTGGTCTCAAACTCCTGATCTCAAGTGATCCTCCTGCCTTGGCCCTCAAAGTGCTGGGATTACAGGCATGAGCCACTGTGCCTGGCCTTTTTTTCTTTCTTTTTTTTTTTTTTTTGAGATGAAGTTTCACTCTTGTTGCCCAGGCTGGCACGGTGCAGTGGTGCGATCTCGGCTCACTGCAACCTCTGCCTCCTGGGTTCAAGCGATTCTCCTGCCTCAGCCTCCCAAGTAGCTAGGATTACAGGCATGCACCACCACACCCAGCCTAAAGTACCTTTTTCTGTCTCCATATGACTCCATTTCCCTGCAGCCTCAGATGCCAACTCGTTTCCTCTTTGGAGCTTTCTGCCGCCTAGGCTCTTGCAGTATTCTTCTCTATGGCTGTGCCTTTAGCTGCAAATAAAAAAAAAAGAATCCAAGTCAAGTAGCTTGAACCATAGGAAAAATATACCTCACATTTGAAGAGCTTCAGGGCTGATTAATTTGAAGGCTCAGCAGTGTCATCAGGGACTTGGGTGCCTTCCACCTTTTTTTTTTTTTTTTTTTTTTTTTGAGATAGGGTCTCACTCTATCACCCAGGCTGGAGTACAGTGGCATGATTTTGGCCCGCCACAGCCTCGACGTCTGGGCTCAAATGATCCTCCTGCCTCAGCCTCCCAAGTAGCTGGGAGTACAGGCATGCACCACCATGCCCAGCTAATTTTTTTGTTTTTTTTTTTTTTTTGGTAGAGACAGGGTTTCACCATGTCACCCAGACTAGTCTTGAACTCCTGGGATCAAGCAATCTGCCTGCCTTGGCCTCCCAAAGTGCTGGGATTACATGCATGAGCTGTTGCTCCCAGCTACCGTCCACCATTCTGATCTACCACCCTGAAGACGATGGCTTGTCCTAAAGGTGCTCTCTGCACTGTTCGAGGATGACTGCAGCAGTGTGTGATGGTTAATTGGGTGTATTACTTGACTGGGCTAAGGGATGCCCAGATAACCGGTAAAACATTATTTCTGGCTGTGTCTGTGAGGGTGTTTCTGGAAGGGATTCTCATTTGAGCTGATGAACTGAGTGAAGCAGATGGCTCTCCCAGTGTGGGTAGGCATCACCCAATTCATTAAAGGCCTGAATAGAACAAAAGGATCGAGCAAGGGTGAACTCCCTCTCTCTGCTTGCGCTGAGACACCCATTTCCTCCTACCCTCGGACTTGGGCTTCCAAACTCAGAGTGGGACCCACATCATTGGCCCTCAGCTGATTACCTGGCGTTTGGACTCAGACAGAATTACACACTGGCTTTCCAGGTTCTCCAGCTTGCAGAGAGCATATCATGGGTCTTCCTGGCCTCTATAACCACATGAGCCAATTCCTATAAATCTCCTCATATATAAATATCTATCTGTATATCTATATCTAGAACCTACTGGTTCTGTTTCTCTGGAAAACCCTAATACAAGTCATTCCAATGCTATATCCCAACATGAAAAAATGCAGCTAGAGAGTGTGTCTTTTCCCATATGTCTCTTTATTTTTAACCAATGAGGAGACCTTCCCCAGAAGCCCCCAGAAGTCTTTATCCTCACATCTCACTGGCCTGTATTGTATTATATGCCCCTTCCTAAATCAGTCCCTGGCAGGGAATTGTGATAACAGTGATTGGCTTGGATTAATCAGGACTCATTGCTGAACCACTTGGAGGAAGGGTGGAATGCAAAACGAAATCGAGGCTTTGTCCCAAATGAAGGGGTAGGCAATGAAACCATACTGACACACGCCAGTTTTCTTTCTGCTTTTTTTGCTGGCTCCTTCATTTTTCTTTGCCATTCACTGTCAGGTTGTAGTCTAGTCCTCTTCCAATCTAGGATGTTCCCAGACCACATATTCTCCGTGGAAGATCCTATTCATGCTGTTAAATACAATTTACAGGAGTCCATTGCTTTAGACTAGCCTCCTGTCCTAGGCCCTAGCGATCCAGACCAAACCAGAATGGAGTCACTCATGCTAGATGTTACGTAATCAAACTGAGCTCTGAAACATGCCTATTAAAAAAAAAAAGAAAAGAAAAGCCAGGCGTGGTGGCTCACACCTGTAATCCCAGCACTTTGGGAGGCTGAAGCGGGTGGATCACCTGAGATCAGAAGTTCGAGACCAGCCTAAACAACATGGAGAAACCCCCATCTCTACTAAAAATACAAAATTAGCCAGGCATGGTGGCGCATACCTGTAGTCCCAGTTACTCAGGAGGCTGAGGCAGGAGAATCACTTGAACCCGGGAGATGGAGGTGGTGTGAGGTAAACTGAGATTGCGCCATTGCACTCCAACCTGAGCAACAGGAGCAAAACTGTCTCAAAAAAAAAGAAAAGAAAATGTGCTTTATTTTTTATTTATTTATTTATTTTCAAGACGGAGTCTTGTTCTGTCACCCAGGCTGGAGTGCAGTGGCGCGATCTAGGCTCACTGCAAGTTCCACCTCCCGGGTTCACACCATTCTCCTGCCTCAGCCTCCCAAGTAGCTGGGACTACAGGCACCCGCCACCATGCCCAGTTAATTTTTTTGTATTTTTTAGTAGAGACAGGGTTTCACCATGTTAGCCAGGATGGTCTAAATCTCCTGACCTCGTGATCCACCCACCTCAGCCTCCCAAAGCGCTGGGATTACAGGCGTGAGCCACCACACCCGGCCAGAAAATGTGCTTTAAATTCAAGGGCCCAGGCACGGTGGCTCGTGCCTGTAATCCCAGCCTGCACTTTGGGAGGCCTAAGTGGATGGACTATTTGAGGTCAGGAGTTTGAGACCAGCCTGGCCAACATGGTGAAACCCCATCTCTACTAAAAATACAAAAATTAGCCAGGCATGGTGGTGCGCACCTGTAATCCCAGCTACTTGAAGGCTGATGGAGGAGAATTGCTTGAGGTTGGGAGGCAGAGGTGGCAGTGAGCTGAGTGAATGGCACTTGCACTCCAGCCTGGGCAACAGAGTGAGACTCTGTCTCAAAAAAATAAAATAAAATAAAAAAATTCAAGGGACCATTGGAACCTTTGGGAAGACTAGTGGCCCTGGGCCATGGAGTAAAAACTAGATTGCAAAAGGTTACTTATCCTTTTTGTATTTTTGAATTTTTAATTTAATTTTGCTAATCTCTGTATCATTCCAATTTTAGTATATGTGCTGCCAAAACAATCACTGCTTAACCTTATACACAGTTGGCACAAAGGGATGTTTGAGAAATCATAAAATTGAGATGTGTGGAAGATAAGGAAGTGGTCGGTGAGTATACACTTTTTTTTGGAGGGTTCAGGGTCTCGCTCTGTTGCCCAGGCTGAAGTACAGTGATATAATCACCATGCACTGGAACCTCAACCTCTCAGGCGCAAGCAATCCTCCCACCTCAGCCTACTGAGTAGCTGGAACTACAGGCACATGCTGCCATGCTCAGCTAGTGAAAAAAAGTTTTTTGATGCAGCTGTAGCAAAATATTGCTTATAATTATCAATATTTTAAAAATACAGAAATTGCTGGGTGTGATGGCTCACACCTGTAATCCCAGCATTTTGGGATGCCAAGGTGAGAGGATCAATTGAGCCCAGGAGTTTGAGACCAGCCTGGGCAACATGCAGACCCCCTCTCTCTACAAAAAAATAAATAAATAAATAAAAATTAGCCAGGCATGGTGGCACATGCCTATAGTTCCAGCACTTTGGGAGGCTAAGGCAGGAGGATTGCTTGAGCCCAGGAGTTTGAAGTTACAGTAAGCTATGATCGTGCCATTGCACTCTAGCCTGGGCAACAGAGTGAGACCTTGTCTCTAAAAAAAAAAATTAAATACAGAAGTTATTAGGCCCACTTCAAGATCTCGTTATTGAATGCATTAATAAAGGACACAAAATAAAAGAAAATGTATAACTATGTCAAAAATTATTCAGGCAACTTAAAAATATTGTAACAACATATTGTATATAATTGGTTCCTGTGGTAATTCTATGTGTATCATTTTATGTATTCAAAAAACACCGGGGCGGTGGCCCATGCCTATAATCCCAGCACTTTGGGAGGCTGAGGCAGGCGGATCACCTGAGGTCAGGAGTTTCGAGACCAGCCTGGCCAACATGGTATTTTTGTACTAAAAATACAAAAAAATTAGCTGGGCGTGGTGGTGGGCATCTGTAATCCCAGCTACTTGGGAGGCGGAGGCAGGAGGATTGCTTGAACCGGGAAGGCAGAGGTTGCGCCACTGCACTCCAGCCTGGGTGACAGAGCGAGACTCCGCCTCAAAAAACAAAAAAAAAAAACAAAAAAACCCCCACCAGACTGCCGAAGGAATCCACAGTTAAAAAAGGTTAGGAACCCTTGCTCCAAGAGAAAAGAGAGAAAGGGAGACTTGTAGTGTCTGGGGAACCTGGCTTTTTAGGAGAGAAGAGAGGCTAACATGTTAAAATACTGCAAGGGCAGAGAGGCGATTTTGAGAGCCAAGGTCCCTGAGGAGGCTGAACTACTGGGATGCAGGGCTCAGGTGGAGGGATTAAGTACAGGAAGGAAACCTTTCCCACAATAAAAGGGAGGAAAGAATAAGAGTGGATAAAAATAAATGTTTCAGTGGGGTGGGAGTGGGGGGCAGGAATTGAGGGGGGCTTCTGCCTGATGGCTTCTATTTTCACCTACAAGTAGGAGTGAAGTTATCTGTCGAGAGTTACAATGAGAAGGGAGGAGGATAAAGGTAGGAAACAGAAAGGACTGACAAGGACAGCCCAGAAGAGCTCCCAGCCCAGGAGTGGAGTGGCCAGAGACCACCGGGTTGTCATGGCAACCACCTGCTTGGGTGTGCACTGCCTCCATCAGTGCTCAGCTGCCAAGTGTGGGATAAGAGGGCAGAAAGTCAGCTGGAACCAGGGCTGGGGTTCTCCCAGGAGGATGAGGGGAGGATCAGGGGAATGGAAGAAGCATGGATCAGCATATCCAGGCTGCAGGAAGAAGAATGTGAAGCTAGAATGGGGCTGATAGCTGAGGAGGGTGAATAAACACAGGGAAGAAGAATGAGACCAAGGGAATGAGAAAGTGGAGATGCAGGAAGGGATGAACCACGGATGACCCACTGAAGTTTTTTTTTTTTTTTTAAAGACAGAACCTTGCTCTGTTGCCCAGGCTGGAGTGCAATGGCATGATCTCAGCTCACTGCAACCTCTGCCTCTTGGGTTCTAGCAATTCTCCTGCCTCAGCCTCCAGAGTAGCTGGGACTACAGGCATGCACCATCACGCCTGGCTAATTTTTGTATTTTTAGTAGAGACGGGGTTTCACCATGCTGGCCAGGCTGGTCTCGAACTCCTGACCTCAAGTGATCTGCCCGCGTTGGCCTCCCAAAGTGCTGGGGTTACAGCCACCATGCCCGGCCAGAGCTAGTGAAGTTTAAGGTTAAGGAATAGTTCATGGATGGCAAGTGCTGGGCTCTGGCCACTGTGTGGGCAAGTGAAATAGAGAAGAGGTAAAGGGTGTTGGTAAAGGGGAACTGCCAGTCCAGCCAGGACCATCCAGATGGACATATTAGGTTGATGCAAAAGTAATTGTGCTTTTTGCCATTAAAGGTAATGGCAGCCGGGTGCGGCAGCTCACGTCTGTATTCCCAGTACTTTGGGAGGCCAAGGTGGGCAGATCCCCTGAGGTCAGGGGTTTGAAACCAGCCTGGCCAACAAACATGATGAAACCCGTCTCTACTAAAAATACAAAAATTAGCGAGATGTGGCGGTGGGCACCTGTAATTCCAGCTACTCAGGAGGCTTAGGCAGGAGAATCACCTGAACCTGGGAGGCAGAGGTTGCACTGAGCCAAGATGGAGCCATAGCGCTCTAGCCTAGGTAGCAGAGTGAGACTCTGTCTCAAAAAATAAATAGATAAAAAATAAAAAAATAGGCCGGTCGCGGTGGCTCACGCCTGTAATCCCAGCATGATCTCAGGTGGATCATGAGGTCAGGCACTGGAGAACAGCCTGGCCTACATAGGGAAACCCCATCTCTACTAAAAATACAAAAAATTAGCCGGGCGTGGTAGCAGATGCCTGTAATCCCAGCTACTTGGGAGGCTGAGGCGGGAGAATTGCTTGAACCTAGGAGGCAGAGGTTGCAGTGAACTGAGATTGTGCCACTGCACTCTAGCCCGGGCAACAGTGCGAGACTCCGTCTCAAAAAATAAATAAATAAATAAAATAAAATAAAGGTAATGGCAAAAACTGCAACTACTTTTGCACCAACGTAATAAAAGTCACCTGGGATGAGAGTGAGACCCCCCCCCCCCCCTGCCCCGCCACCCAATGTGGAGAGGAAGGTCTTCTGGAAATATGGAGGAGTGATTTTGAAGTCATTAGATCATTGGAACAATAGTAGATAGAGGCCAGGTGCAGTGGCTCACTGCTGTAATCCCAGCACTTTGGGAGGCTGAGGCAGGAGGATCACTTGAGGTCAGGGGTTCGAGACCAGCCTAACCAACATAACGAAATCCTGCTTCTACTAAAAATACAAAAATCAGACGGATGTGATGGCATGCACCTGTAATCCCAGCTACTTGGGAGGCTGAGGCAGGAGAATCGCTTGAACCTGGGAGGTGGAGGTTGCAGTGAGCCAAGATTGTGCCATTGCACTTCAGCCTGGCAACAGAGAAAGTTAAAAAAAACAGAACAAAACAGAAAAACCTCTAACCTTTATAAAAGAGGCTACAGCCTGGGCAACACAATGAAACCGCCGTCTCTTAAAAAAACCTAAAAATTAGATGAGCATGGTGTTGTGTGCCTGTACTTCTAGCTACTCCAAAGGCTGAGGTGGGAGGATTGCTTGAGCCCAGGAGTTTGAGGCTGCAGTGAACTACGATCACACTATTGCACTCCAGCCTGGGTGACAGAAAAAAAAAAAAAGTATGGTGGTTTCCAGCCCAGGAAGGTGGTCCCCTCCCATACCCCACCCAACCAGAAGGTATTTGCAAACCCACAGAGGCCTTTGGTTTTATCACAATGCTGTGGGTGGGTGATACTGGCATTTGGTACCTAGAGATTAGAGAGGCTAAACACTCTGCGATGCACAGGAGAGCTCCACACGCTGATGAATTGTCCTACGCAAAATGCCAGTCATGCATCTCATACATTTTATGGATAAGCAGACTGAGGGTCACAGAGCTGAGGTACGTGCCTACTTTTGGGAGCTTCTGTAGCATTGAAATTATATTAAGATTTTTTTGTTTAAGAGATAGGGTCACTGCAGTGAGATGAGATCATCCCACCACACTGCAGCCTGGGCAACAGAGCAAGACCTTGTCTTGGGCATGGTGGCTAACACCTCTAATCCCAGCACTTTGGGAGGCCTAAGTGGGAGGATCGCTTGAGGCCAGGAGGCCGAGGCTGCAGTCTTTGCACCACTGCACACCAGCCTGGGTGACAAAACAAGACTCTGTTTCAAAGAGAGAGAGACAGAGAGAGAGGGTCTCGCTCTGTTGCCCAGGCTGGCCTCCAATTCTTGGACTCACACAATCTTCCTGCCTCAGTCTTCCAAGTAGCTGGGACTACAAATGCGTGCTACTATGCATGGCTTAAGATTTTGTGTCTACATCAGAGGTCCCTGTGGCAGACAGTGTCAAGCAGCAAGTCTCACCCTTTCACCCTAGTTGCCGCCCAGTGATTGGTCTGTGTTTGCCACAGTTCAGGCCAACGAGATGTAAGCAGAAGTCATGGAGCAGGGCTCCTGGGTAAACTTTCTCAAAAGGGCAAGTGAAGCTGGATGCTCCTTCCCCATTGGCTCTGCTCCTTCCTACCTACCTTCCTTCCTCCCTCCCTCCCTCCCTCCCTTCCTTCCTTCTTCCTCTCTCTCTCTCTCGTTCCCTCCCTCCCTCCTTCCTTTTTTTTTTTTCTTTTTTAACAGGGTCTCACTCCATCACCCAGGCTGGAGTGCAGTGGCATGATCTCGGCTCATTGCAGCCTCAACCTCCCGGGCTCAGGTGATCCTCCCACCTCAGCCTCCCAAGTAGCTGGGACTACAGGTGCATGCCTCCCAGCTAATTTTTGTGTTTTTTTCTGTAGAGACCAGGTTTCACCACATTGCCCAGGCTGGTCTCAAACTCCTGGGCTCAAGTAATTATCCTGCCTCCATCTCCCAAACTGCTGGGATTCCAGGTGTGAGCCACCATGCCCAGTCTCTGCTCCCTTCTTTCTGCTAGGAACTTGGTTCCACAGCCATCTTGTGCCTATGAACGCAAAAGCCACGTTAGTGATGGTGGAGCAGAAAGAAAGAAAGACCACGTGTTCTTGCTGACTTTCTAAGAAGCACCCCAGACCTGGACTGCCCACCTCTGGATTTAACAAATGAGAAAAACAAACTATTATTTGTTTAAGCTACTGTTAATTGGTTGTTCTGTTGAATGCATTTCTACCTGATAGAGTCATAGGGCCAGTTAGTAACCCGGGTTTTGACTCTCACAATCTAATATGCTTTCCTTGGCAGCAGTGGATCTCCAAGTGTGGTCCCCGGACAGGCAACATCAGTATCATGGAGAAACTTGTTAGAAATGCAGAATATCATATGCCACCCCAGACCTTCTAAGTCAGAAACCCTGGGGGTGGGCCCAACGATCTGGTTTAACAAGCCCTCCCAGTGATTCTCATGCACCGAAAGTGTGAGAACCACCGTTCTGTAGCCATGCTCTTCACTGTGTGGTTCTGGACAACCTGGGAGCTTGCTTAAAATATACCATTTCAGCCGGGTGCAGTGACTCACACCTGTAATCCCAGCACTTTGGGAGGCTGAGGTGAGCGGATCGCTTGAGCCCAGGAGTTTGAGACCAGCCTGGGCAATATGGGGAGACCCCCATCTCTACCAAAAAAAAAAAAAATCAGCCAGGTGTGTTGGTGCACGTCTGTAGTCCCAGCTACTCAGAGGCTGAGGTGGAAGGACCCCTTAAACCTAGGAGGCTGAGACTGCAGTAAGCCATGATGGCGTCACTGCATTCTAGCCTGGGGGACAGAGCCAGACCCTGTCTCAAAAAAAGGAAAAGCAAGGCCAGGTGCAGTGGCTCAAGCCTGTAATCCCAGCACTTTGGGAGGCCAAGTCTGATCGCTTGAGACCAGGAGTTCAAGACCAGCCTGGGCAACATGGAGAAACCCTACAAAAAATATAAAAATATAAAAAATGCAAAAATTAGCTGGATATGGTGGCACACACCTGTGGTCCCAGCTACTGGGGAGGCTGAGGTGGGAGGATAACTTGAGCCCGGGAGGCGGAGATTGCGGTGAGCCAAGGTCGAGCCACTGTACCCCAGCCTGGGTGACAGAGATCCTGTCTCTATTTTTACAAAAAGGAAAAGAAAAACATACCGTCTCACGCCCCACTACATGCAGACCTACTGAATCTAAATCTACATTTTTAGGAGGTTCCTGGGTTGTTTGTACACATATTCAAGTTTAAGAAGCACTGCTCTACAATATGCTTAATTGAGTCTTTTTCTTTCTTTTATTGAAGAGCATTGAAAAGATACATAACTGATCAGATTGAAGTTACATGTTCAGGATTCAGCTATGCCTCCCAGGTTCAAGCGATTCTCCTGCCTCAGCCTCCCAAGTAGCTGGGATTACAGGTGCGCACCACCATACCCAGCTAATTTTTGTATTTTAGTAGAGATGAAGTTTCACCATGTTGGCCAAGCTGGTCTCAAACTCCTGACCTCAGGTGATCCGCCAACCTCGGCCTCCCAAAGTGCTGGGACTACAGCCATGAACTACCACACCCGGCCCACAGTTGCTTTTAAATGGAAAACTTATTCCAAACATAAATTTGAGGCCGGGCAAGGTGGCTCACACCTGTAATCCTGGCACTTTAGGAGGCCGAGGTGGGAAGATTACTTGTTCGAGTAGTTTGAGACCAGCCTGGCCAACATGGTGAAATCCTGTCTCTATTAAAAATACAAAAATTAGCTGGTGATAGTGGTGCACACCTCTAATCCTAGGGAGGCTGAGGCATGAGAATTATGTGATCCTGGGAGGCAGAGGTTGCAGTGGGCCAAGATTGCACCACTGCACTCCAGCCTGGATGACAGAGTGAGACTCTGTCTAAAAAAAAAAAAAAAGGAAAGAAAGACAGAAAAGTGCCAGCCTGGGCAACATAGCAAGACCCCATCCAACTTTTTTTTTTTTTTTTGAGACGGAGTCTTGCTCTGTCGCCCAGGCTGGAGTGCAGTGGCACGATCTTGGCTCACTGCAAGCTCCACCTCCCGGGTTCACGCCATTCTCCTGCCTCAGCCTCCCGAGTAGCTGGGACTACAGGCGCCCGCCACCGCGCCCAGCTAATTTTTGTATTTTTAGTAGAGACGGGGTTTCACCGTGTTAGCCAGGATGGTCTCGATCTCCTGACCTCGTGATCCGCCCGCCTCAGCCTCCCAAAGTGCTGGGATTACAGGTGTGAGCCACCTCGCCCAGCCCTAACTTTTTTGAAGTATTTAACTTACAGAAATGTAGCTATTAGAAGAATAGGGGTATTTCTGTCATTTTTTTTTTTTAAGATGGAGTCTTGCTCTGTCACCAGGCTGGAGTGCAGTGGCACGATCTCAGCTCACTGCAACCTCCGCCTCCTGGGTTAAAGCGTTTCTCCTACCTCAGCCTCCCAAGTAGCTGGGACTACAGGCACCCGCCACCATGCCCAGCTAATTTTTGTATTTTTAGTAGAGATGGGGTTCCACCATGTTGGCCAGGATGTTCTTGATTTCCTGACCTTGTGATCTCCCTGCCTCAGCCTCCCAAAGTTCTGGGATTACAGGCGTGACCCACTGCGCCCGGCCATTTCTGTCATTTTCATTACCTTTTGTGCAACATGGAGGTTCTGTCTGTTTGTCTTGTTGCTACAGTGCATCATGATGATTTATTAGAGGTACAGTGACACATGCTAGACCTAAGCAGGACCTGGAGCTCATTTCTTAAGTAGGCTTCCCGGGCTTTCTTGCAGAGGGTTCACATAGAAAATGAAGAAGTTATCCAACACCCCAAGAAAAGGGAAGGGAAGAAGCAGCTTGCTGCAGGATGGGCTGCCTGCAGGCTCCAGCCAGAGCGGAAGGGTCCCGATCCAGCACACCTATGGCCCATTATAAGCACACAAGTCTAGTTTAACTCACCGTATCGTGAATGAGGAAACTCAGATCCTTCTCTTTTTCAAAAATGTATTTGAATCATTTACAAATAATAGTATTAGTATTATGTGCATGGTCTGTATTTTCCTTTTATTAGGAAAATTACACATATTTTTTTTCCTTCTTAAACATGATTTCTATTTAACCAATTATATATTTATGTTGGGCCTTTTGTCAGAGATCCTTTCTAAGATCCTGCTGTTGGGCTGGCGCAGTGGCTCACGCCTATAATCCCAGCATTTTGGGAGGCTGAGGTGGTCAGATCACTTGAGTCCAGGAGTTCGAAACTAGCCTGGGCAATGGTGAAATCCCGCTTCTATATAAAGAACAAAAATTAGCCGGGCATGGTGTCATGTGCCTGTAGTCTTAGCTACTCGGGAGGCTGAAGTGGGTGGATTGCTTGGACTCAGGAGGCATAGGTTGCAGTGAGCTAAGCTCTTGCCGCTGCACTCCCGCCTGGGTGACAGAGCGAGACCCTGTCTCAAAAAAGAAAAGAAAAGAAAAGATCCTGCTATTCCAACCATTTGTGCTTCTATGCTTTCACAAATACCTTTTTTTTTCTTCTTTTGAGATGGAGTTTTGCTCTTGTCACCCAGGCTGGAGTGCAATGGCGTGATCTCGGCTCATTGCAGCCTCCACCTCCTGGGTTCCAGCAATTCTCCTGCCCCAGCCTCCTGAGTAACTGAGATTACAGGCGCCTACAACCATGCCCGGCTAATTTTTGTTTTTTTAGTAGAGATGGGCGTTTCACCATGTTGGCCAGGCTGGTCTCCAACTCCTGACCTCAAGTGATCCACCCGCCTCAGCCTCCCAAAGTGCTGGGATTACAGGCTTGAGACACCGTGCCTGACCAAAACTTAAAATATTTTTTTAAAATGTAATAGAGTCGGGGTCTTGATATGTTGCCCAGGCTGGTCTTGAACGCCTAGCCTCAAGCGATCCTCCCATGTTGGCCTCCCAAAGTGCTGGGATTACAGGCATGAGCCACTGTCCCCAGCCTGAAATATTTTCTAATATGGTAAAATATATTTCTTACATAAAGTTTTAATATGTTATTATATTTTGTAAATTGATTTTTTTAAGTATCTGGGATTAAGTTATTATTCCTTTATTCCTACATCTTCCATTATTTATTTTATTATTATTATTTTTTGAGATGGAGTCTTGCTCTTGTCGCCCAGGCTGGAGTGCAATGGTGCAATCTCAGCTCACTACAACCTCCTCCTCCCAGGTTCAAGCGATTCTCCTGCCTCAGCCTCCAGAGTAGGTGGGATTACAGGCACCTGCCACCACACCCAGATAATTTTTGTATTTTTAGTAGAGACAGGGTTTTGCCATGTTGGCCAGGCTGGTCTTGAACTCCTGACCTTAGGTGATCCGCCCATCTTGGCCTCCCAAAGTGCTGGGATTACAGGCGTGAGCCACTACGCCTGGCCTGCTTCCATTATTTTTATATGTATGTTGAGAATTTTAGTCCATTTTGATTTAATTGATATTTATTACTTATTTATTTATTTTTGTAGAAACAGAGTCTCTCTGTTGCCCAGACTGGAGTGTAGTGGCATGATCATAGCTCACTGCAACCTTGAACTCCTGGGGCTGAAGCAATTCTCTTGCCTCAGCCTCCTAGTAGTAGGTAGGACTACAGGTTAGTAACACAGTGCTAGGCAAATTTTTAAATTAAAAACTATTTAGGATATTGTTATTAAGCATTAACATTTGACATGATTTTAGTTTCCTACTATCATTTGGTTTGTTAAATCAACACTGTAGGCCGGGTGCGGTGGCTCACGCCTGTAATCCCAGCACTTTGGGAGGCTGAGGCAGGCGGATCATGAGGTCAGGGGATCGAGACCATCCTGGCTAACACCGTGAAACCCCGTCTCTACTAAAAATACAAAAAATTAGCCGGGCGTGGTGGTGGGTGCCTGTAGTCCCAGCGACTCGGGAGGCTGAGGCAGGAGAATGGCTTGAGCCGGGGAGGCAGAGTTTGCAGTGAGCCGAGATGGCGCCACTGCACTCCAGCCTGGGCGACAGAGAGAGACTGCCTCAAAAAAAAAAAAAAATCAACACTGTAAAGTTCTCAGAATAGTAATTTCACACTCTAATTGAAGACAGGAGGCTGGGCACAGTGGCACATGTGTATAATCCCAGGATTTGGGATTATATGCGTATAATCCCTTGGACTCCCAAGGCCAAGATGGCAGGATCCCTTGGGACCAGGAGTTTGAAACCAGCCTGGGCAACATAGGAAGACCCTGTCTCTACCAAAAAAAAAAAAAAAAAAAAAAAAGCCCAAAAAAACACACGCATGGTGGCCCCTGCCTATAGTTCCAAATATTTCCAGGAGTTCGAGGCCGCAGTGGGCTATGATTATGCCACTGCACCCTAGCCTGGGTGACAGAGTGAGGCCCGATCTCTAAAAAGAAATGGGAAAAAAAAGAGAGAGAAGATATAGCTTTTTAAGGATATTTTAAGTCCTTAACACTTTGCACTAATGAAAAGTGTTTCGTTTGCTAGTTTTGGAGCTCTTGTTTTCTGAGCCCTGGCTGGCCTGCCCCTCTGGCTTCCTTTTTTTCTTTTTGAAGACGGGGTCTCACTCTGTCGCCCAGACTGGAGTGCAGTGGCACGATCTCGGCTCACTGCAACCTCGGCTTCCCAGATTCAAGTGATTCTCCTGCCTCAGCCTCCCTAGTAGCTGGGATTACAGGTGCCTGCCACCACGCCCGGCTGATTTTTGTTTTTTTAGTAGAGACAGGGTTTCACCAAGTTGGCCAGGCTGGTCTCGAACACCTGGCCTCAAGTGATCCACCCACCTCAGCCTCCCAAAGTGCTGGGATTATAGGCGTGGGCAACCACGCCCGGCCCCCTCTGGCTTCTTACCTCTCCCGACTTCGGTGATTGTCCCTAGGGCCCAGCAGGTCTCAGACAGTCGCTGGCTGTCTGGGCCAGTCCGTGACTATTCTGAGAACTCTTCCCTTGCTTGCTTCAAGCCCAACTGTAAGTTAGCGATAGAAACAAGTCTGCCAGTGAGTTTTCTAGATAGACCAAGACCAAACAGGTTGAAGCAGTGCTCGCTGGTTGAATCACTCTGTGCTCAAATAAGGAGCTGATAAACCAAGGAAACAAACTTGTGTGCACTTCCCTGCTTCCCTCTGCCATAGTTCCTCCCTATCTCAGGAGTGATATATGGCTGTTAATCACATGTTGAAGCATAGTCATTCCTAAACTGTTCTCATGTGTTTGAATCAAAGTAATTTTAATCTTATCTTTCCTAATCTGAATTGACCTCTGTGTAGCACTGTTTCTCCTTCATGGCCTATCTAGAAGCTATTGAGGATACAGAAAAAGAAAATGTATACTCTGGTGCCTTTGTTAATGTAGAGATGTCTTTCTATTTTTATTTTTGAAAGGAAGAAATAAAACTATTATTTACAGAAGACATAATTGTACATAGAAAATCCTAAGGCATGTACCAAAAAAAAAAAAAAGCTAATATGGGAGTTTAGAACTAATAAGGGAGTTTAGAAAGGTTATGGGATATATAGTCCATATAAATAAGTCAGTTGCATTTTTTTTTTTTTAGACAGAGTCTTGCTCTGTCACCCAGGCTGGAGTGCAGTGGCGCGATCTCTGCTCACTGCAACCTCTGTCTCCCAGGTTCAAGGGATTCTCCTGTCTCAGCCTCCCAAGTAGCTGGGACTACAGGCGCCTGCCACCACGCCCAGCTAATTTTTTGTGTTTTTAGTAGAGACGGGGTTTCACAGTGTGAGCCAGGATGGTCTTGATCTCCTGACTCATGATCCGCCTGCCTCGGCCTCCCAAAGTGCTGAGATTATAGGCGTGAGCCACCATGCCTGGCCATCAGTTACATTTTTTAATTAAAAATTGTTTATTTTTTAAAAAAACTTATAAAGTACATATAACATAAAATTTACTATTTAACCTTTTTAACTTTTTTTTTTTTTTTGAGACACGATCTCTCTCTCTGCTGACCAGGCTGAAGTGCAGTAGTAGCATGATCATAGGAACCTTGATTTCTTGGGCTCAGGTGATCCTCCCACCTCAGCCTCCTGGTTAGCTGGAATTATAGGTGTGTGCCACCACGACCTGTTAATTTCGTGTGTGTGTGTGTGTGTGTGTGTGTGTGTGTGTGTTTTATTTTTTTGTAGAAACAGAGTTTTTCCATGTTGCCCAAGCTAGTCGATTTTAAACTATTTATTTATTTATTTATTTTGAGACAGGGTCTTGCTCTGTTGCCCAGGCTGGAGTGTAGTGGCACAATCATGACTCACTGTAGCCTCAACCTCCTGGACTCAGACAATCCTCCTGCCTCAGCCTCCCAAGTAGCTAGGACTACAGGTGTGTGCCACCATACCTGGCTAATTTTTGTATTTTTTTGTTTTCGCCATGGGTTGTTTTGTTTTGTATTTTTTGTTTTGTATTTTTGTTTTCTCCAGATATGGGTTTTTGCCATGTTTTCCAGGCTGGTCTGGAACTCCTGGGCTCAAGTAATCCTTCTGCCTCAGCCTCTCAAAGCACTGGGATTACAGATTTTAACTATTTTTAAACATACAGTTAAGTAGTATTAAATACATTAAGATTGTGCAACCATTGAGATGTCTTCTTAAGCACAATTTTTAAATTTTTAAAAATCTTTCTTTCCTTTTTTTTCTGATGGAGGAACAGGGTCTCAGCTGGAATGCTATGGTGCAATTATAACTCACTGCAGCCTTGACCTCCTAGACTCAAGCGATCCTCCCACCTCAGCCTCCCAAGTAGCTGGGACTACAGGCATATGCCACCATACCTGGCTAATTTTTTTTTTTTTTTTTTTGGACAGAGTCTCACTCTGTTGCCCAGGCTGGAGTGTAGTGCTGCAACCTCCACCTTCCAGGTTCAAGCGATTCTCCTGCCTCACCCTCCCAAGTAGCTGGGATTACAGGCATGCACCAACATGCCCAGCTAATTTTTGTATTTTTAGTAGAGACCGCATTTCACCATGTTGGCCAGGCTTGTCTTGAACTCCTGACCTCAAGTGATCTGCCTGCCTCAGCCTCCCAAAGTGCTGGGATTACAGGTGTGAGCCACCACGCTGGGCCATGTGGCTAATTTTTGTATTTTTTTTTTTTTTAGAGACAGGGTCTTGCTATGTTGTCCAGTTGGTCTCCAACTACTGGGGTCAAGTAATCCTCCTGCCTCAGCTTCCCAAAGTACTGGGATTGTAGGTGTGAGCCACTGTGCCCATCCTAAACACAAAATGTTTAACACGAATCATTATATTTATATAAGCCTAATGGAATGAGGGCCGGGCATGGTGGCTCATGGCTGTAATCCCAATATTTGTGAGGCCAAGGCAGGAGGAACACTTGAGGCCAGGAGTTCTAGACCAGACTGGGCAACACAGCAAGACCCTGTCACTACAAAAAAATAAATATTGGCCTTTTAGGAATTCATAACTCTTTATTTCACTAGTTAAGGATTTAAATAGTATTAGCTGGTGCTTCAATTATTTGTAAGCCACAGTTAGCAGACTTTAGTTCAACAGCATCGCAGGGTGCATGTTGAGTTCCTGGCAGTAACAAATCAATAACATTTTACTTCTGATTTTGTTTGAAAGAAAACCTTATGATGGGCCAGGCACAGTGGCTTATGCCTGTAATCCCAGCATTTTGGGAGGCCAAAGTAGGTGAACTGCTTGAATCTAGGAGTTCAAGACCAGCCTGGGCACCACGGTGAAACCCCGTCTCTATGTTATTAAAAAAATTGTATTTTAAAAGGAAACCTTAGGCCAAGCGCAGTGGCTCACACCTGTAATCCCAGTACTTTGGGAGGCCAAGGCAGGTGGATCACCGGAGGTCAGGAGTTCGAGACCAGCCTGACCAACATGGTGAAACCCTGTCTCTACTATAAATACAAAATTAGCTGAGCATGGTGGCGCATGCCTGTAATCCCAACTACTCGGGAGGCTGAGACAGGAGAATCACTTGAACCTGGGAGGTGGAGGTTGCAATGAGCTGAGATCGCACCACTGCACTCCAGCCTGGACAACAAGAACGAAACTCTGTCTCAAAAAATAATAATAATAAATAAATAAAATGAAACCTTACGATGATTTCATTTTATATGTGTCTGGGTTTGCTTTTTCTTCCCCAGATGATGTGTTTGTTGGTTAAGCGTATGTATGGCACAAGTATATGTGATATGTTTCTTTCATTTGTATTGGAAAAGAATTAATTTTACCAAGTATTATTTATGTTCCCAAGTGATTGTTAGAATTGAGTAATGCAAACGACTGATAATAGGAATCTGGCTTCTACTCAACTTGAAAAAGAGGTATTGGTGCCAATGGTAAACTCCTTATCTGCACTAGCAGAGGGCTGGTATTGTACACATTTCCCTGAAACAGAATATCTAAATGGACTCTGTGTCCTTTTGAATGTATCACAATCTTAGAATAACAGACTCCTCTAGAAGCCGAACCCCTTATTTTACAAACCCCTAACCCCCATCAGACACAGGTGTTCCCCTTCCAGTTTTTCTCTCGTACCTTGTCCAACCTTCATTATAGCCCTAATCACACAGGTACATGATGAGTTATTTACATTAACACATAAACAATGGAATGAGCAATTCTTCAGCCATACTATATCTTGCTCATCTTTGTTGTCTTCAGCACTTAGCACAATGCCTGGAACTTACTAGCTACTCAATACATATTTGTTGAGCAACAGAATGATGAAACTGAGGCCCAGGGACAGGAAGTGACCTGCCCAAGATCACAAATGTAGTAACAACATTCTGAGAGACAGGTTATGATAACATTTTAATTACATTACATTGCTGGGAAACACATAGTAAGAAGCCAGAACAGAGCTGGATCTTGGAATAAAATTTTGATCACAGGTTATTGACAGAATTAAAATTAATGGCTGGGCACAGTGGCTCACACTTGTAATTCCAGCACTTTGGGAGGCCAAGGAAGGAGAATTGCTTGAACCCAGGAGTTTCAGACCAGTTTGGGTAACATAGTGAGACCCTGTCTCTACAAAAAATAAAAAAATTAGACAGGTGTGGTGGTGTGCACCTGTAGTCCCAGTTACTTGGGAGGCTAAGGTAGGAGGATTGCTTGAGTCTGGGAGGTTGAGGCTGCAGTGAGCCATGATCCTGCTACTGCCTTCCAGCCTGGATGACAGAGTGAGACCTTGTCTCAAAAAACAAAGGAGAAATTCACGTGACAATTCACAGCATCAAAAGTTGACTCTGTCGGCTGGGCACAGTGGCTCATGCCTGTAATCCCAGCAGTTTGTGAGGCCGAGGCAGGTGGATCACCTGAGGTCAGGAGTTCATGACCAGCCTGGCCAACATGGTGAAACTTCATCTACTAAAAATACAAAAATAGCTGGGCATGGTGATGCACATCTATAATCCCAGCTACTAGGGAGGCTGAGGCAGGAAAATCACTCAAACCTGGGAGGCGGAGGTTACAGTGAGCAGAGATCACGCCACTGCACTCCAGCCTGGGTGATACAGCAAGACTCCATCTCAAAAAAAAAAAAAAAAAAAAAAAGAGTTGACTCTTTCGTCTATCTTCAGAGTTTTATTTTTTTAATTCCTTAGTTTTGTTTTTCTTGCTAATGCTGTACCTTAGGAATGGTGGGTCCATGTTTGTAGACAAGAGAAGCCACCTTGGTTGTTTTTCCCATAGCTGGGAAAGGCTAGAACACAAGAAGTCCCAATTCTATGGAAGGGCAGGGAGATCTTTCCCTATCCCGAGGATCCATAGGCCTTCAATTGTGTTCATGATGAATCTTTGTGAGATGTATAGAATCATTTTTGGCATAGTTTGGGGAAGGCTGGTGGTAACCCCAGCATATGTGTGCATATGATGAGCATTTAGGCTTGTACCAAAATCAAGGCTGTATTTGATGAGGCAGAGAGGGTTGGAGTAGGATGTCAGCATGAGCGAATACCAGCTCAATGGTGGCTGCGGCCTTTGAGAAGGTCAAAGTGACCCAGGAAATGTAATCTGGCCAGTGGCCGGGTGGCAATTGTCACTGAGCTCAGCAGAGTCTTCCCTGAAGACTTTCCAGAAAATCTCTGCTCCAGGAGGCCTCAAGGTGCTGACTCTGGCTCTTCTACTGACAGCTGGAGTGTGTGTGTGTGTGTGTGTGTGTGTGTGTGTGTGTGTGTGTGACAGAGAGAGAGAGAGAGAGAGAGAGAAAGACAAGAAGGGAGAAGGAGGAACACAGAAAAGACGTGGCCTAGTAGACCTAGGGAAAGTTTTTTTGTTTGTTTGTTTGTTTGAGAGTCATGCTCTGTCGCCCAGGCTGGAGTGCAGTGGCTCGATCTCAGCTCACTGCAATCTCCCTCTCCTGGGTTCAAGCGATCTTCTCGCCTCAGCCTCCCAAGTAGCTGGGATTACAAGTGCACACCACCATGCCCAGCTTTTTTTTTTTTTTTTTTTTTTTTTTTGAGATGGAGTCTTGCTCTGTTACCCAGGCTGCAGTGCAGTGGTGCCATCTCGGCTCACGGCAACCTCTGCCTCCCTAGCTGGGATTACAGGCACCCGCCACCATGCCTGGCTAATTTTTGTATTTTTAGTAGAGACAGAGTTTCACCATGTTGGCCAGACTGGCCTTGTACTCCTGACCTCAAGTGAACCACCAGCCTTGGCCTCCCAAAGTGCTTGGATTACAGGTGTGAGCCACTGCGCCCAGCGGGAAGTCCTTTTCATCCGCTGTTCCAAGGTGTCAAAGTGGGCACTAGTGTCACCTAGGTGGCCATAGGGAAAGGTATGTAAGGTCTGCCCTAGACCCATAAGTGGGAGTGTCTGGGTGTGGGCAAGGGGAGGGTCCTGTGTCAGTCTCAGAGAGGAGCTCTGCCTTGATTGGTCATGATGAGCCTGCTGCCTGAGCTAGGTGGACAGGTGACAACAGCAACTGGTTGGACTCCCTCCCTCTCTCTCTCTCTCTCTCTCTCTCTCTTTTTCTCTCTCTCACTCACTTTCTTTTTCTCTTTCTCTCTCTCTCTTTTTCTCTTTCTCTCTGTCTCTCTCTCTTTCTCTCTTTCTTTCTTTTCTCTTTTTTTGAGACACAGTCTCACTCTGTGCCTAGGCTGGAGTGCAGTGGTGTGATCTTGGCTCACTGCAACCTCCACCTCCCAGGTTCAAGAGATTCTCCTGCCTCAGCCTCCTGAGTAGCTAGGATTACAGGTGCGTGCCACCATACTCAGCTAATTTTTGTATTTTTAGTAGAGACAGGATTTCACCATGTTGGCCAGGCTGGTCTCGAACTCCTGACCTCAGGTGATCCACCTGCCTTGGCCTCCCAAAATGCTGAGATTACAGGCATGAGCCGCCGTGCCTGGCCGAAGTGTCTTCATTTCTTACCATCAGAAATTGTGAGCATTAAGTTGGGATCCCAAGGATGGGCTTTATGTGTGGAGAACATCTTGAAATTGTTTGCAAATCTATGTGTCCATTTCTTTCCGGGAAATGTCCAAGCAGATTCTCAAACAGATCTGTGAATGAACAAAAGTTAAGAACTTTTGGTGTAGGGCAAAAGAGAAGGAACAATGCATTTATAGCGGCGTTGTGGTTCACACAGCAGGAACACAAGTGAATGGAGTCTGGCAGTGTAGTCATGCTCATTTTGATGGCCTAGGGCCTATGGATTAACAACTGCTACATCACCAGATAACAGTAGTTACATGTATCTCTGTGGGCTAGAGATAGTAGTCTGGAACCTTCTGAGTGAGCTGGTGGCAACTGTAAGGCAGTCAGAGAAATCAATACTGTGTAGGCCAGGCACAGTGGCTCACACCTGTAATCCCAGCACTTTGGGAGGCAGAAGCGGGAAGATCACTTGAGTTTCAGAGTTCGAGACCTGCCTGGGCAGCATGACAAAACCCTGTCTCTACTAAAAATCCAAAATTAGCCAGGCGTGGTGGCAGGTGCTTATAATCCCAGATACTCAGGAGGCTGAGGCAGGAAAATTACTTGTACCTGGGAAGTGGAGGTTACAGTGAGCCGAGATCACACCACTGCACTCCAGCCTGGATGACACAGCGAGACTCTGTCTCAAAATAAATAAAATAAAATAAAACAAATAAATTAAATTAAATTAAATTAAAAATTAGCCAGGCATGTTGGCATGTGCCTCTAGTCTCAGCTACTCGGGAGGCTGAGGTGGGAGGACGGCTTAAGATGGGGAGGCAGCTGGGCGTGGTGGCTCACGCCTGTAATCCCAGCACTTTGGGAGGCTGAGGCGGGCGGATCACGAGGTCAGGAGATCGAGACCATCCTGGCTAACACAGTGAAACCCTGTCTCCACTAAAATTGCAAAAAATTAGCCTGGCGTAGTGGCAGGCGCCTGTAGTCCCAGTTACTTGGGAGGCTGAGGCAGGAGAATGGCCTGAACCCGGGAGGCGGAGCTTGCAGTGAGCTGAGATCATGCCACTGCACTCCAGCCTGTGCAACAGAGTGAGACTACTTCTCAAAAAAAAAAAAACAAAAAAACGGGGAGGCGGAGGTTGAAGTGAGCAGTGATCATGCCACTGCACTCCAGCCTGGGCAACAGAGTGAGACTCCTTCTCAAAAAAAAAAAAAACAAAAAAACGGGGAGGCGGAGGTTGAAGTGAGCAGTGATCATGCCACTGCACTCCAGCCTGGGCAACAGAGTGAGACCCTATCTCAAAAAAAAAAAAAAAATACTATGCACATAAATACTATGCATCCAATGGAACATAGCCAGTAGGAATAGAGCAGTCACTATGGGGAGGTCACTAAACACAATTTGTTGTCAGAGGAAACAGAGTATTAGGATATTCTCAGGCCAGATTCAATTTATGCCTCACAAGAGGGCCAAGTCACAAGGATTTCCAAGGAACCACACTAGACTTCAGTTTAAGGTTGTCTCCTGGCTCGGGGTAGGTGATCCTCTTGAGCCGTATTGCCTATGGTTGTGTCTTAGAAGCAGAAGTAGTAACCTGGCCTTCTTAAGCTCCGTGACCTAAACTCCATTCTGTTCATCTCTACTTCATCCCTTCCGGGTACCCTGGGGACCTAGTACCTTTCTATACCATCCCTGTGGCCAGTGTTATCTGTGATTCATTTCCATCCTTGGGGCCCAGGCTGATGGGGTACTCTTTTTTTTTCTTTTTTTTTGAGACTGAGTCTTGCTCTGTTGCCCAGGCTGGAGTGCAGTGGCACGATCTCGGCTCACTACAACCTCCACCTCCTGGGTCCAGGCGATTTTCCTGCCTCGGCCTCCCAAGCAGCTGGAATTACAGGCGCATACCACCATGCCCGGCTAATTTTTGTATTCTTAGTAGAGATGGGGTTTCGCCATGTTGGCCAGGCTGGTCTTGAACTCCTGACCTCAGGTGATCCACCCACCTCGGCCTGCCAAAGTGCTGGGATTACAGGCGTGAGCCACTGCACTCAGCCAGGTATTCCTTATAGAGCCATTTCCATAACTTGAAATCTATGTGGGCACCACAGAAAATTTCAGGGAGCAAATTTCTCTAGGTTCAGAAATCCTAAAGAAGGATGGGACGTAGAGAGAATGGGAATTCTCAGGGAGTACTGTGTGTGTCAGGGGAACGAAGACGGACAGCCTTCAAGTCTTTGGGTGAGATTTAGGGCTGTTTGGTCCAGTGTTTGCCTCATTAGCCCAGTTGTAGGTTGAGGATCACCAAGGACCTCTCTCAGCTCCTCACCACCTCCTTCTGGCCATCTCTTGACCATGGCTGTGCTTCTGTGTCATTGCAAAGTTGTCTTAGAGGAACACATCCAGTTGGCAACTTTTATTCTGTGGGTGACCTTCCAGCTGTGCTGGTTCTGACCGCACCCTTTTCCCGACTGACTTTGCAGGTCAGGCCTTGGAACTGCCATACCTTCCACTGATAATCTGTTTTACGCAGCTGTCTGCAGATCCAGTTATGACTCATGACTATTATTTGATCTGGCAGGATGTAGAATACTTGTAGTCACCAGTTTGTTTCCATTCAGGTGCTAATGGCATCTTGTATAATGTGTCCATTGGGAAAATTTCCAAAGTATCAAGTATCAGAAATTCAGCTACATCAAGCCATTTGGTTTCTGATACTATAAGCTATTTGGTGTAAGGATCTTGGAATAGGCCAGGCCTGGTGGCTCACACCTGTAATCCTGCTACTTTGGGAGGCTGAGACGGGCAGATCACTTGAACTCAGGAGTTCGAGACCAGCCTGGGCAACATGGCAAAACCCTGTCTCTACAAAAAAATACCAAAAAAATTAGCCAGATATGGTGGTGCATGCCTGTAGTCCCAGCTACTTGGAAGGCTAAGGCAGGGAATTGCTTGAGCCCAGAAGGTCAAGGCTACAGTGAGTCGTGATCGTGCCACTGCACTCCAGTCTGGGTGACAAAGCAAGACCCTGTGTCAAAAAAAAAAAAAAAAAAAAAGGGGGAATCTTGGAATAGCTTATGTTATGCATGAATTTTAATAAGTTAATTTCTAGTTGGAGAAATTACATCTTTTTTCCCCATTTTCCAACTCCTCTCTGAAAACAGTCTAGGATTAAAGTCTCAATATTCCTGATCCAATGTGGTCAACACATTAATTTGTCCTGGGGTGTGCTTTTATTTGATTATGTGGCAAATCTCTTAATGTCTTCTTGTTAATGAAAAGAGGAGGAGTAAAAGTTATGGCCTTGACATCATTTTTTCATTTGTTCAACAAATGTTTTTTGAACAGCTACATTGTGCAGGGCCTGTAGTAGATAACAGGGAAATAGAGATAAAGACACTGTCCCATCCCATAAGACATTATCCCACCTCAGCCCCCCAAGTGACTGGGTACAGGCGTGTGCCACCACACCCAGCTAAGTTTTGTATTTTTTGTAGAGACAGGGTTTCACCATGTTGCTGAGGCTGTTCTCAAACTCCTGGGCTCAAGCAATCCCACTGCCTCGGCCTCTGAAAGTGCTGGGATTACAGGTGTGAGCCACTGTGCCTAGCTGGACAACTTATGTTTTGCAACATTTTATTTTGAATTTGAAAAAACAAACCAAAGCATATGATTATATGCAAAAATTATATTTATGTTCAGCAGTCCATCCCTAGCATTTCGAGTATTTATTCATCACTTTAAGAGTTTCATTGAGGCCAGGTGTGGTGCCAGGCACCTGCAGTCCTAGCTACTTGGGAGGCTGAGGCAGGAGGATTACTTGAGCCCAGGCATTTTTTTTTTTTGAGACTCACTCTTGTGGCCCAGCCTGGAGTGCAATGGAGCGACCTTGGCTCACTGCAACCTCTGCCTCCTGGGTTCAAGTGATTCTCCTGCCTCAGCCTCCCAAATAGCTGGGATTACAGATGCCCACCACCATGCCTGGCTAATTTTTGTCTTTTTAGTAGAGACAGGGTTTCACCATGTTGGCCAAGCTGGTCTCGAACTCCTGAAGTCAGGTGATCTGCCCACCTCGGCTTCCCAAAGTGCTGGGATTACAGGCTGAGTCCAGGAATTTGAGGCTGCACTGAGCTATGATCATGCCACTGCACTCCAGCCTGGGTGACAGTGTGAGACCTTGTCTCCTAAAAATAAACAAACAAAACAAACAAACATAAAAACAACAAAAAAAAACTTTTGTTGAGATACTTTATATCCATTTGTATTGCATATTAATGTATACAATTGTATATCATGAATGTATATTTTATAATACTTGTACACTAACTAATATATTATAGAAAGTTCATTTAGAATGTTAAGTTTTCTTGTTGGTCATGGTATGAAAAATATTGAGCTTGTTTCTTTGCTTGCTATTCTTTTGTAGTTCTAAATTTGAATCAAATATATCCACTTTTTTTTTTTTTGAGATAGAATCTCCCTCTGTTGCCCAGGCTGGAGTGCAGTGGCACAATCATAGTTCACTGCAGCCTTGAACTTCTGGGTTCAAGCAATCCTCCTCACTCCAGCCTCCTGAGTAGCGAGGAATACAGGCACCTGCCACCAGCCCTGGCTTATTTTTGTGGAGACAGGGTCTCGCTATGTTGCCCAGGCTGATCTCAAACTCCTGGCCTCAAGTGATCCTCCCGACTTGGCCTCCCAAAGTGCTGGGATTACAGGCATGAGTACCCAGCCTCCACTTGTTTTTTGAAATAACCCTAAACCCTCATGTCTCCCATAGTTTTCAGAAAGAGAGTAAAAATCTGTCTGAAATAAGAATGTATTGATCTCCACCACCAAGCAGTTAGATTTCTCCTTCTGTTCTGTTATAATCATCTCTGTTTTTCATATCTACCTTATTGTCATTTACCATCTGTGGCCACTTTACCTCTAGCTTCTTTTCCTGTTTACTCTTCTACTTATTTACACTTAAAATATACTTGTTTCTGATTATAAAAGTAATACATATTAATTATAGACCATTTGGAAAATATAGAAAACAAAAAGAAAGGCCAGGTGCAGTGGCTCATGCCTTAATCCCAGCAATTTGTGAGGCCAAAGCAAGTGGATCACTTGAGGCCAGGAGTTTGAGACCAATCTGGGCAATACAGTGAGACCCCATTTCTAAAAAAAAAAAAAAAAATTAAAATTAGCCAGGTATGGTGGCACCACCTGTAGTCCCATGTACTTGGCACACTGAGGCGGGAGGATTGCTTGAACACAGGAGTTCAAGGTTACCATGAACTATGATTGTATCACTGTACTCCAGCCTGAGTGACAGAGCAAGACTGTCTCTAAACAACAACAACAACACCCCCAAAAACCACTGAGTGTTTTTTCATTCAAAAAACTGCCAATTTGCTGATTTACATTTTAAGCCAGCTTCAGACAAAGTATCCTAAAACACAGATTTTTATTTTTTTTGAAACAAGGTCTTGCTCTGTCACTCAGGCTGGAGTACAATGGTGTGATCTCGGCTTGCTGCAACCTCTGCCTCCTGGGCTCAAGTGATCCTCCCACCTCAGCCCCCCAAGTAGCTGGGACCACAGGTGCACACCACCATGCCCTGCTAATTTTTGTATATTTTCTAGAGACGGGTTTTGCTGTGTTGCCCGGGCTATTCTCAAACTCCTGGGCTCAAGCAATTTCACTGCCTCAGCCTCCCAAAGTGCTGGGATTACAGGTGCAAGCCACCGCACCAGCCCTAAAACACAGATTTCATCATGTCCCTTCTCACTTAAGAACCTGCAACTGAGGCCAGGCCCAGAGGCTTATGCCTGTAATGCCAGCGCTTTGGGAAGCTGGGGCAAGAGGATCTCTTGAGGCCAAGAGTTTGAGACCAGCCTGGGCAACATAGGGAGACCTTGTCTCTACAAATAATTTTAAAAATTAGCCAGGCATGGTGGCACGCACCAGTGGTCCCAGCTACTTGGCAGGCGGAGGCAGGAAGATAGCTTCAGCCAAGGCTGAAGTGAGTCATGATTGTGCCACCCATACTCCAGCCTGGGCAACAGAGGGAGACCCTGTCTCAAAAATAAAACACAAAAGGCCGGGCACAGTGGCTCATGCCTGTAATCCCAGCACTTTGGGAGGCCAAGGCGGGTGGATCACCTGAGGTCAGGAGTTCAAGACCAGCCTGACAAATATGGTGAAACGCTGTCTCTACTGAAAATACAAAAATTAGCTGGGTGTGGTAGCATGCGCCTGTAGTCCCAGCTACTTGGGAGACTGAGACAGGAGAATTGCTTGAACCTGGGAGGCGGAGGTTGCAGTGAAATGAGATCGCGCCACTGCAGTCCAGCCTGGGTGACAGAGCGAGACTCTGTGTCAAAAAAATAAATAAATAAAACTCTCCAAACCAACAACTGCAATTCAGGTTGCATCACCTCTGAGCACTTCTTAGTGGGTGTGGAGGAAAGAGTGTATTGATTTGGTGCCAGAGGACATGAGGTCTAGTGTGTCTTTTATGTACCAGCTGTGTGATGTTGGACAAATTACTTACCCTCCCTAAACCGATTTCCCTATGATGATAAATGACGAAAAAAACCTCCCTCAGAAAACCCAGATAATGAATGCATGTGCAGGTGCATCATGCAGGGTAAAACACTATCCAAATGGTAACAATGCTATATCACCCCTCTAGTAAAAGTGGGAACCCCTTTAGGTAGGGTCCATTGTGAAGCTTAGTGCTGAGCAACTCAATCTCCGTTTTTAATAAATCCTTGCTTAATTCATGAACAAATATCTACCAGGCCTTAATTCAGCCCTGATTATTTATATGTACTGCTTTGCGATTTTCTAATCATTCTCCGTGGTGGTTTTTCATTTAGGGTGACCAACTGTCCTGGTTTTCCTAGGACTAAGGGAATGTGAAGATTTCTGGGGGCGGGGGGGTTGTTCTTATTTTATTTAATTTTTTGTCCCCATCATGGAATGTTTCTTTTTTTTTTTTGGAGTGGCCGGGGTCTCACTCTCTTGCCCAGGCCGGAGAACAGTAGCGTGATCACAGCTCACTGTCCTTGACCTCCCGGGTCAAGCGATCCTCCCACCTCAGCTTGTGGAGTAGCAGGGACCACAGGTATGCACCACCATGCCTGGCTAATTTTAAAACTTTTTTTTTTTTTTTTTTGAGGTGGAGTCTCGCTCTGTCACCCAGGCTGGAGTGCAGTGACACAATCTCAGCTCACTGCAACCTCTGCCTCCTGGGTTCAAGCAATCCTCCTGCCTCAGCCTCCTGAGTAGCTGGGATTACAGGCCTGCCAGCACACCTGGCTAATTTTTGTATTGTTCATAGAGACAGGGTTTCACCATGTTGGTCAGGCTGGTCTCGAACTCCTGACCTCAAGTGATTCACCCGCCTCAGCCTCTCAAAGTGCTGGGATTACAGATGTGAGCCACCGCACCTGGCCAAATTTAAGTAAATCTTATAAGTGATGTATTAGTAGTTCAGAATGTCAATTTCAAATATTTCTGTTACTTTCCTAGGGCAGCCCCTTCCCTGCTTGAGATACCTGAGAAGGAATGGAAAGGGAGCAAGTGCTGGAGGTGGGCATTACTTGGGGGTGGGTTACATGTTGGATTTCAATGGACTCTCCACTGAGGAGCCCATTTACTAGGGAGATCTAGAATGTTTGCAACTGGTAGAGACCAGGATAAGGCTTAATGGACTGACCCACCAACTCTTTGTCCAGTGTCTCTGCTCGCCACGTGCTCCCCACCCACCGTGTGTGCTCGCCACCTCTTCACGTCTCACTTTCCAAAGTTACAGCTTCTAAGTTTCAGATTCGTTTACACAGCTCTATTTTTGCCTATGAGCTTCCTGATATAGATGTCCGTGTCATGCATGTTTGAGGGTCCCTGGGGTCACATCACACTGAAGTCTAGGAACATTAGCTTTAAACAGCTAATTTTCTTTTATTTAGTTGCAGAGAAGTTCCTATTCCAGGCTTGAGCACTGGCCAGCCTCCAGGCTTTCTGTTTCTGCAGCAGTCCTTGTCTCTCAGCGGGGACAGTCTCTTCTGTGGCTTACAGTCTCTCAAACCACAGGGACTTTTCACTACCAGCACCACCTGCTGTCCTGATTCCCAGAGGCCTCCCTCCCTTTCCACCTGGCCTCTGAGCTGCCCTCTAGTTGACACACTTTGGGGTTTGCAGGCTGGCCAAGAACAGGGAGGGGCTGCCCTGGTTTGGGGTGATGGGTGATCTGGAAATAGCCTTGGGGGAGGGATCTGGTTCTGAAGTTAGCACCGAAGGCTTTGTCTGTGCTTAGAATGCCTGATACTTAGCCATCAGGAAAAGGAGGTGTCTTTGCAGCTCCATTTTTCCCCCCAGGGCATGTATTCACCCCTCTGGGTTGGTGGCTGTAGTACTAACCAGACATAACTTTTATTCTGGACTACCTGGTGTTTTCTCCTGCTCAGGGCTTTACGTGCTACTTAACTGGATCCTCCAAAAGAGGGCCTGGGGGTTGCTTATGGCCTGGAGGTGGGCCAGCTGGCCACTCACATACAGCAGCCTCGCTACTTGTGCCAGCTTGTGATCCCCTACTCAGCACCAGCACTCGTGCAGATGCCTGGAGCAACTAATGCAAGGTTGGTCTTCAAGGGCAGGGGAAGGAAAGGAGGACTGAGGCAAGGAACCTAGTGGTACAGAAGTAGGAGGAGGAGCTGAGAAGGGACCAGGTGCACACTGGTTTTCACTGAAGTCATCTTCCTTCCTTTTGGGAGAACAGGCAGCTGGTTCACACCAACCAGGCTGGCTCTCCCTGAGTCAGCCCCCTGAAGACACTGGCAACTGATAGTGACAGGCTGGTTGTCTTGGCTGTGATGATAACAGGCTCGTGGCCTCTCTGCTACCCCTCAGTAGCCTAGGGCCTAGCTTCTGATGGCCTGTTCTCTGCCCATCAGTCCTGAAAGGGTCCCCTCTGTTCATAGGGGCCTGGCCTGTATATTGTTCTCTGTTCACATGTAGAGCTTTATGAAAGATAAACAGGTTCATACTTACCTGGCAAAGGGGGGATAACCATGAAAGATAAACAGGTTCATAGAAGGAAAAGTACATTCCTAGGCCAATAGTGAGCAAGTACAGTTGTCTCTTGGTACCCACAGGGTATTGGTTCCAGGACACCCAAGGATGCCAAAATCTGCAGATCCTTAATTAAATAAAATGGTTTAGAAAAAATAAAATATGGCCATGGCTCATGCTTGTTATCCCAGCACTTTGGGAGGCCAAGGTGGGCAGATCACTTGAAGTCAAGAGTTCGAGACCAGCCTGGCCAACATAGAGAAACCCCATATCTACAAAAAATACAAAAATTAGCTGGGCATGGCGGCGCATGTGTGTATCCCAGCTGCTAGGGAGGCTGAGGCACAAGAATTGCTTGAACCTGGGAGGAAGAGGTTGCAGCGAGCCGAGATGGTACCACTGCACTGCACTGGGCAACAGAGTGAGACTGTCTCAAAAAAAAAAAAAAAACAGAAAGAAGAAAATATATAAGATGGTGTAGAATTTACACATAACCTATGCACATCCTCCTGTACAGTACTTTAAATCATCTCTAGATTACTTGTAGTACCTAATACAAGGTAAATGCTTGTAAATCATTGTTATACTGTATTGGTTTTTATTTGTACTTTTATTGTTATTTTTATTATTTTTTTGAGACAAAAGTCTCACTCTGTTGCCCAGGTTGGAGTGCAGTGGCGCGATCTTGGCTCACTGCAAGCTCCGCCTTCTGGGTTCACGCCATTCTCCTGCCTCAGCCTCCCGAGTAGCTAGGACTACAGGCGCCTGCCACCATGTCTGGCTCATTTGTTTTTTTTTTTGTATTTTTAGTAGAGAAAGGGTTTCACCATGTTAGCCAGGATGGTCTCGATCTCCTGACCTTGTGATACGCCCATCTCAGCCTCCCAAAGTGCTGGGATTACAGGCGTGAGCCACCACACCCGGCCTTATTGTTTTACTTTTATTTCTTTTTTTGAGACGGAGTCTTGCTCTGCCACCCAGGCTGGAGTGCAGTGGCGCAATCTCGGCTCACTGCAACCTTCGCCTCCCAGGTTCAAGCGATTCTCCTGCCTCAGCCTCCTGAGTAGCTGGGATTACAGGCATGCACCACCATGCCCAGCTAACTTTTTGTATTTTTAGTAGAGATGGGGTTTCACCATATTGGCCAGGCTGGTCTCCTAACCTCAGGTGATCCGCCTGCCTTGGCCTCCCAAAGTGCTGGGATTACAGGCGTGAACCGCCGCACCCGGCCTTGTTATTGTATTTTAAAAATTAGTATCTACCAGCCGGGTGCGGTGGCTCACACCTGTAATCCCAGCACTTTGGGAGGCCGAGGCAGGTGGATCATGAGGTCAGGAGATCGAGACCATCCTGGCTAACACGGTGAAACCCCGTCTCTACTAAAAATACAAAAAAATTAGCCAGGCGCAGTGGCGGGCACCTGTAGTCCCAGCTGCTTGGGAGGCTGAGACAGGAGAACTGCTGGAACCCGGGAGGTGGAGCTTGCAGTGAGCCGAGATCATGCCACTGCACTCCAGCCTGGGGAATAGAGCCAGACTCCATTTCAAAAAAAAAAAAATTAGTATCTACCACTTCATAGGGTTGTTGTGAGGATTCAACAAAATAATGTACTTCTCACAGCGTATGTGTGCGTGTTAGCTGTCACTACTATATAACTTTATGGTGTGTATAAGAGCCTAATGGGGCCCTGACAACCCACCATGCTCTAAGGAGAACCTGCTTTGCCCTTTTTATCCTGAAGATTTAGGTGGTGTGTGCCTGTGATCCCAGCTACTTAAGAGGCTGAGACAGGAGGATCGCCTGAGCCAGGGAGGTCGAGGCTGCAGTGAACCGTGATTATGCCACTGCATTCCAGCCTGGGTGACAAAGCGACAGAGCAAGACCCTATCTCAAAAAAAAAAAAAAACAATCCTGAAGACTTAGGCCCCTATGTATTTACTACCTCCCTGCAATCTTCCACCAGAAGTAGAAGGCACTGGCCATTTAAATTACTGGCAACCACTAGAGAAGAGAATTACGGTGCCTTAGCTATGGAACCACTTATGATCCTGCTTACAGTCTAGGTTTTAGATTTGGTCGCTGACTTGATGCTGCTAGACTCCAACTGCCTGAAACGAGCGGCTCTCCTGGACTGCTTGCTAGAAGCTTAAAGGTATTGGGTTGGACTCCATTGCTTGTTCATGGCCTAGTGGCAGTGGTGGTGGCCTTGGGCCTCAGGTTGTGATTAATCAGACACTCTGATGTGGAAACATGAGGCTGGTGGAATATTCACCTGATACAGTGAGGGTGGGAGGGAACGGGGACCCAGAAAGGGTCAGACAGAGAACAAAGTAATATCTCTGGGCCTTTTTACCCTGGAAAGGAATTTCAGGTGGGTCAAACCCCACCAGCGTTCTCCAAAACTAGGCAGAGGAAAAACCTAGGGGAAGCTGTTGGTTCAGAATTGAAGATGCTGGAAGTGGGTGAGGACCCTGTCAGAATGATGGAGAAAGAACAGGCATCCCCACCGCATCTCCAGAACCCAAAGGCTTTAAAGGGAGCAGTGACTTGATTTATATCCAGTGCTTTATTAAAGATAAATAGTCTCATAAGAGGAGAAGTAAATGTGTTTGCAGGCCAACAGAGAGTCCATGTATATGAGAAAGAGATGCGTGAGGTCCCTGATCTGTGCTCTGAGGGGGTGGTCAGTCAGGCAGGGCTTGGGCCAACCAGTAAGGCAGATGAGGGTCCCTGTCCTGGGGGACTCACTGCTCCTGGGTGCCCCAGGAGATGTAGTCTGGCCGTGTGGCCGCATGGTACTCATCGATGAGCTGCTGCACAATCTCCCTGGATGTGTCCATCTCATCAAAGTTGTCCTTGAACATGTCCTCCTTGCGGAACTGCTCCAGGAAGGCCTCCCGCTTACGCAGCTTGTCATACTGGCGACAGGTTCTCTCGAAGAGCTTGGGGTGTGCAGAAAACAGGGGTTACAAAGAACTTCAAAGAATAACGTGGCCCAGAAAGCTGGGGAACCAAGGCTGGGCTATGCCCACAGCAAAAAAGCTAGAAGCAGGGCCAGCAGATGCAGAGAGGTGAGGTATAGTCAGGAAACTGATTCAGGGAAAAAAGGTGCAAACTTTGAGACTCACCGAGGAGATGCTGGTGTGGTTGGCCATCATGAGCCCGCTGACCCGGTGGGCCGAGGGCAGGTAGGGAGACTTCCTCGACAGGGCCACCTGGATGCTGGCGGGGCCCCACGGGATGAAGTTGGCCAACTTGCGTTCCCGGATCCTCTGCAAGCTCTTGTGGACCTGGGGTGGGCATAGGAGCAGTGGAGGTGGCCTCTCCTCTACCCCTGCAGGTCCAGGGTGTGGGATGAAGGGGCCTCCCCTACCTGGGTGGGGTCCACCTCTCCCTGGATGATGTTGAGGATGGCGATGTAGCAGTGGTTGGTCTGGCGGTCTCGGCCTGTGGACACCATCACGTTCTTGGGCTGCAGCAGCCGCCTCATGACATCCAGGACCGTGGTCTTCCTCACGCTGGCCACCTGATAGGACAGTGAGACAGGGACCCGGCCAGCGCTCAGGGCACAGTCCCCCTTTGGCTTCTCTTTGGCAGAAGCCAAAGGCAGAGGGAGGGTGGAGAGCAAGTCAGCAAGAAAGTCGCCCACTCTGTGCCAGTCCCTGAGCGCCGCGCCTTGGGGTCCACAAAGGGTAGCTCCTGGGGCAGTGGGGAAGAGAGAAAGGCTAGGACAGGGCCTGTTGGGCCCAGGGCCGGCCTGGCCTGGGACACTGAAGGCTGCTCTTACTGACTGGTCCGTAGTGAGAGGGGTGTAGCCGGTCATGAGGAAGTGGAGCCGTGGGGTGGGAATGAGCGAGGCGATGAGGCCGATGAGGTCATTGTTCATGTAGCCAGGGTAGCGCAGGGTGGTGGTGCTGGCTGACATGATGGTAGACACCTGGGGACAGGCGTGCCATGTTATGGGCCTCAGCCTGGGTGGGACCTCCCTTCCCCAAATGACCCTCCAACAAGGAGGGCTTCAAGTCCAAAGGAGTCCAGGAGTGGGGGCCCACCAGCTGGTTGATCTGGGAGAAGGATGGGTTCTGGATGTGCAGGCGGTCTGTGGCAATCCGGTTCAGGGCTGTGTTGTCCAGCACCACCTGGGGGGACAGAAGAGGATCACAGATCAATGGGGATAAGAAAAACAGGAGCTCTGCCTGACCCTAGGCTCTGAAGCTTAATTTCCTTTGAGCTTCATGGCCAGAAAGACTCACTGGAAAGAGATTTGCACTGACCTAGGGCAAAGGAGGGCTCAAAATGGATTTTTAAATTTTTCTTTTCATCTTAATTATTTAAACAGTTTTTTTTTTTGTTCTTGTTTTTTGAGACAGGGTTTCACTTTGTCACCCCGGCTGGAGTGCAGTCAGTGACATGATCTCAGCTCACTGCAGCCCCTGCCTCTGAGGCACAAGTGATCCTTCTGCACATATCACCACTCCCGACTAATTTTTGTATTTTTAGTAGAGATGGGGTTTCGCCATGTTGCCCAGGCTGGTCTCGAACTCCTAAACTCAAACGATCCAACGACCTTGGCCTCCCAAAGTGATGGGATTACAGTCATGAGCCACTGCACCTGGCTAAAATGGATTTTTTTTAAATACATGAAAATGATTTAATAGACTCGAGTGGGTATGGGGTGTTGAGAGTTGGGAGAGGTAGAATCCAGGACTCACCACACAGTCTGCATTCTGCGTCAGCCTCTTGAGTGTGAGGAGTGAATTGTAAGGCTGGACCACCACATCGCTCATCTCGTCCTGGTTGGGAAACACTGAGTATGTCTGCACCAGCTTCTTAGGATACCTGGTGGGGGTTGGGGAAAGGATCAGGGCAACAGACCGAAGGCCTGGTGAACATGGCGCTCCCTAACAACTGTCCAGAAGCAGATAAATCTTGATGGCGAAACTGGGGTGGGGTCAAATCAGTAGAGAAGGGAGCCTTGACTTTTGGAAGTCTGTAGCCCTACAGGGGGAAGGGCAGAGACATCTTAGACTCTGGGCTTCCAAATTGAGACCTGGCCACACTCCCTCGACTTTCATCCAGGGCTCAGGTTCTAGGCTCCAGTTCCCACTACTGGGAGTGTGATGGGGTTCTCAGTCATTGTAACTTCATTTTCCTCTCTATAGGAGGGAATATAAGAACTCTTTCCTGTTCCAGCAAATATGGAGTTATATCTGCTGGGTCCCCTAGTCATTTAGGAAGCCAAGTTGGAGACCTTTCCTAATCCCCAAACACAAACTTACCTGTCATTCAGCCGTTCTAAGAGGTAGGAACCCAGTCCAGAGCCTGTCCCCCCAGCAATGGAGTGACACAGCACAAAGCCCTGCATGGGGAAGGGGCAGTCAGTGTACAGGTATCTAGTGGCAGGATGTCAAACTAGACCCATCTCATAGTTTTTTAGGACTCCCATTTTCCCGAGCCCTTGCTTCCCATCCAGTCCCCTCACTTATACAGCTTAGGCAACTGCCTTGTTTCTGGCAAGGCCTGATAGCTTCTGTCCAGTGCAAAGGGTACATGAGTGGGTCTTGTTCCTAACAGGTCGCTTCTAGAGGGTGCTGCCAAGCCTTGCCCATGTCGGCTCCTACCAGCATTCCTGGGACACTTACCTCTAGACTGTCACTACCATCTGCCTCCCGGTCTATGATGTCAAAAATGTCCTCATGGATCTTTTCTCCCTGTACAGACATAGGGGAGGGTCAGAGTGGGACAGAACCATGGGAGGTCTCTGACCTCAGAAAAGCCACCCTCAATTCTCCTTATAACACCCAGAAGTCCTTTTATGGAGCATAGCTACCTGCTTTTATCTACATTGAGAGGCAGTACGGTGCAGTGGTTACAAGAAAGCACTCTACACCCAGACTACCTGGGTTCATACATTAGCTCTATTTTTTTTTGCGATGGAGTCTCTCTCTTTCTCCCAGGCTGGAGTGCAGTGGCGCGATCTTGGCTCATGGCAACCTCCGTCTCCTGGGTTCAAGCGATTCTCCTGCCTCAGCCTCCCCAGTAGCTGGGATTATAGGCGCATGCCACCATGCCCAGCTATTTTTTGTATTTTTAGTAGAATCAGAGTTTCACCATGTTGGCTAGGCTGGTCTTGAACTCCTGACCTCAGGTGATCTGCCTGCCTTGGCCTCCCAAAGTGCTAGGATTACAGGCGTGAGCCACCACGCCTGGCCCATTAACTCTACTTCTATGTAGCTCTGGGCAGCTTATTTAATTGCTCTATGCCTCAGTTTCCTCATCTGTACAATGAAGGTAATAATACAGGTCCATATACCCTTATCTAACAGTGTTGGGGCCAGTTATGTTTTGGAATTCAAAATATTTCAGATTTTAGAAAGGTATTATGGTATATATACTATATATTAAATAAAATTCCAGTGGGAATTTTTATTTAATCAGAAGCACGTTAATCAAATATATTAGTATTTCTGTAATAAAAGGCATCACTAATGACAGTAAGTTGGATAGAAACTATAGGGCCGGGCATGGCGGTTCACGCCTGCAATCCCAGCACTTTGGGAGGCCGAGGCAGGTGGATCACGAGGTCAGGAGATCAAGACCACCCTGGCTAACACAGTAAAACCCCGTCTCTACTAAAAATACAAAAATTAGCCAGGCGTGATGGCAAGCACCTGTAATCCCAGCTACTCGGGAGGCTGAGGCAGGAGAATCGCTTGAACCCGGGCAGCAGAGGTTGCAGTGAGCTGAGAGCGTGCCACTGCACTCCAGCCTGGGCGACAGAGTGAGACTCCGTCTCAAAAAAAATAAATAAATAAAAATTAAAAAAAAGAAACTATAAAACAGCCTGTCTTCATTGAAATTTGTTTTTGCTGATAAACTAGTTATGAAATGTCCTTTGGTTTCATGGCTTTCTGGATCCTGGAAAGGCAGATAAGGGACTGTGGACCTGTAGTACTTACTTCTAGGGTTGTTGGGAGATTTAGAAAAATTAATATATGTAAAGCACTTAGAATGACCTGGCACACTGCATTAGCTAGTGTAGGCGCTTGACAATATTACATAGTCCACTCCCTGCAGCCAGGTCTCTCCCTCCAGCATTCATACATCCCTGATCCGGTTTTCCCTCTCTTCGGGACGTCATAGAGCCTGTCCCTACCCAGCGAGTTGTGGGCCCTGCCAGGGAATAGGAAACGACCTGGGAGAATCCGCTGGCCCAGTTGTTGCCAGCTCCTCCTCCATGTTCCGACAGGTAGATGTTCTCTGGGTTGTAGAGCTTGGCATAGGGGGAGTTGAGGATGGAGTGGATCACCCGGGGTTCCAAGTCCAGCAGCACGGCCCGGGGGATGTAGTGCTCATCGTCTGCCTGTCAAGGGGAGTCCAGGAGGGGGCCCAATCAGCTAGGGCGGCCCAAGTCCGAAGTCCTCCCAACTCTGGCTCCCTCCGGCCCTCCCTCCTCAAGCCAGCCGCCTGGCCCTACTGCCCAGCGGGGTTCCCAGTACCAGGCCACTCCCTTCCCTTCCGCCCCCTTGGGCAACTGCCGCCCCCGGCCAAGTCGCTGGGGGCACCTGGTAGAAAAAGACGTCCTTGCGGTCAGTGCCCTCGGTGGCGAACTCCTCCACGATGCCCTCGGGGCTGATACCATGCTCGGCGCACAGCTGTTTCCAGAACTCGAACCCAACTGGGGGGAAGGGGCGGGCAGGGGAGAAAGAAGATATCTAGGTCCGGGCAGGTTCCAATCAGGAGCCGGGGGACTGGGCGCCTGCGTCCAGGGATAAGAAGTCAAGCCGCAGGACTCTCCCGTGTCTGAGGAAAGGACTGTACGCCAGGGACTGGGCAGGGGAGGGCCCCTCGGGGTTGGGCAAGTGGACACTGGGTCAGGGATGTCTCGCCTTTCAGAGAACTACGATTCTGGCAAGGACAGATGGAGTCCAGGATCCCACAGCGAGATCCCATTGACCCTAAGGAACCTGGCTAGCTGAGGGGCCGGAGTTTCGCTCACTCTGATTGCCGCACTGGCCCAACTGTAGGGTGATGATTTCCCTCGGCATCGCTCCTCAGGCACCGGCGTTGCAGCCGCTCCCGCCCGCAACGGCGCCGCACGCCAGCCCGCTCGCCGCAAGACGCAGGCGCCAAACAACCAGCTCCACCCACGAACTTCCTCCGCTCCAATGAGAATCGAGTTCTGGCAATGAATGGCACGTCTTTAAGCACTGGCCTTCGTTCATGCAGATTGCGCGTGCGCGGCTCCGGATGCGGCTCGGCGCCTCCGGATCCGGCTCCGCGCCTCAGTGAGGGCGGGGTACGGCGTCCTCCCTCCCCTCTGGGTGGGCGCCTGCTTGGGCCTGCGCGCAAGCGCGCTGTGGTGCGAAGCCACCTCCCCCGCCGAATCGCGCATCTGCGCAGTTGCTGTTATTGTGACTTGTCGGGCCACGGCCCCGGATGTTGTGGCTGCCGCGGGGAGATGGCTGAGGCCGAAGGGGTTCCCACGACCCCAGGCCCGGCTTCGGGGTCGACTTTCAGGGGCCGCCGAGATGTGTCAGGCTCCTGGGAGCGGGACCAGCAGGTTGAGGCGGCGCAGCGGGCCCTGGTGGAGGTGCTGGGGCCTTACGAGCCTCTGCTGAGTCGGGTGCAGGCAGCCCTGGTGTGGGAGCGGCCAGCTAGGAGCGCTCTGTGGTGCCTGGGGCTGAACGCGGCTTTCTGGTGAGAGAACTGGACCCTCGGAAACCCTCCGAGTCCCGAATTCGTTGGTTCCTCTAGGGCTCTACTTCTCGCCTGCCCTGTTTTCTTCGCTGCACTGGCTCCTTCCTGTACTTGCCTAATTTTGCCTCACCTCCTTCCACTCCATCCCGCCTGCAGGCTTCGGCACCCTAGTTCTTCCCAGGGCCGTCCACCCATCTTCTCTGCCTTACCTGTGCCCGCACCCCCGCCCCGCACATCTGGCGGGAGCTTCTGGTAACATCTTGAGCCGCTCAAGAGTGAGCGAGGGCTCCTCTTTTGAGCCCGACAAAGCTGCGTCCCTTTAAAGCCATCACTTCCTTTCTCTTGTCTGCTCAAGTGCAAGTTCTAGATTGTTTCCAGAGGTTTTAGTAGTTTATTGTTGGAGTAGAGGCGTGAAGTCTTGCAAAGGTATCCATAGGTGTGATTATAAAACAAGCTTGAGCGATTCGCATGAATTAGCATGTTATATATCTAGGAAGGAAGTTTATGAAGTCTAAGCGTCAGTGTGAGCCCCCAAAGCTGAAAATTGAAAGAAAATTACAAGCTTTTAAAGAACAGTTAGGAAATGATGACGGAGATTACACGCGTGTCAAAGCCACCTGTGATTGTAACTCCTCCCTGTTCCAAGGAATTAGAGAGGCATCCTTAGCCATGGTTTATAGGCAAGGAAATTGATGTCTAATACTGTGTGTGAGTTTTCCTGAGCTGGAAAAGTAGCACTGTAAATATGCTTTATTTGTGTGTGTCATGCTCTGTGAAAATGGAACTGCTGCTTCTCTCAGTTGTCATCACCTGAAGTGGACCTAGGACTTCATAGGATCTACCAACCATAATTTTGGATTTATTTGTAATGGAGGAGGTTCCAAGGGAACTGACTTATAGGGGGCTTTCTGCTGCTGAATGGATTAAGACTATTCTGGATAAGCCTGAAACAACAAAATATGTGTGTTTTTTAATTGTGTTTTTGCTAAAAATAGCTTTCCCCTTAAAATTTGTTTTAAAATCAAAACATTTATTATCCTTTATCTGAAAGATTTTCAGTGAGCTGAAGCAGAACAAATAATTCCAAGTTCATTGACCCGAAAACAGTGTTCAGCTATTAAGCTAATCCTCTCCCAGTTTGAAAGAGACCCAGTTAAAGGTGTCACAGTAGTCTCTGGCATTTGTGGCTTCCAGAGCCTTTAGCAAACTCGATGGTAAACTTTTCCTACCACGTTCTTCATTTATTTTTGGTAGTGCTTTTTCCCTTTTTTTTTTTTTTAAGACAGAGTTTCACTCTTATTGCCCAGGCTGGAGTGCAATGGCGTGATCTCGGCTCACTGCAACCTCCGCCTCCCAGATTCAAGCATTTCTCCTGCCTCAGCCCCCCAAGTAGCTGGGATTACAGGCATGAACCACCACAACCGGCTAATTTTGTATTTTTTTAGTAGAGATGGGGTTTCTCCATGTTGGTCAGGCTGGTCTCGAACTCCCGAGGTCAGGTGATCTGCCTGCCTCGGCCTCCCAAAGTGCTGGGATTACAGGCGTGAGCCACTGCGCCTGGCCTTTTTTTTTTTTTTTTTTTTTTTGAGACAAGGTCTTGCTCTATCACCCAGGCTGGAGTGCAGTGGTATGATCTCGGCTCATTGCAACTTCCACTTCCTGGGCTCAAGCAATCTTCCCACCTCAGCCTCCACAATAGCTGGGACCAGAGGTGCACATCATCATGCTTGGCTAATTTTTTAAATTTTTTGTGGAGACAGGGTCTCACTATATTGCCCAGGCTGGTCTCGAACTCCTAGGCTCTGGTGATCCTCCTGCCTTGGGCTCCCAGAGTGCTGGGATTATAGGCATGAGCCACCGTGCCCAGCCAAGTGCTTCTTCCTTGACCCCTAGGTACTGATTCCCATTGCTCTCTGTAGAAATCTTCACTATAGCACCTCACTGAAGAGTGTTTTATCCAGTCAAAACATTTCCCACAGTGGTTTTGGTATCTCTAGCAAGAAGGCTGGGCCTCATTAAACCAATTTGTATCAAAGTATGACTGCCTGATGGAAAAAAACACTTTATCAGGGTTTACTTATTTTTGTTTTGAGACAGTTTGGCTCTTGTTGCCCAGGCTGGAGTGCAATGGCACGATCTCAGCTCACTACAACCTCCTCCTCCCAGGTTCAAGCGATTCTCCTGCCTCAGCCTCCCGAGCAGCTGGGATTACAGGCATGCGCCACCAATGCCTGGCTAATTTTTGTATTTTTTTGTAGAGACAGTTTTGCCAGGTTGCCCAGGCTCGTCTCAAACTCCTGACCTCAAAGCAATCCACCTGTCTCAGCCTCCCGATGTGCTGGGATTACAGGTGTGAGCCACTGCACTGTACCGGGCCTTAAATGGATTTTTAAACCAAAGATTTATGAATGCAAATGAATTAGTAGCATGTATGCTGTTCTTTTTGAGGAGGGGACCTTTTTTTTTTAATTAATTTTTGTTTTTTGAGATGGAGTCTCGCTCTGTCGCCCAGGCTGGAGTGCAGTGGCGCCATCTCGGCCCACTGCAAGCTCTGCCTCCCGGGTTCACGCCATTCTCCTGACTCAGTCTCCCGAGTAGCTAGGATTGCAGGCACGCGCCACCACGCCCGGCTAATTTTTTGTATTTTTTTTTAGTAGAGACGGGATTTCACCGTGTTAGCCAGGATGGTCTCAATCTCCTGACCTCGTGATCTGCGAGGAGGGGACCTTTCTTCTGCCGCTTGTCTGAGAGAGGTTTCTGAAGCAGAATGTGAGGTTGAGGTCTGCACATAAAGAGCTGCTGTGACTGGGACATATCTTTAGATGTTACAGCTAGCTTTAATTTGCTGGCCTCTACCAGTGTTTACTTAAGCTTATTAACATGCTATGTTTAGAGGCTCACTTAGAACCCCTTTTGTACTCTGGGTCTCTTAAAGCATTGCTGTGATTGGTCTTTATCTTTGGCATTTCCTAGTAGCTTGTCTGTTGTGTATCCAGAACACAGTTACTCTTGTTACAGTCCCATCACATTTTAAGAAGGTGCAGGAGAGAGACAACAAAATGAGGATGTGACTTTTTTTTTTTTTTTTTTTTTTTGAGATGGAGTCTCGCTCTGTCACCCAGGCTGGGGTGCAATGGCGTGATCTTGGCTCACTGCAACTTCCACCTCCTAAGTTCAAGCGATTCTCCCACCCCAGCCTCCCGAGTAGCTGGGATTACAGGCACCCACCATCACGTCTGGCTAATTTTTGTATTTTTGTAGGGCAGAGTTTCACCATGTTGGCCAGGCTGGTCTTGAACTCCTGACCTCAGGTGATCCACCCACCTCGGTCTCCCAAAGTGCTGGGATTACAGGTGTGAGCCACTGTCCCTGGCCGACAATGTGACTCTTGAGACTAAAAGAACAGTTGGGTATGCCATTTCTGGAGAGGACTCCTACATGTGAAAGGCACAGATACTGTTAAGTCCCCAGAAACTTGGATAGTCTGGCATTGGAGTTCACAGAATTGTTTGGGGAAATGAGCTTCCTTGGTAGGTAATTAGAGATTTAAAATGAAATTTGGGCTTCACATTCTAGTAGTGTCATATTGAGTATGAGTGTTGACATTTCGCTTAGAAATGTGGAAGAGTGACTGACTGTTCAGTTAACAAACATTTTAAATGTTTAAGAAAGGGAGGAGGATCATTAGCTCAAGTCAGAAAAATCAAATCTGAAATATTTAGTTTCTCTTTTATTGTATTGAATAATGGGACAAAAATGACATATCATTAACTGAGATTTTTATGCATTTTGAGGTATTAGGAGATAGGAGTACAAAAAAAAACCCATCAGAATTCAGGTAGGTAGCTCTTAATTTTCAGTGTTTTGTATCCTCAGTCATATTTTGCCGTAACTGTGAATATGCCCTCTTACATCTTAAAAAAAAAAAAAAAAGATGGAGATAGATGTAGATACCTTGTCACCATAGTATTCCAAGGTTTTCATACTTTTTTTTTTTTCAGGTACCAGAGAATTTATGGTGGCCATATCAGAGGTCTTCCAGCCTAGATTACTTCTGGTCACTGATCTGTTATTGTCTCTAGCATAATAATAGAAATGTCAGGCCGTTCCTTCCAATAGCTTGTGTTTTCATTAGTCTCAACCTCATCTGTGAATGAGTGATTTGGGGGAAGAATGTGAGAGTCAACAAGCATGTATCCTGACAGGATCAGAAAAGAACAGGTTTGGGTAACTTTTTGGTTTGACTTGTACTCTGAGATCAGAGGAGGGTAAATGAACACTGGAAATGTGTGAACTCCAAGCTCCCTCTCCCACCTAACATGAAGAGATAGTTCAAGGAGGCCTACATAACTGCTGAGCTCTTTCAGTTTTTTTTTTTTTTTTTTTTTTTTGCTGGGGAATCGGGGGTTGTTGGGCTGGACAGGGTCTCCCTCTGTTGCCCAGGCTGGAGTGCAGTGGCACAATCATAGCTCACTGCAGCCTCTACCTCCTGGGCTCCAGCAGTCCTCTTGCCTCAGTCTTCCAAGTAGCTGGGACTAGAGGCACATGCCACTGGGCCCAGCCTATTTGCAAAACTTTTGTAGAGACAGAATCTCAATATGTTGCCCAGGCTGGTCTCAAACTCCTCATCTCTAACAGCCCTCCCGGCTTGGTCTCCTAAAGTGCTAGGATTACAGGCATGACCCACTGCACCTTGACTGCTTTGTGGTTTTTAACAATCTGTGAATCTACATAGTCTATGAATTAGGAATATTGTTTTGGAGCAGTCCACAAGCTGAGTCCCAAGTAGAGATCTCTGTTGGGATCTGCTTTTTGCAGTCACTAGTCTCAGTGAACCATACTGTATTTCTAGGAGGTTATTATAGAATTTGTTATTTCACAAATGAAATGTAAAAATTTTATTTTTGTCCGCCCCCCCAAAAAAATAAATAAATAAAAATGACCCAAAAAAGTGATTAAGGATATACAGCAATTCTGAGTTAGAAGGTTAGGATTTGAGTAAAAAATAATAGAAACAAGAAATGGAAGATGGGGAGCCCATTTAAGTAGAGATATTTGTTCTGTTAAAAAAAATCTACACATCTGATTTCTTTTCTTTTTTTTTTTTTTGAGACGGAGTCTCGCTCTGTCGCCCAGGCTGGAGTACAGTGGCGCGATCTCGGCTCACTGCAAGCTCCACCTCCCGGGTTCACGCCAGTCTCCTGCCTCAGCCTCCCGAGTAGCTGGGACTACAGGCGCCCGCCACCATGCCCACCTAATTTTTTGTATTTTTAGTAGAGACCGGGTTTCACCGTTTTAGCCAGGATGGTCTCAATCTCCTGACCTCGTGATCCGCCCGCCTCGGTCTCCCAAAGTGCTGGGATTACAGGCGTGAGCCACCGCGCCCGGCTACACATCAGATTTCTAATGAAATCTGTTGAGTGAATGTTCCTGATGATAGTCTTTGCAGGGTTCTTGTCTTTGTGAGCCGAGAAGACTCCCAAGGATGCCTTGGTTTATTTACTTCCCCTCTCTTTACCTTTAGTTTTTATCTGCCCTAATTGTATGGTTGAGTGCTTTCTCTCCACTGTTAGCAGCTAGCTGATTTCATTTCTGGTTTTTTTGCAAGCAACAACTGTCACTGCATGATATAGGTTGGGTTAATTTTTCCTTTGAATTTACCGGTGACTTGGGCTCATTAACCAGGCGGTCACAAGTGCTGTACAGTAACAGGCTTTCTGTCCCTGTAGAATGGGATGCTTTGTTTTGAAGTGCCCTTGAGACAATCTTAATCTGTAATAACAAAGGAACCTAGAAATCATGTCTTTGAAAATAGACATGTGGTCATTATTTATGATTATAGCAAACTTTAATTTACTGGTACTAATAGTGAGGCTCCATGGTATAGTTAATCACAAAAGTTTATGTTTGGTTCTGGAATTTCTCACGATGTTTCTGGACACCAATTGCTATTCCAGGGATATTTTATTTAGACTGATCATTTAATTGGATTTTAGTCCCTGACAGAGTGGAGGGACAGTTCACAAAAGGGGAAAAAAAAATCAATGGATATATAAAATTTCACTCTCACAAATAAGAAAAGAATTCAAATATATGTAAATGGAAATTATTTACTAATTTCTATCTTAAGTTTTTTTTTTGGCGGGGGACAGGATCTCACTGTCGCCCAGGCTCGAGAGCAGTGGTGTGATCATGGCTTATTGCAACCTCAACCTCTGGGCTCAAGCCATCCTCCCACCTCAGCCTCTCAGGTAGTGGGGACTACAGGTGTGTGTCACCACACCTGGTTAATTGTTTTGTATTTTTCGTAGAAACAAGGTTTCACCATGTTGCCCAGGCTGGTCTTGAACTCCTGGGCTCCAGCAGTCCACCCACCTTGGCCTCCCAAAGTGCTGGGATTACAGGTGTGAGCCTCCACACCTGGCCTTAAGTATTTTTAATGATCATAATTAATTCTGGGGAAAATATGGAAAAATGGGCATATGGCTGATAGGAACATAAATTGGACAGCCTTTCTAGCAAGTAGTTTGGTAACATATTTTAAGCCACTTAAGAAGCTTTTCCAGGGCTGGGGGAAATGGAGAAAGAATACTAATGGGTATGGGTTTCTTTTGGAGTGATGAAAATGTTCTGAAATTACATAAGGCTATTAGTCGTACAGCATTGTGATTTTTTTTTCATCTCTGCTGCTGGCAGATGAATTGAAAGAGAATTTTATCGTATACAAACCATTATCTCAATAAAGCTATTTTCTTACTTTTTTTTTTTTGAAACGGAGTCTTACTCTGTGGCCCAGACTGGAGTGCAGTGGCATGATCTCAGCTCACTGCAACCTCTGCCTCCCAGATTCAAGCAGTTCTCCTGCCTCAGCCTCCCAAGTAGCTGGGACTACCGGCGTGCACCACCATGTCTTGGCTGATTTTTGTATTTTTAGTAGAGATGGAGTTTCACCATGTTGGCCAAAGTGGTCTTGAACTCTTGACCTCAAGTGACCCACCTGCCTCGGCCTCCCAAAGGCTGGGATTACAGGTGTGAGCTACGGTGCCCGACCAATAAAGCTATTTGTTTAAAATAGTTAATGCCTTTGACCCAGTAACATGCTCAGTGATGTATAGTTCAGCTTTTATTACATCAAAAAATTGGAAACTTTTGGCTGGGCGCAGTGGCTCATGCCTATAATTCTCAGCACTTTGGGAGGCCGAGGCAGGCAGGTCACCTAAGGTCGGGAATTCAAGACCAGCCTGACCAACAATGGAGAAACCCCATCTCTACTAAAAATGCCAAATCAGCCGGGCATGGTGGCGCATGCCTGTAATCCCAGCTACCTTGGGAGGCTGAGGCAGGAGAATCCGTTGAACCTGGGAGGCAGAGGTTGTGGTGACCCGAGATCGCGCCACTGCACTCCAGCCTGGGCAACAAGAGCAAGACTCCGTCTCAAAAAAAAAAAAAAAAAAAAAGTTGGAACCTTCTTAGTTTATTTTTCGTTTATTTTTCTTTTCTTTTTTTTTTTTGAGAGAGTCTCGCTCTGTCTGTTGCCCAGGCTGGAGTGCAGTGGCGCGATCTCGGCTCACTGCAAGCTCCGCCTCTCAGGTTCACGCCATTCTCCTGCCTCAGCCTCCCGAGTAGCTGGGACTCCAGGCGCCCACCACCACTCCCGGCTAATTTTTTGTATTTTTTAGTAGAGCCAGGGTTTCACCGTGTTAGCCAGGATGGTCTCGATCTCCTGATCTCGTGATCTGCCTGCCTCAGCCTCCCAAAGTGTTGGGATTACAGGCTTGAGCCACCGTCTTAGTTTATTTTATTTTATTTGAGATGGAGTCTTCCTGTGTTGCCCAGGCTGGAGTGCAGTGGCACAATCTCAGCTCACTGCAACCTCCGCCTCCCGGATTCAAGCAGTTCTCCTGCCTCAGCCTCCTGAGTAGCTGGGATTACGGGCACCCGCCACCATGCCTAGCTAATTTTTGTATTTTTAGGTAGAGATGGGGTTTCACCATGTTGGCCAGGCTGGTCTTGAACTCCTGATGTCAAGTGATCTACCTGCTTCAGCCTCCCAAAGTGCTGGAATTACAGGTTTGAGCCACTGCGCCTGGCCCATTCATTGTTTTTTTTGAGAGAAGGTTTCACTCTGTCACCCAGGCTAGATTGCAGTGGTGTGATCATGGCTCACTGTACCCTGGAACTCCTGAGCTCAAGTGATCATTCCACCTCATGGCTGATGAGACCACAGGAGTTCATCACCACATCAGGCTAATTGTCTATGTATTATGTGAAAAAGTTTTAAAACCATAGTGTTTTTATATGTGAATTTTTTAATGAAGAGAATAGCCTGTCTTCACACTTTTTAGAGTACATATGTGGATAATGGATCATTTTAAAAATATTTTATTATGGAAAGCTTAAAACATGTGTAAGTAGGCAGAATAATATTGTGTGCCACCATGTACATAATATTATTTTTTTCAATTCCTGGCCAATTTTGTGTCTTCCATACCCCAGTTCTTTTCTACGTCTTCCTTATTGTTTGACACAAATTATTGATGTGTCATATCATTTAATCTAGGTATTTCAGTATATTTTTCTGAAAAAGAGACTTTAAGAAACATCTGCCATCATTATCACATGCAAAAAATTAATGATTCTAGTCAGTGTTCACATTTCCAATTTTCTTATAAATGTCATAAATGATACTTTTTTTTTTCTTTTCGAGACAGGGTCTTGCTCTGTCTCCCAAGCTGGAGTGCAGTGGCACAATCAGAGCTCACTGCAACCTCAACCTTCTGGCTCTAGCAATCCTCCCACCTCAGCTTCCCAAGTAAATGGGAGTACAAGCGTGCACCACCACACCTAGCTAATGTTTTTCTTTTCAGTAGAGATGAGGTCTTGCTGTGTTGCCTAAGCTGGTCTCAAACTCTTTGACTCAAGTGATCCTCCTGCCTCGGCCTCCCAAAGTATTGGGATTACAGGCTTTAGGTACCACATGTGGCCTGTTGTGTGTGGTTTTATTTGTTGTTTTTTTTTTAAACTCTTTTTTTCCCCACAAACCAATTTGTTAGTGTTTAGGTGGTTTTTTCTGTTTTGCTTTTTTGTTTTTTGAGATAGGGTCTCGCTCTGTCACCCAGGCTGGGGTACAGTGGCACGATAACGGCTCGCTGCAACCTCAGTTTCCCGGACTCAAGCTGTCATCCCACCTCAGCCTGTTGAGTAGCTGGGATTACAGGTGCCCGCCACTATGCCCAGCTAATTTTTTGTATTTTTAGTAGAGACGGGGTTTCGCCATGTTGGCCAGGCTTGTCTCGAACTCCTGACCTCAGGTGATCCACCTGCCTTGGCTTCCCAAAGTGCTGGGATTACAGACGTGAGCCACCATGCCTGTACTTTTTTTTCGATAAACATGAATTCATGTTAGTTGTATAATTTTTTTTTTTTTTTTTTGAGACGGAGCCTTACTCTGTCACCCAGGCTGGAATGCAATGGCACAATCTCAGCTCACTGCAACCTCTGCCTCCTGGGTTCAAGCGATTGTCCTGCCTCAGCCTCCTGAGTAGCTGAGATTACAGGCATACACCACCACGCCCGGCTAATTTTGTATTTTTAATAGACATGGAGTTTCTCCATGTTAGCTAGGCTGGTCTCAAACTCCCGATCTCAGGTTATCCACCCACCTAAGGCTCCCAAAGTGCTGGGATTATAGGCATGAGCCACTGTGCCCAGCCAACAACCCTATTTCAATTTTTCCAGCCTACCACCTAAAGGATACTGTGACTATATGTAAGATTAAAGAATAAAAGCAGTTTAACAGAAATAAGCCTCTAGAGCTGCCTCAGGCCATTGATCTTCTCTCTAAAGCCAGTGCATCATCCCAACAAACAAGCACATTTAACAAGGCCAAGGAGAAGAGCTCTAGGGTTTCTTGCTCCCCAGTGCTGCTGCTTCCCTTCCCCAGCAGCAGCACATGGCATCGCTGTTTTCTCCAGAGTACTTGAAAGGGCTCTCTAGGGAGGCTTGCCAGACTGTTGGCAATTTCCCCTTCCCAGAGCACGATTACTAACACAAATAGAAACTAGGGTAGGGAAAGGATATTAAGCTCTCCTAAGAAGGTTGGTTTTCCAGAGATGATGGCAATAAAAACATATCCCTTATAATAAACTGGTAAACATTAAAAAAAAAAGACTGTTTTCTAAGACCTGGACTATTTAAATTGCTTGTTACAGCCCTTACCTTCCATTCTTATAAGCTATGCTTCAATTCAATTCAACATACCTTTGAGTACCTGTTACATGCCAAGGCCTTGTGGTAAGAAGCCCAGTTACAGAAAAAAATAAGACACAAACTTTACTCTCAAGTAAATTCATGTGTGTTTGTGTTCACGATATAACGTGACAGGTAATAATAACAAACAGGAAGATATCTAAGCTGTGATTTGCAAGATAAATGTTAAGGAAATGGGGCCGAAAGGTGTGGTAAGAGAGAGAAGACATTCAGATAGGGAAAACACCAATCTAGTAAGATACTTAAGGAATTGCAAGTAGTTTGATAAAACTGAAATATAAAAAACAAAGGGAGGGAATCAGTGTGGGGAGAGAGGCAGGATCCAGATCATGAAGGCCCTTTTATGACGGGGTAATGGGATTTCATCCTGCAGATGAAGATAAGCCAATAGTTTCATAAAGGGTATATTTTCTGGGTCTTGAAGGCTAAAATTGTGAGCATCTTCCATAACAAGATTAATCCTTGTCCATAAATCAATTTTAGTCCCAGATTTATCTTTTTTTGGAACAAGCCACAATAATAACTTCAGAGGAAGAGGCCGGGTGCGGTGGCTCACGTCTGTAATCCCAGCACTTTGGGAGGCTGAGGCGGGTGGATCATGAGGTCAGGAGATCGAGACAATCCTAGCTAACATGGTAAAACCCCGTCTCTACTAAAAATACAAAAAATTAGCCGGGCGTGGTGGCGGGCGCCTGTAGTCCCAGCTACTCGGGAGGCTGAGGCAGGAGAATGGCATGAACCCGAGAGATGGAGCTTGCAGTGAGCCGAGATCGCACCACTGTACTCCAGCCTGGGCAACAGAGCGAGACTCCGTCTCAAAAAAAAAAAAAAAAAAAAAAACTTCAGAGGAAGAAGAGTTTTCTTTGTGGTATAAAATAACGTTTCTTGGCCAGGCGCGGTGGCTTATGCCTGTAATCCCAACATTTTGGGAGGCTGAGGCGAGCTGATCACTTGAGATCAGGGATTCGAGACCAGCCTGGCCAACAAGACGAAACTCCGTCTCTACTAAAAATACAAAAATTAGCTGGGCGCAGTGGCGCACACCTTAACCCCAGCTACTCAGGAGGCTGAGGCAGGAGTATTACTTGAACCCTGGAGGCGGAGGTTGAAGTGAGTGGAGATCTGTGCCACTGCACTCTAGCCTGGGTGACAGAGTGAGACTCTGTCTCAAAAAAAAAAAAAAAAAAAAAAAAAAAATATATATATATATATATATATATATATATATATATATACACACAAAATATATATATACACAAAAATATATATACGAAATATATATATATATATATACACACACACACACACACACACACACAAAATAGATTCTGGCTGGGCGCGGTGGCTCATTCCTGTAATCCCAGCACTTTGGGATGCCGAGGTGGGTGGATCACAAGGTCAGGAGATCGAGATCATCCTGGCTAACATGGTGCAACCCCGTCTCTACTAAAAATACAAAAATTAGCTGGGCGTAGCGGTGCATGCCTGTAATCCCAGCTACTCAGGAGGCTGAGGCAGGAGAATTGCTTGAACCTGGGAGGCAGAGGTTGCAGTGAGCCAAGATCACGCCACTGCACTCTAGCCTGGCGACAGAGCTAAGACTCCGTCTCAAAAAAAAAAAAAAAGAAAAAATAGATTCTTCTGGCCAGGTACAGCGGCTCATGCCTCTAATCCCAGTACTTTGGGAGGTCGAAGCGGGCGGATCACTTGAGATCAGGAGTTTGAGACCAGCCTAGCCAACATGGTGAAACCTTGTCTCTATTTAAAAAATTTAAAAATTAGCTGGGCATGGTGAGGGCACCTGTAATCTCAGTTACTTGGGAGACTAGGACAGGAGAATTGCTTGAACCCAGGAGGCAGAGGTTGCAGTGAGCCAAGATGGCGCCATTGCACTTCAGCCTGGGTGACAAAGCCAGACTCTTATCTCAAAAAAAAAAAAAAAATTCTTCCAAACAGCAAAACTTAATAGACAGATCACCTCAAAGAACTAGAGTTGACCCCTCCAAGGTAACCAGGTAATTAATATTAATGTTCTCTTACAGGTTTATCAAATATAAAATGGTATAGATAAGTGTGTGCTTCTCCTTTCCTTCCAGCCCTCAACACAAAATTCCTAAATAAAAGGGAGTATCAACATCAGATTGATGTATTTTGTATATAATAAGGTCACATTATACTTGTCATTTTAGAGATGTAACCTAGAAGTCAAGCGGTAAAACAAGCTTTGCAACTATGTGGATGGACAAGATGTAATTGAAGATGAAGTACTTTAGAGATGGTATGGGTAAGGAATGGAGGAAAAAAAGGGAGGATTCCTCTGCATTCGTTTAGTCCTGCAATGTCTATTCATGCGGGCCAAAAAACTCACAAGCAGATAAAACAGTGTAATAAGAAAAAAACTAAAACATTTTTATTTCTTTTTTTTTTTTTTTTTTTTTTTTTTTTTTTTTTTTTTTTGAGAAAGGGTCTCAGATTTGTCAGCCAGGCTGGAGTGCAGTGGCACAACCACGGCTCACTGGGGCCTCAACCTTTCAGGCTCAAGCAAGCCTCCTGAGTAGCTGAGACTACAGGTTTGCATCACCATACCTGGCTAATTTTTTTTTTTTTTTAAATAGAGACAGGGTCTCACTATATTGTCCAGGCTGGTCTCGAACTCCTGGGCTCAAGCCATCCTCCCACCTCAGCCTCCCAAAGTGTTGGGATTATAGGTGTAAGCCATTGCACCCGGCTGAAAACATTTTTCGGCAACGATAATGAGCGTGAGAACTTTCCAACTTGGCAAAAACAACTGCAAATATAGTCAACTCTGGAAATTCACACATGAATTATTCAGTTTGGGGACTGTGATAGCCTGTTACTCCTTCTACCTACTGTAGGCTCACAATCTATTTTTTCTTAATGATTTTTTTTTTTTCTTAGACAGGGCCTTGCCCTGTTTCCCAGCCTGGGGTGCAGTGGCGTGAACACGTTCACTGCTGCCTCAACCTCCTGGACTTAACCAACCAATCCTCCTGCCTCAGCGCGCTGAGGCAGGGAGAATCAATCTCTTGAATCTGGGAGGTGGAGGTTTCAGTGAGCGGAGATCATGCCATTGCACTCCAGCCTGGGCGACCAAGAGAGAGACTCCGTCTCAAAAAAAAAAAAAAAAAAGAAAGAAAGAAATAGGGTTGTCATTGGTGACTGGATTTCTGAGTTCTTGTTCCCGTCCATCCCTCATTCTTTGTATGATTTTAAAATGTTATTTTTAAAAATTATGGCCAGGTGTCATGCCTCACACCTGTAATCCCAGCTACTTGGGAGGCTGAGGCAGGAGAATTGCTTGAACCTGGGAGGCAGAGGTTGCAGTGAACTGAGATCGTGCCACTGCACTCCAGCCTGGGTCACAAGAGCAAGACTCTGAAGAAAAAAAAAAGGGCCAGAGTGCGGTGGCTCATGTCTGTAATCCCAGCACTTTGGGAGGCCAAGGTAGGATCACGAGGTCAGGGAGTTCAAGACCAGCCTAGCCAATATGGTGTCTCAAAAAATTCCGTCTCAAAAAAAAAGTACAAAAGGCCAGGCGCAGTGGCTCATGCCTGTAATCCCAGCACTTTGGGAGGCTGAGGCAGGCAGATCACGAGGTCAAGAGATCGAGACCATCCTGGCCAACATGGTGAAACCCCGTCTCTACTAAAAATACAAAAAAAATTAGCTGGACGTGGTGGTGCATGCATGTAGTCCCAGCTACTCGGGAGGCTGAGGCAGGAGAATCGCTTCAACCAGAAGGTGGAGGTTGCAGTGAGCCAAGATCGCGCCATTGCACTCCAGCCTGGGCAACAAGAGTGAAACTCCGTCTCAAAAAAAAAAAAAAAAAAAAGTAAAAAAAAAAATCTACAAACAAAACGTAAAGTTCCTTAGGCCAGTCCCCCATTTATGTATGTATATTCAAATGTACAGCCGGATAAACGTATGTATGTATGTATTTATTTTGAGACGGAGTTCCACTCTGTCGCCCAGCCTGGAGTGCAGTAGCGCAATCTCAGCTCACTGCAAGCTCCGCCTCGCAGGTTCACGCCATTCTCCTGCCTCAGCCTCCCGAGTAGCTGGGACTACAGGCACCTGCCACCATGCCCGGCTAATTTTTTTATTTTTTGTATTTTTAGTAGAGATAGGGTTTCAACGAGTTAGCCAGGATGGTCTCGATCTCCTGACCTCGTGATCTGCCCGCCTCAGCCTCTCAAAGTGCTGGGATTACAGGCGTGAGCCACCGCGCCCAGCCTTTATTTTGAAATGGAGTCTTGCTTTGTCTCCCAGTCTGGAGTACAGTGGCGCGATCTCAGCTCACTGCAACCTCCACCTCCCAGGTTCAGGCGATTCTCCTGCCTCACCCTCCCGAGTAGCTGGGACTACAGGCACGCCACTGCACCTGGCTAATTTTTGTACTTTTAGTAGAGACAGGGTTTCGCCATGTTGTCCAGGCTGGTTTTGAACTCCTAACCTCAGGTGATCTGCCCACCTTGGCCTCCCAAAGTGTTGGAATTACAGGCGTCAGCCACCATGCCTAGTCTTTTCGGAATACTGTGAAATGCTATTTATATTCTGTTCTAATCTATACATGATTTTCATATTGGCTCCAATATTTGTTTTTTTGAGACCAGAATCTCACTCCGTTACCCAGGCTGGAGGTGCAGTGGTGCGATCTCCGCTCACTGCAACCTCTACCTCCGAGGCTAGCAATTCTTGTGACGCAGTCCCCCAGGTAACTGGGACCGCAAGCGCGCCACCATGCTCAGCTCATTTTTTGTATTTGTTTTTAGAGATGGTGTTTCCCCATGTTGCCGAGGCTTGTCTCGAGCTCCTGAGCTCAAGCAGTCTGCCTGCCTCAGCCTCCCAAAGTGCTGGGATTACAGGCATGAGCCACCACACCTGGCCAGGGCTCTATAGTTCATGTTCACATCACATGTTACTTAGGGGGAAAAAAGGGAAAAAATGACCCAGAGTGTAGCATTTATGCTATCTGTACTAATCTGTGTTTCTGAATTTCCTCATTTAATATTAAACCAAAATAGATCTGAAAAAAATAACTACCTTAACACTTAGCATCTAAAAGAAAAAAATTCCTTAGTATCATTAGATGTGTTCTCAATGTCAGATTTCTCAGATTGTTCAATTTTTTTTTTTTTTTTTTTTTTTGAGACGGAGTCTTGCTCTGTCGCCCAGGCTGGAGTGCAGTGGCGCGATCTTGGCTCACTGCAAGCTCCGCCTCCCAGGTTCACGCCATTCTCGTCTCAGCCTCCCGAGCAGCTGGGACTACAGGCGCCCGCCACCATGCCCAGCTAATTTTTTTGTATTTTTAGTAGAGACAGGGTTTCACCATATTAACCAGGATGGTCTCGATCTCCTGACCTCAAGATCTGCCCGCCTCTGCCTCCCAAAGTGCTGGGATTACAGGCTTGAACCACCACGCCTGGCCTCAAAATTTTTTTATGGTTGATTCCTTCAAATAAGAACTAGCTTTTCCTTTACCTTATTGATGTGATGCCTTACACTTACTGATTTTTTTGTATGTTAAACCGCCCTTGCAGTCTTGGGATAAATCTCATTTGTTCATGGTGTATAATACTTTTAATATGCTGCTGAATTTAACTTGCTAGTATTTTATTGAAGATTTTTACATCTATATTCATAAGGAATATTGGTCTACAGTTTTATTGTGTCTTTGGCTTTGGTATCAGGATAATGCTGGCCTCACAAAATAAATCAAGAAGTGTTTCCTTTTTTTGGTTTTTTGGAAGAGTTTGAGAAGCATTTGTGTTAATTCTGGAGAACTTGCTTTTATTTATTTATTTATTTTGAGACAGAGTCTCACTCTGTTGCCCAGGCTGGAGTGCAGTGGCATGATCTTGGCTCACTGTAACCTCCGCCTCTTGGGTTCTAGCAATTCTCGTGCTTCAGCCTCCCAGGTAGTTGGGATTACAGGCATGCCTCAGCCTCCCAGGTAGCTGGGATTACAGGTGCACACCACCACACCCGGCTAATTTTTGTATTTTTGGTAGATACGGAGTTTCACCATGTTGGCCAGGCTGGCCTCAAACTCCCGACCTCAGGTGATCCACCTGTCTCAGCCTCCCAAAGTGCTGGGATTACAGGCTTGAGCCACTGTGCCTGGCCAGAACTTGCTTTTCAATATAGCTTTTATGCCAACTTTCTGTGTGACCTTAATCAAATATTTTTCAGGCCTCAGTTCCTAGATCTGTAAAAAGATATGTAATTGAATTAAATGCTCTTGAGTGCATCTCTGTCAGTTTGTTGCCCTACACTAGGGTCTAATTTGGTAGAAAGATGTTTGCTTTCATTATAACAACTTGTTATCAAGGATGAATTTCTCCGTGAAATTAATAGAGATATAGACTGGAAAGCAGAAGGAGCTTTAAGAGGTTATTTGATTTAGTCCTCTGCCTTTACAGCAGCAAATTATTTTCTCTGCCCCATAGGTAGAGTAGTTAAGGTCCAGAAGGTTTAAATGATTTACCCTAGGTGTATAACTAGTTAAGTGTCAGAACAAAAAAAGCTAGACCTCAAGTCTGTTTACCACAGAGCCCATCGTACACACGTGGCCTTTTCTGAAATTAGGATAACTAGGTAAATGATCTTTCTTCTGTTTTTCTTCCTCTGTAGGTTTTTTGCCCTGACATCTCTTCGTCTTGTGTTTTTACTTGCATTTGGCTTGATGATCATTGTGTGTATTGATCAATGGAAGAACAAAATCTGGCCTGAAATAAAAGGTGAGTTTGGTAGCATTTAGAACAATCTGAACTGAAGATGGCCTTTCCTATAATTTGTACCTTTAGTATTAGGGGTTTATGAGGAGGTGTATGGAGCTGGGGACTGTCTTTTGAAGTCTGAATCATTTGCTTTAGGAGGCACTTGAAGGGCTTGTGCCCCAATTATGGTTCCTTAGAGCTGGGTTCTGCCCTTCCCATTGTTACTAAGCACAGGAAATCTGTACTCACCACCTGAGTTATTTTTGCCAACATAATGGCCTGAGGAATAAGTAGTCCTCAAATGAAAAATAATAAATTATCGTTATTGGACACTGCATCTTTATTGAGGCAGTACCTCTCAGGAATTCCTTTTACATTGCTCATTTGCAAAACACTAGGCTAGGCAATTGTGACTTATAGAAAGTACCATGATGGCCGGGCGCAGTGGCTAACGCCTATTAGTAACCCCTGCACTTTGGGAGTCCGAGGCGGGTGGATCACCTGAGGTCAGGAGTTCGAGCCCAGCCTGGCCAACATGATGAAACCCCGTCTAATAAAAATACAAAAAATTAGCTGGGCATGGTGATGCATACCTGTAATCTCAGCCACTAAGGAGGCTGAGGCAGGAGAATCACTTGAACCTGGGAGGCGGAGGTTGCAGTGAGCCGAGATCGTGCCACTGCACTCCAGCCTCGGTGACAAGAGCAAAACTCAGTCTCAAAAAAAAAAAAAAAGAAAGTACCATGACATGTGGTGTCTTTTTAAAAAGCTAATACATACATAAACAAATGAAAAATTAAGTGACAATTATAGACCAGCACCACAGATGTCACAGTGCAGTATGTGATTAGTATACTTAGCATGTATTTTTTCCCTAGCCTGAGAGTGGAACAAAGCAAAAGATTTGAACAGATTGAGAAAAAAGTCTGTTTCTAGAGAGTCCAGTGGCTTGATTAGTCTGAGGAACCAGAAGTTGCAAAGCATTTCCTGACATCAGAGAATTGATCATATGGCCAGGATGAAGGTTCATTAAAGGGAGTGCTAGGAAATAAAACTGAAAGTATGTTGGGATTAGGTTTTTTGTTGGTTTCTTTTCTTTTCTTTTCTTTTGAGACGGAGTCTCACTCTGTTGGCCAGGCTGGACTGCAGTGGCATGATCTTGGCTCACTGCAACCTCCGCCTCCCAGGTTCAAGTGATCCTCCTGCTTCAGCCCTGCTAGTAGCTGGGATTACAGGCACGCACCACCATGCCTGGCTAATTTTTGTATTTTTGTTAGAGACGGGGTTTTACCATGTTGGCCAGGCTGGTCTCGAACTTCTGACCTCAGGTGATCCACCCGCCTAGGCCTCCCAAAGTGCTGGGATTACAGGCGTGAGGCACCGCACCTGGCGCATTCTTTTTTTTCAGACAGAGTCTTGGTCTGTCACCCAGGCTGGAGTGCAGTGGCGCAATCATGGCTCACTGTGGCCTCAACCTTCCGGGCTCCAGCAATTCTCCCACCTTAGCCACCTGAGCAGCTGGGACTATAGGCACTTGCCACCATGTCCAGCTAATTTTTGTATTTTTTCTATAGATGGGGTTTCTCCATGTTGGTCAGGCTGGTCTTGAACTCCCAACCTCAGATGATCTGCCCGCCTCAGCCTTCCAAAGTACTGGGATTACAGACGTGAGTCACCGCGCCCAGCCCTATTCTTATTTTTTAACAAACTAGGTCTCACTGTGTTGTCCAGGTTTTGGAGTACAGTGGCATGATCATAGCTCACTGCAACCTCAAATCCCTGGGCTTAAGTGATCCTCCCACCTCAGTCTCCCAATTAGCTGGGACTACAGGTGCATACCACCACACCCAGCTAAGTAAAAAAAATTTTTTTTGAGACAGAATCTCACTTTGTTGCTCAGGCTGGAGTGCAGTGGCGCGATCTTGGCTCGCTGCAACCTCCACCTCCCAGGTTCAGATGATTCTCCTGCCTCAGTCTCCTGAGTAGCTGGGACGACAGGCGTGCACCACTACGCCCAGCTAATTTTTTTGGTATTTTTAGTAGAAATGGGGTTTCGCCATGTTGGCCAGGCTGGTCTTGAACTCCTGACCTCAAGTGATCCGCGTGCCTTGGCCTTCCAAAGTGCTGGGATTACCTGCGTGGGCCACCACGCCCAGCCGATAATAAAGATTAATTTAGTAGCATTTTTAGGACCACATGGAAGGAGGAAAAGTGGAACAGGATGACCTGTTAGGAGACTGTGGCAGTGTCTTTGTGAGAAGTAGTCAGAGAGGCCTCAGTGAATACAAATGATGGATGGCCTGGAGAGCTGTGAATAAGGAAGATCAAGACATAAATAGTTGGGGCCAGGTGCAGTGGATCATGCCTGTGATCTCAGCACTTTGGGAGGCCAAGGCAGGAGAATTGCTTGAGCCAAGGAATTTGAGACCGGCCTGGACAACGTGGCGAAACCTTGTCTCTACAAAAAATAAAAAAATTACCCAGGCATGGTGGTGTGCACCTGTGGTCCCCAGCTACTTGGGAGGCTGAAGTGGGAAGATCCCTTGAGCCCTGGAGGTTGAGGCTGCAGTGAGCCGTGATCGCACCACTGTACTCCAGCCAAGACAACAGGGCGACACCTGTCTCAGAAAATAATAATTGTTATATATGTATAATAAAAGACATAAGTGGATGGGGGTTAAAGCTAAGAGAGTGGCAGAATGGCATTACACTTAGCAGGCAAAGGCAGACAGGAAAGTTGGTTTGAAGGGGTGAGAGAGGAAAACTGATGTAGATTTTAGGCAGGTTAATTTTGAAGTGTTGGCAAGATATTCAAACCAGAGTATACAGGTTTTAAATACATGCCCATCATATTTTATAGAGACTTCAAGGAATCGTGTAGTTCATCTGCCTATCTAATGGCTGGTGAATCTCAAAAGACTTATACATCATTCAGGTAGATAATGGGTCTCCCCATTTTTTTTTTTTTTTGGTTAGAGACAGGGTCTCACTGTGTTTCCCAGGATGGACTTGAACTCCTGGGCTCAAGTGATCCTCCTGCCTCAGCCCCCCAAGGAGGCAGAACTATAAGTGAGCATCACTACACCTAGCTCTGGGTCTCTTTTTAAAGAGAACAGGCAGGCTGGGTGTGGTGGCTCACACCTGTAATTCCAGCACTTTAGGGAGGCTATGGTGGGTGGATCACCTGAAGTCAGGAGTTCAAGACCAGCCTGGCCAACATAGCAAAAACCTGTCTCTACTAAAAACACAAAAATAGCCAGGCGTGGTGGCAGGTGCCTATAATCCCAGCTACTTGGGAGGCTGAGGCAGGAGAATTGCTTGAACACCAGAGGTGGAGGTTGTAGTGAGCCAAGATCGTGCCACTGCATTCCAGCCTGGGTGACAGAGTGAGATTCTGTCTCAAAAAAATAAAGAGAACAGGCAGATTTCGGCTGGGTACGGTAGCTCACGCCTGTGATGCCAGCACTTTGGGAGGTGGAGGAGTTCGAGAGCAGCCTGGCCAACATGGTGAAACCCCATCTCTACTAAAAACACAAAAATTAGCCAGGTATGGTGGCGTGTGCCTGTAATCCCAGTTACTCGGGAGGCTGAGTGAGCTGAGATCACGCCACTGCACTCCAGCCTGGGCTACAGAGCAAGACCCTGTCTCCAAAAAAAAAAAAAATTAGCCGGGCATTGTGGTGGGTGCCTGTAGTCCCAGCTACTCAGGAGGCTGAGGCAGAAGAATGGGAGGCGGAGCTTGCAGTGAGCCAAGATCGTGCCACTGCACTCCAGGCTGGGCAACAGAGCGAGAAGACTCTGTCTCAAAAAAAATAAACACAACAGGTGGATTTCTAGGGTTGGAGTTGTTACAACGTACCTTGTGTAGCCTGGCACAGATTGATGTGTATGGGTATCCCAGACACACTCAAGGGGTGAGATGGACCATTTTTCTTGTACACCTTGGCTTTCAGCTGAGGTCATTAGAAGGGGGCTCAAATAGTCCATTTGGACCTCCCTTCCTTCCCCTCGAAAAATGAGTAGGCATAAGTGATTATTCCCTTGTCTGCAGCTCCCTAACTGGCAGTATAACACAGTGTCTCCTTTTTTATCGGCTATTACTGTTTTCTTTTCCCCAACCTATTAAAACTTGAGCTGTCAGACCAACAGCCTAACATTTTCATGTTTAGTTTTCCCTACCAACTAATGCTGGTGTTTGTTTTAATATTGTAGTGCCAAGACCCGACGCATTAGACAATGAGAGGTATGGAACACTAATTAAATCCCTTTTTGTTGCTCTGATTCATTCTCTTGTAATATTCTGGTTACATGTTGTTAACCCCATGTTCTGGACACACAGTGTAAACTGAGAACCTAGGCTGTTCCAAATGATCATTTTAACACATCCTAAAGTTCAGGCAGCAATATGTTGAGATGGCCTGTGTCCTCTGATCTTTACAAGAGAAGTTTCTGAAAAAGAAGCATTACAGTGCCCCATAACCTGACATGCCAGGGAATCAGCTGCATTATTCAGTCCCAGTGAGAAAACTTAAAGGCAGCTAACTTCATTTGTCTCCTGGCTTTTATACCAGGTCATTTAGTGTTTTCTGTGACCTCTGGCTATTTAAAGTTCCCGGTCAGAAAACACATTGGTTCCTGGCATCAGCAAGTCAAAGCCAAAGATTCCTCTTGTGTCTTACAGCTCCTGCTTTCATTTCTCAGTTCATCCACTCCATTTGTTTGATCCAAAGAATTTTCTCTGCTGTGGTTTATTTTGGTTTTGCTTTATTTATTTTCTTTCTAAGGGGCACATCCACCATTTCCTCCCCCTTAGCAGCAGTGGTGTCAGTCAGACTATGCTCACTTTTATCCCTGGATTGCAATCACAGGGAATTGGAATGGTCTGAGTGCAAGGAAGAAAACGTTTCTAAGCACAAAGGGCCTTGGAGCTGGGGACAGGTTTACACACGTGGATTGGGCTGCTTGCTCATAGGGTGGAGTTGTCAGAACAAGTTTGTCCTCCTTGTACCTAAATTCAGATTTCAACCTGGTGAGCCAAGAAGAAAGTCATGCTTCACCTCCAAAGCACCTGGGCCTAGTCACTCCCCAAACCCCATTTAAAACCGGAAGCACTGGCTGCCTGCACAGCAAGATGGGGGGACCCTCAACACCCTCCTTTCACAGCTCCCCCTTCTCTCTCCCATAGCTGGGGCTTTGTGCACCCTCGGTTGCTCAGCGTGCCCGAGCTCTGCCACCATGTAGCTGAAGTCTGGGTTAGTGGGACCATTTTCATAAGGAATGTTTTGCTTTTCAAAAAGCAAAACCCAGGCAAGGTAAGACTCTTCCCTTTTTCACTTTCATCTCTGGCCTCTCAGTTCAGTTCATGCTAAACTGAAACAGCTCCTTTACTATGTGTCTTCATTCAAGAAAGTAAAGACTATGATGTTCATAGAGACAAAAGGAAGCTATAGGAAAGGCCTTCTGACCAGCCATTAGGACTAACACAGGAGCTTGGTGACTGCTCATTTGGTGTGGTTGCCACTTAGATGAGGCCGTTTTCTTGCTTCAAGATAGGAAAGAAAGCTTTCTTGTGTACATTCTGTGTCATATTAAATATGTGATAGGTTGTTGTGTTTTTTTGGGTTTTGTGTGTGTTTCTGTTGACTTAAAAAACCACCACCAACATTGCTTTCAGAGAGAATTTTTGGCTAAGTCCTATTCAAACCAATTTCTTGGCAGGAAAGGTGCAGCCCTATGGGGTTAGCCATGTAAAAGGAGTTTGAATAGAAGGGGACATGCTCCTTTTCTTCCCAAACAGAATCACCTTTGGATGCAACAGTGGCTGCACGTCCATGCTTGACTTACAGAGTCTTTCTGTCATATCTCTACCCTAACCCTTCACACCCACCCCAGTCCCCTGCCATGTGACAGAAACTTAATACTCTTTCTTGATTCCCCAGTTCTGCTTGCTGAGCTGTGGGATACTGACCTTTTTGGCTGTCTTGGGCCGCTACGTCCCTGGGCTTCTGCTGTCCTACTTGATGCGTAAGTATGACATATACCTCCCCTACAAAGTATACCCTGCTCATAGCTTTCCAACTATGGCTAACTCTAGGTGTGGGGAGAGGACTGTTATATTTCAATTCTCTAGGATATGACCTTTGCATATTTTCATGACCTGTTTAGTGTCATGAAAATATCCTTCTTTAGCAGGCTCTCCACATACAAAGTTCATTTCTTACCAAGTCAGAAATTGATGAGGGTCCACTAACATATATTGTTGGTATTACCAACTATAAAGGACTGCCTGTCCCTGTTTAAGGAGAGAATTTTTAGAGCCAGGGTATTGTCAGCAGAACATAACTCTTAGGGGTTTCTCTGCTAGGTTCTATTTATGCCAGAGTACTTTTTTCCCACTTGGAGCATAGTTTTGTAAATTTAGTTACTTCCTGTTGGCATGTACTCAGCTTGCTTGGGGCTGGAAGAACTAAGTACTTATGCCTGTGGCTTTTGTATATCAAAACCTCGCATGATTTGTTGTGTAATTTCCATTTATGGCTCAGTGACACCCATTGCCAGGTTCTGCCCTTGGCCTGTCAGCAGCATACTGTGCTGTGCACAACCCTGCAGTAGGCTTTGTGGGTGGCTGTAGAAGTCCCTGCCCTCAAAGACTCCTTCATGTGTAGGGGAGACTGGTGAAGATGACTGGCAGACTTGGGCAGATCTGTTCCACACTTTGTGTCCAAGCCCTAAGGACCAATAGCAGCGCTACAGTTGGGAATGTTTTTTGCAGCCCCTTCTCCATTTTGTCACTGTTTCCCATGCCTCCTCACAGTTGTCACTGTCATGATGTGGCCCCTTGCTGTGTACCACCGACTGTGGGATCGAGCATATGTGCGGCTGAAGCCAGCTCTGCAGCGGCTAGACTTCAGTGTCCGTGGCTACATGATGTCCAAGCAGAGAGAGAGACAATGTAAGTGTCATGGTGTCATTCTTTCCACTTACGCAATTTGGGGCGAAAAGGAGAAGCCCATAGGTCTGACATACTGGGTGGGTCCTCAAAAGTGGAAGTCGGGGGTAGTTGGTGGGGGTGAGGATTGATAGGTAAAAATGATATTCTGTTCTAGGGAAACCTGTGCAGGCTTGCCAGTTTTTATCATTTGTAATCCTAGGCTCCCGTTTTAAACCTATCTGATAAAAGCTCTTTCAAGTTGAATAAAAGCTAGACAGTGAAGATAAATTCCTAGTATTTGTGGTTTGTTTTTTTTTTTTTTTTTTTTTTGAGACAGGGTCTCATTCTGTTTCCCAGGCTGGAGTGCAGTGGCATGATCATGGCTCACTGCACCCTTGACCTCCCAGGCTCAAGTGATCCTTCTACTCAGCCCCGCCAAACCCTTCAGTAGCTGGGACTACAGGCATGTGTCACCACATCTATCTGATTTTTAAATTTTTTTGTAGAGATGGGGTCTCATGTTGCCCAGGCTGATCCTGAACTCCTGGGCTCAAGCGATCCTCCTGCCTTGGCGTTCCAAAGTGTTGGGATTACAGGTGTGAGCCACCGTGCTGAGCCCAGAGCAGATCCTTTCAACTCCTAAGCCTGGTCTCTTCACTAGTAAAAGCTGCCTCCCAAAGGTGATTAAAAACTGCTGCCTCAGAGGTTGTAAGTGTACTAGCCTGAGATCCATGCAACACAATGATGGTAGTACAAACTTTTCCCTCCCTTGTGTGGTCTTGTCAGGTTTTGTGTTTTATGGAGGCCTGGCCTTCAAAGAGCCCTGCACTTGGTCACCAAGGCCCAAGTCCCCTTGGGGCAGCCAGTTGAATAATACCAGTCCTCAAAAGTCTGATTTAACAAGGTGTGCATCTCCTTTTGCCCTCTCTTTGATCATGTCCACTTAACACCTTGACATTAGGTCTGCCTTTAGCCATCCAGAGAGTTGTTGACAAAGCCTGGTATTTGATCATCTGACCAGAATAGAAATGTGTGCCAGGCCGGGCGCAGTGGCTCACACTTGTAATCCCAGCACTTTTGGAGGCTGAGGTGGGCGGATCACCTTAGGTCAGGAGTTCGAGACCAGCTTGACCAATATGATGAAACCCCGTCTCTACTAAAAATACAAATATTAGCCAGGTGTGATGGTGAGCACCTGTAATCTCAGCTACTCAGGAGGCTGAGACAGGAGTATTGCTTGAATCCAAGAGGCAGAGGTTGCAGTGAGCCGAGATCGCGCCATTGCACTCCAGCCTGGGCAACAAGAACAAAACTCCATCTCAAAAGAAAAAAGAAATATGTAGGGTCTGGTGGAGAGGATGTTGGAAGCTGAGATATTTTCTCCAGTGTTTTCAACTCACCTTGCATTTAGGCTCAGCAGCTCAGCCTTCTGTTATTATTATGTAGGCTTAGAGCCAGATTCAGAGAGGCTCTTTGTTTTGTGTTCTGATTTTATGTCTTTAAAGTCCAAAGGGGATTTTACGCTGGGAGAAGGTATCAAGCAAGACTTTGTGCTCTTCCCACAGTACGCCGCAGAGCTCTCCACCCAGAACGAGCCATGGACAACCACAGTGACAGCGAAGAGGAGCTTGCTGCCTTCTGTCCTCAGGTATCTTGAGTGTGGGAGCTGCTTCACTGTCCAGTTTTCTTTAGCTACCTTTTAACCATCCGACAGCTCACATTTAGGCCATAACCAGGTTTGAGGCCTTAGACTCCCCTTGTTCCCAAGACAAGGAGAGAAGTGAGACTTTGTTCCTAGATCTCAATTTTTTTCTTTATCATATCATTCCTGTAATCAACCTAGGTCTCAATTAGAGCCTGATGCCCAGCACCGCTCTTCCGTATCTCTTTTTACCCTACCATTATGGAAGAACTTCTGGAGCTAGTATGATCATCTTTTAAACAGCCCAGTTCACCCTTGGGTCTGTGCAGTATGTGTATCCTCCTACCACTTTGAAAAATTATCTCTGGATCAATTATTTGCCTTAAAGTAAGTGGGTAATTGACTCCCCCAAGACTGCTTTTCTTCCTGTGCTTAAGAGGTTATGAATGAGTGTTTTCTTTGGGAGAGCAGCCTAAAAGGGGTCAAGATTTTTTTTGTTGTTGTTACTTTCACATGTATTGATTAAAAAAAAAATAAAGGGGAGAGGGAGTTTTCAACGGGAAGTTACCATCTATCCCTGGTTACATTGATTTGATGGCCTTCGGATAACTAATGCTAGCTGATTAGTAAAGCTGTACCTGGTGACTACACCTGGTTCCTGATGGCATTATCTCACATTTGTTGGTCTTTTCCTAAGCTGGACGATTCTACTGTTGCCAGGGAATTGGCCATCACAGACTCTGAGCACTCAGACGCTGAAGTCTCCTGTACAGACAATGGCACATTCAATCTTTCAAGGGGCCAAACACCTCTAACGGAAGGCTCTGAAGGTGAGGGGAGCCTTTGACCTCAGTTGATAATGGCTCTGACTGTTGCCTCTTAGCTTCCCTGAACAGAGGGGATACTGGTGCTTGCCCCTCTCCTGTTTTCTGAGCTATGGATCAGGCGGCAGAGCAGCCTGAGTGCTGTGGCTACAGCCAGGATGGCACTGCTGCCCTTCTTGAAGACTTTAGTCCCTTAGTAGCCTCAGGCACTAGCCTCACAGGGGACATAGAAGAGAGGGGGAATTGTGTAGAGATCACAGCCACCTATAAGTGGAGGGGAAAGGTATACCAGTCCCATGGGTTTATTTCGCCCTGAGAAAGCCAGGGTGGGAAAAATCTGGTCATGTGGGGCTGGGGCACAGGAGGGCCAGGTAGGTGCCATGACTCAGACACTTCTGTATTCCACCAGACCTAGATGGTCACAGTGATCCAGAGGAATCCTTTGCCAGAGACCTTCCAGACTTCCCTTCCATTAATATGGATCCTGCTGGCCTGGATGATGAGGACGACACTAGCATTGGCATGCCCAGCTTGATGTACCGTTCTCCGCCAGGGGCTGAGGAGCCCCAGGCCCCACCTGCCAGCCGGGACGAGGCTGCGCTGCCGGAGCTCCTGCTTGGTGCTCTTCCTGTAGGATCCAACCTCACCAGCAACCTTGCCAGCCTGGTCTCCCAGGGTATGATTCAGCTGGCCTTGTCAGGGGCCTCCCAACCAGGCCCTTCTGGAGCACCTGCCCAGAGAGCAACGAGAGGCTTCCTCCGGTCCCCCAGTTCAGACCTGGACACTGATGCTGAGGGGGATGACTTTGAACTTCTGGACCAGTCGGAGCTGAGTCAGCTGGACCCTGCCAGTTCTAGGAGCCACTGAGGCAGAGACTCCTTTTGGGAGTCACTGTGGTTTAGGTTTTTTTCTCCCCATCCCACTTAAGGTGATGGGGCAAGGGAAGAACTCAGCTCCCCTCCCCTGAATTATATTTGTATGCTGGGTGGCCTGGCTGATGCTCAGAGGCCTCCTTAGAGAGGACACTCACTCCCCTCCCACCAGCTGGATGCCCATTTCTGAGCTCAGTCACTGAAGTGAGAGTGTGCTCCCCCAAGGGAGGCTTCTCTCCATCAGGATGGTACTTTGGGGGAACAAAATAGTCAGGGATATTGGTTCCCCTTTGAGGAGGTGCTGCTGTTTGCTTTTAGGTATGAGTGCTCAGGGGCCCTCACTGAAAGAGCCCATGCCTGCCTTCCTCCTTTCATCGCCTCTCTAGAGCCCCCAAAGTCAGGCAGCAGCTGGAGTAGTTACATTGTCATCATCTTTTTTTTTGAGACAGTTTCGCTCTGTTGCCCAGGCTGGAGTGCAGTGGTGTGATCTTGGCTTTCTGCAACGTCTGCCTTCCAGGTTGAAGAGGTTCTCCTGCCTCAGCCTCCTTAGTAGTGGGATTACAGGTGCCCGCTACTATGCCCGGCTAATTTTTCTTTTGGTATTTTTAGTAGAAATGGGGTTTCACCATGTTGGCCAGGCTGGTCTCAAACTCCTGACCTCAAGTGAGCTGACTGCCTTGGCCTCCCAGAGTGCTGGGATTAGTCGTCATCTTTTGTTAAACCAGGATTTGATTTTTTTCTTTTCTTTTCTTTTCTTTTTTTTTTTTTTGAGACAGAGTCTCTCTCTGTTGCCCAGGCTGGAGTGCAGTGGCACAATCTCGGCTCACTGCAGCCTCCGCCTGCCGGGTCAAGCGATTCTCCTACCTCAGCCTCCTCAGTAGCTGAGATTACAGGCATGCACCACCATGCCCGGCTAATTTTTTTGTGTTTTTAGTAGAGATGGGGTTTCACCGTGCTGGCCAGGCTGGTCTAGAACTCCTGACTGCAAATGATCAGCCCGCCTCAGCCACCCAAAGTGTTGGGATTACAGGTGTGAGCCACTGTGCCCAGCGTGATTTTTTTTTTTTTTTAAAGCAAACTTGTCCTTTGGTTTTGCAGAACAGGCCTGCTCCCTCTCATCTAGCCCATCATTTCTTGGGGCCTGAACCCCAGTGGTCCAAAGTATTGCTTGTGAAATTTAAAAAATGTGAATATGATGTGGGGATGGGCCTCTTCTACATTACCTTGGCCCAGGGGGATCAGCTGGCTGGGAGGATTAGTGAGCACCTCTGTATTTTGAGGTCTGAGTCTTCTGGAGCTGTGTAGTTAATCTTCGGTTTCTGATAACCCCTGGGTCCATCTGGCCATCAGCCTCAGCAGTGAGCAAAGCAATACCATACTCATTTCTATGTTCCTGTTCCTTCCTCTGCTCCTCCTTTGGAGAAGCAATAATTCATGGGGGATGATACAGTAGCACTTTACAAATGGCTCCATGTCATTCATCCCAGGGGCCATAATCTCTTGCACCACCTATTCTTACTTCCTGTTCAGCTCCTTTACAGCTTTTATTTTCAACTGCTTCCCAACTTGGTGGGGCCTCCTTTAAGGATGAGCCAATAGTAAGAATGTGGCTGTAATCAGCAGAGACCCCTCTGAGGGGTATCTGTTCTGCAGCCCCTAGTGAAATCATGTGATGTGAGACAGAAACCTAAACATGGTACTTGATTCTAAACCTGTGCCAGTCTATAGCCTCTGCCTCCCCAAGCAGAGCTCAAGCCAAACGCTTCTGTCCTCTTTCCTTCTGCATTAACCCTTTGCTGATCCTCAGGGGCCACTCCCCCAACACCCCTGTACTTGGGTGAGGGATGTTGGACAGAGCCTGTTTTCATGTACTGCAGGTGGGGGTGTGCTGACATGTTTGCTCTTGGTTGATGGAGAAGGTACAGAGGCCAGGGAGTGAAAATGGTTGACAGAAGAGGGAAGAGTTAGGTGTCTCATAGTCACTCATAGTGGGGTGGTCAGGGGTAATGGCATCTCCCCACTTTAGGCTTCTCAAACAGACTTTTGACACCTCTCAAGTTCAGAGCTCTGATGTGGAAAGACAGGAGGTGTGGGGAAGGAGGGGGATTTCGTGTGTTTGCATGAGTGTGCGCTTCAGGCCTTGGGAGTTGGCAAGAGGGAGGGAAGGAAGGAGAGCAAAATCTTCGGAAGGTGTTTCTTGTACCTGAGGGATCCTGCCCTGAATCTCCATAGTCTCCACTGTGAACTGAGGAGGGGAGGGGTGTGCTGGGGAATAAATCTTGTATGAGAACAATCTTTAAGAGACTGATGCTGAATGGTGTCCTACCCTTGATAGGTCTTCTCTTGTAAATCTGAGTTCTGATTAATTTGAAGTGATAGCCTTAAAAGAGGAAGCCCAGGTATGAGGGACCCACCAGCCCACCCCTATTTTTACTTCGTGATGGCCAGAACATCACCATAGTATGAGGCTACTTTCCTTCTTGTGAGAGCCCCACCATCAGTATAACTGGCACTCTTGGCTAGTATTTAGCCTGTATTTCCTTCATTTCTAATTTCTTTTTTTTTCCTGAGACGGAGTCTTGGTCTGTCGCCCAGGCTGGAGTGCAGTGGTGCGATCTCTCACTGCAAGCTCCGCCTCCCGGGTTCACGCCATTCTCCTGCCTCAGCCTCCTGAGTAGCTTGGACTACAGGCGCCCACCAGCACGCCTGGCTAATTTTTTGTATTTTTAGTAGAGATGGGGTTTCACAGTGTTAGCCAGGATGGTCTCGATCTCCTGACCTCGTGATCCGCCCGCCCTGGCCTCCCAAAGTGCTGGGATTGCAGGCGTGAGCCACCGCGCTCGGCCCTTTCATTTCTAATTCTTAATATTGTCTCCTAAACGTGCAGAGACAAGCACACGTTTTAAAGGCTAAGGAGGTTGTAGGTAGCAGAAGGCTTTAAAAAGTAGCACCTTACTCCTTCACTGGATGGTCTGAGCTGCAGGGACAGCTGCTCTTTGGCCTTCAGCTCACCTCAGAAACTAGAAATATTTATTTCAGGCTCTGTCCCATTGGCCACTGTGGTCAGGGGTGGAAAGCACCTGCCAGGTGTTGCCCTGAGATTGTCTGGGCTAACAAACTTTTCCACAAGCTTTGTGGTTGAACAGTAGCCCCCTCCTAACCCTATCGTTCCTTGGCGTCCAAACTACAGTAGGTGTCGAGTGCCCCCTGGGTGCGAAGCTCGGTATTAGGCAAATAAGGGTGGTTGCTCTCCAAGGCGCTTAGCTGTCCCCCCTTCCCACTTTTTTTTTTTTTGTTCGAGACTGCGTCTCGCTCTGTCGCCAGGATGGGGTGCAGTGGCGCGCTCATAGTGGCTCACTGCAGCCTCGATGTCCGGGGCTCTGGTGACCCTCCCACCTCAGCCTCCAGAGTAGCTGGGACCACAGAAGCGCGCCACCACTCTTAATTTTTTGTACTTTATTTGCAGAGATGGGGTTTCATATTGCCCAGACTGGTTTCGAATTCCTGGGCTCAAACGATCCGCCCGCCTCAGCCTCCCAAAGTGATAGAATTGCAGGGGTGACATGCCACTGCGCCCGACCAAGGCGCTTAGCTTTCTATTAAGTTTTCACAACCACTTTCCTACCACTATCTACTGTTCCTATTTTACAAATGACAAAACTAACCGACAAAAGAGCACTGGACCGTGGGACCAGAGCACGTCCCTGTGGGGTAACCTTGAGCTGGTCGCTTGCCCAGGGCGGCAGCGGATGTCTGAAGCGTCTTCCAATCCCAACATTAGACTTAATTCAAGGTCACCAGTGCTCAGCTGCGGCTGGAACTGGGTCTCGAAACTTGAAGGCCTTCTCTGCTACAGCCTTCGTTCCCGGGAGCAGAAAGAGGAAGTTTCTTAGCCGTGGGCACGCCGGCGCCTTCGCAGAGGCCCATGGCTTGAGGTCCGGCCCGAATGCGCAAGTTCCGACCTGAAATGAACTATGGAGTCCGGGAGGGGTCGCTTTGCTCCTCCGGAAGGCTTCCCCTTCAGCCAATCACCGTTCGAGGCCCGCCCCCGTCGCCGGAAGGAGCCGTCGCCCCGAGCAACTACAACGTCCGGCTTTCTGAGTTGGGTGGCGGGAAAGGCGATGAGTAAAGGCCGGGCAGAAGCTGCGGCGGGAGGTAACGGCGCCGTGGGCGCGGGGAAGACCCGGGAGGGCAGTGGGTGAGGAGGTCGGTTGAGTGGCCCCCTCCCCTGCCTTTCTCTCCGTAGCCGCCGGGATCCTCCTGAGGTACCTGCAGGAGCAGAACCGGCCCTACAGCTCCCAGGATGTGTTCGGGAACCTACAGCGGGAACACGGACTGGGCAAGGCGGTGAGGACCTTCTCCCGGGATTCCCTCTCCGTCGGACTCCCTGGATTCAGGCTGGGGTCGTGCCCTTTGGAGCCTTGGGCGTTTTCCACATCACTGGCTGGATTTCCCCAGACCCAGGCTCAGACTCCTCTGATTGCTCCTTCTCTCTCCTCTGCCAGGTGGTGGTGAAGACGCTGGAGCAGCTGGCGCAACAAGGCAAGATCAAAGAGAAGATGTACGGCAAGCAGAAGATCTATTTTGCGGATCAGGTGAGGAGAACTTGCGCCGATTGTCACCCATGAGAGCCCGACAACGGGTGAATCTACTCCTGGTGTGAACTCTTTGGGGACAAGGCCCCCCATGGAAAACTCACCTGTCTTAGGCCACCATCCTTAAATCAAGGTGTGTACTCCTCTTGTTAGGATCCCAACTTCACGAGGTTTCCAGATTTACAATATGATGGATGACAGAAGATTCTGTATTGTTGCTACCAAGATCCATTTCCGCTCCAAAGCTCTTATTCCTTATCATCTACATTAGCAACACCCTCTGCCAAATGATGTTCCTCCTGCCTCCATCCGATTCTCTAAACACACATATCAAATTTATATTCTCCAGCCCAGACCTCCAGCTGGAATCTGTCAGGCATTAATATCAGAGTCAAAATTGCCACAGTAGAATGCCTCATCTTCCCCCCACCCCGGACTGGTTTCTTTCTAACATTCTCCTCCCCTAATGGAATTACTCTTCACCCAAACCAGAAATTGGGAGCAATTCTTGACTTCCTTTACTAGTCAACCATCAAGTCCAGCTGATTTTTCCGTTTTTATTTATTTTTTTAATTTTTATAGAGATGGGTCTTACTGTGCTGCCCAGGTTGGTCCCAACTCCTGGGCTCAAGTGATCCTCCTGTCTTGGCCTCCCAAAGTGCTGGGAGGACAGGCGTGAACCACAGAGCCTGGCTAATTTTTCCATTCTTGAATCCACTCTCCTTTCCATCTGCCATGGTTGCTCTAGTTCACGCCCTCTTTATTTGTTGCAGTATCCTCCTAACAGATCTTGGCTCTTCAAACATATCTTAAACTCTTAAACATTGCAGTCAGAATGATCTGTCTAAATAGATCTGGTCATGCACCTTCCCTATTTAAAACTCTTCAATGGCTCTCTAGTGCTGCAAAAAACATGTAAAAGGCACCGGAAGACGCCCCAGCCAGCCTCTGGCCTCACCAATCCTCATTATTTTTCTATCCACGAACACTAGATAATTCTGGTGTGTTTTACTGCTCTGTCCTTTGCATGTTGTCTTCCCTGTACCTGCTTCTCTTCCTGGCCAGCTCTTTCTTTCCTTGAGGATTTCACTTAGACATCACCTTTTCCAGAAATCTTCCTTGAATGCTCCGAGCTAATTGTTTCTTTTTCAGGCCCTTATCTCTTTTTGTTATTGTTGTTGTTGTTGTTGTTGAGACGGAGTCTCGCTCTGTCACCCAGGCTGGAGTGCAGTGGCACAATCTCGGCTCACTATAAGCTCCACCTCCTGGGTTCACGCCATTCCCCCGCCTCAGCCTCCCAGAGTAGCTGGGACTACAGGCACCCGCCACGAAGCCTAATTTTTTTTTTTTTTTTTTTTTGGTATTTTTAGTAGAGATGGGGTTTCATCGTGTTAGCCAGGATGGTCTTGATCTCCTGACCTCGTGATCCACCCGCCTCGGCCTCCCAAAGTGCTGGGATTACAGGCATGAGCCACTGTGCCCAGCCTGGCCCTTACCTCTTTTGAGGCATGCTGTATTACAATTTTTACTTGTCTCCTTTATTCAACTGAAGTTCCTCTAGGGCAGACCCCATTTCTCAATTCATTTTTATCTGATCAGCACCTCCGCAGTATCTAACATCCAGCAGATATTACTCGTTAAACTGAACCAAACCACTTTTAAGGCTGACTTTCCTAAAACAGGCTGCATTGTGTTACTCATCTAAAGATAATTCTCTAAAGGAGGGTTTGGCAAACTTTTTCTGCAAATGGCCAGACAGTATTTTTAGGATTTGTGGGCCATATGTATCTCTTGTCATGGCTGGCTGTACAACTGCCACAACTACTCACCTCTGCCACTGTAGAACAGAAGCAGCTGTAGACTATGTAAATGAACGGGTGGGGCTGTTTCAATAAAATTTTGTTTTCAAAAACATGCATCTGGCAGGATTTGGCTTGCTGGCCATAGTTTGCTGGCCTCTGCCCTATAGGTTCACCTTGCCCAAGTGTAGAGTCCAGACTGCACTGGCTGGCATACTTTTTCAACCTGCTCCCCATCACCAACTGATGTGACCTCCCCCACCCCCACACTGATCCCCAGTGCAGTTCTTTTCTAGCAATGGCCCCTCATGAGAGAAGCTCCTCAGACTTACTGGAATCCCTTATCTACATGGATCCCAAGACCCAGCATAGTGGCTCATGCATGTAATCCCAGCACTTTGGGAGGCTGAGGCGGATGGATCACTTGAGCCCAGGAGTTTGAGACCAGCCTGGGCAACGTGGTGAAACCCCTTCTCTACTAAAAATACAAAAATTAGCTGCGCTTGGTGGTGCGCGCCTGTAATCCCAGCTACTTAGGAGGCTGAGGCATGAGAATCGCTTGAAGCCAGGAGGCGGAGGTTGCAGTCAGCCAAGATTGCACCACTGCACTCTGGCCTGGGTGACAGAGAAAGAAAGAGAGGAAAAGAGGGAAGGGAGGGAGAAAGAGAGAGAAAGAGAGAGGGAAAGGGAGGGGGAAGGAGGGAGGGAGGGAGGAAAAAGGAAGGAAGGAAGGAGGGAGAGAGGAAGGTGGAAAGAAGGATGGGAAGAAAGGACAGGAAGGAAGAAGAAAAGAAGTCCATCCATCCCATCCATCATGCTTCTTCACCTGTCCAGTTTCTATCTATTATGGAAACCCATGATCTAGGTTTCCCCACCGTGGGAACAATGTTACTTAACTGCTTCAGCCCAGGTAGTGGTTTTATCACTAAATGGGAAGATTTCTGTCCTAATCAGTATCCTGTCAACCTAGTAGCTTAAGGACAAGCATTAGATTTCAGCTTTTCTTTCCTACCTTTTTAGTGGGGCCGCTCCTTAACTGAAAACAATTTCTCAAAAGTACTCTCCCACTATTTCTGCAGACCCTCTGGAGACTTTGGGGTGTGGCTGGTTCCTGAGCATATCCAAATGGTGCCTTCCCAGGTGTGTGTTCCCATCTTTGTGCCTCACAACAGTTCACTTGTATTTTCCCTCTTTGTCTGGCAGGACCAGTTTGACATGGTGAGTGATGCTGACCTTCAAGTCCTAGATGGCAAAATCGTGGCCCTCACTGCTAAGGTGCAGAGCTTGCAGCAGAGCTGCCGCTACATGGAGGCTGGTAGGACTGGGTAGCCCCTCCAAAGTGCCCATAGGCTTAGGTTCATTCTAGAGGTCAGGAATTACTAAATGAATGGTTCAATGACTGCAGCATCTTGTTGCAGCTAAGACCCCTTTGCTGGGCTCCCTTAGGCATAAAAAGAAATGTAGGATAACTAACGGCTTTTGTGTACCAACAAATGGACAAGATACGCATTTGTTCTCCCTGCCACGATTATCAGTACACTGTCCCCACGTTTCCCTTTATTCCTGCTTCTTTAACTGGCTACGCCTAAGTAAGTGTTCAACCTCACACCCACGCCACTTGTAGATGGAGGAGGAAAGAAAATTAGAAGAATAAATAATCCTGTATGGCTTAGTTTCCATGTGAGATGATAGATCCAGAGCAAGGTGGAACACCTCAGGGAGCACCCACTGGGAAAGACAGAACTCCTTCCTCAGGGGTAGCAAGTGACCCCAGGCGGATGTGGTTTCAGAGCTCAAGGAATTATCTAGTGCCCTGACCACACCAGAGATGCAGAAAGAAATCCAGGAGTTAAAGAAGGAATGCGCTGGCTACAGAGAGAGATTGAAGAACATTAAAGCAGCTACCAATCATGTGACTCCAGAAGAGAAAGAGCAGGTGAGCTGGAAGGCTGTAGGACCGCTGTGCAGGTCCAGAGTGAACATCAGGGCTGAGCCCCAGAGGGCTGCTGTGGTTCTGAGGAGTTAGAGGAACTTGCTTTTTCCTTCTAGGTGTACAGAGAGAGGCAGAAGTACTGTAAGGAGTGGAGGAAGAGGAAGAGGATGGTAAGTGTGTGGGAGCTCCGAGACAGGCCCTGGAGGTGCCTTTGAAAATGGCAGGCACCAGATCAGCCGCTACACAATATCATAAACTGACAGGCAGTGCCCAGTGCTGCCCATCTGAAAACGGGTGGTTTTATTTCTTGTCAGGCTACAGAGCTGTCTGATGCAATACTTGAAGGATACCCCAAGAGCAAGAAGCAGTTCTTTGTAAGTGGAGCTCTCTTCCTTCTTTGCTTCCCTGTGGTCTTATCCTGGTGACATCTCATTCACTTGTCTCCCTGTCTCACAGGAGGAAGTTGGGATAGAGACGGATGAAGATTACAACGTCACACTCCCAGACCCCTGAGGGGCCCACGGTCAGGACTGGTGGGGACTGCAGGATGTCAGAAGAGTGAGATGTCTTGCACTGGCTACCTTGTTTTTGGTTGGCTTTTGTTGTTGTTCCTGCTACTTTCACCTTTAAGCAGAGCAGTCAGGAGACAAGCATAAACCAGAGCACTGGGTAGAGAGGATGAGGGCTGGTGGCTGGGGGTAGACCCAGCCCATTTCATTGTCTAAATTGCAGTAGCTTGAGGTTAACATTTAGACTTGGAACAATGCTAAAGGAAAGCATTTGGCAATATTTATTATAATTTAATTTTATATAAAAATATTTAATTTCCTCTGGATAGTCAAACCTGCCAGATATCAAACCTGAGGAAGGCAGAAGTGAATTTGGAGAACTAGGGTAGAGAGAGGTTGCTATAAAACGAGCATTTGGAGGGCCCACGGCTTCACTCAGGACCTGCTGGGCTTGTGTACCCCAGGAGCCCTTTTAAGTATCTTTTGTACGCTTTTCACCCCACCCCCAAGTCCTGGGAGAAATGCAGGCAACACTGAGACATGGGAGAGGCCAAGATATGCTTGACAGAAAGGGTGATTTTGAGGCTCAGTTAATATTTCAAAATTGTAACCGTAGCAAAACTGCATTGGTATTTAGAAAAATAAAAAATTTCCAATATGTAGTGCTGTGTTATACCTGCCTCTGCCATGCAGCATCATAGCCTGTGGGAACCGGGAGGGCTTCCCTTACCACCCAGAGCAGAGGAGGAAGGTGATGGAATATGGGGTGAGGGGAGGAACCTGGTGGCCCCTCCCTGAGATGGCCAGAAAGCCCTTGGCCTCACCTGGGACTGACCAGGCAGCCCTAGTCTAGGCACAAGGTGCCCTTTCACCCTTCATGGCTGTGGGAATATTTCCTCTTACTCTTTTTCTCCCATACAGCTACTGCCAAAATGCCCAAACTTGGGCCAAATGTTGCCCAAACTTGGGCCAAAAATGTTGCCCAAGAGACCAAAACAGAGGAAAACAGTTTCCAAATCTATGTAGATCATGAGCAGAAATCTGAGGCTTGAATAAAGGGCTGAGAGGGCAGGAGCTCTTTGGGGTGTCCAGAGCAGACGCCCATCCCAAGGACTTCCATGGAGTGGGGGGAAGGCTGGGTAGGTTTGAGTTTTATCGTCAATATAATAAATTAATCAGAAGCTTTCACAAAACAAACACCGCGGCTCCGCTGAAGATAAAATGGGGCTGGGAAAAACCAAACACCAAGTAGAAACCAGCTGACCAGTGTGAGGTGTTGTAGTCCAGTCTCCCGGGCCCAGCAGTTCAGTGGCCACGTAGAGATTCAAGGGCCTCTTGTTGGCTGTTCTCCAGGTTTCCAAGAACCGGTCAGTAAAGCTGGTTTTTCAATTGGTGCAGGACGCCAATCACAATCTCCCGCAGGGTCTGGCGAGGGCAGCAGAGGAAGAAATAGACAATGCCCAAGTCAACGCAGAGTAGTTTCCAAGATGCCTGCCTAGATCAGCCATGTACTTTAGAAAAGTGCTTTAAAAATAGCCCCCCGGGGGCCAGGTGTGGTGGCTCACGCCTATAATCCCAGCACTTCGGGAGGCCAAGGCGGGTGGATCACCTGAATTTCAAGACCAGCCTGGCCAACATAGTGAAACCCCGTCTCTACTAAAAATACAAAAATTAGGTGTGGTGGCACATGCCTGTAATCCCAGCTACACAGGAGGCTGAGGTATGAGAATCGCCTGAACCCAGGAGGTGGAAGTTGCAGTGAGCTGACATCACACCACTGCACTCCAGCCTTGGTGACAGAGTGAGACTCCGTCTCAAAAAAAAAAAAAAAAAGCCCCCAGGAAGTACTGATGTCTGCAGTTTAATTTGAGGTGCTCCTGAAGCAAGATGGAGAGATGGAAATATAGTAAAATGTTTCGGTAAAATTTAGGGAGCGGGTATACGAGTGTTCACTGTGAACTCCTCTCAACATCGCAATATGTTTAATGTGTTTCACAATAAAAATGTTGGGAAACGAGGCCAGGCACAGTGGCTCATGCCTGTAATCCCAGCACTTTGGGAGGCCGAGGCGGGTGGATCACAAGGTCAGGAGATCGAGACCATCCTGGCTAACACGGTGAAACCCCGTCTTACTAAAAAATACAAAAAATTGGCCAGGTATGGTGGCACACGCCTGTAGTCCCAGCTACTCGGGAGGCTGAGGCAGGAGAATGGCGTGAACCCGGGAGGCGGAGGTTGCAGTGAGCCGAGATTGTGCCACTGCACTCCAGCCTGGGCGACAGAACGAGACTCCCGTCTCAAAAAAAAAAATGTTGAGAAACAAACAAGAAATCTCAGACACAAGTTTAAAACCTCAGAAAAAGCAACCAGACTTCAATTAGAAGACTTAGTGCAATACCATTAGCACATCTCCATTATAAATAAATTTTTAAAAAGCTCTTGGGGCAACTACTTTAGGGGGCCTAAAGGTAGGGTCCCAGAATTTGCGTTTCCAATTCTGCTGCAGATGCCTGGGGCTTCCATACAGGGGCAGCGATAACATGGGCTAGACAAAAGCCAAGAGCTGGACTTCACATTGAGCTCACGTCACACTTGCCGAATGAAACCGTAACATGAAGATGTGGGTTAGACAGCAAAGAAAAGGGAAAATACCAGGGCCCTCAAAGCTGTAGAAACGCCCTTAAGATCTAAAAGCAGCTGCCACGCTTTTCTCAACAGCTGATGGCTTGGGCCACTTTGCTTGATGGTAGAGAAAACCGCAGACCCTGTGCCTATTGTTGCCCCATACCTGAGGCTTACAGTGCTCCTCGATCCAGCTGAAGACACACGCTGACAGCTCCTGGAAGCTGGCCACTGAGATGGAGGCATTGAAGGACTGGAACAGGGAATCCATGATGCCTTGAAACACGTTGAACTTGACCTGGTCAGAGACCTGGTCCTCCCCTTCATGGGGGTTGTCCTGGTGTGCCTTCACAATCTGCTCATAGTTCCTAAAAGCATGCAGGCCAGGGCTGAGGTGCTGCAGCAGCTCCGCCCACCCAAGAAGAATGACGGGACTATCCTGTGTACTCCCAGGAATGGCAGCCCCAGAGAGCTTCTGGGTGGGGTTCAGTATCAGGGAGATACTGCTTCCAGGTCAGGAAAGGTGGCCCTCTCTCTCCAACCTTCCTTACATTAATCCAACAGGCATTTCCTGAGTGTCTGCCATGTGTAAGGACAGTTGGGGATACACAGTCCTACTGGCTAGCTCAGGAACTAAGAGTATTATCTGTACAGCAGTAACTGATGTGGCCTTTGAACAAGGGAGGGTGTGCAATGAAGTTGCCTCAGAAGTTCTGGTTCCCCCCATTCAGCACCCCTCTTACACTTTCATGATCTTTAGGGCGGTGACATCCTTGCGTAACGTGGACACCTCCTCCTCCTGCTTTTTCTTCTCCTTGTGCAAAAACTGAATGTAGTCAATGGCTAGGGTGGGGGCAAGAAAAAAAGGACAGGTACAGAAGTATTCTCAACCAAGAAGATAAGGCTGACTTTGTTCCCCTTACCCCAGACCCCAACTATCCCATGGCAATCACCACACCAAGGCCGAGCCATGGGTGGGTAGGAGGCACTGGCCTCTTCACAGCCCCGCTTGGCTCCATCCCCTCCAGTGCTTTCCCTAGCCATACTCTTTTGTAGAACGATGGCTTTGCTGAGCTTTTGGGAGCCAATGGAGAAGTCCTGCTGCTGGCAAGTGGGGACGATGGTCTGAAGGTCATCATAGCCTCTCTGTGGAAACAGCAGGGGAAATGGGTTCTTTAACCCTGAGAGATTAAAGCAAAATGGCACAAAGTTCCTCCATGACACCAAGTTCTATGCTCACAAACTCAATGGGGTGGGAAGGCTGCAAGGGAGGTGTTTGTGCCTGGGACTATACTACCTGCCCACCCCCTAGGGTGCCTGGGACTGTCTGAGTGGGTCAGGGCACAGGGAAGCTAAACTATGCAGGGCCCTCCCGCACTGGCTGAGGCACAGGCCTCCCTGTTCACCTTGATGGCGTCCCTCCTCTTCTGCTCAGCCTGAGTGTGTGCGCGCCGCCGCCGGTCTTTGTAGGACTCCTTGTAGGCCTCCTGGTGGTAATCACTGTCCTCATCATCTACGCTCAGAGATGGGGGCAGGGAAAGGTCATCTTGGGGCCCAGTGGGGTCCAGCTAGCCCACCTTTCCCCAGCTGGGAAGAACCTGGTGTCCAGAGAAGGCAGATGGACAGAACCACCTAATGTTCCAGATGAGGTGAAAGATGGTGAGACCTTGTGTCTGATACTTTGGCTCCAGCACCCCTGTGTGGATGGCTGGGGCTTCCCTGTCTAGGAAAGGTACTACAATTATGACATATCTGAGCCCCCCGAGGTCGGGGGGGATGTTACTGCCTACCTGTGTTGGGGACAGAAGAGGCACTGGTGGAACCGATGCTATTAGCTCTGGACACTACACTCCCCTTGCGGGTGCTTTCTACAAAAAGCCCTGGAAAAGAGAGGCCCCAATCACTAAGGGGTGGGGTGGGGAACATTGCCAGACCCTCAGACACCTGTAGGACACAATGGCTTTCTTTTATTTATTTATTTTTTTTTTAGACAGAGTCTCGCTCAGTCGCCCAGGCTAGAGTGCAGTGGCGCGATCTCGGCTCACTGCAAGCTCCGCCTCCCAGGTTCACGCCATTCTCCTGCCTCAGCCTCCCGAGTAGCTGGGACTACAGGCGCCCGCCACCACGCCCGGCTAATTTTTTTGTATTTTTTAGTGGAGACGGGGTTTCACCGTGTTAGCCAGGATGGTCTCGGTCTCCTGACCTCGTGATCCGCCTGCCTCGGCCTCCCAAAGTGCTGGGATTACAGGGGTGAGCCACCGCGCCCGGCCACACAATGGCTTTCTTAAATGCTGACCTCTTCCCTTCAACCCAAAGCCAACCATACTGGGCCCCCCACTTCCTGCCAGACCACGCTGCAGTGCTCTGCTCCCTAGTGTCTACACTGCTCCATAGGCCTGCATGATACCCCCCTGGCTCACAAACGGGCATGTGGACGTGATGAGGGTGTGAGTGATCAGCTGCTCCACTGAGTGGTGAGTGATCAGTTCCACCACTTCCCTGTTCCAGAGCAGAGGGAACTAGGTGTCACCCTCAGTTGTTTTCTGCCCTTGTCCTTCAGCTCCTGCTGTCTCAAGCCAGGAACTCTGCTCAGGGAGAGTGGACTGTGCTCAGGCGTGGTTGGCAACGCCACAAGAATCTAGAGAGCCTGGGCGGGAGTGTCCCTCTAGAGCTTAAGATGGGGCAGCTACTCACCGGGGTCCAGGCTGTTGTCGCTGTAGGCATACTCCACCTGCGGCACAGAGCACGGGAAGGGCCCGTCAGACCTCCGCCCCTAGGGGGAGGCGCCCCTTCCACTGCAGGCACGCACAGCGCGCCCCCCATTCCGGGAAGGCGCCTCTGTCACCCTGCGCGCTTGCACACACACAGCCCGGGGTGCGCGGGCAGCTTAATGAGTCCCCCGAGACTGGCACAGGCTAGGGCGTGCGAGTGCCTCCCCTGTGTATGATCCCTTCCGCCCCTACTCCACCCCAGTGCCCCGTTCCCCCGACTCGCGCGCACACGCCTCGTTTGTCTCCCCACCTTGGCACACGCGGGGTGAGAGCTGTCTTCTCTGCAGCCCCGGGGCACGGAGAGCGTGGGGGACTTTGGGGACAGGAGGGAAGCCCCTCGTCTTCCGGCCCCCCTACGTGCACGAGCCCGACCCGCCCTCCCCTCGCCGGCGTGCGCGCCCACGGGGCTTGCCTTGACCCAAGGGTCCTCGGGAGAGGCGCCCGGCTCCGTCATCTTGTACCCACCGGACCGGAAACGGGCCAGCGGGCGGGCCCCCTGCGGCGAGGAAGCGGGTGGCGTGCCCACGTGACCCGCGCCCGCCAATCCGCGACCGAGAGGTGGGGCAGGGCGAAGCATCGCGCATGCGCAGCCCAAAGACTTTACTCCACGGTTCCAGCCGTCAAGGCCCGGCGCTTGGCCTGGCGCCAGCCTCCTTCGAGACTGCTCCCCGCCGTGCCTGCCCTCCCCGGGTTAGGCAGTGGAATGGCGGCGACATGAAGCGCGTTTTGTAAGATGGAGTCCCCTCAATTGGCTTGTCAGCACACCGCCGCAGATAGTGTGTGCACGCGCACTGTCCGGCCGGCCGGCTCCCCACGTTACCCTGAGGGCGGCCTCCCCGCGCTCACCGGACCTGCACTGCTGGCCGGTGTGTCAGGAACCGGGCAGAGAAGCCCCCAGCCACATCGTCCGACCCCACCAGGCTGCAAGCTCTGTGAGGGCAGAGGCCCCGCCTGGCGCGCGGAAGGCTGATCTTCCAACACCCAGCCCAGTGTCTGGCAGGATGCATGTGGAATGAACCCTTGCAAAGAACCTGCTAGCTAGGTTATGCGGCCTCTCATATTAAAAACAAAACAAAAACAATAAAACACGGCAGTACCTAGAAAGTCTACACCTTACTCAGAAGAACACAGCTGGTCAGTGGGAGGGCCAAAGCTCGCCTCTGGCTAGCCTCAAAGGCCATTCTCTTAACCACTGCATTGCCCAGGCTTCCAGCTCAGGCCTGGGCCCTGCACTTGTGGCTTAAGGATCCCAAAGATACTTAGGGGCATTGGAACAGGAAGCAGACACCATACAAGCAACATCTCAGAACATTCACCTTTAATTCTGTTACAGGTTCCAGTATTTGCGCTGGCCCTAGTCAGCTGTGGGTAAGAGTCACCCATGGGCAAGAGTGGGGAGGGGACTGCTCCCCCATGAACCACATCCTCAGTGTTGGCCAAATACCAGCGTGTTGGGTAGGCTTCCTGTGTCCACCAGGCCTGGCCATGTCCTGCACAGTATAGCTTGGACCTCTGGGCCTGAACCAGGGTGAGCATCAAGGCCCCCATTTCTCCTCACCACGGGGTCGCTTGTCAGCTCCAGGAGCCAGTCTGGCCCCACTGAGAACTTTTCAGTCGAGGGCCTGATGAGTCTTGGGAATGCGCTTCTGCAAGAGGGCCCAGGCTTTCTCCACCTTCAGACAGGCCAGGATGTTGGGAGGAAGAGAGGGCAGGGTCAGGCAGTACCCACTGGAGACTCCTTCCCCACAACCCGGCCTTGCCCTGGGCACCAACCTGGCGTTGGGTGATATGCGGCTCCCACAAGGTGCTGAGCACCACGTGGCTCTGTTCCACAAGCTGCTGCCCGCTCATCTGGCTCTGCAGCCGGCTTTGAGCCGCGGCTTCACTGAGGCCATCCCTCTCCACAATGCGTCTTACAGCCTGAGCACAGACGAGACATTTGTCAGGAAGAATTCCAGCTCACAGGATAGGATCTGCAGTAGGGATGGTGTGGGGGGTGGGGCGAGATACCTCAGTCTCTGGGATGACAGCAGTCCACACCTCATGGACCAGGTTCTGCCAGCCGGCTTCAAGCAACACAGCGGCATCAATCACACACACACGCTTTCCTGTGGGGAGACCCCAGTCACCGCCAGCAGTGCCGACGTTCTCCCAGGCAGAACACAGTCCCAGGGTGAACAGACAGTCCCACGTTGGGCAGGGAAGCTCCCAGGGGAAGAAACAGCTTAACTGTCCCCTTAGCTGTTGCCATCCTCCCTCCCACTCACCCTCAGCCACAGCCCGATCCATCTCCTCTCGGGCCAGCTTTGCGATAATTGGCCACATAATGTCCGTGAGTATCTTCAGCTGCTTCTGGGGAGGGGAACAGAGGGCAGAGGTTACCTTCTCTAGAAGAGGCAGCCAGCCCGAGCAAGGTGGTGTTGGGAACAGATCAATGGAAATGGCATTCTGGGCCAGACCAGAGAGGTCCACTGGACCCTGACCCCTGGGTCTAGTAGCGGCTTAGGAGCCCTTAGGAAGTTATTGTTTACCTTATTCCCAAACACCCGGCTGCCTAGGACCTTCCTGTTGATGATGCCATCTTTATGGAGAATATCTGGACAACACAGACAGACAACTGAGCACAGAGGCCTGGCTAGCTCCTCACTCCAGGCCACTTTCAGCCTTCCCCAGTTATTACCTGTTCCAAAGGCCTCCACCACAGGCTGGTAGGCAGGGCCACCTGGGGCATAGGCCCGATGACCCAGGTGGTCACTGTCAATGACAAACGCCCCCAGGCCCTTCAGTCGCTGAGCTATTGAGCTCTTCCCAGAGCCACTGATGCCAGTCAGCCCAATTACATAGAGACATGTGGGGAGCTCTGGCCTTTCCTGGGGATAGGTGAAAGGGAACCCACAGTTACTGGGGCCCTCAGCCTCATGCCTGGGGCTGAGCCCCTCAGCTTCTACTCTCCAGCATTGCCAGGACACCAAGCAGGAGGGAAGGAGGGAGAGGAGCTTACATATGGAGGCCGAAGCAGGTTCCCCAACATTCGCTGGCGGAAGCTGGAGGAGCTGACTTTGTCCTCTTCATTCTCTGTATGTCTGAGGTCCTTCAGCAGCTGGATCTGGTACAAAGCAAGTTCCTCCAGGTCCTGGGGTAAAGAGGAAAGGGTAAAAAGAGGGAAGGAGGGAGTGAGAGGAAGACCCTGACATCCAACCTGCCCCCCCATCCTCCCCTTCCTACCCAGGCTCCTCCTCCTCCGACTCAGCGGGCAAACTGAGAACCAGTTCCTCCTTGCTTCTTCCCACCACCCTGAGCCCCCACTTCTCTCCTCTGGGGCCATGGTACTTCCAACAGCCCCCTCAAAATGGCCTTCCCCGTCCCCCATCCACTCCCTCTGCCAGTCTCCCTCAGGGGTTACATTCTCAAGGCGGAAGCGGTTGATGGCCATCCCCCCACGATAGGTCTCCTCGCTGACCACCAGGAACTCCAGGGAGGGGTCAGAGCCAGCGGGCCCATAGGGGTCCAGCAGGGGGATGACATCAAAAGTCAAGGAGGGCTTGATGTCCACCAGGAATTCACTCAGATGTTCCACACGTTCTGTATAAGGTTGGAGCAGCTCAGGGAGCAACTTGCCTGGGGAAGGAGCCCAGAAGAACAGTGAGATCTTTTTATTGGGGAGGAGAGTATGGGCCAGTTTGGGAAAAAGTGTCCCTAAGTACAGTATCCCCAGAGGGGGTGGCAGAAAGGGTTCAACTGGTAAGGCCTATGGTGATGGTGAGGGGAGCATGAAGGTGAAGAAACAGGCAAGCACAATAGTCACTCCAAGGGCTGGCATGTGTCCAGAGAATAAGCCACCAGGAAACCACTCCAGAGAACGAGCAGTGCCAGAGGGCATCAGAGGCAGATGGAAAATTCCAAGACCCATGCCATGCTTGAGTTTCCTCCTCCTGTCTGTGGCACTGCTACCTGCAGCTCACTCACCCATTCATTCCCAGTGTCTCATTAGGGTGTATCACCTGGAAAACTTGCTAAAATGCAGATCCCTTTGCTTCACATTTGGGGTATTCTGATTGAGTGGTGACTGGACCACATGCTGAGAAAGCTGTTCATTTGACAAAATGGCCTTAGCACCAATTGAGTGTCAACCACTGTGACATTTGGGAAGGGTGGGAAGTAATGAATGGCCCTACCCTTCCTTGATCTCGGCATAAGGGTCGGGGGTGGGGAGATTTGGGGATCCTCCACCCTAGTCCAGGGTCCCTCTTACTCACTCTTCAACAGATCTTTGTCTGCTACTCCCACCACAAGCTGCTCCTGGGCCAGGATGCACGCGACACTGAGCAACACCTTGTGGGCGTTGTGCAGGCGGTCAAACGTGCCACCGACAGCGCCACGGTAGTAGCCACGCACCGGCTGCTTTGGAGACCCGGCCACGGGGGAAGCTGGCCTGATCGTGGAGGGTAAGGGGACATCCAGGGGCTCCACGGGCACTTCTCCTATCCCATAATCGGAGTATAGCAGCACCGAGGCCAGTCGCGGACAACAGCTGTAACAGCTGGTGGCGTAACGCACTAGCTGCTGTTTGACCGGGTTGTACTGGCTTCCATCCAGGGTCTGGAAATCTGTCAACACGACTTCTGGCGGGTGGGCGAGATTCTGGACTGAGGTGGGCAGGGGAGGGAGAAAGGTGCTCTTGGTTCGGATATTGGTCAGTAGGATTCTGACGTCCAAGTGCCTGTGGACGTCGGCGCCAGCATAGAGGTGCGTGATGAAATCAAGAACCTCAAACGTGGCCTGCACGGGGCTGGACTGGGGCTGAGCCGGGCCCTCCAGGCTCATGCCCGGCTGCAGGTGAACATAGAGTGTGTGATTCACCAGCCGGGCCGCCGAGGTCAGGATGGAGGCCAGGCGAGGGGCTAGGGAGGCCAGCGGCGTCGTCAGCACCAGGAGACCCGACCGGAATACGGCCATGCTGCCCAGGCCTGCGGACAGTCAGGGAGACGAGGCGACGGTGACTGAAGGGCCTGCGGCCGAGGCAGAGGCCTGTATGGGACCTTGGACCCCAGAGAAGGAGGCCTGGAGCAGGGACGGGGTTTCAGTGCTGACCGACAGGAGCCGGGGGAGGGGACGGGGCCTGGTAGACGGCGCCTCGGGGCTGTGCTCTAAGCCTTGGTGTCCTCATTTCTCAGACGGGGCGGTGACTTCGCTGAACTGAGTCGAAATCCTGGGAGGGGGAAACTGGACAGGAACCCTTGTCACAGGGCTGGGGATCCAAAAATCCTGGGCCCTCTTGCTAAGCTGCACCAGGGTCTTCAAGGAATCGAAGAGGGAGGCTAAAGGGGGACGCTAAAGCTCACGTCGGCCCCCTACTCACTGAAACCTCAAGGCTTGGGTTCCACTTGCACCACCGCGGAGGCTTCCCTGGCTGCAACCCGGAAGCACTAACGGAGAAACCGCAACTCGGAACTACGGAAACGGAGGAAGGTCAAACGTCTCGACTTCGCTTCAGCGCGGGATTCTCGCGAGATTTCCAGTGGCATGGGCTGTGTCCTGCTGATGGGGTGGGGCTGATCCCGAAGGCTCTGGGAGTGGGTGAAGCCTTGATGCCGATCGGACCCCCGCTGGGACCGGGCGGAGAAAGGCAAGGCAGGTTTCAAAGCCCATTTCACAGATTCCCTTCTGGCCTGATGAGGAGAGATTAGTTTCAGCCAGGCCACCCAAGAGGCATCGGCAAAGCCAGAACTAACACCCAGATTTCCTTCATTCCAGGGACAGAGGTGGGGAATCACAGGGCTGCGCTGTATTAGCCCTCCTAGTACCCTCTCAGTCCGAGGATTCTCACATGGGAGGCTACTGGACAGGTCTGTCCACGTACCCATTTCACAGATGGAAAAACTGAGGCCTTGTGTGTACCTGGCTGCTGTAGGAGGCTCTCGCACCACCCAGATCCTCTGATGCGCTTGTTTGCGGGGTCTCTGTGGACAGGAGAAAAAGGCAAAGGCTGATTGGGCGCGGTGGCTCACGCCTGTAATCCCAGCACTTTGGGATGCCGAGGTGGGCAGAGCATCTGAGGTCGGGAGTTCGAGACCAACCTGACCAATATGGAGAAACCTTGTCTCTACTAAAAATACAAAATTAGACGAGCGTGGTGGCGCATGGCTGTAATCCCAGCTACTCAGGAGGCTGAGGCAGGAGAATCGCCTGAACCCGTGGGCGGAGGTCGCGGTGAGCCAAGATTGTGCCATTGCACTCCAACCTGGGCAACAAGAGCGAAACTCCCGGCCGGGCGCGGTGGCTGACGCCTGTAATCCCAGCACTTTGGGAGGCCGAGGCGGGCGGATCACGAGGTCAGGAGATCGAGACCATCCTGGCTAACACGGTGAAACCCCGTCTCTACTAAAAATACAAAAAAAAATTAGCCGGGCATGGTGGCAGACGCCTGTAGTCCCAGCTACTCGGGAGGCTGAGGCAGGAGAATGGCGTGAACCCGGGAGGAAGAGCTTGCAGTGAGCCGAGATCGCACCACTACACTCCAGCCTGGGTGACAGAGTGAGACTCCGTCTCAAAAAAAAAAAAAAAAAAAAAAAAGCGAAACTCCCTCTGGAAAAAAAAA